>NC_000004.12:146421381-147046381 GCF_000001405.40 Homo sapiens
GTTGTTCATCTGGGCTCAGAACATTCTACACAGCATCTTTCACTCACCAACTTACCAATAAACACATTGCTACCAGGCCATTTCTCCCAGTATAGCACTTTGTCCATGATATACTCCTTGAAAACTCTTCAGCAATGCCTCACATGGTATCATGTCCAAGTTGAGCCTCTCACTCAGGCTCTCTATAATACTGTCTCACCTAATTTCCACCAGCCACCAAGAATGGGCTTACTCCAGTAAATGCCCCTCTTTTCACTTTCTTGCCTGCAACTGACCATTCATTCATTTATTTTTTATGTGTTGATCATCTACTATGTACCAGGTACCGTATTTGCCATTACATTTATACACAGAGAGATATAACAGTGAGCATAACAGGCATGGTCCCTGCCCTTACTGGGCCACATCCTCTCTCAGGTTGACCTTCTCCACTTGGGCTGTTCTCAATTTTCAAGATCTTCACACTTAACATTCACCAGCATCCTTTCCTGATCACTTTAACCTACTGTGTCCTCTCTTTTTTAATTGATGATATCACACATTTGAGCACTTAATTATATTTTGTCTTGTGTTTCTTTCTCTGAGTGTTTTACTTAGGCACATCTCCTTTCTTCGATTACACTCTCTTAAACAGAAATTGTATCTTATATTCTTCATCACCAAACTGAATGTAACTCAGCTGACTTCAATGATATATGTACAACATGAAGTTAATAAATAGCTTTCAGTATTGAAAAGAGCCAAGCATACAAAGTCAAAATAATAATAGATCAAGATCTAATTTATCTTTGAAAATGGAGAAATAAAACGCTCTAGGAAAGGTACAGGTATGTAAATAGGGAGAATAAAGGTACAAAAAAAGAAATTTTTCCCATATGGTATAACTGTCTCCAATAATGTATAATATTTTAGGGGATCTATGAAACATCAGTCTTTTCCTTTAATTCTTGCATTTCATAGAACATAATTTAGAGGCCATACCATAGGCCAAATTTATTAGGGCTCTGCTATGATGTCAATAATATTGATAGGAGCAAATTAAGTCTTTACTTATTTAGAAGAAAAACTCTTTTTCAACAGAAGTAAAGATTAATATTTAGAAAGAGAGAGTATAACATTTACCTAAAAAGAACATTACTATAGTTTAACCGTGTATAAAACTGTAACTAAAAAGTTTAATAAGTGGACTTGCAGACTTCTCATGTCAAACATAACTTTCTTGCAGAAATCCAGCTATGACAAACATTAGACCTGATTTTCTTATATGTATTACTTGTCTCTTTCGGATTATTATTTTGGATTATACTGTATTTTGTCTACAATGTGCTAATATTATAACTCATAATAAGATAATCCTACTTAGATTGTTTCCTAGAGAATCAATAATAGTAAGGTCCTCTTAGTCTGAAATGAATGTCATTATTTTCCTAAATTCTACCTGTTCTGCAAAGCTGCTTCTCATGCCATCTATTTTGGGAGGTCTTCCCAACCGCCCATATTTTAGCCAATCTTTACATGTCCTTTCATATATACTAATTAATATAGTGTAAATTCTCTGAGAGTAGGATTTGGACCTGTTGACATATTTTTATTCCTCCCAGCAGCTACATTGAAAGCATTACCTTCAAAGTATTCAATAACAAGTGACCTTTTCTAATGATAAGAACAATTGTGTATAAAAATATAGATGAATAAATATGTATAAAAAGTTCTTTCACAAGTCCATTAAGCACATAGAAAATTTCACAAGCAAAAATTATATACATATTTCTAAATGTCACCCTAAAAATGCATTTTTCCAAACTGTATAAATTTTTTTTTGCTAAAATTCTAAGTTCTTATCAAGTGAGCTAAATTAACCAAACCTGAAAATAAATTTCCTTTGCAACTAACTCCTAGGTCTATTTAACAAGTCATTTTCTCTGTATTGCTTTGATTCCTTCTTCCTTCAGTTCTATTTCTTCTTAGTCCCTGCAGAGTATAACTTGGGCAAATTTAGAGTATGAATTAGACAAATGAAAATTACAATAATAGTTGGTATGGTTAAAAGTGTTGAATAACTTTTGGATAAATCACCATCACCTGTCAAACTTTGGATTTGTCAAATGTTTCCTAATTATATGATAGGATTTCCTTGCCTAGAGACAGTCTTTGCCTGACTAAAAGCATAAAATCTACATCAAAATTGTAATTTAAAACACCAAAGCGAGGTGGTAAAAAAGATCAACGAAGAAAAAGAAACCCAACTAACAATGGTTGGTAATTTCAACAGTGAAGAGCTTAGGTTTAGTGCTACTCAATAGCCCTAAAGGAATAAATGAGAAAAATAAGAAGAACGTAATATGAATATCATACATTTATTCCAGCTATTCTGAAATATAGCCTTGTGAGTTTTATGTTTAAATGCCCATTCCTTCCATGAAATGATGACAATAACAAATGGTAATTCCATTTAGAAAATAAAGAATGGAAAACATTAGGCATCTGCCAAAATTTATTTTGAAGTTTTACTTATCAGGGGAATCTAAATGTTAGAAAATCACTGGCCTAGTCAGTCAACCAACCATGTAAGAAAGACCTATCTTACAAAAAACAATCTTTGAACTGTGAAGAAGGTTAAAGCAGATTTTTTAAAAATGTTATAGTCCCATGAGAACAGTTGGGTTTTGTTTGTTTTTGTTTTAAATAGAGACAAGATCTCCCTCTGTTGTCCAGGCTGGAGTGTAGTGGCAGAATCACGGCTCACTGCAGCCTAGAACTCACAGGCTCAAATGGTTCTCCCACCTCAGCCTCCAGAGTAGTTGGGACTACAAGCGGGCAACACCACATCTGTCTAATTTTTTAATTTTTTGTAGAGACAGGGTCTTGCTGTGTTGCCCAAGCTGGTCTCAAACTCCTGGGCTCCAATGATCCACTTGCCTCAACCTCCCAAAATGCTGGGATTACAAATGTGAGCCACCATTCTTGTCTGAGAATCATTGTTAAATACAGAATAAGGGCTGGGCACGGTGGCTCACGCCTGTAATCCCAGCACTTTAGGAAGCCAAGGCAGGCGGACCACCTGAGGTCAGGAGTTAGAGACCAGCCTGGCCAATGTAGTGAGACCCCATCTCTATAAAAATGCAAAAATTAGCTGGGCGTGGTGGAGGCCACCTGTAATCCCAGCTACTCAGGAGGCTGAGGTAGGAGAATGGCTTGAACCCAGGAGACAGAGGTTACATTGAGCCAAGATCGGGCTACTGCACTGTAGCCTGGGTGACAGAGCGAGACTCCATCTCAGAAAAAAACAAAAAAAAAACAAAAACAAAAACAAAAAAACAGAAGAAACCATGAGTTAAATATAAAACCATATTTGAGACTCTGAAAATGAACTGACTTTCAGGCTCAGGCATTTCTAGCTACAACATTATACTATTTTCCAAAAAACATTTCTTATACATATGAAGTTGTATTTATTTTCCTGGCACTGTCACCATTTCTGAAAGAGTATTATTAATTTGTCAGAACAGTATAGTGTTGAAAAAGAAAAGCAATCTACCATGATGAAATGTCATAATTATGTAAATTTTAATTTAATCATTAAAAAAAGTTCTGGCTGTGCACCAGGGTTTTTTCTAATATCCTAAAGTAAACAGTCCTCTCAGTAAACTAAAGGAAAAATGCAAATAAAAATCATGAGCACTTTTCAATAAGAAAAATGTTTAAGTGCTGGATACTTAACTAACTAGTATCTTAACAACAGATCCCTGACAAGCTGAACATGTGTATGTGATTGCCTTTGAATTCACTAGAGAAGACTGGAATGGGAAGTTGGACTGTTACCTGAAAGAAACATACAAAAATAAAGACATATAAGAATAGACATCAAATTATATTAAAATGTATAAAATGCAATATAGTTTATAATTAAACGGATTAAATATATAATTGCAAAATAGTTTGTTTATTAAATATCTTTCACCAGCGCTCTCCAGTAGAGCAATGATGAAAATGTTCAACACTCTGCACTGTCCAATGCAGGAGCCACCAGTCACATGTGTCTGTTGGATACCTAAAATGTGGCTAGTGTGACTGAGGAATAGAAAAGTTTAACTTCATTTAATTTTCATTAATTGAATTTTAAATAGCCACATGTGGCTTGTGGACACCATATTGGTCAGCGCAACTATAGACGATACAAAATGGAAATACTAATGTACCTCCCTCTTCCTGAACTTGAAAATAAAAGAAATACCTTTACGGTAAAAACATGCAAGATCACCTTAAAACATGAGTCAATGTCAGCAGGACTTTAAGGTATGGTGGGTCAATAAAAAAGGGGAAACCAGCCAGCAATGGAAATAGAGAAAACAAACCTAAAAGCAATGATTGAGAATACCTATCTAAGCACTACCTGGGAAAGAAGATCGCTGGTCCAAATGATGGACATGTCTGTTTCCAAGGGCAGTGTACCCTTGCAGGGGAGCCAGACACATCCATTTCCAATAGCCTGATAGAATCACACTTGAGAATTACCTCCCTACCTCTGCTTCCTCTAATCCCATTCTCACCAAATAAACTCCTTAGTAAAATACTTTCTCTTGTGAATTTAACCATGAAGAGAGAATGCATCAAGCCAAGTGTCTAAAGGTCTCTCAAATTATTTTTTCCATTCACAATTAGTAAATTGGCAATCTGTCTTAAGTATCATTATGTATGATTAATGTGAGTCTATTCCTGCAAGGTAGAGCCACAAAATTAGTTTCTAAACAGAACCATCACAAACTTTCAAAGTATATGCCACTTTTTCCTGACAATCAGGTGCTCAGGATCTTAAAAATGTGGGATGATTCCAATAGACAATGAAAAAAGTAATATTACTAGAAACGGTTCAGCGAGCGACATCATGCTACCATCAAAGCCAAAGAAAGAGCTCTCAGATCTGTGAGGTATTGAGTGATTTCCAGTAGAGAAAGAAAAACTTCTTTAAGGACTATGTGGCACCCAACCTCTCCTTCTTTATGAAGAAAAACTTAGGCCAGGTGCTGTGGCTCACATCTGTAATCCCAACACTTTGGGAGGCCAAGGTGAAAGGATCACTTGAGCTTAGGAATTCAAGACCCGTCTAGACAATATAGCAAAACCCCATCTCTACAAAAAATAAATTAAATAAGTAAATAAAAAGAAGAAAAACTTTTCCTTCTAGTTTGTATTTTTAAAAACATATAACAGGCCATTTGTGCAGTGGCTCACACCTGCAATCCCAGCACTTTGGGAGGCTGAGGTGGGCAGATCACGAGGTCAGGAGATGGAGACCATACTGGCTAATACGGTGAAACCCCGTCTCTATTAAAAAATACAAAAATTAGCTGGGCATGGTGGTATGCGCCTGTAACCCCAGCTACTCGGGAGGCTGAGGCAGGAGAATCGCTTCAACCTGGGAGGCGGAGGTTGCAGTGAGCCAAGATAGCTCCACTGCACTCCAGCCTGGGTGACAGAGTGAGACTCCGTCTCAAAAAACAAACAAACAAAATAAACCTATAACAAAACATATGTTTTGGTGACTCACTATTTAGCAGTCTCGTAGAGAAATGAACAGTCAGGGACAATTAGGAAAAGTAAGACAAAGATGCACAATGTTATCTGAGATTTTTATTAGTGTATGCTATTTCTGTCTTTAGAAAATTCTTACTGATTATGGCACTAAGTTGATGGAATCTAAAAGTGGCCAGACATGATGGAAGATTTGTTTCAGAACTAAGGATTGTAGACCAGCTTGGGTAACACAGCAAAACCCTGTCTCTATAAAAAATTAAAACAAAAAATTAGCTGGGCATGGTGTTGCACGCCTGTGGTTCCAGCTACTCAGGAGGCTGAGATGGGAGGATCACTTGAGCCAGAGAGGCAGAAGTTACAGTGGGTTGTGATGCTGCCACTGCACACCACCCTGGGTGACACACACACACAAAAGAAAGAAAAGTATTCTTCTTAATCTGGATGTTTTCTAGTGTTACAAGCTTAAAACTTTTTTTTTAACACTGGTTTGCACTGGTAGGAGTTTTTATTCAATTTTTTTTAAGCTGGAAATTTAACCTTTTGACTTCAACAGTTGTTTGGCTGGAAACTACACAAGATATAGACCCAAAATTCTACAGAGACATATGGTGATATGGAATCAGGATTCAACCATCTTTGAGGAAAAATATCTGTGAATTAAAGGGCAAAAGGTAGAAGCCTCTATGTTTATATACTGTTTCCATGATCTCTACTCATTGTTTCCTCTTTAGTTTAAAAAGGTAGAAATAAATGAAGAAAAGAGGGAAAAGAAACATTTAACCTACTTTCTTTGGTACACTAGAAATAATCTTTCCTATTACTGATTTTAATTATTGAAAAGATTGACAAATCTGTCCTGCTCTTCATTTGCATACCTCGGTAGCTACTGATCAGGTATTCTGAATGGCTTGTTAGCCTGTTCTCAAAAATACAGATGTTAATGTATTTTTTAGGTTATTATTTTAAAAATGGAGCCAAACGCAGTGGCTCATACCTGTAATCCTAGCACTTTAGGAGGTTGAGGCAGGATAATTGCTTGAGCCCAGGTGATCAAGAACCAGCCTTGGCAACAAAGTGAGACTCAGTCTCTACAAAAAATTAAAAAAAAAAATTAGCTGGGCATGGTGGCGCATGCCTGTAGTCCCAGCTACTTGAGAGGCTGAGGTGAGAGGATAGCTTGAGCCTGGGAGGTTGAGGCTGCAGTGAGCTGTGATCTTACCACACTGCACTCCAACTTTGGCAATGAAACAAGACCCTAACTCAAAAACAAACAAACAAACAAACAAAAACCACTAACTTTCCCATTAAAAAATCATTTGAGTAACTATCCTTCCTTTACTTTCTTAAAAGTCTGTCTCTTCTCCATTACATGGAGATAGATAGCACTCTCCAAAGCTTCTCCAGCCCAAGTCACATCTTTATTATTTTCTATATCTCATTTAACAAATTTTAACCGCTGACAAGATGATAAGACCAAAAAGTCAAAGCAATATTCTGAATTATGAACTCATCAAACTCAAGTGCAGAGGGCTGTAACATGATGCTTCTAAACAGCAAACCACATTAGCTTGCATCTGCTGTCATATGATATTGCAAGTTCAAGTTATCTGGTTTGTCATTCTCACCTTGGCTCTTTTTTTTTTTTTATTTTCTAAGGACTTCTAATGCCTCTCAGACATGGATTTGATCTAGTCTTTATACATCATTGAATTGGTTCTTTTTCATACTTATATTTTTACTTCTTCTTTAGGATACTGTACAGTTTCTTTTTATGCACTGTCTAGAAATTTAACTTTCACTTGTCAATTTGATTAAAGTATGTATTTCACAAGTAGATAAAAAATAAACTTTAATTTAAAAAAATACTTTCCTTTAATACCAACAGTGAAATCATTCTCTACAATGCTATATAATAGAAATCACTTATTACATCCTTTTATTTACACATCTCTAGCTATTTAAATATTTGTAGTAATCACACTTGTAGCCATTTTCCATGTAAAACTTCCTGATATTTAAAATCATTATTTCAATGAAAATAGCATATGGGTTTGGTAAACTATTATACAGGGATAATCTGCCCTAATCTACTTCACAGGATTTTCTTCTTTAGTAGAAAAAAAATCTTATAAATTACTAAATATCAAACTTAGATGTGGGGATGAATTTCCACTTCCATTCCAAATCAACACTGTGAATATAAGGCAATATAAATTTCTTATGGCTACAGCAAGTTTTATTGAGATTTAAAACCTTGGAATTTAAAATCATTTTAATGTGGTAAAGAAAAATTTGGTAGACAGATGACCAATTATGGTCAAAACAGATGACAAAAAGATGGGATTTTTGTCAAAAGAATTCAACATACAATTATGATAATTAGCGTACATTTTAAGTGCATATGATATACAAGATATTTTACAATCAGATAAATGAAGAGAGATTAAAATAGCATTCATTGGGTGATTTCTGTCTATTCATCTAATATTTTTTGAAAGCTTACTTTGTGCCAAGTACTATAAATATTGAAGATAGATAGAGTAGTGAAACAACCAAAGGAAAACAAACACCTGCCTTCATGGAGCTTTCATTTGAATAGGGAAAGACAGTCAATTAATGTAATAAATGACAAATTATATACTATGTTGGAAGACATTATTTTATAGAAAGAAAAATAGCAGGCTAACAAAAATAGGAAGTGCCAGAGATGGGAGAGAAGATCAGAATTTCAAATTAACTACACTAACCAGTTACAATCTATAGTAACCCATTACAATCTAGATGGAAACTCACTCCAAAAGCTAAATAACCATAAAAGGAAAGCTGGAGAAATTGCTTTTGAGATAGGTTTTGAAGGACAGCTAGGATAATAGAATGGATGGGAACAGTGCAAGCAAAGAGGTGGGAGCAGAAAAAGGTCCAAGTGTTAGAGGATGCTTTATAAGTATAAAGGCAATGAAAAAAAATCCATAAAGGAAAAAATGGACAAACGTGACATACATAAAAATTTTAAAATTCTATAACCATATGCAAAGTAACAAACCCCAACTAATACACTGAACTATACAAAAAAAATCATTCAAAACGGATCACAGGACTAAATGTAAAAACAAAAATTAAAACTTATAGGAGAAAACATAGGGGAAAAATCTTTGTGACAAACAAGGATTTCTTAGATAGGATACAAAATGCCTGAGCCATAAAAGAAAAAAAAATAGTTAAACTGGATTTAACAAACAGGAGAGGGTGAAGGGTGGATCAACAGTTAACATGGGAATGAAAGACACTGGATGGGCGGGGAGAGAGAGAGACAATAGGGCCACACTCGGAGGATCCCTGAATGGCCAATTAGATAGTGGGTAATTAAGAGCCACTATAGACATTAGGGCATAGGAGTGACACATAAAAGTTATATGTGATAATAGTTTATCTTACAACATTGTGTGGATGACAATGAAGAAGATAGGATTCATTGCCCTGGCTCTTGGAAATTACCAAAAGCACAATAATGTTAATAAACATATCCCTCCAAAATCAATGGATAAAAATATTAACTTAAACTTTCAAGTGAAAACCTAGGAACACTGCAGAAAATAACTGCTTACAAAAGAACTGGCTGAATAATAAAAAAACCAAAATACAAATCTTGAACTGTACACCAACTACTGTTATAAGGTAAAACTATAAACACGGTGAACATTTTAATTATTCCACTTATTAAAAATATCACCAAAAAAAGCTACTCAGGAAAAGTAAACAAGTGTAGGGTTCTAGCAAAAAAGAAAGCTATAAGCTCAGAGTATAACCATCCCCGGACACATAGAATATGAATCAATGTTACTCTAGATAACACTAGTTACTCTAGTTACTCATAGTCTAGAAGATTTGTGGTGCTTTGACTTTCTAATTTCCAAAATACCAAGTTTATATTAGTAGAATTTTTTTCCCCTGATCAGTGCAGCTCGTTCAATTACCAAAAGTTAAAATCAAGTTTATCAAGGCTCTTAAGATTATGAATTTTATTTTTATAAAGTCCTCCATTATCTTAAATTACTCTAAGAAAGTTATTCACCTTGGTTCATAATCCTCCAAATAAGAATATTTTACTATTAATTTGTGTGAACATTTGTAAATAAAATTAATATAAAAATGAAGTTTCTATAATTTTCCCTTATTCTTTTATGTCCATCCCCATTTCACATTTTGAATAAACAATTTTATCTTAAGTAATTGCGTTAATGTCATGTGTGATATCCTAAGATAGAAAAGCAATTTTTAACAGTCATGAATACTGATCCAATTATTTTCAGGGACAGGCATATATATCAATATGTAGATGTGAGAATAACACTATGAGGCTGGATTTACAGGGCAAAAAAACACAGTGGCGAAAGCAACAAACAGAAATTGACTTCTTTAACAAGTGATACGATAATCAGGTGAAGCATTTTCAATCTATTATTTCTTTTTATAAACCCCCATATGATGGGCTTTGCTTTTCAACATACACAATATTAAATATTCATCTTGATTATAAAACTAAAAGAAAATACACATGAATTTTTACCTGACATTGTGATAGGAAAAAGCTTCATACGTATAAAGGCAATGAAAAAATCCATAAAGGAAAAAATGGACAAATGTGACAGACACATAAACCTTACAACTCTAGAACCACACGAAAAGTAATGAACACCAACCAATACACTAAACTATACACAAACATTAATTCAAAATGGGTCACAAGACTAAATGTAAAAACAAAAACTAAAACTTATAGAAGAAAACATAGGAGAAAAATATTTGTGACAAACAAGGATTTCTTATATAGGATACAAAAAGCCTGAGTCATAAAAGAAAAAAAAAGACAAACTAGATTTATCAAAAATTTTGAACTTCTGTTATTTGAAAATTACTGTTAAGAAAATGAAAAGATAAGCTACAGACTGGAACAAAAATCACTTACATAATATATGTCTGATAAATGACTGGTGTCCAAAACATACTTAAAAACTTGCACCTAATTATAAGAAAACAACCTAATAAATAAGATGGGCAAGAGATTTGAACACACAGGCCACCAAAGATATACGGATGGCAAATAAGCACATAAAAAATGTCCAACATCATTAGACGCTAGAGAAATACAAATTAAAGTTTTGATGACATACCGCTACACACCTATTAGAATGGCTAAAATAAAAAATATTGCGAATGTCAAGGGATGGCAAGGTTGTGGAGTAACTGGACTACTTATACAATCCTGCTAGGAATGTAAAATGGTACAATCACTTTGGGAAAGAGTTTGGTGGTTTCTTATAATGTTAAAATATACTCACTATATGACTCAGCATAAATATTTTCCCAAGAGAAATAAAAACATATATCTATACAAGAACCTGTACAGAAATATTTATAGCAACTTTATTTATAATTATCATCCAGGAAACAACCAGTTCATCAACTGGTAAATTTATTAAAAATTTATTACTACTTAGCAATAAAAAGAAATTAACTACTGATATATACAACATAGATGAATCACAAAAGTGTATTCTAAGTGATAGACACCGTACTCAAAAAGCATATACCGTGTGATTCCATTTAGATGACTTTCTAGAAAAAGGCAAAAGTATAGAGAAAGGAAAAAAAATCAGTGGCTGCCAGAGACTGAGGATAAGGGAGGAAATTGACTCCAAAGGGCAAGAAGAAACTTTCCAGGTGATGGGAATATTATCTTGATTGAGATGGTTGCTATGTGACTGCATACATTTGTCAAAACTGACAGGACTATACCTCTGAAATGCATAGATTTTTCTGTATAGAAATTATACCTCAATAAACCGGCCGCGGTGGCTCATGCCTGTAATCCCAGAACTTTGGGAGGCCAAGGTGGGCAGATCACGAGGTCAGGAGATCAAGACCATCCTGGCCAACATGGTGAAACCGCATTTCTAGTAAAATACAAAAAATTAGCCGGGCGTGGTGGTACGCGCCTGTAGTCCCAGCTACTCGGGAGGCTGAGGCAGGAGAATAGCGTGAACTCGGGAGGCGGAGCTTGCAGTGAGCCGAGATCACGCCACTGCACTCCAGCGTGGGTGACAGAGCAAGACTCTGTCTCAAAAAAAAATCTGAATTTGTCAATAAAAAATCAACCCCCCTCACCCATATACACACAAAACAAAAATTAGAAGGCTAAAGACAGAGAAAAATTTTTGCAAGATATATAACATTCATATTCTCTAGCTTTTTTTTTTTTTTTTGAGACGGAGTCTCGCTCTGTCGCCCAGGCTGGAGTGCAGTGGCGTGATCTCAGCTCACTGCAACCTCTGCCTCCTGGGTTCAAGTGATTCTCCTGCCTCAGCCTCCCGAGTAGCTGGGATTACAGGCACATGCTACCATGCCCGGTACATATTCTCTGGCTCTTTGAAACCAAAGTAACCATCTCAATAAGAAACATAAGCAAAAGATATGAACAGATAATTTATAATAGAATAATTTGAAATGATCAATAAACAGATACAAGATCAACTTCTCAGCCAAAAAATTATAATTAAGATAAAATATCAGTTTGCTAAAGCTTTTTTAGAAAAAAACAATACCCAGAATTGATGAGGACAGAGGGAAATAAATATTTCTATATACTCTTGTAAGATGATAAATTGAGGGCTGGTTGTGGAGGTTCATGCCTACAATCCCAGCACTTTTCAAGGCTGAGGTGGGAGGATCGCTTGAGCTCAGGAGTTCAACACCAGCCTGGGCAACATAGCGAGATCCCATCTCTATAAAAATAAAAAAATTAGCCAGGCAAGGTGGTGCATGCCTCTAGTCCCAGTTGAGGTGGGAGGATCTCTTGTGCCCAGGAGTTCAGGCTGCAGTGAGCTATGATCATGCCACTGAACTTCATCCTGGGTGACAGAGCCAAACCCTGTCTCAAAAAAATAAAGATGATAAATTGGTTCAACATTTCCAGGGGATAGTTTAGCAATATCAAGAATATTTTAAAGTATGCAGCATTTTACCCATTTACATTATCCTTAAAAGATAATGAAAAGGGGGAACTGCAAATATTTATGTACAAAAATGTTGTGGCAGTTTTTTAAAAATAATAGCGAAAGAATAAATACTGTATCCAAAAAAATTATAGATTATATTCTACATTATATAAAACAAAATCAAGTTATCAGAGTAGAAATAAGAATATGAGAAAATACTCACATACATAAAGGGAAAAAGCAGAAAATAAGATTGTCTATACAACGTAATATCAGTTTTTTAACTACATCTACGTAACACACAGGACATAGACCAAAATGCTGATTCGTTATAGCTAGGTGATTCTATCTATATTTTTCATAAGTTCTATAATAAACATATTAAAATTACAGCAGCTTTTTGAAAGTTATTTTTTAACACATTGTCCCCACAAAGTAAATTATACGTGGTAAAGTATCTTTCTAAGTCAGCTTTTGGTATATTTAAAAATTGAATCTGGTATCTGATAAATTGCACTTTCAAAACATCTAAATTGGTAGATACAAACCTTATGATAAAAATCCAGTTTTCTTTGGAGTTGTAACAAAAAGTAGCAGTTTTAAAAAGCAATAATTGAGATGATAACCTACTGCATTACGTGAAGTTGTTTTTATTTTTTGTTTTTGTTCTGAGATGGAGTCTCGCTCTGTCGCCCAGGCTGGAGTGCAGTGGCACGATCTCTGCTCACTGCAACCTCCACCTCCTGGGTCCAAGGGATTCTCCTGCCTCAGTCTCCTGAGTAGCTGGGATTACAGGCATGTGCCACCATGCCTGGCTAATTTTTGTATTTTTAGTAGAGACAGGGTTTCACCATGTTGGTCAGGCTGGTCTCGAACTCCTGACCTCGTGATCCACTAGCCTCGGCCTCCCAAAGTCCTGAGATTATAGGGATGAGCCACCACGCCCACCTACTTGAAGTTTTATAGTAAAATAAGTGTTTCTCAAACTGTATGTTGCAGTTACCTGGAGGCGATTCAGAATTAGGATGTCTGTGGAATCACACTAGGAAAAACAGCATTTAAATCCAGGAATTTTAAGCAAATTGAGGGCAAGAATCATTTTTTTTTTAATTATTTTTTCAGCTCTAGAAGCTGGCCCAGAACTGAGCATACAGTAGGAAGTCCACAAATGTTTCATTTTAAAAGTTAAAATCAAACAGCAACATCCAGTAAATCTAGGCTTAAAAAATGATTTTTTTATTTCAAACTAAATCTGCCATTTCCAAAAATACAGACTATTGTTTTTTAGAAATGCTAAATTGTTTACTTGAAATCCTAAGTCCATGATGAAGTTTGGAGGTCTAACACTGCTTTCATCACAGGGACCAACAATTAAAGGGAAGATTCTCTTTGGCTGATAGAACCAAGTTTATACAGTTTATGCATCCTCTATTTTCCTCCTGCTTCTCTCCACATGGCCAGATTTATTTTGGAATGGTAGTGGGGTCTCAGTCAATGAGGTATATTAATAATGGAACAAAACTTTAAAAAAGTTCTAAGAAAATATTTAACATTATTTACTCCAACAGTCTCTCCCCACCATATACACACACAATTAGGACTTGATATTCTCACTTTAAGAATCTGTAATGTAGATGAAGGCAGGAATCTTAATCGTTTGGCTCACCACACTATTATGCCAGAACCCCAAAATATTAGCTCAACAAATAGATTAACCATACAAAATTTTTAGTTTGAAGGAAAAAGAAACAAAGAAATAAGAACTATTTGCCACATTATCATCAATTAGTAGTTAATAAGCATCTCCTACTAAAGACCATAAACTAAGCAGTTCTGTAGTAGGCTGGATTCAAATTAAGGAAATTTAATTTTTATTTTAAACAACTGCTAGGATCATCTTTCTTAGGAGGTCCTTTACAAACATTCTGAACCAGAATAATTTATATTTATTTATTTTTACTCAAATGAGTATAGAAGCAAATACTTTCCCAGTTTGGGACTGATGATGTTTCAAAAATTAATAAAAATTAAAATGAAAGTACATGGCATTTGTTAAAGGGTAATAAAATAACTCCAGTCAATTGGCTAGTTCTACACCAGTAGATTTCTTTAAATGGTAATGAAATCATTGCTTTAAAAAAAATCCATCATTATTAAAATAAAAAAAAAAGTTGCTTCAGCCTCCACCAAAATTAGATTTGTAAGTTGCTGGTCATTCCTATAATTAAATCTGTGTCACAAATTTGCAAGAAAAATGATCACTGTGACTAATGCATTTACTTGCTACACAAGTCCTGCCAGACAGCATAGAACATTATGCTGCTAAAATGGAATAGGTACAGATCCTATACATTTTTATTAAGTAACAAAGACCATTTTTTATTTACAATGATTGTACTTCAGATAAGAGTTTGTTTTAAAAACAAACCCACATAGAGCTATCAGTGGGTCTTCTTGATTGGAGCATTATACCATATTTTTAACTCTGCAAATATGTTTGTCACTTTGGCACACACATCACTGTTTTTCTAGAGAGGTGTCATGTAAAAAATGATCTAGTGAAAGAAACACAAACATGTTCAGGTTGCCAGAGTCCCTGATTCTAGGGGTTTCTTCATTTGACTTCTCCAAATAATTTTAATTCACTTCTTTGATGGCGTGATTGAGAAGCGACCTCAGAGAACAGTGTTTCCCAAAGTATAAATGAAAACAAGATGACTCAAAGGACATGTGCACAGAGAATTAGTAATGCAACTTACTGTCTTTTCAACTCTCTTTCAATCCTTTGGATTGCAGAAGGAGAAAGTGCTTTGTTTGGTGCTGGTGCTAATTTCACCTTTTATTAAAAGAAGGGCAGGCATCAGATTCAGAGCCTTGAATACGCAGCAGAGGTTAGCTACAAATTAATAGTAGCTTTTTTTTCCATTGACTTAATTTCAGTTACCTTCTATTCACGACAAGATAGTTCTTTATTTATAGTGTTGATGTAAAGTTTTGGCTTGAAATAAATTTAAATTGAAAATGTGAGTCTTATTTAACAAACAGTATGCTGACATGGCAAAAGCTATAATGATGTCTGAATGCTGGAAAGCACTGCATTGAAGACAGTCCTCCTTCCTGTCTTCTCTCTTTCTTAAATATTTTATTATTTCTTCCCCACATTTATGCTTTGTGTATTTGCTTCAGTATCTCAAAAAATGCCTTGAATCTAATGGACTCTGAGTATATGTGTGTTGATTTTCTATCCTATTTTCCTATGTTGTGCTACCTGCTAATTGAACCAATGGTATTTTTAAAACAGAAGTAGTCTGTTCTCAGCAATCCAGCTTTTATGATGTTCACTTGCTCAAACAGGTGATGATCAAATGAAATGCATAGCACGATGATGGGTTGCATTGTGCAAAGGTGGAAACCAACTTCCATTCATCTGAACACAGTTATTAATTTTAATACCCAGGATGGGCCATTTAAAATCTTGGTTTTATCCAGTTCTTCCCACTAAAAGATGAACTTGAAACAGCATCTATAAGATGGTACTGAAACTGCTTAAATATTAAGTCATTTGTTTGTTCTGGCATTTAAGTTTAATGAAAATAAAAACTTTTTTATAAACAAGCCATGAACTTTTGAGGTAAAACTAAGATCCCAAGTGAATAATTTGGGTTGATTAAGATTTTAAGAAAATTAAGCACATGCACACACACACAAATTCAGCATAGTCTTCAATACTGTACAAAATAAGAGACCCCATAAACCATAAACTAAATACATCCTAGACTTAGGTGAAAGCAAACCAAATTAACAATTGAATCTTATCTAGTACCACCTTTAAGCCTCTTTGTTTAACATTTGAGATTCTTGATCTAGTTTTTAAAAAGCATTGTCCCACAGCAATCAATGAGTAACAAAGATAATGGTGTTTCCTCTTTAACCATTCTAAATATTTCAGAAATTCTTACATTTATGTTACCAGGAATTTCTCTAATGTTTTATAGCATAGTTGGAAACTCAGTTTGGCATGATCATCTTTGTCATTCACTAGGGTTTCCTTTTAAGATCAGGAGTCACCAAAAACAATAAAACAGGCACGTATCATTGTACAGGAAAGGAAAAATTACAAGAAGGTGATAAACATGTCACAAGTTATTATTATTAAAACATGGCACTTGTGTTTGGGATTTCTTTTCTTTCAGCAGCTATAATAACAATCAGTTAACTATTCAAATTTTTCTACAAAGCAGGGTAGTAACCGAGAACCAGCCAAAGCAGAGAGAAGACAGAACAATTGGGTAAGGGAAGAAAAATATAAACTGGCTAGTTTTTCAGCCCAAGGCAAGGAGTTCCTTTTAATCTTTGATCTGGCATGAAAAGAAAATTGTTAATCTTAGAATAGCTTCTGCTAGTTCCAGCAATGAGTATTTTAAAAGAGAAAAATTATGTGAAAGAAACTCATTTCTTGACACTTTAAATGAAGAGATTTAGAAAGTAATCAGTGACTCGTACAGATCTTTTTTAGACTAGATGTTTTGAATTTACAAGGATGATTTAACTTTCTGACTCTTTGATGCTGTTTCTGAAATTCTTATTAGTACATCTATGTTGCCATGAAGTGTTCTAATGTTTATAACATCATTATTAAAAACCCAGTTTGGCATGATCAGCTTGTCACTCATTAGCATTTCCCTTTAAGACTAGGAGTTACCAAAAATAATAAAATAGGCTGAGGAGTCTAAAAATAGCAAAGTTCTAAATGTTCCTTTTAAACTTTAACCTGTAATTCTTAGAGACATGGAAACACTGAATTCAGCCTCCAAATCAAAAATGCTAAGTTCTAACAAATCAAATGATCTAAATTTAGTTTGGCGAATTTGTTTTCAACACAATTGAATCTTTTGAAATTAAAGAAAAAAAATTTCAATTAGAATTTTCCCAAAAGATGTCAGTATCTATTTTTTAAAAACTGAAACCTTTTGATGAGGAGCAACATGTGAGTTGCCTGAATTTGAAGTCGAAATATATACACGTATATACATAAATTTTAATAGCATTTTAGTTATTCAGGGTGCTCGACTATCAAATTTTATTAAAATCTCATTAAGAGAGAAATCTCAAATCACTTACTATGCTCCACAATTATTATAAACTGAACAATTTAAATGAGAGGAGGAGATAATGACATTAACTGCTTAACTTAAAGCAATCCTCCATGGCATGATTTTAAAATATTTTCTTGGTCTCAAATTTATGTAAATTGAATTCACCTATCATTAGTTATTACCAGCCTAGATACATTAAAAACAATAACATCAACAACAACAAAAACAGCGTTCTATAATAATTAGTTCCTAAAAACACTGTTTAAATTAGACCTGGGACATTATTAAAGTAGCTATAAATATGTACAGTATTTTATTTATACCCAGATGCCTGAAAATCAACAAAAATGCTCTCAGAGTTCTTTCTTCAAAAATTCTTTTAATAAAAGCCTTTCATTCAAAGTTTTAAGGTAATCTGAAATAAATACCCTTTTCAGATTGTATTATATTTATACCACAGGAATGGTCACTCATAATCAGAGAATAATCATTGGATCAGGGTATTTTAGATCTTGCCAAGCTTAGTCAGAGATAACCAATTTCCTTATTTCATGGATATCCATAGTCACACCCACAAACATTCATGACAAAGCTTCAATAAAAACCTAGATCTAAAGTTTAGCTCAAAGTTATTTCTTATCACATCATATACACATTTTATATAGATTATCCCACAAGTCTACAGTTTAGGCGCTATCATTACCTCATTTTATATACAGGGAAGCTTATATAATTAGGCTAGTAGTCAGTCAAGTAAGAATTCAAACCCAGTCTAGCTCCAGAAACCATACTACTACCCATAATCCTAAATTTTAAGAACAGGTGGATATTTTCCATTTATAGAGAAAATTCACAAATAGCTGTAACAAGTACCATCCTTTAAGAATAATAAAATAAAAATATAAAGTTTACAATTTGGAATTTCACTCCTCTAAAATAAATCTTCTTCCTAATCCCAACTCAAGCACCAATTTCTCCCTGAAGCCTTCTCATGTCATTTAACTGAGATGAATCTCTTTCTTCAAACCTTTAATAATTGTTGTATATTGCTCATATGTAGAATGTACTAGATGTCTCGATATCTATTTTCCTCTTCTTTCTTAGTAACAGAAATCTAATTTTTAGCTCGCAGTAAATTGCCATATTTCCCAACTTCAGTGGCTAGGAGTGATCATGTGACTGAGTTCTGCAATAAGGAGTGCTGGTATTGTGTTAGAATTCCAGGAATGCTGTTCAAAGAAAGAAGACTCAGGTTTTAGGGAGGTCTTTTTTCTTTTCTTTTCTTTTTTTTTTTGAGACAGAGTCTCGCTCTTTCACCCAGGCTGGAGTAGGGAGCTCTTTTTTCTATTCCCACTACTTTACCTTGCTATCCAGACGTTCTGGCTGGGGCTCCAGCAACTATCTTGGACCATGAGGCAGCCTTGAGGAAGAAAACTGCATGCTGCAGATGGTGGAGGAGAGAGATAGGAGTCTTGGCCCATGATGAGACCATGAAGCCACTATACCATACTTGGACAGCTCCCTCCAAATGTTATATAATAGAGAAATAAATCTTAATCTTGTATAAATCACTATCAATTTTTTTCTCTTAAGCCAAACCTAATTCTAACTGATACAGTTTACACATGTTTCATAATCCTAGGTTGTTGTAACTATGGTGAAGAGAGGAAAAAAAGATATAGAATTATTTCTCTTATAACACTGGAGCAAAACATACCTAATCATAATTTTCACTCTCAAACTCTCTCTGGTAATTTTCAACTTTATGTAAGAAAAAGCAAGGAAAGGAAGGGGAATAAAAAAAGTAAAACAACGCTTCTGCCTGTCTGCCATTGCTCATGCCATTTCCTCTCCTCTCTCCTTTACCAGTTAAGTCCTACCCATACCTCAAGGCCCAGCTCAGAGCAATCACTTCTGTCAGACCTTTGAATTTAGAGTGCATATTGTCTGTGCCATTTATTTGACAATCATATATCTCTAGTAACATCTTTCATACGGCTTGTTAACTTTTACATTGCATTTCTTTTTCTACATGTCATCTCCACAACCTAGTGGGACCCACCTTGTATTTCTCTGCATTCTTCACTGACACTAGAAAACTACCTCTGTGTAGCAGGAAATCAATAAATACTTTTGATCAATTAACTGAATTAGGGTAAGAAAAAAAAAGTGAAGAAAAGAAAAAGAGGAAGACTAAGAAGTGAGAATACACAGCTTCTTAGGAGTGAAAGAGCACAATACAAATCCCAAAGAACCACAAGAACAAGTTGTACTTCACTAGACCTTACCAAACAAGTGGGACTGGTAGAAAAAATATGATACATTCATATAGTCAGTGCATGTCTCAAACTATATTTAATAAGCTTGTTCTCTAACAAAGGAATCGTATATTTTGTTTTAGTCACTCAGACAATTGTGTCAATTTTATTTTCTCAAAGTCTAGACATCCGAAAGAATAAGAGACCCAACTTAAGAAGATGTTTTGATAGTGGATGTGTATGGTGCCAAATCATGTACAAAAATTGGCTTCCAGAAAGTTCATGTTTTACAGATATTATTCTATTAAACAATTGTGACAACGTATAGAATAATACTTGGACTCATGAAATAATGACTTAAAATATTACTGAGTCTAAACTAAGCAATCCGAGAGATTATTTTTGTTAAACAGACTTTATTGTCTAAAACCCAGAAGTAATACAGCATCACAAAAACCATTACTGGCTCTATAAAAATAGGATATAAGCTATGCATATATTTTGCAGATGCTACATCATTATAAACTCTGTAAGGCTATGTGACACTAAAAGCTGTGTAGCACTATGTAGAATTAACACTATGTAACAACATGTTTAAAAGCTTTAACTACATTTAAATACATACAATAATAATTAACAGAGCATTTTAAACAGAGGTAATTGATATTTTACCTAGACTCATGAACTAGTTTATACATCACTGATTTTACTCTCAATTATTTGTAAATCACTGCACTACATATCTGCTAATGAGTTATGCCCCAAAAAATACAATATGATAATTAACTTCAGGAATTTAACAAAGTTTTAAGGCACAAAAAAATTAAATCAACAGAAAATTTAGTTTCTCAATCTTTCATAACACAAATCAAGCCTCTGTTACATCATTTATTTAAAAATAATGATTAAAAATGCTAAAACAACGTCCTTATATTGGTTCTACTTATGAAAGCTGAACTACTTTTGAATCTTTATATATATATATATATAGATACAACATTTACTTGCAAATTACTCATTAGTCATATCTTCCTTTCAAATTTTTTTTCACATAGATTTCTCAGAAGCATCCAAGCCAGTAGCTTCTTTGACAGTGAAATGTACAAAATAAATGGCATGTCAACAAGTAAATTAGCATTCCCTTTCTGACCAGCTGGGTCATGTTTCCTTTTCAAAATCCTCAGTCCCATGATACAAAATAATAATAATCTAAAAGACCTCATTAAATGATCAATATATTGACATAACCTCTATAAGGAGACACATAGTGTTTTAATTGATTCCTTGAATTCATTAAATGGAATTTTAAAACCCAAACCTCCAAAATATATTGTAAGAGAACATTTGCTTTATTCATTAACTACTTTTCTTCAGGGTATGGATACTGGCACATGAAAAGATTCAACAATTTTTATACTTAACCAAAGAGTAAAACAAATCCAGCTTTCACTAAATCTTTCATATACACAATATCACAGCAAAAGTTGTAATAGACAAGTTAAACTATGTTTACTTACCAAAAAACTTCCAAAGGCTGAATTAAATATTGCAGCTGCCTATGAAGAAAATAAATAGGGGAAAAAAACTCATTGAAAGTAAATAAGAATAATAAAGCCAAAGATTATCATTCTCCCCTCCCCCACTATTCAAAACCTTAAAACATTGACTCTATAAAGCAAAGTTAGTCACTGCTTACAAAAATTGCCAGTGGCCTGTAGTTTACTAAGACAGATGAGCTACAGCTTAGGAATTCATAAATAATGGGTCTCAAAAGCAGGCAGAAAACGCTTGTCATGCCTTGAACCTATATGACAGTACCAAAAGAATCATTGCCAATACTAAATTGAGACCATGTTGCTATTGATTTTCCTACTAAATTTAAAACAATCAGAGATTGATTTATTTGTTTAAAAATGTATATTATTGGAAGAAGGAAAAACAGAATTGTAAGACAAACATTAATTGCTGTCAGTGGCACAAGTCTTATGAGCTACAATCACAAGGTAAGATCTGTTTCTATACAACACACATTAGAAATATGAACAATGCTGTTAAGACCAGGAAAGTTATTGCTGTACCATTAATTCTAAGGTAAAGAAAAGCAAGAAAAGCTCCAATTTGGTGTTCAAAATTCAAAGAAAAAATATTTGACTCTCTGCTTACCTAAATATCCATGGAATACATAGCAGACGTAATATAGCTCTTAATTTTAATTGAATCACTATATTCAATGAAGCTATACCAGAGTCCTGCAAGCTTCTCACATTACCCAAAAAGGAAAAAACTTGTATAACATCCAATTTGATAAAAAGAAAACAAGAAAGAAAAAATAATAAAAGGGGTAGAGAGAACCTATTTACATCTCCTGCATACCCAGAGCAGAATTAAATTAATCATTGTGGACATTAGCAGCCACACTGTAGTAAAAAGAGGATGTCAGTTTAGTAAGTTTGAATAAAGTCCAAAGCCAGGCTAAGAGCTGTAGCTGAAAATGCCTTCTGCTCCAGAAGAGGATGCAATGAGAGTGAATGGGTAATGAGATCCTCGGCTCCAGAGAGCTTAGCTCTCCTATTCCAGTTCATAATTAATTCAAAGCTTTGATAATTTCATTAGATTTCTCCTTTGCTGGCCCTATCAATAAAAGATGGCACCGGACCACAGCTCCTCTGTGGCATAAACATAGGCACAGGCACAGACCAGGGAAACCTTTGCTTCCTGACAGGGACAATGGCATATGGTGTTCTGGGTTGTATGGGGAGCAGTGAAAAAAAGAAAATCAGCTAAATAAAACATTACAGATGACAATTGTAAACTATAGCAATATATTTAACACATCTTCCTGGAATTCCATTATGGATGATTCCAGGAAAAAGTTTTATGTATGGGGAAAAATAAGTAAAAGGTTATAAATAAATTAGTTGTGGTGACACCAACAGGGAACACTGGTCCTCCTTCCTACAAAAAATGTACCTTTCCCACAAGCAATTTTTATATTTAGATCCTATTTTGTGCTTAAAACAGAATTACTTCCTTTTAGTAAAGGAAGGAGGTCTTCCCCTTTGAGCCTGTCTCTTCTGAATTCATTTCTTTCAAGTCCCTTTCACTAACATTTTACTCAATAA
The DNA here is from genome assembly GCF_000001405.40 of Homo sapiens. Lineage (NCBI taxonomy): Eukaryota > Metazoa > Chordata > Mammalia > Primates > Hominidae > Homo > Homo sapiens. The sequence continues at coordinate 146,444,388 of NC_000004.12, forward strand.
CTAGCGGTCTTGTCTAGCATTTGAGGAAACATAGAATCATTCGAGGAAAAGAGACTCAGAAGTCAAAGTAAAATAACTATATATGACAAATAATATCATACTCATAAACAACTCATAAATACTCATAAATAACTATATGAGTATATAACAACTACTACTCATAAGATCAAATCACCATATTCCTACTCCCTCTTGTTCTCTTCTTTAACCCAAACGCAAGAAATACATTTTATATGAATTGGCCTATATTCCTGCCTCTTATAAAATGACAGTGACGGGTATATTAGGTACCCAAAGACGATGCTGCAGGCCAACTCATTCTTAGTTGTTTGCCAACAGTGGTGATGGATTTGAACTCACTCAGTCAGCTATACTGTCCTCCTGTGCAGTGAGCTCCGTCAATCTTTTGTGAAATGATTGATTAAAGGTTCTGGGTACCCTGAAGACCACGTGAAATCAGACACTGAAACCAAGGATCTTGGGCTCAACAGCAACCGATAATTAAGGTAATAGTTGGCTCAATTCTGTGGTTGCAGTCTATGAAAGAACCATGATTTCCAGAGTTTCAACAAGTAATAATAAATATTTAGAGTATTTTATTGATATATAAAAGACATGCATGTATCTTGACTTAGGGAGGAATTCCCAGCTCCTTGGCATGACGTCCAGGGCCTTCCATGAACATGTTTCTATCCATCTCATTCCCTGCCTCGAATTTTACATTCTGACAACAATGAACTACTTGCAATTCCCCAAACTCATCATGCCATTTCTTATCTCCTTGCTCCCTGGCCTGAAATACCCTTCCCCCTCTTCTACTTTGGTAATTCTATTTAATTTTAATAACACAGCTTGGTCATCATCCTTCTGAGATGGGAGAGTTCCCTTGATCCCTTATGGGACTCGCGAAGGGGTTGGCTCATTTACTTGGCCGCCGTGCTCCATGCCTTACAGGAGCGAGCACACAAGCAAACGGGTGTGGGAACGCGCACAAAGGAACACTGGAACTGGCCGGTCGCACCTCTCTGGCGGGAGCAGGGTTTGTGCAGACCCGCGGCAGTGTCCAAGTGTGTTACAATGCTCCGTTAGCTCTGCCATCCAGGAGGGGGTGTCTGTGACCCTCGAAGCCCAAGAAGACGTGTGTTACAATCACTGCTCTTTTAGCATTTGCCGTCCGTGGATGGCTAGGTGTTAACTAGCTCAGCGGAGGGTCAGGGTGACAGCCTTTTACACTCTGCCCTCTTGGTACCCGAGTTCTTGTCAGGCGTCCAGGAAAAATCAGGTCACACAAACAAATCAAAGGGTAGTTAATGTGGAGGACTTTGTTGAGCGGTGGAAGTGGCTTTCAGAGGGAAAGGGAGCTGGAAACGGGGTGGAATGGGACGAAAATCTTCCGCGGGAGTCTGGCCATCCCTAATCGAACTCCTCTCTGACCATAGTCTCTGACGTCCAGCCTCTTCTCCTCTGGTTGTTCAAACGCTTCTCTCTTCTCTCTTCTCTCTTCTGTGTGTGTGTGTGTGTGTGTGTGCACGTGCGCACGCGCGTGCACGGGAGTCCCCTGAGTCTGGGGTTTGCAGTTCTCATGGGCACAGGATAGGGGGTGGGGCAGTCCAAAAGGTAAAATTTCAGGTGGGAAAACAAGAATAGTTCTCACTTTGGGCCGTGGGTCCAGGCTTGAGGGTGGAGCTCTCGCCAGGAACCCCACCCTCTTCTACCCAGTATTTCTCTGCCTCCTGGCCCTATCACTTCCAAGAAGTTTTCAATGACCTTCCCCCAACACACGCACACACACCTTAGCATACACACATATCTACACTTACAGATGGACTGAGTATCTCCACACCTGCTGGCAGAACATCCTGAGCCTATCTCTGCCATGGGACTTGTCCTACTGTATTGAAATGACTGGCTGGGCATGGTGACTCACACCTGTAATCCCAGCACTTTGGGAGGCCGAGGTGGGCAGATCACTTGAGGTCAGGAGTTTGAAACCAGCCTGGCCAACATGGTGAAACCTGTCTCTCCTAAAAATACAAAAATTAGCCAGGCATGGTGGCAGATGCCTGTAATCCCAGTGACTTGGGAGGCTGAGGCAGGAGAATTGCTTGAACCTAGGAGGTGGAGGTTGCAGTGAGTCGAGATTGTACCACTGCATTCCAGCCCGGGTGACGGAGCAAGACCCTGTCTCAAAAAAAAAAAAAAAAATGAAAATAAATGACCTACTTACATGCCTCTCTCCGCTGGTCATCTAAGATAGGAATCTAATGAAACTCACCCTAAGCACCCACTTGTTTGTTACTCCTACTCACACCCTGACTCTGAAGTGGCCAGAAGTAGAAAGGGTGAGAAGGTTTATCTATCTATCTATCTATCTATCTATCTATCTATCTATCTATCTATCTATCTATTTATCTATCTATAGTGAAACAAATCAGGCCCTTGAATCCACTGGTACTCTTTTAAAATTTTTATCACGTGTATATATTCATTAATTAAAAAGTATGAATTGCTGACACAAGTACGATTCCCTGAAATGTCCAAAGTCTTCATCTCCTACTGAGTTATTTTATGTGTTTGGCAGAATCCAAGGCACAGAAGACTGGATCTGACATCTGGTACCATAACCAACCTATGACAGTAACAGGAGATCTAGACTTCAGACTCCCATCCACCCCATTCAATACAAGAATTTCCTTCACATCGTTTTCAAAACAGTATCTTGCTTTACTTCTCTTAAAATGCCTGAACCTTCCTATTATAATATAGTTATATAAAATATGTTTAATATAAATAATGTTTTCCGAGATCAGATGAGATTGGGCAAGTTCAGAGCAGTATGACTGTAAACCATAAATGACCAAAAATTAGCCACCATGCCTAGCTAGAATTTTTTAATTTTTTTGTAGAGACAGGGTTTCCCTATGTTGCCCAGGCTGGTCTTGAACTCCTGGACTCAAGCGATCCTCCCATCTCAGCCTCCTAAATTGCTGAGATTACAGGTGTGAGTCACCATACCCAGCTTGATTTTAAAATATAGCAGTTCTTTTGTTATTATCTCCTTTGTTAGAAAATATTTCAAAACCCATTCCTCCTCTAGAATGCTCCATTACAACAAGAATTTGTCTAATTCATTGAAAGAAACGAGTGAATGAACAAATACCTCTTGTGCTAACTGAATGTCCTACACAGTAATGTTTTTATTATTAACTCATAAAATCCCATTAGCAAAATGTATACCTTGGAGTAATCACATTTGGTGAATAATTAGATCAATCCTAGCTAAAAAAAAAAAAGTTCATATTGAGATTTTTTTTAATATTGACTAGATTGACTTCCTTTATATTACACATTTGTAGATAATATATTGCTTTTGGTATCAACCCAATTTTACCCAATATAAGATATTTTACTAATGTTCCATTATATATTATACAGCATGTCTTTATTAAATTATTTTGGAAAACTGAGCAAGTTCAATAATGAATTAATTTCATCATAAACTACTTGGAATTATTTAAAACAAAGGTAAATTTCTTAAAAAAAAAAAAACCTAATCATTCTCAGCAAACTATCGCAAGGACAAAAAACCAAACACCGCATGTTCTCACTCATAGGTGGGAATTGAACAATGAGAACACATGGACACAGGAAGGGGAACATCACACATCAGGGACTGTTGTGGGGTGGGGGGAGCGGTGAGGGATAGCATTATGAGTTATACCTAATGCTAAATGACGAGTTAATGGGTGCAGCACACTAACATGGCACATGTATACATATGTAACAAACCTGCACATTGTGCACATGTACCCTAAAACTTAAAGTATAATAATAATAAAATTAAAAAATAAAAAAAATTTTAAAAAAAACTTAAAAAAATGGGGAAAAACAATTCTCTGATAAAAGCAAGCTCTTTCATTGCTGAAAGGCTCTAAACGTTATGTTCTACCTTAAGCCTACCATAAGCCTGAAATCTATAACTTCTCATAACTGCCATGCACTGGACCATGTTCTGTGCTCTGGAGTTACATAAATATGTCTCATCCCTTTTATAAATGCATTTCAAATATATGTACACTGCTGACTCCTACCCAAGTCTTCTCTTATGACATTATATCAAAAATTTTCATAATGCTGGTCCAACACCCCTCTTTTTCCTTCCCTTATGAGGTTACTAAATAAAAAAAAGGTAAAATCCATTATTTACATTGAGTATGAATAATTTATGGCAAGTTAATGTATTAAACTTCTAGCTTGTGCTTTTGAGTACCTGATTCTTAGTCAAAATACATAGAAATGTTTACCAAAATGTAAAAACGGGATATTTATGGTTATCTCAGAATTTCTAATGATGTTTCAAGCCTAGGAGAATACCCTTAGGAGAATACCAAACTTGGGAGAAGAATCCTGCATTCAAAAGTAAGATGCCAGACACATACCTTGGTATTTATAAAAAAGACACCAAAAGTGGGTCAGGGACCACTTCACATGCAGGCTGTATAGGTGAAGACCAGAAATTCCAGAGGAGATTGATAAAATGAAATTGTTTTCCTCCTTCTCTACAGGAGAAAGCTGCTCTGTTCACCACACCTCTCAAGTTGGGGTAGAGGGTGATATCTACAAATGAAGAAACTGTGCTAGAACAAACAGCAAAGAAATTAGAATAGCATCTCTGTTCCATGCTGGATGTTTAGTGAGAGGACAAATTCCACACTGGGCCACCACAGGAGCATCGGATACACCCTGTAAGAGTTCTTAGGAACATTCTCACCCAGTGCATTTCCCACTGGGTGACAGGGATAGGGAGGGTATATAAGTGAACCAGAAATAAATACTTGCTTCCTGACTAGAAACAGCAAAGGTGAGGGGCTGCCTAGAACAGACCACAATGGTAGGGCAAGGAGAGACAGTAAGCAGTTGGACAAAGTATATCTAAATTCTGTGATGAGGCATGGGTCTGCCAATTCCAAATGAGCCAAGAAGATGCCACTGAACTTAATTCAGTTTGAGAGACCACACCCAAGAAGAGACTCCACCAACAAGAGGCTGAAGGAACAAGAGGAGCAGGGGTTGGAAGTGTATTCTGAACAACCCTCTCCCCTAACCTGTCCAGCAAAAAGAGATAGCGTGTAGACCCCTGCTATGACAGAGGGCATTGAGGGCCACAGTGTGACAGTATCGATAAGCTAAGACCCCATCCTGTTCTCTCTCATTCATTTCTCCTCTGAAGTGGTTGGAAGTAGAAAAGGTGAGAAGCTTTAAAAAAATAAAAACACAAACCACCACCACCACCACCACCACAACAACAACAACAAAAACAGTGAAACAGACCATGCCCTCTTCTCCATGGGCCCTATTTTTAAATTCTTATCATGTTTATATATTCATTAATTAAAAGTATAACTTCCTATGTTTTAAAAACGTAGGTTTGGCCTCACTTGGGAAAGAAGGGAATTTAAAGTTTCAAACTAGAATGCCCTGGGTTATTTAATAGCTAGAAATTAATCCTAATTACCAAAGATATGACTATTTTTGTAATCAAAAGTGACCAGAAAACCATGAGATTGACAGAGATGTCATCAAAGGAGGGGTGGGAATGGGGAACAGAAATATGGGAGAAGGCATTTCAGGTATATAATCCTTACATTCACACCATTCAATAAAAATATTATAATAACAACACTACCTTTTAAATATATAGCTGAGCTAAAACAAACAAACAAACAAAAAACAGGTAGTTAGCCCTCTGTATCTGTGGGTTCTGCATCTGTGGATTCAACCAACCACAGATCAAAAATACTATATTCAAAAAAGAAGAAAAAAGATGGTTGCATCTGTACTGAATGTGTACATACTTTTTTTCTTGTTGTTATTCCCTAAGCAATCCAGTGTACAACTTCTTACACAGCATTTACATCATATGTTAGGTATTCTATGTAATCTAGAGAAGACAAAGTATACAGGAAGATGTGCATTTATATATATAAATGTCATTGTATATCAGGGACTTGAACATCTGTAGATTTTGGTGTTCCTGGAGAGTCCTAGAACCAATACCCCACAGATACCATGGGACAATTGCATTAAACATATAGAAATTAGTCAAAGCCAGAGTAGTAAAGCATATGAGTTGATGCTGCACTCATGCCCATGAAGAAATGAGAAGCACAGGCTTTGGCCTGCAAAGGGTGGAGAACTGGAAATGAGACATCTGCAGAAAGCAGAGTGGAAGGCTAGAAGGACTGCCAGCACTGTGTAAAAGCAACTGGAAAACTCTACTTACAAATTTAAGAAAGTAGTATAAGGTCTGTATCAAAGGTGGGTGTAAGGACTGAATTTACACTACCTACATGACTCATGAATTTCAAACTAACAATTTATTTAAAGAAAGAAATGACAAAACAGATGAAGGGGCAGTGGAACTTCTAAGTCCTTGAAAGAAGCAAAAGTGAAACTTCTCTTTGGGGTCACTTCAATAACCCAGAACAGAGTGGATTACCAGATAACACAACCTCCACTGAAGAAATGTTAACAATAAAAAATTTTAAACAATGTGAGAAAGCTGTATGACAAGAGTATCATAAAAGCAGCGAGGAAAAGGGAAGCAACTGGATTTTTTACAATATACTAAAGAAAAAAAAAACCAGACAGATTAAAGATCTAGATGTGGAAGGCAAAACTTTAACACTTTTAGAAGAAAATATGAAACTATCTTTATGCCCTCAGAAAGAAAAGCAGTTTTTTAAGCAAGACAGAAAAAGTACATATAAAAAAGGAGAAGCTAAAATAGAAAACCCGAACAGACCAACAGCGAGTAACAAGGCTGAATCAGAAGTCTCCCACCAAAAAAAAAAAAAAAAAAACAAAAAAAAACCAGGACCAGCTGGCTTCACTGCTGAATTCTACCACACTTTTAAAGAACTATTACCAATTCTTCTCAAACTACCCAAAAAAAAACTGAAGAGGAAGGAATCCTTCCTAATTCATTCTATGAGGTCAGCATTACCCTGATACCAAACCAGACAAGGACACAACACAAAAAGAAAACTACAGGCTAATATCCCTGATGAACACAGATGCAAAAATCCTCAACAACATCCTAGCAAATGGAATCCAACAGCACATCAAAACAATAGTACACCATGATCAACTGGGATTTATCCTAGGGATGCAAGGATGGTTCAACACATGCAAATCAATACATGTGGCACACCACATCAATAGAATGAGGGACAAAAACCACATGATTACCTCAATAGATGCAGAAAATGCATTTCATAAAATTCGACATCTCTTCATGATAAAAATTCTCAACAAATTAGGTATAGAAGTTACACACCTTAGATAGAAGTTACACACCTTAAGATAAGACAAAAGAAAAGCTAGGGATTTCCATGCAGCAAAGTTCTGGCCAATGAGATAAAAAGTGATATATGCTTGATGGTGGGGGCTTAGGGAGGGAGGTTAGTTTCTGGTACTGACACTTCTTCCTGCCGAGAGCAGCAAAAGCTATCTTGCATCCATAAGAGCACTGGAGAGATAGCCACTCTAATGTCACTGAGCCGCAGAATAAACGCCAGCAGCCTCTACCTCCAGGCATCTTGGTATATGAGAAAAATAAGTCCCTCCTTGCTAAAGCCACTTTTAGTCTAATTTTCTGGTACTTGAAGCCTGACACCACCATGTTCCTAAACAAGGAAAAAATAATAAAGGACTACTCCGGCAGATCAGATAAATAAAAAACTATTTCCTCTAAAATATGAGCTTGAGTAGGCACATTAAATCTTATTTAGTATAATCTCTTGTTCCTATTGCATATGACATCATTGAAAATAAGGAAGAGAAAACTGACTATTGGCCACAATTGTTGGAGGTCAAAGCTAAATTGCCTTACCCTAGAAAAGTTCTTCAACTATGTGAATTTATATCCCATCAGGCTTTGATTCGCAGGAAGGAGAAACAGCCTTAATATTTATTTTCTCCCTAAGCATAGATTCAGTTTTAAAAACACATGAAGACTAAAACATCAAAGACTGAATTCCAATACTTGATCTTCAATTAAATATGAAAACACAAAACATTTTCATTCTATCTGTAAGGCACTTTCTAAAGTGCTATAAAAAGTCAAAAAAATAAGAAATATTTATTGCTTCTTTCAAAGCCAATTATGATTGACTTTCTCTTATGCAACTTAGTTGCTAGTTTTACTATTGACTACTTAATTACCACTATTTTCACTGAAGAGCCCTCATTACAAGAAAAATTTGAATTCTACATTTCTATGTCATATTTAAGTATTACTACAACATACCACAGAAAAGTAAACATATTCAGGATATCAATCAAAATGCGGATTTATACACTACGCTCAATATTAAGAGGGCACTTTTAATGTGATACCATTTTTATATATATCATTGTATTTTTTAAGTACCATTACTTAAATTACTGAATATTACTTAAACCATTACTGAATATTTTCTCTCAACAAAGAAAGCTAAATGAAGACTTAATACTGCTGCAAAGCATTCACCAATTTAAAGAAAGATTAATTTTAATTCTTTGTTTTAAAATATTACAGGAATTAACAGAAGTATGTATACTATATACAGATATAGATTTATAGATATATACAATGTGTGTGTGTGTATATATATATATATAAATATACAATCTTCAAGTTAAGAGTGAATGTTTGACATGAGGAGCAAGCTACATTTCTTGCCTATTTCTACAGGTTCATTTCTTGACACCAGTGGAAAAAATTATTTAATATTCTAAATCTTGAGGTGAATAGGGGGTTGCTATCCTTGTTTGTAACTATTCATCTCAATTCAGGTAAGGAAAAAAATATATTCAAGTTACTGTTTTCTGGGTGCTAAATTGAATCAGGTGTCCTCTCCTCTTAAGAAAATTAAGTTGCTTTTGTGCAAGAGTGTTTTAATGAGAACAGAGCCGGCCGACAGTGATAAATGGGAATGACACCAGAGAGAGCACATAAGCAGGACAATATGTGCATGTTACAGTCTTACAGCCTATTTTTCACTGACTATTCTGAATGACTTCTCTGTTTCTTAAGGGGCCTATTAATCTCAAATTTAGTTATTGCACAACGTTTATTTGAACATATATTCTGTGGATGATGACAGTTAATAAAGGAAATCTTTCACAAGCTGTATTTTTACATATTGTTCCAACTACAGCTCTCAGTCATTTGATGGTATTGATGGAATAACCTACATTGTGCTGAGGCTTTTTTTAAAAAGGCACATATATTCAGATTCCTTTCTAAGCACATGGGGACTCTTAAATAACCGTTAAAACGCATACAAAAAATTCTAGTACAAAACAGTAAAAGTAAAAGGACATCTTAACTGTTCAACAAAAATCATTTAATGTGCAAACTGACCCTTCTAAGACAAAACAGACACCTTTTAACACTTTTAAAGCCCTGGTACACAATATGCAATAGTTCGTGCATACCAATCTACATTTTCACAATATGCATGGGGCAAGAGAGGAAGGGCAAAATCAATTTTCCTGAGGTGCAAAAACAATGAAGTAACATAGCTGCTTTGATTTCTCTTTGGTATGCTTTTTTGATGAAATGTCATGTACTTAAAATAGTGATGATTCTGTATTTCTTATTTCTAGTAGAATACTTTTTAAGAGCTTAAAAGAATTGTTTCAACATTTTCCTAAAAACATAATTATCAGTTCAAATAAGCTCATCAATTCAGATTGTTGTTCTAGTTCTGGGAAGAAATTTGTTACTTTAAGGGTTACAGGTTCACAATAACAATACCTAATATTAGCAAGAAATATTTAATTCAAGATTTTAAAATCTGCCTTATAATTGAGGTGAAATTAAACTTAATCAAACATTTTGATTGCATCCTCCTGAAATCTCAGTCTTCAAAGGTGTTCAATTTCTATAAAATCAGAATTTTTAAGTGGGAGAGGCCATTAAATACTATGACAATCCCTTTGTTAATCAAGAAACAGAACTCCAGACAGGCAAAGGATCTTTTCCAAGGTCATACTGGACAGCAGTAAAGCCAGAATAGAATTCATCTCCAGACATCTCTTGCACCCTCTCTATTACATCCACACTGTCTGTTTTATATATTATTTTTAACAGACATTTGCAGATATATCATGGAAAAAGGGCATATGCTGAAACACTAATGGTTATGTTGGGGTAAATGGAATTATGAATATTTTTTCCTTTGTGCTTCTCCTAGAATTATGTTAAGAATTTTAGAGGCTCTCTCTTTAATCTTTAGGCAAACTTTGAACAATGCTGTGCACATATTAGATGCTCAATGTCTGACTAAAAATTGAATGAATTGAAGATAATACCAAAAGGAAACTACTTAAAAGTAGTTAAAAGACTAAACTACTTAGTCTTCTTTGCTATGCTAACACTGAATATTCACAGGAACAAACCATGGGTATAACCCAGAATACCAACACTTAAATTGAAAATACTATTTATTTATACTATTTATCCATTAATAGCTTATTGATAAATATCTAAGATTTTTATTGTAAATCTCTAAGATTAAGCTGAATGAAACTTACTTAAAATGTTATATACTATTTGATATTATATCTTTTAAAAAATCAATTTCTCAGTATTCCTCAAGTTTAATTCTTCTTAATCCTTTGGGTTTCCTATCTCTTCCAGAAAAGAATAAAACAAATGCTTCTCTAATTATTCATTCCTTCAACCTAAATTTATTAAGCAAACACAAAAATAAATACCATAGAGTACCAACTCACAGTCTAGGGCTAGAAGACAGACATCATAATAACTACAATACAAGAAGATCAATGGTATCAAAGAGTTATGGCAGCACAGAAATTAACTTTAAAATGGGCTTTTCCAATATCTCCTAGTGAAATACAACAAGCACTTTTCTGATCAATTAATGGAAGCTCTATTTAATACCAACACATTGAACTAAGCTCTCAGCACACTGAGAGAGGAATTGGCCAAGAATTCCCCTAACACTTTGTTTAGAAGTGCATCCACAAAACCTAAGTGACAGCCTATGTCAAAGCATCTAATGTTTCTTACGAATTTTAGACTCTAGCTTTCTTAACTCTGTTATTTCTGCTCTTTTCCATCCATTAGGTCTGGGAATCTCAAAGCTTCTTAAGAAGGCAATGGATCAATCCCTTAGCAATAACTCTCTCATCAGCTTTTCATTAGCAATAAAATAGCTTTCCTACCATCTTCTGGGAAATAACTTACCATAGATTCACAGAACTGCAATGGACTTCGCAGATCATCTCATCAAGGCACTTTTCCTCAAAAAGGACTATACTGAAATCACAGATGGTGTCTACCTATCCTGTTCTTTATGTCTTCAGGATCAAACAGTGCACAATCTCCTTTACAGTTTTAGATTTTAAAATCTATACTGTAAATCATATTTTAAACTAATAAGTTCTTTCCTTTTCTGACTTAACTTTTTATTGGAGTTTTTTCTAATGTTAGGTCCCCTGAGAAAATTTTTAAAAGCTGTGTTTTTGCCATTACAAGTAGCGTGCTAGTAGCCGTTTAACGACTGGCTCTTAGGATAAAGAGAGAACACCAATTTGTAATATGTGCTGATTTTCATGGTGTAAATACTCCCACCACGGCCAATTTCAAAGTGCAAATATAATGTCACTCAACACCAAGAAGGGAAAGATGGCATAATTCCAAAGGCACAAGAAATTAGAAAAAGAAGGGCAAATTAAATACAGAACAAGCACAGGAAAGAAATAATAAAGATATGAGCAGAAACTAATGAAATAAAAAACAGAAAAACAGTAAAGAAAAATCACTGAAATCAAACCTGGGCCTTTGAAAAAGACAAATAAAATTGATACACCTCTAAAACAGGGATTGGTGAACTTTTAAAGAGTCACAGCTTTGTTTTAACCCAACTGGTCTAACACCAACTGGGTGTACTGGAATACAATTCTGGTGTTAACCACCTAGAATTAGTGTCAAACTCCACAAGTTAAAAACTCAGTCCCCCACAGAATTGCCCTTGCTTTAGACAGCAGTTGCACTTCAAGGGTCCACAGGCTATCCACACTTTTGACCAACTGGCTATAAATTCAGGGGTTCCAATGTCCTCCTTAGGTTCACTAATTCACTAGAATAACTCACAGAACTTACTCAAAGTGCCATACTTAACAATTACAGTTTAATTATAAGGGATACACATTAGGCAAGGTCTGGGAAGGAGTGCAGAGCTTCTATGCTCTCTCAGAGAACATCAAGATGCTCACAAACCAAGAGGCAACACCGAGTTTTAATTGGTGTCTCATTATGTAGGCATAATTGATTAAATCACGGATCACATGATTGAATTCAATCTCCAGCCCCCTCCTCTTCCTAGAGGTCAGGCAGCTGAAAGTTCCAACCTTCTAATCACATGCTTGGTCTTTCTGGTGGCCAGTTCCCATCCCAAAGCTATCCAGGACTCACCAAGAGTAACCTCATTAGCCTAACAAAGATACTCCCATCACTCAGAAAATTCCAAAGGTTATTGAAGCTCTGTGCCAAGAACTTGGGTCAAAGACTAGATATATTTTTAAATTATACAACAGGCACATTATTTAAGTATTCTAGGCTCTGTGGACCATATGGTCATAAATTCTCAACTCTGCTATTGTGGTGCAAAAGCAGCCATAGGCAATATATAAACTAATGAGTGTGGCTGTGTTCCAATAAAACTTTATCTATGGATACTAAAATTTGATTTTTGTTTAATTTTCATATCTTGAAATTTTATTCTTCTTTTGATTTTTATCCAAACATTAAAAAAAGTAAACACTATTCTTTCCTTTTATTTTAATTTTTGTGGGTACATAATAGGTGTATATATTTATGGGGTATATGAGATGTTTTGATACAAGCATACAATGTGTAATAATCACATCATATAAAATGGGTATCCATCTCCTCAAGCATCCATCCCTTGTGTTACAAACAACCCAATTATACTCCTTAGTTATTTTTAAATGTACAATTAAATTATTATTGACTATAGTCACCCTGTTGTGCTATCAAATACTAGGTCTTATTCATTCTTTGTTTTTGGACCCATTAACCATCCCCTCATCGCCCCAAAAAACATTCTTAACTCATATACCACACAAAAAACTTTCAGCAAGCCTGATTTGCCCTGCAAACCACAGTTTGTTCATCCCTGCTCTTGGGTAAAAAAAGAAAATACAGACATTTCTAATGTCAGGAATGAAAGCAGGGACATCCTAAACTGCTTCAGATATTTAAAAGATGAGAATATTGTAGACAGCATTATGTCCCCAAATATGAAAACTTAGATGAAATGAACAAATTCCTTGAAAGACACAAACTACAAAAACTCTCTTAAGAACAGATGACCTAAATTTTCTATTACCTATCAAAGACATTAAATGTGTAGTTAAAAACTTTCCCAAAATGCAATTTCTAGGACCAAATGGCTGCACTGGTGAATTCTACCAAATATTTAAAGAAGAAATATTAATTCTATAAAAACTCACCAAGAGAAATACAACAGGAAAGAAAATTCGCCAAATCATTTTACGAGACCAGCACTAACCTGATACCAAAATCAGATTAAAACATCATAAGGAAACCACAGAAGAATAATCTTCATGCACATAGACATAAAACTCCTTATAAAATTTGAACTAATTTAACCTAGCAATATATAAAAAGGATGATACAGTATGACAAAGTGGAGTTTATTCCAGGAATGCAAAGTTGGCATAAGATTTAAGAATCAATCAAAGCAATTCACCTTATCAATAGATGAAAAAAGAAAAAAACATATAATCATTTCAATAGGTACAGAAAAATCATTTGACAAAATTCAATATATATTGATGATAAAAATTTAGAAGACTAGAACTGATAAAAATTTCCTCTGCCTCATATAAAAAACCAAACAGCTGACATCATACCTAACTGTAAAAGACTGAGTGTTCCTAAAATCAGGAACAAAGTTAGGATGTCTATTCTTATTACTACGTCTATCCAATCTTGGCCTTGTCAAAGTAAAATAAAATGGAGACTAGGCTGAAAATTCCCCAAGCAGACCAAGTCAGTTAGTCAAATAAGGATTTGATTGGTAAATGTAAGCAAAACTTAAGTTGGATTATTCCTTATAAATGTCTCTGATAATCAGAAACTAAAGTAACTCACCTTACAAAAATGGTGAAAGTAATTGTTATTGGCCTATCCTCTGCTATCTGGAAATCCCCACTGCTGTATCCAATCATTGTAAAGGTTAAACAACTTCCTCGTTTTTACTATAAAACCCAATCTGCAAGAGTAGGCCTCTGAGCTTCTAACCACTTTTGATTTTGAGGGCTTGTGTGTAACAATCTGTATTTACTATTTTACTCAACAGTAAACTTTAAAACTCTCTTTACTTATCTGATCTGATTTTTGTTTTGAACAGCCTGAAAGTGTTAGCCATGTAATACTGAAAGAAAAAGAAAGAAAATGCAAATAGATTGGAAAGGAATAAACCTGCCTTTATTCACAAATTACATCATCCTAGAAAACCTCCCTTCTGAAAAAAACTACAAAATAGGAAAGTTTATCAAAATTCAAGAATGCAAGGTCTATATTGAAAAATCAATGTATTTCTATATACAAGGAAGGAATAATTTTAAATTGAAATTAATAAAAATATTTTTCACAAACAGTTTAAAGAACATGAAATATAAAATAAAGCTAACAAAATACGTGTAGACTGTGTATGCTAAAGGTTATAAAACACTGATAAGATAAATTCTAAAAGACTTAAATAGAGAGATATGGATTAGAATCCTTGATATTAAGGTGTCAAATTTCTCCACATTGATTTATAGACTCAATGTAATCTCAGTCAAAATCCCTACAGGATTTTTAGTAGAAATTGACAAATGACTACAATTTATTTTAAAAATAAACTTTATTTATTTATTTATTCAGGGAATTATTCTTAGAAAAGTTGGAAGACTCACATTTTATATTTCACGATAAAGTTATGCTAATCAAGATAATGTGGTACTGGCTTAAGGACAGATATACGGATCAACAGAAGAGAAGAGAAAGTTCAGAAACAGATCTATATAGAGATGGTAAATTGATTTTTGGCAAAGGTGCTAGAGTAATTCAATGTGGAAAGAATAATCTTTTCAATAGGTGGTAACTGGACATCCACACACAAAAAAAAAAAACGAAAAACTCTGATGCTTATTCACACTACACACACAAAGCAACTTGGAATGGATCATAGACCTAAACATAAGAACTAAATCTATAAAACTTTCAGAACACTTAAAGAACATCTTTGTGACTCTGGATTAGGACAACATATCTACGTTAGGCTACAAAAATCACAAACTTTTGATATAATAAATTTTAAATCATAAAATTAAAAATGGATAAATTGGACTTCATTGTCCTTCAAAGTCACTGTAAAGAAAATGAAAAAGCAAACAGACTGGGAGAATAATTTCTAAAACACATAGCTGATAAAGGACTTGTATGCAGAATATATTTTTAAAACAAAATAAAACAAAACTCTTACAACTAAATAAGAAGACAACCCCAAGTTTTTAAAAATGGGCAAAAGATTTGAACAGACACTTCACTGAAGAAGAGATGTGGATGACAAATTAACACATGAAAAGATCCTAAACATCTTTAGTTAGTAGAGAACTATTAATTAATTAAAATCACAATGAGATAACACTATTTACCAGCAAGAAGGGCTAAAACTTAAAAAGAAACTGGCAGCTCAGTGTTGGTGAGGATGTGGACCAATGAGGACTCTCATATATTGCTGGTATAGATTGCAAATGATGAAGCCACTGTCGAAAACAAAGTTTCTGTTAAAGTTACACATATATTTACCATATGACCAAACCATCCCACCACTAGGTATTTACGCAAAAGACAGATATTCCTACATTCACACAGACTTGTATTCAAATGTTCGGATTTATTTGTAATAGCTCAAAACTGGAAACTACCCAAATGTCCTTCAAATGGTGAATGAATAAAGAAATTATGGTACATTCATACAATGGAATATGGCTCAGCAATAAAAAGGAATGGACTATGGATAAATGGAACAACATGGATGAATCTCAAAAGCACTCTGCTAAGTAAAAGCAGCCAAACACAAGAGGCTACATGTACTGTATGATTCCACTGATAGGCTATTCTGGAAAAGGTAAAACAGAAATCAGATCACAGGCTGTCAAGGACTGCAGGTAGAGGAAGGGGAAAGAGCCATAAAAGAATTTTTTGTCCTGATGGCAATGTTTTAAATCTTGATTGTAGTAGTGTTTATACAATTTTATACATATTCTAAAACATATAATTTTAAAAGATGAATTTTACTGTCTATAAATTATATACACAAAAATCTCAGTTTTTAGATCATAAAAATTTTAAAAGTCAACAAAAAGTAGAAAAACATAACTACATGACATTAAGCTTTAGCTTGTTTATATTTAAATGGTTTTGAGGTTTACACAGAAAATTTTAATTAAAAAAATAAGGTTTTGCTTAACAGAATTAGAAATGAACCAAAACCACCAAATTTCTGTTACTACTTCCTAACTAAGAAAGATTAAGCTTCAGGGCTCTGCTTGTGATTTGTAAAAATGTCTTTTCACGTCATTATTTTCAACAGTAACATGATCTGGAGACTTAGAACTTACCTAACATTCAAAAAAGATACCCTTGTTTCACATTTATTTAAAGATGGTAAGGATTTCATATTAAATAAACTGTTTTAATTTAAAATCATCACAGAGGCATTTATAAAATACTAGAACTAGCACTTACAATGGAGTCTGAAGATCTGATTTCAAAACAACTTGTCACATACTTAGCTATGAAAACTCATTACATCTCAGTTTATTCATTTCATTAAGTGGGAAACACAACGCCAACTTCATAAAATTTTGTGAGGATTAAATGAGATGGCAAATATGAAACCAGTGAGTATGCTACAAAATATTATATAAAGTAAGGCCCAGTAAGCCTTCATTATCTAAGTATTCATTCTCCAAGTTCCCTAAGAACTTAGGTTGTACAAGGAAACAAGAGACATCACAGTGGGGAATGATTCACTAATGAACTGACCATTTCTAAAATAATCCCCAGGAAAGCCTCTTTCCTTTCTGTACACACACCCCAATGTCTATCTCTGCACTCCAGCTTTGGTTGGCTTACTCTCACTAATTGTACAGTACTTTAAACACCTTGTAAATGTATCAAATATAATACATAACTAGGTTGCTAAATATAACTGCCCATCCTGCAGAATTTAAGTAAGTCAGTGAAAATCAGAACAAACTCAATGAGAAGAAAAAAAAAAAAAAAGATAGGCTAGGTGCTTAAAAGGAGAGTGACCAGGCTTTTTTTTTTTTTAAATGAGAGCACCTGTGAAAACTGACGAAGACAATTATTTTTGCAAAAATAAACAGGAGAGAAAAATAGGATATCAAATCATCATACAATTTTCTCAGGAAAATTACATCAGCCCCCACTCCCTAAAAGCAACACTTGATTCTTTCTCCATTCATGCCAAGAATTAGTGAATAGTTCTCATGTAAATTTTGTGAAGTGAATGATAAAATAAGCTTATTTTCATAATTTAGTTTTATTTTTTCAAAATAAAGTCTAAATAAATATATTTTTCAATAATTGCTATAAAATGTTAATTTTTTAAAGTTAATTGAGTTTAAATGAGCTTTCTCCTGTATCACTTACCACTGAATAATGTGGATCTTCTCTTTTTTTTCATTCTAGTTACTCAAATATTTATATGGGGAAGAATATAGCAATTCTTTTTTGTTAGTAAAATCATAGCTGATGTTTAAAACAAGCTTCAGAGTGCTACATTCAGCAGAATGTGGTTTAAATTTTCTACAAACAATAAATATGGAAATAAATATTAGAAAATCTCTTCCCAATTTCTTAATTTTACATGTAAGGATTAGACAGCAGCCCAGTGTGGGAAGTGACTTGCTCAAGATCACACAATGTCTAACAGTGGCTGAGTCAGGATTACAAGGAAGAGCTCCCCCCAAACACTCTTCCTTCTCCACACCATTAACCTTTATTTGACTCTAATATGCTATGTAGCTAAGATATATATGAATATCAAAAATACACAGCATGGAAATTGTATAGACACACTAAAAAGTAAAACACTAGTCAGTAAGCAGTGAAGCACTAAATCGACTTCAAATTCTTATTAAGGTTATCCTTCCGTTAGTGACTGAAGGTATATTAGCTTAGTGAGCCATGCAATAGCTGTACCACCACAACTAATGGACTGCCAAGAGATGATTTAATAAAGAGGCCCAGCTGAACAACGGTGTGTAAGTAACTCTGACAACCTGAGGCTTTCTCCTGGTCAAACGTTTTATATCTGTAAGCGACTTTCTCTAAAAAAAAATCACCTGTGAAGATACTCTCAGAAGGTTTCACTGTAATAACAGTAGCCCAAACATTCTTATGTAAGTTCAGATTCTTCAAGATCTTAAGCTGTGATTAAAAAGAAAAAAAGCTTAAAGGTCTTGTCCCCAGATCCTTCTACAGGCACCATTTATAACATGGTTAGAGATCCAGTTAAATAACACACTCAGCAACTACACCATGTACATCTTTTGGTTGAAGTAAAATAAAGAAATACAGCAACTTTTAAAATGCTGCCCTCTAGATTTTACTCTAAAATGCAAGCGATGAAAATTGGGAAAACGGCCTGAAATAAAAATATTTATTAAATACATGTGTCTATAAAATATTATGTGGACTCCTCATCTTTATAATATATAGACTAACTTGCATTGGGAGGAGAAAAACAAAAGTTGTAAGGGGAGAAAAACACTAAATGAGCAACGAATATTGCATATGATTAATGAGAGTTCAGGGAAAAGTTAACTTCACACGCTTTATAATATTGCTGAAAGTGTGGTAAATATCAGTATCTTACAAATGTCCATACGTGCCCCTTGACCCAGCAATGTCTCCTGTAAAAATTTATCTCAGAAAATAATTCAGTCACATCTGTAATCCCAGCACTTTGGGAGGCCGAGGTAGGAGGATTTTTTGAGGCCAGAAGTTCAAGGCCAGCCTGGGCAACATAGTAATATCCTGTCTCTAGAAAAAATTAAAAACGTAGCCAGGTGCTGTGGCACATGCCTGTATGCCCAGCTACTTGGGAGGCTGAGGCAGGAGGATTGCTTGGGCTCATGAGTTTGAGGCTGCAGTAAGCTAGGATTGTGTAACTGTACTCCACCCTGGGTGACAGAGCAAGACCCTGTCTTAAAAAAACAAAACAAAACAGAATTCAGGTCCATAAAAAGATTTAGCTAAAAAGATTTTCATCATACCATTATTTCCTTTTTTTTTTCTTTTTTTTTTTTTTGAGACAAAGTCTCACCCTTTTGCCCAAGCTAGAGTGCAGTGGTACATTCACAGTTCACTGCAGTCTCAATCTCCTGGGCTCAGACCATCTCCCACCTCAGCCTCCCAAGTTGCTGGGACTACAGGTATGTGCCACCATACCTAGCTAATTTTTTTTTATACTTTTGAGAGATGGGGTCCCACTATGTTGCCCAGGCTGGTCTTGAATTCCTGGGCTCAAGCAGTCCTTCCGCCTTGGCCTCCCAGAATGCTGGGATTATAGGCATGAGTCACCACGCCTGGCCCCATTATTTTCTAATAGCAAAAAAAAAAGCTGGAACTATCAGGGCTGATATTAATAATTACACATCCATACATGAGAATAATAAACAGTCTATAAGAAGAATGTTGTAGAACACTATCGAGAGATGTTCACACTATATTAAGTGGACAAATAGAGTTACAAAACAGTACGCATTGTATGACTCATTTCATTAAACATATGTGCAGATTAAAAGGTTTGAAAAGATACACATAAAAACATTAATGTAGTTAACTGAACAGTGAGATTATGGTATTTTTTATTTATATTTTCTATATTGCTCACTAGGAATACATAATGCTTCTGTAATAAAAAGTTATTAAAATATTATATACCATACAAGAACATAAAATTTTATTAAATAGTGATTGCAGAACATTGTATGTGACTAAGAGAAGTCACAATGCAATGTACTTTAGGACAGTAAATGAACAGTAAGCCTTTTCCTTGAAATGCCATTGGCCAAAAATTATGTTCATGTGATAATGTGAGCCTAATCCAAAAGAAAAAAAAAAGTCATGCCATTAAGAATAACAGTAATTTTATGATATTAGAAAAAGAATCTATGACAGTCATTATCAAAGTAGTCATTTCTGGAGGAAAAAAATTGCAAATAAAAAAAGACATTTATGTAGAATGATTTTAGGTTGCAAGCAAAATAGATGACGGTTTAAATATTTAAAGCCACAGACGGTATCTTAGACAAAAACAGAATTTTTGTTTCCTTTAAAACAGAGTTTATTATTTACCCACTTTTTAAAAAGTATTCCCTTAACTCACAATAGAAAAGATAAAGTTGAAGAAATTTGTTCCAGATGTAAAGCTCAGATTCGTGATTCTTTGTAAAAGATACTCAATTTCTTATGAAACAAAGACAGAGCATCCCACTAGAATTTTCAGAGGAAATATTTCCACTAAGAACATTTTTTAAAACTACAATTTGTTTGTTAAAAAGTTATTTATAGAGTCCAACAAAGTATCAGACAGCCACTGTGCGTAATTAACACATATATTCTCTCTTCCTCTCTCCAGAAATGTGCACATCATACTCATGGTGTGACTAATTCAAAACAAGTTTATGAAATTGATCTTTTTCCTCTTCTAAACACATACAAAAACAAGAAAATTACTTAACAGTAAGAATATACTTTTGCTTTTAAAACTGTTTAGACCATCTTAAAACTGATCCCTGATTCCTTATCTTAGAAAACTTATTCCTAGGAAAATTTATAAATAAAATGAGGTTTACAGGCACAATGTTATTCTGGCAGCCTTTTGAAAAACTGCTTTTTGATTCAACAACAGATAATTTGCACACTTTATTCTCTCTATCTCTGGGAGATATAACTGCTGAATACTTTTTATAACCTTAAATATAAAGTTTTAATATTCTTTATTTTATTAGAAAAAAAGATATCTGTGTTTCTTGCAAAGTTACTGTTTATTTCCATTAAAACAGTGAAGCCTTCATGGAAAAGCACTACTTATATATGATTTGTCCATGCACAAAGTTCCTATTACATCAAATTATTCATAAAATACCCCCTTGGCAAGGAGATTATAAGGAAGCTTGAAGCATCAGGTAACAATTGGACTGAAAGATCTCTGTGGCTGCTTCCAACCCAGTCATTCTCTGCAGTTCTTAAAGATCGCAGTTTAACTGAAGTCTTCATCAGATATCAAGTGAGTTAACATGTACTGAAAGATTCTTCAAGAATACAAATGAGAAGGTTACTCAAACCAGCCCTCCTGTCTAACCACAATTATTTAACAGCTTAAATCCAAATTGTGAACATAGTTTGAGATTTTTCTAAGATGTTCTTTAACCTGCTTTCTCCTCTTTCCTTCTGTATTTTCTACATAGTTCTAATCTTAAAGTTGAAAGAAGTTTATGTGTTTTAGAAAAAAAAGTGGATGCTTTTAAAAAATGTATTCCCTTAACTACTCCTTACATCTACTTTCTAATCCCCAACTCACTTAATTAAATTCAGTGTGAATTTAAATTGCAATTAACATCTTTTGAGGGATTACATGTTCTAATCACAATTATGCAGTGAATATTTGAAACACATACATTTTGTTATATTATCTGAAATGCAAATTGGAGTCCAGAAGAAGATGTTTAATAAAAACGTATAGTACTGAAGACTTTATTATAGATCCGAAGGGACTAGAAATGAGATTTAAAAGAGTAAAAGCACTGATACAAGTATAAAAACAAATTGCTTCACCTCCAAAACCCCTGGAAGTGGCCCCACTTGGCTCCCATTTAACCAAGCTTCTTTGCAGTTTAAAAACTGCCTTCCAAGATGTTTTCTTAACCAAACTGAATTTCATTTTTTCCCCCAAGATCAGGAGCTCACAGAGTCCTAAATGAGAGATGATGCATAAAATTCTGTAAGGACAGGGGACAAAATCTGTTTTTCTGACCCAGGAAGTTATAATGCAATTATTACATTCTTTTTCTTAGCTTTCTCTTCAAAATTGCATTTCATAAGCAGAAAAAAAGCTGACATTTATTGAGCACCTTCTATATGCCAGACAATGTGTTATTTTATTTAATCCTCAAAATAACCCTATGAGGTAAGGATTACTTTATTTTATAGATACAAAAGATAAGGCTCAGAGTACTTAAGTGGTTGAGAGAAATAAATTAAATGCATCAGTGGTGAAACTGGGATTTGACTCCTAAATCCATGCTCCCATCTGGTAAAAGGATAGTATCATTTCTGCAAAGGTGAGACCTTAGGAGGAAAGCCTAGGATGAAGCACCTATTTTCAATGTTAAGATTAACTATAATCCTGTCTACCAGGCTGTTGGGATTGTCATGGCCCCAAAAAACAACTTCATCTCTGGTAGTAAGCTTGGATAGAATGCTTCAAGAAGTTTCATTCCTGGGGCTCTCAGGACTTTTCTGCAGAGGCTAAGAGCTTGCTAAAAGCCGGAATTACTTGGCATCTTCTTACTCAATGCCAGGATTTACCATAAAGTAAAGATCTGGTGTATTAATCTATGCTGTTTCCTCTTGGTAACTTTTCCATTCCATCTTCAGGGTCTGTTTGTATACTTACCAGATTGTTAGCTCCCAGGCTAGGTTTATGTTTAAGGAAACTAAGGCAAACTCAAGTTCTGCCTTTCACTCCCTTCCACTGTCAGTTTCCTGTTAATTAATCATTTTTCTACACAACTTTTGCTGCTATGCTTTACTAGTAAAACAGGGACTAGTTAAGCTAGCTATTACTTTTTCCTTTGAGAAAGACAACACTAAATTGCTAAGCTCCCTACCCAGTCAACTCTGAAAAGCAGGTTTAAACACACACACACACACACACACACACACACACACACACACACAGGCACACACAAATACTTTTTTACTCCTTAGCATGTTTTTTTGCCCTTTTCTTTTTTCTTTCTCTCTTTTTTTTTTTTTTTTTTTTTGAGACAGAGCGCTCTGTTTCCCAGGCTGAAGTGCAATGGCACAGTCTCAGCATACTGCAATCTCTGCCTCCCAGGTTCAAGTGATTCTTGTGCCTCAGCCTCCCAAGTAGCTGGGAGTACAGGCATGTACCAACATGCCCAACTAATTTCTGTATTTTTAGTAGAGATGGGGTGTTGCCATGTTGGCCAGACTGGTCTCAAACTCGTGACCTCAGGTGATTCACCTGCCTTGGCCTCCCAAAGTGCTGGGATTACAGGCATGAGCCACCGCACCTGGCCTTGCCCTCTTTTATCTATGATTCAGCCTCCTGGATCTATGTGATGTGATGATGCCTAATGTGACACAGCACCCTGTACAAGGATAGATATGACAACCCAAAGATTAGAGAGAGGTAGGTGGGAGAAGAGAGATATTACAGTGTATAATTTACCATGTGAAACAGCCATGAGATATGCAGGCAACAGAGGACCCCAGACTTAGTTTACCTAGGTCTGAATGCAGCTCCATAGCTAGAGAACCTCTAACGAGTTTAATTAAACTACTTCAAGCCTCTATTCCTTCATCTCAATAATGGGCATAATATCTACTTACAAGAATTTTGTGAGAATTAAATAAGACAATTCATGACAATCAGTAGCACCATAAGCTTAATAAATATTAGCTATTATTAACTATATCATCATCAATATTATCACATTACCAAGTGGTAAGGGCCATTAATCAATGACTTGCCAAATCAGAAATCCAGAAACAGAGATATAAAGCTTCTGATAAATTTGAAAACATAGAGACAAATAAACATTTTAATGTGGGAAAAAGGAGGGATGGACATGAGGGCATGGAGCAATGCATTTATTTATTTATTTATTTATTCTAACTTATATTTTAATTTTTTTTTTTTTTGAGATGGAGTCTCGCTCTGTTGCCCAGGCTGGAGTGCAATGGCACAATCTCAGCTCACTGCAACCTCTGCCTCCAGGGTTTAAGCAAGTCTCCTGCCTCAGCCCCCTGAGTAGCTAGGACTACAGATGTGCACCACCACACCCGGCTAATTTTTAGTAGCGACAGGGTTTTACCATGTTGGCCAGGCTGGTCTTGAACTCCTGACCTCAGGTGATCTACTCGCCTCAGCCTCTCAAAATGCAGGGATTACAGGCGTGAGCCACCGCGCCTGGCCAGCAAGGCTTTTAAAATACAGTGTTTAATTCTTATGACATAATTTACTGTGATTTTAAAATAATAACCTGTTATGTGGGGGGTACTTCTTTGTTAATATTTAGAGATTTGTGAGGCTTCAGAAAATATTCAATAACAAATACATTTTTTTAAACCATTGTTGGGGGTAGGGGGGTACCTTAAAGTCCTCGGGGAAAACCAAACTTGTATGAAGAAGGTCTTCACAGTTCTAATTAGGATTGCAGTTTGGATTAAAAAGAATCATTCAGGGTTCTCCTGAAATTTCCTGAAAAGCAAAGCTGAATGGGGAGCACAACCAGAAGGAGAGCACAGTCACTGGAGAGGCTAATGGCTTCTAGGAGGGTACGAACAAACCCCTCTGTCAAGATCCTGGCATTTTTCCTATGATGCACAACTTCTAACCCAGTCATCATTTCTCCAACTGTGGCCTTTCTTGTGCTCCTAAAATAGTAACATAGGGATGATGTAATGAGGCACAAATGGTTGGTGAAGGTAGGAAAGTGGTCAGGAGAGGTAGAAGCTATTGCTGGTGTCAGAGAGATTGGAAATTTAACTCAGTCAGCAGTTGCATGAAGATGCCAAAGGGCACATGGGAAATGCTTCCTTGAAAGTAGCACCAGGGAAAAGTAAGAGAAAACAAAGGACACTAGGATCCGTGGAGTTAGAATCCTTCTACTTGAATCTGCATACTATCATCAAAATCAACCCAATTATTCAGTAAACAGACATGTGATGAATTCCTACTGTGTATAAAAAACAGTGAAATAATTTTCTTATTGTAAGATATGATCACCATCCTCAAGAACATTTCAACCTATAAAGGAGTATTAGCATGTATAAAACCCAAAGATTATTTATTTATGTATTTATTGGGTCTTCCTCTGTCACCCAGGCTTGAGCGCAGTGGCATGATCATGGCTTACTGCAGCCTCAACCTCCCAGGCTCAAGCAATCCTCCCACCGCAGCTTCCCGAGTAGTTTGGACCACAGGTGCATGCCACCATACCCGGCTATGTTTTAAATTTTTTTGTAGAGATGAGGTCTCACTATGTTGCCCAGGCTAGTCTCAGGTAACTCCTGGCCCAAGTGACCCTCCCGCCTCGGCCACCTCCCAAATGCTGGGATTACAGACATGAGTCACCACACCCAGCCCAAAACAACTTTAAAACAAAACAAAGGCATTCCTTTAAAATCAAACTTCCTTTAAAATAGAATTTATTATTTACTCCATGACGGGCTACGTTTGGGGCAGATATATAACTATGCAATGTGGAATGGCTACATTTGAGGTAGATGTATAAATACGTTCTGACAACAGGCAGCATACAGAGCTTGCACTATTATTTGGTGGGAGAAGAAGGATGCAAAAAAGTTATAATTCTTTGACTATTTCTCTCCTATCTCATGGGCTTATTGCTTCCTTTAATGTCTCTTCTTCAAAGTCTTAAGAACTATTGTTCAAATTTAAGGCATTATTTTAAGTGCCACTTTTAAAGAATGTTCTCAGTGAAAATTCCTCTTGAAATATCCCTAGGTATACTACTGATTCTGAGATACAGATGCATATATTATATATACATATAAATGTACATACGTATATATACATATATATGTACATATATAAATATATACACATGCCATACACATACCCCATGTATACATAACTAAATGGGTAATATAAAGACATGCTATAAAAGAATTTTGCTATAACTACAAAGAAGGACTGCTCAGATAGAGTTGGTTCCTTCCCTCTTCATTCTTAATATTTAAAGTCAAATGCACAATTACCTTTTTGGAAAGAAGTCTTTTTTCTGATATAACACAAGGTACTTACCTCAAACTTGAACACAGTTTTTCCTAGAGTATTAAAATGATGTTTACATATTTATATTTTTCATTAAAGAAATCATGTGAATTCTTTTTCACCAGATATATGATAACCATACTACTAGACTATGGAGCCTATAACTAGCCCCAAACTTTCTGCATTTGCTGACTCTGAAATTCCTCTTTGCAAATCTGCAAAGCATGACTAATGCAGGCTAGCATGTTGGTATGGGAAATTCACTAGCACTAATAACAACCACCACTTCTCAATCCCTCTATGTGTGCCAGGCACTGTGCATGTATCATCTTTACATATATCACTTCATGCAATAGGTACAATGCTAAGTAAAAAACATGAGATGTATTTAAAATACAGCCCAACTATATATTGTCATTTTAAATTAGCTTAAATAAACAAATGATTACACATTGAGTATCCCTTAACCAAAATGCTTAGGACCAGAACTGTTTCAGATTTTTAGATTTTTCAGATGTTTGAATATCTGCATTATATATACTTACTGGTTGAGCATCTCTAATCCGAAAATCCAAAATCCAAAATGCACCAGTGAGCATTTTCTATGAGTGTCATGTTGCCATTCAAAATGTTTCAGATTTTCAGAACAGGGATACTGAACTTGTAGAAATAGTTACATACATAGGGACAGTCGAAAACTTTCCTAAATTTAGGCATATACTAAAGTAACTATAGAAGTTATCTAGAACACTGGACCAACTGGGTTTTCTTTTCCATTCAGTTTTCTTTCAGCATTTGAAGTATGGCTTATTATAAAACTAACTTTAGAAACACACCCTCGCATTTTGTTTGAGGTACCTTTAGATCTTTAAGTTAGACAATGTCTATCTGAATATTTTTCTGTGTCAAATTCCAGTTGTAGCTAAAGTCACTCCTATTTGGTGAGGCTTGCTGAAAAGAAGGTAGATAAAATCCTCAATCCATTGAAGTATACAGTTATACATATTAAAAGAATGATCTCATAACTGAAAATGATAGTTGTTACAACTGCAATTAAATATCGTCATTATGGCAAGCATTTAATGAGTAGTTACTCTATGTCACACCAAATTATTTATATGCTTTATCTTTCCATTTAAAATTCATATTATACCCATTTTACAGCTGAAGTAAATGAGAAGTAAAATAATTTATCTAAAATCAGATAGTACTTAATTAGTAGAGCCTGCATTTGAACAGGTCTAGAGACACCAAAGGCCACACTCTTTTCACTATGTTAAGGTGTCAACATTAAAAACCTTGACTAAACATAAAATGCTTGAACCATCACTTATATCAAATTCACGAACTCAAGAAAATATTCTTCTGACCCACCCATTTCCTGTTCTCCATACCCCCCCACTCCCAAAAGATAGCTCATGCAGTTTTCCAAATATACACTAAAAATAAAGAGAAATAAAAGTGACATCTCAATACAAAATATAAATCCTTCAGCATCTTAAAAATAAACTTTTCTATAAAATATAGTGGAATAACTGAGGGACAAACATTAAAGAATAATGAACGTGCAAAAAAAATGCACTGCTGTCAGCATTATACCTGGGTACAAATGTGTTAGAGCATCTTAGTTTAAAACAAATCAAGTTAAGCGCCTGTTTAGAAAAACACTTCCATGTACGGCATACATACCAGTGTTAGGAAGAAAAACAAACCCAGAAATTAATTAAGAAATGGGTGGTTTTACAGAGTGCTATAAGAAGAACTTTCTAATAAACTTTCTGTCTATACTTAGAGTGAAATCTTCCTACAGATTTCCTTCTCTCATTTACATATCTGTGCAGGCTTATTCTGTTTTTTTTTTTTTTTTTTCCTTTCAAGCCCCTTTGCCCTTTCAATCATGAAGCATATTACTCCACTGTCAGTGCAAAGCAGTTCCTAACAACAGGGAACCCAGCTGGGATAGGAAGAGGGCAGCGGGCTCATGCATTAACATAATAATCCAACTGTGTTCCCATAGGCCCTTAGGGCAGACAGCATATTAGGTAGGCCTCCTGTGCAGACCCTGGTGGAAGCTGCCTTATCACCTGCCTATCAACCTGTGGCAGCTAGAGCTAGCTCAACAGCACCAGCTCCTGCCAAGCAGTGGTGCCCAATTACTTTACTACAAAAGACAGAAATCCATTTTTCTATGTCTGTTTAATGTACCCAATGCATTTCCTTATTTATGATTTGAATCTACATTTCTGCATCGTTTCCAGAGGATTGACTTATTGCCTTTTAACTTTTTAAAGTCTAGTTGTCTAAAGGCCATTCTGCAGCAGTAGGTAGGAATGAGACTGAAATGTGAATTTCAAATATAAAAGCCCAAGTTGGTAAAAAGCAAACCACTTGGTCACCGGTTGTCTAAAGATTCCTCAATCAATATAGAGGACTAGAAGTGTAAGGAAGATCTGAAAGGCAGTTATCACTATTTCCTCATGGGGATAAAAGTGAGGGTACTCCTATACTAATGTCTCTTTTAAATGTAGTTTTTAATTCTAATCCAAGCACATCCTAAGGTTCCCATAAAGCAGAAACCTTTGTGCATGCTGATTCCAATAAGAAAAGTTGTGGACAGATTACTACAACCGGCTGACGGTATAATCAAAAAAGACATGTCAAAATTATTTTGTTTAATCTCAAATGATTATTGAAAACAGTTTTTTTTAAAAAAGGCTGACCCACTGACATGCTTTTTACTGTTTGCATGTATGACATATATGTTTTATTTTAATGCTGCTTAGTTCCTAGAATGTTTTATCTGTGTGTGATTTTCTTTCCAAGCTACAATATATATCAAGTAAGGAAAAGCTGAAGGGTATATTCCACTGAAAATTTCTATTTACCACGTTACATAAGATCATCTTTAAAACACCTTAACAGATGTTTGAAATCATAATTCATTTCAGTGAATTAAATATAGTCTCATTCCTTGAAATTTCCCCTTAAAAAGGTTGCAAAGAAGGGGTATAATTTGACATTTAATTTAACAGGAAAAAGTGCTTTTAGAAGTATTCTAAATAATGCTATTTAAAAGAGCATGAGACTACCAATTTGGCTAGGGAAACATTTTCTACTAATCAAGTATTTTAAAAAAAAATGAGTTTCTAGAAATCTTACATTTTTTTTACTGGTATTTTAATAAAAAAATGGATCCTGCAGTCAAACAAAAGTACATTTTCCTAACATTTCTTTGAATTTTAAATGTTAGGGAATCAACACTATTATTTATAGCAACCAACCTGATATACTTTATATACATTCTAATAATTAACCAAAATTAAGTATCAAGGGCTATGGCACTGATTTTCACTGGCACAGTTATCTCTGTTACCTTAACAGTTTTTGCAACACATTAAAGAGGTGAGCTTGACCATTCTGCAACTTCTCAGTTCTTTGGATTACTCCCATACATGCCAGAGAGGGTTTTATATAAAGTAAATATCCTCCTTATGTTGAAGAAAGTTGTTCTTTACTAAACAACCTGAGGAAAAGTCAAATAAAAGAGAAAAAAAAAAAACTAGAAGAATTTTTCCTTCCATAAGTAAATCCTGAGCTATTTAATAGTCTCTAAACAATACACAACAATATATTGTTGATGAAAGTATAAATACAAAATACTAAACTCCATTTTAAATATTAATGCTTACATATGTGTTAAACAACAAAATTATACACATCCCTTCTTGATCTTTTGGGGATTCCAGGGACTCTTTATTCTTCAAGAATTCTTACATTTTGACAAAATGTAATGCATCTTCCAAGTCATTAAGTATAGAAACTTGACTTTTGATTAACAAACAATCAACAGCAGCCATGTGGTGACAGGATAAATAGTGGCCAGACTTTACCACTTTTTAAATTCCTTAAAGAGGTACATTTCCACTCTAGGGTAAACAAAAGAAAAGCATGTATATGAAATAGAAATCTAGTTATGCCATCACTAAGAACTTGATTTTATCTTAAATAGCAACTTATGCAGCTAGAATAATTTGGTCTCTAAAGGGTGGTAAAGAAGGCAATAAGGACAGAATTATAGTATGATTTCCAGCATTAGCAATTCAACTTTGGATAAGCTTAAAATTTATAAAACTTATAAAATTTACAAAAGTAAAGATAAATGAAGAAAGTGTTATTTAAAAATTTAAGTGAGAGTAAATACAAATAGAAAATCATGTGAAAGAAACATATTTATGTTTACGTGTGATATACTAATTTTAAAATGTGCCTCCCAACCCCCAACAGCTGTTTCTATAGGCTGCACATTCCTATATTTGAAATAAGCCACATCTTCATTTTGATAGTACCAGAGCATTCCCTTCCCTCCAGAGAATTACCTAGAAAGGACCTTCCTTTTCCAATGAAAACCATTTGATTCCTAAGAACTTTATCTACCCAGTTCAATCTGGTGGTATAGCTATGGCTTCAGAGATGGTTTGCAGCTAGTATTTTTTGACATTTCTGCCAAGGATAAGATTAAGTATGAGATATCGAAATTACACGTTAAAATAGATGCCATTTTACTTTGTTTCTTCCTGAATAGCCCTTCAGCTGTAGAGGCACATACATTTTTCCCCAGGCAAAATCCCCAGGCTAAAATAACTGAGCCTCATATCTTCAGGAAACCCAGCTTCCCAAACATTATTCTTAGGTATCTGATTATCTATCAGCTGTAGTTTCATTTTGTATTTAATCATGTAAATCTTACTTGAAAAAAAGAAAAATAATCCACTTAAAACGTTTCCTGTCAACCACTCATATTAATCAATGGCAATACTTAATTTTCTATTATAGCTTTTTAAAATGTTGATCTTTATTTTAGCAACAGAGTTAGAAGTCACAAGGATTCATGAACTGATCATTTTTGTTCCCCAAACATCCTTGCCTTCCACGATTGCCCTTCTTGAGCAACATGCTACGCACTGGAGAAAGGACACTCCCATTTGCCAAGATCTAATACTATCACTTTGCAACCTCAGCCTCTTGGACAACTTAAGCGTCAAAGACCACCATTCTAAACAGTAACAGATGTTTCAAAGCTATTACTCCAAACCTCAGGTGAAGATAAATATAACTTTAAATGAAAACTACAGAAATTGATCAAACAAGTAAAAAAAATAAATACCTCAAAAAACCTTTCAATCCATCACGAACTAAAAAGATTTTAAGACTGTATACACAACCTTGAAGCTTTTAAAATTAAGAGAAATTAAACCGCATATTAAATCTTCACATTCTAACAAAGCCAACTGAATTTATATTGCAAGCACATATTTTATCATAAAAAGTTTACAGATGACTACCTCAACACCCATGCAAGTACTAAATCATTATGCATTAAGCTGCTAAAGGTGTTTTTAGAAAGAGATCTGAATTGCCTGCCTTTACAGTTTACCTCTTATTTCAAATCAGAACGCTTCCTGAAAAGCTACAGATAGGAGATAGGATGAAGAAACAGAATTAACACCTAAAAGATGAAGAAAACTAAATAAAACATGAGAAGGTAGAGGAGGAGGCAATGTAAAAAGAAATCTATGAATGAGGAAGGTAGAGTAAGTAAAGAGTAGCAACCAGAAAACTAACACTCTTCACCTCCTTAAATTTGATAATACCTATTTTTTAAAGCACAATTAAACACTTCTCTGTAGAGTGTTGTGGAAGATACGCTGCACAAAGAGATGATAGGTGCAGTAATGGCCCATGAGGTAAATAAGGCGGAGGCGAGAGGCAGGGCACCAATGGCCAATGCAAAATAAATACATTAAGAAGTAAGTGGTCAGCAGTATTGACAACTTCTGAAAGACAAAACGAGGCGTTACCTTTCAGTCTTCTCTTTAGCAAATGCCCGTTTAAATTGTGTGTGTGTTGGTGTGTGTGTGCATGTGCATGTGTCTTGGGGTGAACGGTAAAGGGGAGGCACATGTGGAGTTACCTGAAGAGGAGAAACGTAAACAGCACCCTGAGCCACAGTCTAGTGGGATGCTGGATCTCCTTTCTTTTGGACTTTAGTTCTAGAACTATGACTTGCATTGCCTCAGATCAAATCTTACTATTAAAAAACTTCAAGGAATTGATGGAATTATGGTTTTCTCTAATATTACTTGCTTAAAGTAATCCATTACTTAGGGCTTAGGAATATTTATGGTAAAGTGACCATCACTGACTCAACTTACATTCAAAACAGGAAGACAGTTAACTAGACTGGTTTAGTGATAGCAAATGGTGTTGTTCACAGTGGGGGAAGCCAGTAGCAGAAACACAGGTGTAAAGAGTGAAAAACACAGATCACCCTTTGTCACTGAAGTAACAACAAATTCTGCTCTGAAAAAAAAAAAATACAGTTGTTTCTCCAGTTCTTTGTACAATAAGCCAGTTTTATTCTTGCTTCAATACTTAAATCTAGAAACAAAGATATAAATCAATTAATCCTTATAAACTGCTCCTAGGAGCTTCATTTTCCTCAAGGAATTAAAAGAAGCCTTGACCACTACACAAAGAATATGAAATCTCTGCACTAAATTGCTAACACATATCTCCAATTAGATTTAAAGACATTTTTACAGCTTTTATGCCAAGTTTATATTACTAGATGCTAAAGAATGCGTTGTAGCGCTTAAAAGCTCTAAAGCTGACTAATCATGCTCTTGATAACAATGGTTTATGATTACATCTCAGGAAAAGCAAGAATAAGGCTTTTACACACTTTTGTTGTTACATGATAATGTTAAACAGAAACAAAAACAAGTAGCAAAGTCAACCAAAATCTTTTGTTTTCTTTTCTGATACTCTCATCTAGAGGCTAAAAACTCAAAAGTTATAATTAGAGTTTTACTCATCCCTTGCATAAATTCAGCTGAAAGTTTTTAGGGGCTCTAGAATTAAGAATAACCTAAAATAGCAAATGCATTTGTATTTTCCAATTTTGTACATGTCTAAGTAATGCAAGATTATATCATAAAAGCAAACAGGTAAAGGATAACAAGAATTTTTAATTAGCATTTCATTAGTAATACCAATGTGAAAAGAAAGAGGTCAACTATTAATAAGATACAGATTTCCCACCACTGGGATTTATTCTGAATTCATTTTAGGAACAGGAAGCTGTGATCTAAAAATCACCACTCTAAAACAGATAAAAGTTGAAATACTTGTGCTTAAAAAAGATTAGGAATTTAAGAATAGCTTTTTGTACATACAAACCATGTAGTTCCTAACTATTGATGTATAATTTTAACTTAGAACCATAATGCCCATTCATTTCATGATAAATGATAACACACTTGATAGCGTATCTATTTGGGAGAAGAATAATGGCTTAGAGATTTCAATCAAGCACGAGAGTACCTTTTCATTTCTCTTTTTTGGTGTGTGCACTTAATACTGCACAAAAGAAAACATATCAAAACAGAAATATACTCACTAAAATTTAAGGTTATTCCAACAAAAGGGTTAATTAGAGAAACAAATTTTCTCAGACTGTTAATAATGGGAATGACACATACTATGTGCCCATAAGTAATTCTCAGGTATCTTTGATCTTCAGCCCCACGCGGTTTCTGTTGCCTACCATAGCCTGGCCTCTGGGACTCTCTCAGAACCAGACATCTGGCTACTTTGTTGTTTTAGACTAATCTCCTCCCAGGAGAGCTCAAGAAATGACACCAGGCAAGGAGGGTCCTGGCAAGGGAAAAAACATTACAGTATTAGCAGATTTCTTTTTGAGTGGACGAGAGTATCAAAATTGTTTTCAAATTTCTACAGGGGTCTTAGGAGCTCTTCTGTTCTGTGGTTTTACTGTGGCAAAATTTAAATAGGATGTACATATTATACCTTTAAGGCCCATCAATCATCTTTAAGAATTCACTGAATGTTAATCATAGAATATTACAATATGTAGCAGAAAGTTGTGGGGAAAAATACAAATCAGATTAATTCCTCACCCATCTGTTGGGGTTGGGTGATGACTGATAAAACAAAGATTTTAATTGTCAGCTGAAGGGTTACACCAAAATTGTGGGACAATGTCTAAGATTTGTAAATACAGTTGCATGCTTCCCATTATGCCAAATCCCTATCCTATTTCTTCTAGCTGGGATTTTTGAAAGATTCATAGCTACTAATCTACTAAAAAGGTTTTATTAAAGTGGGCTTCTGTAAAGTGCCTCTGAGGAAACCGAGAAAGAGCAAGAAGAAATGATATGAGCTTTAGAAATAAAAATAAAACACTGATGTCAAGGACAAAGTGTTATATTCATAGTCACAATATCACCAACATTTTTCCCAAGAAAACAAAAATAATCATCAACATCTAAGTATCATTTTAGGCATTAATGTTCAATCTCAAAAATCTACATGGTTTGAATAAGAAAAAAATTGCCATTTGTTATACAAATAGAATATAAGCCAAGTGGAAAACAGCTTAATTTGTGAACTTTGATATTTTATCCTAAAATATCACATTTTACCTGTTTCTAACATATAATTACAGATTTGGATAATGTATAAAATCAAATGTTACCCTGCAATATGATATTTATATTGTTTTACAGGATGATAGAAAACTCACCAGATTGCCAAAATACCCAACGCACTCATCTCTGATCTATTATTAAGAGAAATTGGGCATTTTAGGTTTCAATTATCTTCGTAATAATCAAAGCATATAGCTATATTGTGACTTCAGCTTTGTACTATATTTCGTAGGTTAGCAATTCTAATACCCTACTTTATCATAACACTACCTACTCTGTTCATATCCATTATAATTAAAACAGATGAAAATGTTCAGAAGATAAATATAAAAAAGATAATCTTAGGTAATCATAATTCATTTATGATTAATTTCCCAAGTAAATACAAAAGAATTGTGTTACAATGGAATAAGCCAGTTATAATGGGACAATATTGTATGATTCTATTTATATGAGGTTTCTAGAATAGTCAAATTCATAGAGACAAAAAGTAGACTGGTAGTTGCCAGAGGGTGGGGGAAGGGAGTATGGAGACCAGTTGTTTAATGAATGGGTATACAGTTTCAGCTTAGGAAGATGAAAAAGTTACAGAGATGGATGATGGTGGTTACACAACAATATGAATATACTTGATGCCACTGAACTGTATACTTAAAAATTATTTTACCACAATTCAAAAAAATTGTTAGAAAAATGATATAAAAACCCAAAGACAATAAAAATTCCAATATCTTTTGTTTAGACTGTTGCCCTTTGACCAAAGATGCACAAAGTTTATGAGAAGCATTATACCACATGTTAATGTATACATTCAACATTCAAAAAACATTCAACATTCAAAAAACAAACAAAAAAAGCAGAATATCTGTCTCGGAATATTTTAACAAAATAGATTCCAGAAAGAATGTTTTCAAAAATTCCCCTAGATGTCTGACTTTTGTACATAGTATAAGGCATACTGCAGCTAAATAACAAAACTATTCTTAATATTAATGTGTATTTCTAAAAGAATCCAAAGGTTAGAAAATTCAAAACAACTAGATTTTTTATAATACCACATTGTTGTTATTAATATAACTATTAAGTTATATTAGACTCAAAAAGTAATTCAGCTCTTCAGTAATTCAATACCTACTAGATATCACATTATTTTAAATTATATTCAGTGTAGTTCCAATGTTAAATGTCCTTTATTATATTCTACTATTTGAAAATTATAACCTTATATATTTTATATAAATTGTGCTTCAGTTTGCTGTATTTAAAAAATTACCCCCAAATAACAGTAGATTATACAAAGAGATGCTCATTTCTCTTTCGTGTAAAAGATGTCCCAAGGTAGGCAATCCAGGGCTGGCATGGCAGCTCCATAGCCAAAAGGACCCCACGTCCTATTCTTGCTGCTCCATTGTCATTAGCAGGCATCTCATGAGCCAAGAATGCTCCTCAAGCTCTAATCAAATCAACATTCCAGTAAGCAGAAAGATGAAGAAAAAATGAAGGCTGGTATATAATACCAGCCTTAGTATATAAAATACTTTTATTTACATCTTAAAAGCAATAATTTAGTCACATGGCCAAATAGAACACCAGGAAGTCTAGTAGATAAATATGACATTTCAGCTGGGTGCCAGCTAAAAGTTGGGGTTCCGTTCTAAAGATGAAGTTGAGGTCGATAATTGAAAGCAACCAGAAGAGCGATGTCAGCAAGATGGCTGACAGGAAGCTGCTAGGGATCTTTCTCTCCCACCAAAAAAAAACCCAAAATAATGAATAAGCAACTGCATATTTACCAAAATAGCTAAAGGAGAGCACCAGAGAACAGCAAATAAACAGGAAAAACCATGGAAAGTACAAAAACCTGAGATGGCTGCACAGAGAAGGGAAGGAAACCTCAGGTCTCCTGTACACCAGAGCAGCATTCTCCCAACCCCAGAGGTGACACCGCATCCTGCCCACCAAAGGACTCCAACCCTCCAGCACACCAGAGCAGTTGTACTTCTGAGTACCATACCTGATGTGGCACCCCACCCTCGAGAATACAGAAGCTCCCCGGACTGCTGTAGCCATGCTTTCTGGGGCTAAGCAGATGCAGTAATTCCCATCCCAAGGATTCAGAGCCCTGGCTAAGCCATGCCACCCCACTCCCCAGTCCAAATAGGCACAGTGTCATGCCTACCTGGCACATAATGAGTGCCCCACAGTCCAAGCTGCTGAAGCACCCCATCTCTCCAGAGAGTAAAGTCATTGCTGCACTGTGCCCCACGCCCCACAAGCCAAAGTGGCATCTTACCATGCCTGGGTCCTTGCTGCTGCTGCTGCTGCTGCACTTTGTGTCACAGAACCTGGGCCATGGCCATGTTCTACCATTTCGGGGTCCAGAGTCACCTCATCCCCCAGAGCCTGAGTTACCACTGTGCCTCGTGGCTCCAGGTCCCAAATTGCAGCTGTGCTCTGTTCCCTGGGCCTGAGCCTCTGGAGCACCCCTTCTTCCCAAGAGTTATGCAAGTACTATGCTGTGCCCCCCAGGGGCAGTACCATAACTGCATCCCAGCCCAGGGTTTGGGCTGCTAGGGTATGCTTCAGAGCAACGGACCCCAGCCTAGTGAGAGAACTGCATCCAATCATGCCTTGGAGAGTGAAGTTGTGCCTCAAGTCCCAGGTGCTAATAGTAATCTCAAAAGATCCTGAGCCCAAGAACCTGGATCCATAGCCACCCTGAGCACCTGTGCCATGAATAACAGTGCTGCTGTGGCTGCCTTTGAGCTATGCAGACCCAACACCTAAAGAGATCCTCTCAGCTAAGACTCCAAATTGTATGAAAAACAAAAACAGAAAAATCCCTAAAGTCCCTGCCCTAATAAGCTGTGAAACCACCACCACAGAGGCACCCACAGTCATTACTAATACTGATCACAACTAAAGAAGCTGTACAAAGATTTCACCATTGCACCAATACAAAACCAGAGCCACTATAATCTGTCCAACTGCCACCCTTAGGCTCATCTTCAGGGACAAGTCTTCCCCCAATGAAAGCCACTCTATAAAGTTTGGAAGAGGTGATCGTACCATCAGATGCACAGACATCAATGCAAAAACACAAGACACATGAAAAAATAAGGAAGAATGATACCACCAAAGGAACTAAATGATTCTCTAGTAACTGATGCAACAGAAAGAGAAATTTACTAATTATCTGAAGAGGAATTTAAAAATAATGATCTTAAGGAAACTCAGCAAGATATAAAAGAATACAGATAGACAATTTAATGAAATCAGGAAAATAATTCATGATCTGAATAACAAATTCATAAAGAAATAGATATCATAAAAAATAATCAAACAGAAATCTTGAAGCTGAAGACTTCAATCAATAAAATAAAAAATGAAATATAGAGCCTCAATAGCACACTCCATTGAGCAGAAGAAATAACCTGTGAAGTTGAAGAAAGGACTTTAGAAATGACTCAGTCAGAAGAAAAAATAAGAAAAAAAAAAGGCAAAAGAGTGAAGAAAGCCTATGGGACTTATGGGATGCCACTAGGCCAACAGATTTTTGGCATTATGGGAGTTCCAGAGAAGAGACAGAGAATGCTAAAAACTTTCCAAGCCTTGGCAGAGACAGAGGCATCCATATCTATGAAGCTCAAAGTTCCCAAATTGATCAAATCCAAAGAAGAATTCTCCCAGGGGCATTATAATCAAACTGTCAAAAGTCAAAGACAAACAGAAAACTTTAAAAGCAACAAAAGAGTCAAGTCACACATAAAGGAGTCTCCATTTGACTACCAGTGGATTTCTCAGGAAAAATCTTATAGGCCAACAGAGAGTGGAATGATATATTCAAAGTACTGAAAGAAAAAAAAAACTGACAACCAAGAATACTATATCCCCAAAGCTGTCTTTTCAGAAAGGAAGGAGAAAATTTTTCATAGACAAGCAAAAGCTGAGGGAATTCATTACCACTAGGCCTGTCTTACAAGAAGTACTAAAAGGAGTTCCTTACGTGGAAATGAAAGGACAATAATTACTATCATGAATACATATGAAAGTATAAAACTTCCCAGTAGAGGTAAATATATAAACAAATCTAGAATACTCCAACACTGTAGTGATGGTGTGTAAATCATACATATTTCTAGTATGAAGGTTAAAAGTCAAAACAGTGAAAATTAAAGCTATAATACATTGTTAAGGAATACACAACATTAGAAGATGTAAATTTTAAGATTAAAAACATAAATGGGGTAAGGTAAATGGCTAAAGTTCTTGTATGTGACAGAAAAATTGTTATCAGCTTACAACAGTAGTTTATAAGATGTTTTATCTAAACCTCATAGTAACCACACACACACAAAAAAAAAACCCTACATCATATATACAAACAATAAAGTGAAAGAAATCAAAGTATAGCAATATAGAAAATGATCAAATCACAAAGGAAGACAAGAGAGGAAGAAAGGAATAAAGAACAAAACAACCAGAAAACAAGTAACAAAAGGTAATAGTAAGTCCTTACCTATCTCTAATAACCTTGAATGTAAATGGATTAAATTTTCTAATAAAAAAGACATAGAGAGGAT
This sequence comes from Homo sapiens, assembly GCF_000001405.40. NCBI lineage: Eukaryota > Metazoa > Chordata > Mammalia > Primates > Hominidae > Homo > Homo sapiens. Next base: position 146,483,679 of record NC_000004.12, read on the forward strand.
GATTGGATTAAAAAAAAACCCAGATCCAGCTACATGCTGCCTACAAGAGACATACCTAAGCTTTAAGAAGACATATAAGCTGAAAGTAAAATGATAGAAGATATTCCATATAAATGGTAACCAAAAAAGAGCAGGGTAGCTATACTTATGTACTTATATCTGATAAAATAGACTTCAAGTCAAAAACTGTCAAAAGAGAAAAAGAAGGTTTTTATTAAATGATAAAGGGGTCAATTCATCAAGAGGACATAACCACAGTAAATATTTATGCACCTAACAATGGAGCCTCTAAATATATAAAGCAAGAATTAATGGATATGAGGGGAGAAATAGATAGCAATGCAATAACAATAATGAACTTCAATACCCACTTTTAATAATGAAAAGATCAGGCCAGGTGCAGTGGCTCACATCTGTAATTCCAACATTTCAGGAGGCCAAGGCAGGAGGATTGCTTGAGGCCAGGAGCTTAAGAGCATCTTGGGCAACATAGTGATACCTTGTCTCTACAAAAATATTTTCTAAGGTAGCCAGGCATGGTAGCATGTGCCTGTAGTTCCAGCTACTCAGGAGGCTGAGGCAGAAGGACTACTTGAGCCCAGGATCTCAAGGCTGCAGTGAACTATGATGCCAACACTGCACTCCAGCCTGAGTGACAGAGAGACACTCTGTCTCTAAAATTTTTTTTAAGTGAATAAATCAACCAGACAGAAAATGAATGGAGAAACACTGGACTCAAATTGCACTTTGACTATATGTCTATCAAACATAGGAAGAACAATATTGCATAATCTCACTTATATATGAAATCTAAATTTTTTTAAAAAGTCAAACATAGAGAGATAGAGAAAAAAACAGTGGTTACTGGGGACTGGATAAAGGAAGAAATGGGGAGATGTAGGTCAGCAGATACAAAGTAGCAGATATTTAGGATAAAAAAGTCTAGAGATCTAATGTACACATGAGGACAATAGGTAATAAAATTGTGCCAGATATGGGATTTATGCTATTGTAGGTAAGTATTGATTTTTTTAAATAAAAGGGAAAATAAAGTTATTCCTATTACTGGTATCAGATTAGCATAAATCAGATAAAAGAGTGGGAGTTATTGATATATCACCACAATGAAAATAAGAAATTTTAAATTAGATCAATTCAAGAAAATAAAGCCCAATTTAAAGACAGATACAAGGAATTAATTTCCTTGCAACAAATTAACTTCCTTTATTTCCTTAAATATGACTTCAGTACTTAATAATAATATAGGCAGATCCTTCCAATGAGTTAATATTCTGTGTTGCCTTAGACAGAGTCAAATGTGGGGACCAGAACAAACTGTATAGACCAATGTCAATGATTTTCTACTATCCCACCTCATCCCTTTTACCCACTGGAAAAAAATATGTAGGAAAAGAAGCAAAACAGTAAAACTTAGGATAACCAAACCAACTTCCTATTGTGTCTATCTCCCAGATCAAATGGAGAATTATTTGTACAGAGTCACACAGGCGGGAATTAAAGAAGATTATCTTATTTGACTGTGACTAGAGATTTTTTAGTTAGAGATACAGCTGCTGTCCACTGACCATCTATCTCCTTGGCTTTTACAACATCCAAATAAAGCTGCAGTGATTCATTTTGAGGGGACTTTGGAAGCAGGACTTCAAAGAGTAGGTGGCCACCTAGCAGAGAGTCCTAGAGGGGCATGACAGCAGCAGCAAGCTTTGGAATGGACCTTGTGGTCACAGCAAAACAGGGTCACATAGTTTGGAAGAAGCTTCCTAACACCTTGGTGCTGAGGGCAGAATTCCTCAGGGAGTCCCAGTAGGCCCTGGAAATGCCTGCCACACAAAGAGCTGGTGTTCAAGGTAATCTCCTGTCCTAGAAGACCTTCAGAGTATTTATTACTGCCAGAGCAGACAGTCTAACTATGACGGCTTCTGGAAGAAGACACAGTACCAGGAAAGCACATATAAGTCCAGGTTCAGGATTTGGAAATCCAAGAGAAAGTCCTACTCTGGGCTGAAAAATCAGTTATGACCAGAGAAAGAGACTATGATGATGACAGTCATAAGGATGATGACAACAACACAGGGGCCAGAGGACCATGCAGGGTCCTTCTAAAGAGTCTAGCATGGTGAAGACCTGGTTGGTGAAGGAATTAAAATTCACCAGAAGAGATAAGGAGAGACAATGACGAAAGAAAAGGAGGGAAAAGGCAGGAAAGAGAAGGCAAGAAGCTCAGAAAAGAGAGGTGTGAATTTTAAAAATATAGAGATTAAAAAAATGAAGATTTTAAAAATCAAGTGGACAATTATGGTATTCTCTTTTCCCAGCCTTATGAAGTAAAAAGAAATGTGAATGTGTGAGGCAACTTCAGAAAAAGAGAGAATACTAAATCTTTTTTCAGGTATCATGATAAAACTATGGTTTTCTAAACCAAGGTGAAACATATCACAACTCCTGAAGTAATAACACAACATTCAATAAGACCATTCAATACTCAACTAGAAACTGCAGGTCATTCAAATAAGCTCTTGAGAGCAATGATTAATTTATTACCAATTAACCACATTCAACAGACTTTCCAATTATAATTTTTTAAAGCTAGCCTTTTAATAGCAATAACATAATGTTATTTCAAAAATGTTTTGAAAATAATGTTTTGTGATTTACAAAACATGTTCACACACATTAATTTAATCATTTAACAAGCTATTTTAAGCAACACATATTTATTGCCAGGAAATATTTTATATGACCTAGTCAATAGTGTGAATTCAGAGGAGAAAGTAGGTACATACCAATAAGGTTTCTAATGCTGCAGTTGTTTTCCCTTATATCTAAACAAATAAATTTTTTAAAAACATATGTGCATGGTGTCTTACAGTTCCAGATGCCATTTTTAACATTTCTTAGAATGGGATATATTTGTGGCTGTTTTCCTGGGTGGGATTGGCTTCCTGGTAGTATTTGGGTTCATGGTACCAAAACAAATTCAGGACAGAAGTTCTTTTATGTTTGAGGTGTACAAGAAGACCTCAGCTTTGCTTTCACTTTCTCATCCTACAAGGAATAGGAGTTACTGAGATGAACACGGAGAATCCCCTATAGGGCAGTGGCAGTCTTCTCTTTTAAATCTACAACTGCCAGTGATGCAGGACACACAGGCTTGGCCTGTGCACCTGGCCCACCCATATCACCCAGTATTTGGTTATTCCATTTAGATTCATGTCTATAGGGCACAGCAAAGCAATAATTCTGCCACCAACTCACCATAAGGAAGCAACCTTTCAGTCAAATTGTCAGCCAAACTGCAATTGCTTCCTCAGCCAGCCTGCTCTCCTGCTCCCAGTGCAGGTAATCCTGTTCCATTGACCAGGTCCCCAGAATAAAATCTATAAGCAGCACCTTCTCTACTAGACCCATTCTCTTGTATCTTTCAGCCAGTTTGAGTACCTTAACCACACAGGAGAGGCTTTTCAAAAAAATGCCCTAACCACTGGAAAAGAATGTGAAAACCTATTACTTCCAAGAGCCAACTTTCCAACCAGGACCCGTGAGCCTGACTCAAGCTCTAGAGACTTCTCTGCCCTCTCCTTACCTGACTTGCACATTTACACTCACCTGTTGTTTATGTTTCTGCCAATTTCCCCCCAGTTCATTACCAACCTCTGTGAAAACATACAAGGTTTGAGCTTCCTTGCACCCTAGAGCTCCCCACTCCTCAGAATTTTAATTCAGTACTCTATAAAGTACAAGTGCTCAATAATTTGTTTTTAGCTAATAGTACACTGACAGTCATCCCTCAGAAAAATGTCAAGCCATCCAACTTTAATGAGGAGCCAATACAAGATCTAGATCTTACATGGCTGATTTATGGAGTTTTGTTGTTTTTGCCTGAGATAATGCATAATGGGATGAAAGTGTCTTGAAGAAGGATTCCATGACTTCCCACCTGTGGGACTTTGGACAAGTCATCTCACCTCTCAATCCCTATTCTCCCAACTACAAAACCAGAATAATATAAAAGCAGTCCTATGTACTTCATACAATTATATGGAAGTTAAAGATAGAAAAATATAGGCCAGATATGGTAGCTCACATCTGTAATCTCATCTCTTTGGGAGGCCAAGGTAGGAGGATTGCTTGAGCCCAGGATTGTTTGAGCCCAGGAGTTGGAGACCAGCCCTAAGCAACACCCTTTCTCTACAAAATTAAAAAAAAAAAATTAGACAGGCATAGTGGTGCACACCTTGAGTCCCAGCTGCTGGGAGGTAGGAGGATTGCTTGAGCCCAGGAATTCAAGGCCAGCCTGGGAAATATAGTGGAACTCTGTCTCTACGAAAAAAAATTTTTTTAATTAGTCAAGCATGGTAGCACATGCCTGTAATCCCAGCTACTTGTGACACTGAGGCAGGAGGATTGCTTGAATCTGGGAGGTCAAGGCTGCAGTGAGCCACGATCATACCACTGTACTTCTGCCGTGGTGACAGACTGAGACCCTGCCTCAAAAGAAAAAAAAAGAAAATATAGGTAAAAGCATTTCATAAGATATGCACAATAATATTAAATGTATTTACTATAATAGGAGATGACCTGAAAAAGTATATTAAATATATTTTAATTCTGTATATACTGAAACTTGCATGGAGAAATCACCACTTATTTTAAATAAGGGAAAGAAATTATACTTCATCATTTGTTCAGAAAAAAATATTTATTGAGCATCTCCTAATGTCTTCTAATGTGCAAATCATTTTTCCCACATGAGATATTTACTTGACTAGATGATTTCAGATCATCCAAAATTAAGGAGGGAAAAAAAATGACTAAAAGTCCCATTCAGCTACTAAGATTTCTGTTTTTGTTTTTCATCAATAGATTTTAAAAATGCACTATTAGCCCTTTAGTAGTATTTTATTTTCTTCCAGACCAGATCAACCCTATAGAAGTCTTTTATTTCCTTCTAAGCATTCGAAGTCTTATTTCCTTCCAGGCATTATGCCAGCTATTGTGGGGGTTGCTACCACAAGACTGTGGCTGTTAAAGCTTAGACAAAGCAGAATAGGCGTGAATAATTGAGAGAAGCAAAAATGCCACAATATATAGCCTATTGTGTATCTTAATTTTTTTATAAAAGTTTAACACAGAACAAAGTTTACCTTAATATGAATTACTGCCTTAATAATACATATTTAAATCAATACACTTATAAGGCTAGACAAATTTCTTCAGAAATATTAATTTATTCAAATACATTTCCTGTGTCCCTCATCTATGCCAAACACTGCACTAGATACAGAGGATACAACTGTGAATAAGAAGCACACATTCCCTGCCATCTAATGAGAGCTTCAATGAGATACACAGCCATTTTCAATAGCCTGTGCTAAATGTGCCTTGGTGGGGTAGTACCACAGGGCTGTAGTACAGAAATGGCGAAAGCTTCCTGAAAGGAGGCTTCCAGTCAAACAGAAATATCAACACATCCATAACTTCTTAGGACTCATTACTCTGAACACAGCCTTTATTTTTTCCACCTAGGTAGTTCAGGCACTAAGCCATCTGTGGATTGAGGCAGTCTGTTCTACCTCCAGTGTTAACAGAGAAGGGCAGAGAAGGGAGGGTGAGGAGCACAGGTATTGAAGCCAGAGTGCCTGAGTTGACATCTTCACTCTACCTTGTTTGCGCTCTGTAAGCCTAGACAAATTTCTTAGTCTCTTTTTGTGTCAGTTTTCTCATCTGCAAAATGGGGATAGTAATAATACCTATCTCAAAAGATTAAAGGAATTAATATATGTAAAGCACTGAGAACAAGAACTGACACATAACACGTACTGGCTGATCTTACGATTTTGATGGCAAGAGCTTATTGTGATTGAGGTCATCCCTTATTGTGCAAGGGGTAGCAGCTCACTAAATCCACGTAGGGCAAAGGAACTGCCCACGGGTTAAAAGTGCCTTCTAGAATTGTGCATCAGAACAGTCCTGAGTTATTCCATCCTTCTGCTGTACTCTTTTTTTCCTTCCAGAACAGAAATCAGAAAGTGCTTGCATTTCTTTACATCTCTAAGAGGCTTTGTAAAACCTGAGACAGGGCTTTTCCCACTCAACTGGTAAAAGACTCCTCTATTTAGCAAACAAGCTTCTAACTCAATTAACTGCTTTCCTCCTTCTCTATTGGTCCCTTTATTATCAGTTAAGCCCAAAGTTTATCAACCACAGGCAAACTGTTTCTTAAAGTAGGCTCTTTTTTTTTTTACCCTTTGATATGTTTTCAATCACAATTTGAAAATAAATTTTTTTCAAGGGAGCTACATAATTCCTCCAACAAAAATTCTATTTTTTTTTTGTCATCTACAAAAAGATGATGACATCAAACCAAGAGAATTCATGTCTCTCTTTATAGACTAACTGGGTATGGTACATTATTTTTAAATTATACTGCCAGTTCTCATTTTTCATACCAAAATGTGACTATATAGCCTATCCTTAAGAGCAAGTATGCAAACACTACAGAAGAGTTGGCAATTAAATAATAATTAGGGAACTAGAAATATCAAACTTCAGAGGAACAAAAAGAATACACACATGCCAACGACTTCATTGCGCAAATGCAATGAGTATTCATGAGGGCTTATTTTGACAAAGACTCACTGTAAACTCACATTAAGAGTTAGGCATATCAGTCTAATGGGTTATTAGAGGGCCACAAAAGTCCAAAGCATTTTTTTGTAGAATACTCTATCATGCATTTAAACAAAGATTAGTGTAAATAAATATATAAAATATTTTACCTCATATTGTTAGTTTCCCAGGCTGTTTGTCAGAGTTAAATTGCCATGGTTTGCCTATTTGAGAAGGTGTACCATTTTCAAACCAGTGTGAACTTAAGGCAACTATAGTGAGATTGAACTTCATAATAACATTGTCTCAGGGTCCACATTTGAAGAATCGGTAAATGAGAAACACTATTAAGCATACACTCTGAATAATTCCCACAATAGGCTCTCTTAACTGGAACTAAAATGGACTTGCATGAAGGAAAAAAAACATATGCCCAATCTAGGATATCATTTAATTCTATCCCCTCTTTATTCTAGTACAGTAAATACATGAAAGAATCCTGGAATGAGAGATGGAGAACATAGAGCTGTGGAAATTACTTCAACCACGATATGACCAGGAGGAAACTGGATCATTCTCCAGCTTCCCAAACCCTTTTCCTGCCATTTCTATTAAGGCTACTCCTACACTGCATTAAAAAGATACAAAAGAAAAGTAGTTCCCACAAAGAAAACTCAAAGATTGGTTGGGGAGCCAAATATATGCAAAAATATCTGATTAAGGGTGAGTGTCACAACAGAAGTACAAACACAGTATTGTGAATGGAAGAAAAGACTAATTCTGACTGGGCATCTACAGCAGCTTTTTGAGAGGAAAACTGTATTTGAGCTGGGCCTTGACTGATGGGCAAGGCTTCAACTACTAGATACGGGGGATGAGGAGGTCCTTACTGTAGGTGCTGACAGATCAGGTGAGCTGACCACAAGCAGCAGAAGAATTCATGAGAAGACAAAGTCCTCAAAATAGCCTGAAGACCAATAACAAAACAACTGTCTGCAAGTAATAGGTGGCCAGAAATCCTCCAGAGCATACAGACCAAGGCCAAAAAGTTTGTCCAGAGAATCAAAGGAGCTGACTCAAGAGGAAATATGAATGGCAAATATCCATTAAAGTTTAGGATAGTGTTTTTCAAGCTGTGGTCACAAAATCAATTTAGTGAATAATGATTGGCATTATTTTTCCAAGATTGGAGAGAAGGAAAAGGAAGAGAAGAAAAGAAAAGGAAAAAGATGGAGGGAGGAGGGGAAAAAAGGCGAGGGAAAGAAAGAAGAAAGAGTGAATTACACACAAAGTAATTATATTTTGGAAAACTTTTCAGTTTCTGCCTGTGTGAAGAAAGAAAGGAAGGAGGGAGAGAGGGAGGGAGGAAGGGAAGGAAGGAAGGAAGGAAGGAAGGAAGGAAGGAAGGAAGGAAGGAAGGAAGGAAGGAAGGAAGGAAATAAATTCCTCATTCAGAGGGCCCTGCAAGGCCAGTATCTTGGCACTAGATTAAAATGCAGCTCAGCCCACTCAATATATTCAGACCGTTTGTTTGGATCCAGGTGTTCTTGGCCATGAATAATCTGCTTGAAAATCTCATTGCACTAAACAGGATGTTCTCATTAAATACTTAGAAAGACACAGCCAGGGCCGGGTGCGGTGGGTCACGCCTGTAATCCCAGCACTTTGGGAGGCTGAGGCGGGCGGATCACGAGGTTAGGAGATTGAGACCATCCTGGCTAACATGGTGAAACCCCATTTCTACTAAAAATACCAAAAAAAATTAGCTGGGCGTGGTGGCGGGCGCCTGTAGTCCCAGCTACTTGGGAGGCTGAGGCAGGAGAATGGCATGCACCCTGGAGGCGGAGCTTGCAGTGAGCCGAGATCGCGTCACTGCACTCCAGCCTGGGCGACAGAGCGAGTCTCTGTCTCAAAAAAAAAAAAGGAAGAAAAGAAAGACACAGCCTGATGACTTTGTAATGCAAGTAAACTAACAGAATCACTTCTAAAGTTTGTAGCAATGCAATACAGATTAAACCTGACTCCTTTGGCCTATACAATGTCCATGTTTCTTTGTTTCTTTCTTTCTATTTTTTTTAAGATAGGGTCTCACTCTTTCCCCCAGGCTGGAGTGTGTTGCCAGAATCTTGGCTCACTACAACCTCCACCTGCCAGGCACAAACGACCCTCCCACTTCAAGCTCCCAAGGAGCTGGGACCACAGGCACACACCACCATGCCCGGCTAAATTTCTTTGTATTTTTTTGGAAAGATGGGGTTTTGCCATGTCACCCAGGCAGGTCTGAAACTCCTAAGCTCGTGATCCACTGGCCTCGGCCTCCCAAAGTGCTGGGATTACAGGCATGAGCCACCGTGCCCAGCCAGCCATGTTCTTAATAAATAGTCTGATAGATGCCAAACATCTTAATATAAAAAGAGAATACGTTGGGAAAGCATAAAAATCTACATTTAATGCAATAAAAATAGATCATATTTCACCAAGAAGCAAACAGTTTAAAGTGACAGAATATCTCCTCTCATTTACATGGGTCTTATATGTTTTTTTTTCCCAAAATATTTTCATCTAAAACAACCCTGCCTACATACAATTGATTAAAAAGCTGATGAAAAGACTACCCAAGATCACAGAGCTAGTTAGGGATGGGGCCAAAAGAAGCAGCTAAGTCTTCTGAGGTTTAATTTGTTGACATTTTCATAACTCCATGATTTAGTAAATTATTAAGAATAAGTCTTCTATTTTTAAGAAAAACAACTTCATAAATATACACAAATACATGTGTAATTAGCATGTAGTTGGTGCACAGACAAGCTACAGAACTTGAAAAAGGCACATGCCCAGAATTTGGAAATAAAGTTAAAAATAATCAAATTCTGTATAACAAGATGCAAAAATATAAACATTAATTAGATTAGATTAGCTAAAAGAAAAGTTAGAAGTGTGTTGTTGTTTAGACTAGTGCCTCTCTAAATAGGAAGCCTGATATTTAAAATATAACTAATCAAAATAAACCAAATTATCAAAAAATGTTTTGCTAGTCATCATACATGCAGATATTCTGATACTGAACAAGGAGTTTTAGGTTGATAACCCATTTTCAATGTTTATGTAGAACTGTTTAAGTGAGCTGAGACTGCGCCATTGCACTCCAGCCTGGGCAACAGTGCGAGACTCTGTCTCGAAAAAAAAAAAAAAGAGAGAGAGGGAGAGAGAGATATACCTGATTGTTTTTGTGGCTTGTGTTTTTTTGTTGTTGTTCATTGGAATGGAGCTGGGATGCTTTTCTAGGCTTTACTGTTTCAGAGAAACATCCTATAAATCTATTCAATCTTCAATCCCCTTTACCTCGTTCTAAACTCTGAAAGCAATCTTTCAATTACTAGTTTGGCTCCCCATGCCCTTTAATTCCCAAACGGGCTATCTTGGGTATCTGACATGAATATTCCAGGTTATGACAAGAAATACTTATACAAAAAACCTGAAGACCTATAATGCAAACTAATAAACTAAAATTATCCAGTTTATTAAATTTATTTAAATACAAATCATCTTAAGCTGCAATTTACTGCTTGTTTTATATCACTTACTAAACTGAAAATTCTATAAATGTAATATGTATATACAGCAAGCTATTGCAAGCACTCGACATACGTTTTTGAATAAATGAACGAAGTGAATGAATGAGCGAATTTAGAAGATCAAGTTCTTGAGACAGCAATAATATTGACTCAGAAAACCCAGTTATTTCATCAGTGATAAACCTCTGCAATGATAATAATGCTGATGCTTACTTGATGTGTTCCCTCATAGTTTACAAGTACTTCCACATATCAATGCATGAGATCCTTGTAAGCAATCCTATGAAATGAGAATGCAAATATTATTGCTCCTTGTATGGGGAAACCAAAAGCCAGCAAGGTCCAGGGCTTACTGAGACCACTACGTTAGTAACGGTAAAAGCAGGAATTAAGCACATGCTTTGATTCCAAGGCAGGGTATTCTGTGCTCAAGGTCAGGCGGCCTATCAGCAAAGGTGGTGATATAGTGCCACAGCATGTTAAGCTGGAGTTACGTAAATACTTCTCGCCCAAGATCAGGACTGGCCCTAACGTCTGAGGCACAGTCAAACCCAAAGATGGGGGTCATATGGCTTTAGCTATAAAGAGAAGGATTCAGAAACAGGAATCTAGCAGGGCTAACACTTTGTTTTAGATCAGATCTCTGGAAGACACCATAGGGATGGAAAAGGAACCAGACAAGAAGAAAAGAATTGATGAGAGGCGTGGAAAGAAAATCAGGAGAGATGAGTGTCAGGGAAGCAGAAGGAATTTGGAGATGAGTGGCCATCTCCACTCATCTTTTCTGTGTCATGAATCAGTCATGAATCTCCATCTTTTCTGTGTCTCTCTAAGACCAGATCTTTGGAGATGAGTGGTATCAGTCATGGAGGATATGAACTGAGGACTGGCCTCTGGGATTGGTGACTAAAAATCACTGCTAACCTATTAAAAGGGCCCTTTTAGTTAGAGAGGTAAAAATGAAGACAATTTGCTGGGCAACAGGGTTAAATGAGAAAATTCTAAGTTACACAAAAATCTAGGGAAATCTAGGTACGTTTCACAAGTTTTATAGCAGCTTAAAACAAATACAGTCAACTCTTTCTACCTCCTAAGAACTCTCGCCCAATCCGGAAAATAAGACTGAAGCTAAAAGGTAGATACAGTAGAAGAGTAGGGGCATAGAATTTCTTGCTGTTGCTGCTGTTACTTCTGTTCTTTCATCTGTTAAAGAGGGAAATGTAGCTGTTACTACTTCTCAGAAAGCACACCAGTCTGGAGGCTAAAAAATATACATCTGCCAGCTTGCAAGAAGGCTCAATGCTGACAATGTTTTTCAGACATAAGATTCCTCCAGGATGCCACTAACCTTCCACTACAAGCCAAAGCAGTAACCCCATTTAACAGAAGAGAAAGGCAAAGAACAGAAAGGCCAAGTAATTGCTAAAGCGGAGAAAGTGACTGACAGATAAGATTTCCTTTTCACTCCTAGTCCTCTCTGCTGATTAGATCTACTCTAACTGCCTTTATAAATGTTTCAATGAATCTTATCTTAATGCATTGGATTAGCAAGACCAACTCCCCAATGATAATGCAAAATAACCCTGAAATGTTTCATGCCTCACTCATGAGTCAGAAATTGAACTTACAGTCTCCATTTGGACTGTGATGATCTTGATCTTTCACCTCTAGCAAAAATCTCATAGCTATACTTTGAAAGTTAGTAATGAGTGCTTCATTTGCTTTCCAAGCAGATAGAAAACCTTTTTTAAATACACTCAGACTTCTATGACCTTCATCTATGACTTAAAGACTTCACCACATGTGATAATTTTCTTTGCTCAGGAGACATTCTTAAATTGTCTTTGAAGAGATTTGAGCACCAGCCCCGTTGATGAAAGTAAACACACACACACACACACACACACACACACACACACACACACAGAGGCACATACACATACTTGTTATCTTTCTTCTATACCCCAAATCAAAATGTTTCTTTAAAATGTATTTGGAATTCAGCATGACTATCAAAGTTCTAAAATCCTTCAACCTGCTAAGTAAAATAAAATAAAAATGCCAGCTAAATATGCTTGCATTAAAAGAAGTACACTGTCTTAATACTAGACCAGGCAAGACCACAGCCTAATGCTGCAAGTAGCAAACACAGTCTAGATCTCTAACCTGAAGTTCTGGCTGTCCCACACAGCTGGGTGGAGCTGACCTCACTTGTGGTACATTTTGTTTTTTTCTACACTAAAATGGAAAACAATAATTTAATGATATGGGTCATCTAGGCAAAATTATTCCACTACGTTTCGCCTATTTTTGTGAGGTTTATAACATGAAGTAGAGATTCTGAATACTGTAATATCACATTAAATGTAAGCTCCTCAAAGTCAGGCACTAGATTGTCAGGTCTCAGAACACAATACCCTAAAGCATGGTGTCTTGGCATACTGAGTACTTTTGAGCTGACACAGACAAGGGGGCCTCAAAAGCAAGATGGTCTCCCTAACCTTCTCCTACCCTCCTGTCTCCTGTCCCTCTTTCTCTTGCCTGTGAGTGGATCATAGAAACTAGAATTCCCCTCCCCCTAGGTGGATCATAGAAAGCAGAAAGGTCACTCTGACTTCCTCCCTTCTCCCCTGAAGACCCTCATGTGACAGGTGTCCTTTCTCACACTCAGGGGGAAAGCAGGTCTTACAGAGACACAGAAAAGAATCTGAAAAACCTGGCCTTGTTAAGTGCCCCAGTTTATTACCATTAGAGCATACCCCTTTTTTTCCAACCATTTTTCTCCACAACTATCCATTTATTTCATCAGACAGCATAAAAATATAGTTTTCCCTGTCTCTTTGGGTCTACATTTCTGAAATCACCCATGTCACCAAAAACTTCGGGTAAATAAATTTGTTATGCTTTTCTCTTGTTAATGTGTCATTTGTTATAGGGATGTCAGCTATGACCCTTGCCATGGGTGAGGAAAAGGTTACTTTTTCTCCCCTGTAAGACGTTATTATCCTTATTATTCTCTATGGTAGAAAACAGTATCTTAAAGTTGATGCTTAACAATTGGTTGAATACTGTATTCTATTTCTAAAGCTGAATGGTGGACATAGAAGTGCATATTGTGCTTTAAACTGTGTATATGTGTTTTACACCCTTTTTATAGCTACGATAGGTTTCATAATTTTTAAAAGAAGGAGATTCTTGAGGCCCATCCACTAAACATTCTAATTCAATATGTCTAGGGTGGATATGATATAAAGAATTTAAGTTTACTTTTCTAATCTTTCAGGTAATGCCAGTGCAAGTGATCCATGAAATCCATTTTAAGAAACAAACAATCAAAAAACCACAAATAAACATAAATAACATGCCTATAGTCAGTACACTGCTACTAGTGGTAAAAGTGCCTATTTTCATGGTTCGAATTACCAGGCTTGGTTTTAAACACAGATAACCTAGAGTTTAAATATTACTCCCAGATCTGACTAAAGACTCCTTTCTAACTTGCCCTGACTTTTATCTATTACAACTCTTAATGCTTTTTTCTTTTTCCCTTCAGATATTTGAAGGCAGACACTCCTTAATTATATTTCTCTTCCACTTGTTTAATACCTAGGCTCTCAAAATTTTGCAAAGTTGTATAGCTTTGCAACTTTACTTGGACGTTAAGGCTTCATATTCACTTCACATTTTTCGGCAATGGCTTTTCGCTGAATTCTTCCTTTTCTCAGCATGCAAAAGAAGCAATATTGAGATAAAAGAAGACAATGCCTCTTTCCCAAACCCTACCTTTCTTGCTTTTTCACTAAATACCAGTACAAACCATAGAGAAATGAAATAGTTCTACAACAATACTATGAAAACCACATAACTCCCTCTCCAAACATAGGGGAATAATTTTCTAGTTTCTTTAAATTTTTTTTTCTTTTATAAAGGAATCCCTGTGATAGTTATTGTAAGGCAGAAGTAACTTGAATTCAAATACAAGGATTCTCTTAGCAAGTCTCATCAGGTTTAAAACCTTTGTAAGGCTTTTGGAGGGAAAAAAAAAATCAAAAAAATTTTTTATCACTGAATCTTGTATTTAGAACAGAAATTTAAACTAAACAAATATATATAGTTTTAAACAAAGAATAAGTGTTTATCTTTTGCCTCCCATGTCAGAATAAAATATAAAACATTCTGATCTATCTTCTTATTTTTGGAAATAAAATTAGGATTCACCAACTCTTATTACTTTTTTTTTTTTTTTTATTTTGAGACGGAGTCTCGCTCTGTCGCCCAGGCTGGAGTGCAATGGCACAATCTTGGCTCACTGCAACCTCCGCGCCCCGGGTTCAAGCAATTCTTCTGCCTTAGCCTCCCGAGTAGCTGGGATTACAGGCACATGACACCAAGCCTGGCTAATTTTTGTATTTTTAGTAGAGACGAGGTTTCCCCATGTTGACCAGGCTAGTCTTGAACTCCTGACCTCAGGTGATCCCCCAGCCTCGGCCTCCCAAAGTCCTGGGATTACAGACATGAGCCACCGCCCCCGGCCTTATTACTTTTTCTATTACTTAAAAAGGAACTACAATTACATGCACACACACATACACACAGCCACAATCACCACCAGCTGGACCATGTCAAAGCACACTCTACAACTTTGCAGTTTTGAAAACTTGTGTTTAAAATATTCAAATGAATAAATAACAATCACAAATAAGAAGCTGACCATGTTTCTAATATTTAAATAAAAATAGCTTAAAATGTAAAAGCCACAAAAGAAGATTGTCAGTCAGCTTTACTACTAAACAGTATCATTTGTTTACCTGAGAAATATACTGGCATTTCGGTGTATATACATTGCTATGCACATACATTGAGTTCCTTCTGCTGCTAAAAATTATTATAAATTCTAATTGGCTCACTGAAACAATAATAACCTAAGTTATAACAACATATTTTTTTTAACTAACAAAAAGCAATAAAGTTACTTCTTGCCAAAGTACAACCCATGACAAAATCTTTTGGTAACCAACAATTTTACTGAAAATCATTTAAAATGAAAAGTGTGTAAGTAGCAGAAACAAATTTCCTCCTACGTTCTATAACAACTTTGCAAAATGAAAACAATCATTTCAAATGACACCATTACAACTGCATACATCCCCAAATCATTAAAAACAAATATGCTATACAACCACACACTGTATTTAGTACATGAGAGCACATATTAAACATGTATATATTACATATAAATATATAAATATACATGAGCATCAACTAAATGTGAAAAAGGTGATAACACAAAATCCTGAAGGAAGACGTTTTCATACTTGTCATATACACCATCAAGAACATTTTGCAAGGACAATGCAACATGGAAATATGCCACAGCAATTCTATTGCTATGTTAAAACCCATGTGAGTACAGAGCCGCTACATGCAAGGCAGAGCAGAGAATCACAGAAAAGCAGAATCAGGGCCTTCATCAAATGGTAGGTGACAGTGGGCCCAGCTTGTGGACCTTTTCATTACACACACCAACAAATTCACTGCCCATCCTTAGATTACATTCTTTCCAATATATTATACATAAGATTAATCTTCTTTCACATTTACTTCAACAAAAGTCTATATTCACTTATCTAGTAACATTATTTTAGGAAAGTATTAAACTTTTCTACTACCTTTTCTTGCAGATCATTTTCTCCTACAATCTGGTGAAAATATGAAATAGTCTACTCATTTCATATCAGAAGGTAGGACCAAACTGGACTCTGCAAACTTCATTTCTCAAGTTTGATATTCAAGATTTATGAAAAATTATATCTTATACCCCTGGTCTACAAAAATGCTTGACAATCATGAAGCTATACAATATAAACATTTAAAGAAATAGACTAACACTTTTAGAAAACAAAGGAGATATTTCTAAATTCCACATTATTAACGTGGAACATTAATATAAACAATTTATCTATTGAGGGAATAAACATGTAAGTAGACTTTAGAAGAATCTAATGCTACGTCAATGTCAAGGATATGGATGAAATGTGAACTTTGGCCAAAAGTTGAGAACAAAAAGGTTTTTTAGTCTCTTAAATCAATATAGCCTACACACCTCTTGAGGGAATCACCATTAGACAAATCACATTTATCTCTAATCACAATAGAAAGAAAACCACAGTGCATACTAGTCTAAAACTCCTATACCTCCTCTATCTCACTAATTATATGGCAAATAAAAATAACTACCTGACATAATGAAATCTTTGGTTAAATCCAGCTATCTGCCAATTTCATTCCTACACTAAGAAGCTAAATGTGGCTTTGAGAAAACACACAACCACAATGCCTGGCTTCACTTTCAATGCATGTCTACGCATCTCAGCTGGCTCCTCAGTCCAGCCTAGCTGTCCTGCCTTACCCTCAAGTTAACTCACTTTCCTCATCTAGATGGCAATTGCACACTTTCTCCTCCCTTTTGAAACATCAATACTACCTACCTCATCATCACTCTCAGTGGTTGACCTTGCTTCCAACCTCACTAAGAAAATAAAAACCATTAAAAGAGACCAAGTATACCCCTTCTACCCAGCTACACACATCCATATCCACACACTCTGCCTTCCCTTCTGTTATTATAAATAAACAGCCCAAGGTCTACTGACAGTCATACAACTCAATACCATTCTCTCTCATTTGATCAAATATATTACTCCAGCATACACACTCTCTCTTACATCAATAGTTTCCTCTCTAGTGTAGCATTCTCATCATGATGCATACATACATGCTGTTATTTCTCCATTAAAAAAATTTCTACCCCACATCCCCTCTAAATACAACCTCATTTCCCTTTTCCCTTTCATCACAGAGAACCTCAAAACAGTTGTCTCTACTTCTATCTCTAATTCTGCTCTTCCCACTTTTTTCTTGAGCCCACCCCAAATAAGCTTTTATCCCAATGCTCCACCAAAACCACTGTGGTCAGGCTGCCAATTACTCCATGTAGCATAATTTAGTGGCTAATCTTCAGAATTTACCTTACACAACTTATATCAGCATTATTTTACACAGTGAACCAGACCCTCCTCTTCAAACACTTTTTCACATGGCTTCCAGGACACCTGGCTTCCCTGACACAGTGCTCCCCTCTTTTTCCTGCCCTCATTATTGCTGCTTTCTCTGTTGCCTTTGCTGGTTATTCCTCATTCCCTTGACCTCTTAATGTTGGAGTGATCCAGGGCTCAGTCCTTGAACCTCTTCTCTTTTATATCTATGCTCTCTCCCCAAATAATCTCATCCAATTTTGGCTTTAAATACATTTATCCACTGATGATTCCCTAATTTATATCTCTAGTTTAGACCACTTCCTAAACTACCAATTCTAATAGCTCTAATTCTTCGTTAGTATGTCCACTTGGATATATAATAGGCATCTTAGTACATCAAAAAACCAAATTCTTGATCTTTACCTATGTGGCTGACATTACAAGTATTCACTAATGTCAGTTCCTTTCTCCTTCAGGGCACATAAATGACAATACATGGTAAGGCCATATGACTTATTCTGGCCAATTTAATGTGAGCAGAAGTGCCATGTATCACTATCAACCTGGGCAGTGAAAAGCCTATTTGTGGTTCTCCAATCTTTCTCTCTGCTGTGGCAAGTGAAAATGTTGTGTGTTCCATCCAGGGGGTAGACCTACAAGACAGTAGAGCCTCCAATCAATCTGGCATCTTTAGGGATGGCAAAAGACCTTCCCACTGACCCACATGGGACATGTACCATGAACAAGAAATAAATGCATATTTTTAACCACTGAGATTTTGGAGTTCTTAGTGATCCTAGAATAGCCTAGCTTCTGTAGGCTAATACTCCCCAAACCTGTTCTCACATAGCAACAGCAACCTCATCCTTGCAGTTGCTCAACCAAAAACCTTAAAGCCATTCTTGACCCCTCTTTTTCTCTCACACCCCACATCTAATTCATCAGCATATCCTGTACCTTCAAAATACACCCTGAATCCAATCACGTTTACTGTCTCCACTACCATCCTGCTCTTCAAAAGGCACTGGTAAAAAATAATAAGACAAGTCACAGACTAGGAAAAAATATTGACAAAGCAAATATCTGATGAAAGAGATATATCCAGAATATATAGAACTCTTAATGCTCATCAATAAGTAAACAAACCACCCAATTTTTTAAAAAATGAGCAAGAGAGCTAATAGACATTTCACTAAAGAAGACATATGAATAGCAAATCAGCACATGAAAAGATACTCAATATCACTGGGAATACAAATTAAATTAGAACCACAATGAGATATCATTACACCGTATTAGAATGGCAAAAATTAAAAAGACTGAAAATACAGTACCAAATGTTGACTAGGATGTAGAACACTGGAACTCTCATTCGCTACTGGTTGGAATGTAAAACTGTATGACCACTTTAAAAAATAGTTTGGTAATTTATTTAAAAGTTAAACATACACATGTAGTAAAAGAAGAGTGCTTATATATTGAGAGAAATGGTCTACATCAGAAGCTATTTATAGGAGACTTATAACTATTTATAGATGATTCTTCCTTGATTAAAAGGTACTAGAACTTACACCTACTGGATGATATACCCATTCCACTCCTAGGTATTTCCAAGGAAACGGGGGTATATTATATATAAACTTAAGATTTCTACAGTAAATGCTCATAGCCAAAAATTAGAAAATGCCCAAATTTCCATCAACAAGTGAATGGATAAACAATTTGTAGTGTATCTATACAAAATACTACTCCTCAGCAAAAAAGATACTGAATTATTAATGAACACAACATAGATGAATTTCAAAATATGTATGCTTAGTAAAAGAAGCCAGAAAAGATTTTAAAAAAGAGCACAAACTGTGTAATTCCATTGCATAAAACTCTAAAAAACGCAAACTAATCTATAGTGACAGAGGGCAGATCAGTGGTTGCCTGGGGAAGAGGGGTGTTGAGAAGGGCAGATGGAAGGAATGTCAAAGGGACTCAGGAAACTCTTTGAGGGTGTATATATGGATATGGATATGTTCACTATCTTGATTGTGGTGATGGTTTCACAAATGTACACATATGTCAAAACATTAAACTGTTTAAGTTTATACAGTTGGTTATATGTCAATGATACTTCCATAAACCTGTTTTCAAAAAGAATATAGCAGGTACTCAATATTTTTGGAAAGCATAAAGTGGATGAAAATGAAAATAGATGTTGAAAGCAGAATCCTAAGAATGAACTGAAGTGGAAACCCATTATATCTTCCCTCCTTCAATAACATCTTTTTTCTGAATGAGAGAATATAAGTAGAAAAGGAGAAATAAGCTATCACAAATGAATGTCCGTCAGTATAAAGTCATAGCACCTTTCAACCAAGGAAGAACCCCCTATAAGTAGCTTCTGCATTGGACAATTGCTACTCCAATATACAAATACAATTATTGTGCCATAGTCCCCTAGCAGTTGAATAATCTCTTTGAATTCATCTAAGAAACCTAACCTAATTTCTTCTTTTTATATCATCCTCACTTGCCATTAAACATATTTAACTTTTCCCCATCAATTTAGTTTGTTAACAAATTTTTTGGAGATAAGGAATCGCCATACTGGATGCCCTCAGTCTGAGAATCTTGGATGAAAAATGCCTTTCCCAGGTCTTCTCTGTCCTTTGTCTCCCAATTTCCACTGAGGTAGAAGAAAAATCACTATCTCTATTTCACTCATTTCCCTTGCTCTTCTCTTTGAAATCCTAAATTCCATCCATCATAATCAATTTTAGCATCATGCTAGTATGTGAGTACACCTCCTTCTTTCACAAGCTGCTATGGCTAGGAGTTTTCTGCAACATCAACCCTTCATGTCCAAAAATGTGATATATTTTTGAAATAAAAGCACAGCATGCACTTATGTTTAAATAAGGTAGCCCCATGACTCACCTCATTTCCACCAACTGCCTTGGTTAAAATCACTGCAGAAGACACAGGCGGAGGCATGCAACCTACTGTCTGCAAACTGAAAAATAAAAGAAAATCCAACTATAAATAATTTTATAATCATAGACAGCTTTCACTACATTCATTCTAAAATAGCAAGGCTGAGCAAATGAATATAAGGGCATATTTATTGATGCACATCCCCTGTTGAATTTAGACAAGTCTACACAAGGCAACGTGGCTTACACGGTGCTGCAAATGTATGGGTTCTAATCTCTTATGCTATTCCATAGGCTTGAGTGAGTCTGTTTTAAGCTATTTAAGCTCTTATTATACAATTCAAAAAGCAGTCAAGGTATAGTGAGTGCAGTCATTGAAAGATAACCAAAATGGGCAGGGCTCGGTGGCTCACGCCTGTAATCCCAGCACTTTGGGAGGCCGAGATGGGCAGATCACGAGGTCAGGAGATCGAGACCATCCTGGCTAACACAGTGAAACCCCATCTCTACTAAAAGTACAAAAAATTAGCCGGGCACAGTGGCGGGTGCCTGTAGTCCCAGCCACTCAGGAGGTTGAGGCAGGAGAATGGTGTGAACCTGGGAGGCAGAGTTTGCAGTGAGCCGAGATAGCGCCACTGCAGTCCAGCCTGGGCGAAAGAGTGAGACTCCGTCTCAAAAAAAAAAAAAAAAAAAAGAAAGATAACCAAAACGGCTAATCATTTGGTAAGTGTATATAGTCTTAGGTTATTTTTAGGTAAAGTGAAAAATATTTTCCCTACATTTTGTTTGTAGGAAGTCTCTAAATCTTCAAAACCACTTCCTAAGTTCAAAAATACTTGACAAGACACAAGCTTACATCTTTGGATTTCTTTCTATAGAAGAGCAGTTTTCAAATCTTCATCTCACAAAAGACATTTTAACATTGTAATAACATTATAGAAACAGGCATGACACAATCACATACTTCTTGCATTCAGACTCTGTAGTAAATTCTAGTATCTATCCTCAATTTGGTTTTTATTATATTATGTGCACACACCCAAGATGATGACAGGTCTATTTTCTTAGTTTAGGACAGAAAATAAATTGCATAACAAGCAAATGAAACTATGAGTAATAAATTTAAGTACTATACATTTTTTTAATTACTCAAAATTCATATAGAATATATCTTCTGGGGAGAACAGGTAGCTGGCCTAAGTGGAAAGTTCATACAGGGCATAGATGACACAGAGTATCTGACTTAGATTTTGAATGGGTATGATTAAAGGTTACAGTTGGCCATTTAACAACATGGATTTGAAATGTGAGGGCCCCACTTATACAAGAATTTCTTCTGCTTCTGCTATGCCTGAGACAGCAAGACTTCTTCCTCTTCATTAGCCTACTCAATGTGAAGATGACAAAAATGAAGACCTGTATAATGATCCATTTCCACTTAATGAATAGTAAATATATTTTTTCTTCCTTATAATTTTCTTAATATGTTTCTTTTCTCTGGCTTAATTGTAAGAATATGTAATACATGTAATATATGAAATATATATTAATCGACTCTTTATATTATAGGTAAGGCCTCCAGTCAATGGTTAGGCTAATAGTAGTTAAGTTTTTGGGGAGTCAAAAGTTATATGTGGATTTTCAACGGCATGGGGGTTGGCACCTCTAAGCCTCACAGTGTTCAAGGTCAACTATATTTTTATTCATTTTTGTAAGAACATATTATCTAAACTTTATGCAATGGATTCAACATTAGCTCTGAAATAGGAAAAAAATGTTTAAACTCGTTTTGATTGAAGCATAAGAAAACCCATTTTATGGAATTTCCAACTCAGTTCCATTTAATATGGTCTTCTTTCCAGATCTGTTTTACAAAGAGCTACTAGAGTCGTCTGTCCTATTATAAATTCCCAATCTCTGAGGCTTCCTTAGAGTCTACTATCATCATCACTAATACTGAGCATTTACCATTTGTAGTAGACACTATTCTAAACACTTTACATACTATCTCATTTATTTCTCAAAAGTTATATTTAAGATAAGTGTTATTATTATTCCCATCTTACAGAAAACTGAAGTGAAGAAAGAAGATAAGTAACTTTCCCAAACTCACAAAGCCACCTATCTGGGGTAAAACTTTTATGGGTCAAAGACTTATCTAGGCCTCCCACTTCAGCCTCTCCGCCTTCTGTCTCCCCTACCCCCAATACTAGGACAGATCCTCTCAGGCATTTTCAATCTTTTTAGCTTTTTCATCCCTCCTCTTCCAGCCCCTTCCCTTCTATGTGCAAAAAAGCAGAATTCTCATAGTTTTAAAAAGACAAAAATTTTGCTTGAACTCAGGAGGCAGAGGTTGCAGTGAGCCAAGATTGTGCCACTGCACTCCAGCTGGGCAGCAGAGTGAGATGCCATCTCAAAAAAAAAAATTTGCCAACTATATATTGAATACATATATCTTCTATGAGTAAAATCCTACAGGAAATAATTTTTAAAAAGAAGTAAAGACATTATTCCTGCCTTCAAGGAGGCAGAAGAGTCAATGCAGAAATATAGATAACTAACAGCAAAATGAGTGAAATGAGTGGTGCTGCCTCCTCAAGATACAATCCCACTTTTCTCATTGTGACTCACTTTTGACCTTTAAAGAGTGCCTGCCTCCATGGCCCCAGAGACCATTCTCTTTACTTCTCTGAAATAAGACTTCTGCCCCCTCTACTAGTAATAGTAACCTTAAAGTAACCAGTAATCCCCAAATCACCAAATCTGGTATATTTTTCCTCATATTCATTCTGCTTACCTTCTTACCTCTCAGGCCACTCTAATATTTTCATGGTTACCATTGTAGTTCATTCAAATTTAGCTTCTGTGTTTTAAACCAGTCATTCTGGTGTTTTTGTTTGTTTGTTTGGTTTTTTTTTGTTTTTGTTTTTGTTTTTGCTGGCTCTCCTGCCATCTTTTCAATCTTATTTTCAATCTTTAGGAATACTTTCAAGTTTATATTTTTTAGCCCTAACTACAATTCCCGAATTTGTAGCTGCCTATGACTGCCACTCTAAACTAAGCATGTCTAATATTGTATTTATATATTTGTTTTCCAAATTTATTGAGGTATAATTGACAAGGAAATATTATAAAAATTTATGGCATACAACATGATGTTTTGACATGTGTATACACTGTGAAATCATTACCACAATCAAACTAATTAACATATACATCTACTCTCTTGGCAATTTTCTAGTATACGTTATTAACTATAGTTACCATGCTGTACAATAGATCTTCAGAAAGAATTCATATGTTTTCTGAAAAATAAACTTCCCCTCTGAATTTACATATTTTTTTTGATCAATGGGACCAGTTTTTTCCCTAATGATCCAGTTTGAAACTTTGAAGTTATATGTGACTCCTCTTGCTCCTCAAAAATCAATCTGTGGCTGGGCGCAGTGGCTCACGCCTTTAATCCCAGCACTTTGGGAGGCTGAGGTGGGCGGATCACGAGGTGAAGAGATTGAAACCATCCTGGCCAACATGGTGAAACCCTGTCTCTACTAAAAATACAAAAATTAGCCGGGCATGGTGGCGGGCACCTGTAATCCCAGCTACTCAGGAGGCTTGAGGCAGGAGAATCACTTGAACCCGGGAGGCAGAGGTTGCAGTGAGCTGAGATTACGCCACTGCACTCCAGCCTGGTGACAGAGTGAGACTCTGTCTCAAAAAATAAAAATAAAAATAAAAATAAATCAATCTGTCACCATAACTAACTTTCCAGTTTCCTCCATGACTACTGCCACCATCATCCCTGTCCAGATGCTTCTCAGCCAATCTGGACACTTAAAAAGGCCTATTCAATGTTCCCTCTACCTCACTCTGTCCCTTTACTATGCAAGGTAAGGAGCATGTGCTCAGAACATCTTTATTTCAACAACTTAAACATGATTATGCAATCCCTTCAAGTTAATATACTAAGTATGTACTTTCAAATTAGGGAGGGGAAGGGAAAAAACACTAAGCCAGGAAGAGCTTTCTCTAAGTGAATTACGGTAAGTGTACACTCCTTTAAGTTCAACATCTTGAAGTCAGAATTGTTTGTTTTATTTAGCATATTGAGAGTCCAAGCTGTCCAATTAATCTTCCTTAGTAGCCACTTTTAAACATGTTGTTATTCGCTTGTTGAGCATTTTTAACAGCTCTCTCTCCATCATCTATAGCTTCAAATGCAAATTCCTCAGCCCAGTAATTCAGGCCTTCTGCAAGCCGACCCTATGGAAATATTTTATCTTTGTATCTCATTAATGCCGCATTTTTGAAATCTCTACGAGTACCCAACCTTTGCTGAACTGCTTATTCTTTAACTGATTACACCACTCATCTGAAAAATCACATGGTGCCCCATTTTAGTGATTACTAGGAGGCATACATATATATGTCCTTTATAACCAACTAGGTTGGAAGTTCCCAGAAGACAACAAAAATGAGTAAATATCTTTGTATTCCTTGAGTGGCCTACACATGGCAGATATTCAGTAACTATTGGTTCTTGATATGCATAATACATTTTTGCTCTAAAATGATGTCATCATATTTATGTGGCATTTTACACTTTTTGGTGAAATTTTATGTTCATTCTCTGAAACTAAATCTGGCCAAAATGGCACTCTTGATTTCCACCATGCCTCCTAACCTAGTTTTCCCCTCTTAAGTAAATGATGCTACCAATTACCCAGTGGTTCATACCTAAAACCCAGAAGTCACGCTTGGTTCCTCTGTCCTCCTTCTACATCCTCCTCACCCATCACTGCTGAAAGCTCTACTGTAAAATCTATCTGGCACACATTCATTCCTCTCTATTGAACTGCTACCTCACCACTACTCTCTGAGTTGATTTCTCTCAGGCCCCTCTACTATCTCTTCTACACATAGCTATCAGAAGAATCATTTGCAAACATAAATCAGACCACATCACTCTCTCATTCCAATCCCTCCAGTAGCTTCCTGTAGCACTCAGAATAAAATCTGAATGCTGTACCACGGCCTATAAGGCTCTACATACCTCATTCCTGCCTACTTTTATACCGCTAGGACATGGTATTTTTCCTCTACATCACCAGGCTCTGGCCTTCCTGGCTGCTTTACTGACTGGAAAACACAACAGGCTTGATCCTGCCCTAGAGCCTTTGTACATTATGTTTCCTTTCCCTAGAACATTCTGCCCCCAGAACTCTGAAATCTAAATTAATCAAAAGCCTGCCCACCCAACCACTTTCACATATCTCACTGTTTTGTTCTTTTTACATCATTTATCTCTATCTTGCTCATCTACTTACTTGTTTATTGATACAACACCCCCTGAGACTCCCCAACATGCAAAACTAACAGGCATTTCACTGTTGTTTCTCCAATATGTATAATAACTCCTGAAACAAAGTAGAAGCTAAATAAATAACTTGAATCAATGAATATGCAATTTCAATTGATATCCCCAACATCATTGGTAAGTAAGCAGTAAAAGTACGATTATCCTCCTTTTCTAGACAGGGAAATTGACATTAAAAACTATTTAAAAACTTTGCTCAAAGTCACATAGTATGTTAGGGATATGGTCAGAATTCAATCTTCAGGCTCTAAGTTCAACTATTATATCAAACATAAAACAATGAAAAGGTAACGTTTGTCCCACATATATGTATGTTTTCTTCCTTAAACATTTCTAAAACACACATTATACTCAGCTATTATCTAATTAATTGACATCCAATTGACTTGCATACAGATCTTACATCTGCTAGTCCTTCTCATTTTTCTTCCAAGACCACTCTAAAATTCTCAGAAAAGTGCTCGTCGTAAAACCACAGGATGAAGCATGAGGGTGTATCTTAAGATTCTGTTAATTATTTGATGAACCTCCTTGATGAAATACTATTGTTTTAAAGGAAAACAAAGATGTGTTTTTACTTCCTTTTAAGATGGTACACATAAGCCCTTTTGTATATAGTTGCCATAGAAACAATAATGTCTCTAGAGATGCCCCATTAAAAGTGGACCCACTTTTAAAGATTTAAACATACCCTTTTAAAAGCCATTCGTTGATGGGTGTGATTGATAAAAGCTGAAGAAAAAGCCATATTGTTGCTGGGAAGAATGCAAGAGTAAAGATCTGAATAAAAAGATGCAGTTTTAGATGCACCAAAGCACTGGTCAGCTCCTGGAAAAATTAAGGAAACAAAATAAACAAAGGTAAGAAAACTATTCCTGAAAGGAGATCCCTACTAAAATAACATCACATGAGTTAGTTCTTAATTTTGGGTTTTTTCATAGCTAAAATTTTTATCTATAAGTATATGCATACAAGACAGAATGCAAGATAAAAAAGTTACTCATGAAGGCTATAAAGTATTTTTGTTTAAAATTTCTTAAATTTTTTTTTTTTTTTGAGATGGAGTTTTTGCTCGTCGCCCAGGCTGGAGTACAGTGGCGCGATCTTGGCTCACTGCAACCTCCGTCCCCCAGTTTCAAGGGATTCTCCTGCATCAGCCTCCTGAGTAGTTTGGACTACAGGTGCCTGCCACCACCATGCCCTCCTAATTTTTGTATTTTAGTAGGATGGGATTTCACCATGTTGGGCAGAATGGTCTTGATCTCCTGACCTCATGATCTGCCCCCCTCAGCTTCCCAAAGTGCTGGGATTACAGGCATGAGCCACCACGCCTGGCCTAAAATTTTTTAAATGTTCTTATTCTAATTTCTTTACAATACACAATAAGCCCTAACAAATCAGATGTGTAAAACTCTGGACCAGGACTAAGCTAACTATACTTCATACTACTATAGATTTGGGGATTGTTGAACAACGTGCATGTATGTTTACCTACATAAAATAAGAAATCTTTTCAAAAAAACCTTAATAAGACCTATCACATTTCAACCAAATACAGTAATTAACCTCTATTCATTGCACCAAGGCTATAAGTCCTCAATTTGGCAAGATGTTACTGAATCTACAAATTAATACTTTAAAAAATATTTCCCTCAATGATAGTCTCTAATTCCAAATGGCATTTCCTTCCACAGTCTATTCACTAGATTCTTTGTTAACACTAACAGAATACCAGCTTTATGCCATAATCTGAGCTTGTCACTTTACATGTTATCTCACTTAATCCTCACAAGAATCTCAGTAAGTAAATACTATTATCCCTGTTTTACCGATGAAGAAATTGAAGTTGAGGGCTACTATATGGTGAAGATCAGAACTAAATTTTCCGGCATGCTAGCAAACCCATGCCTGCTTCTCCCACTGCTGCCCCAAGAGGGGAAAAAAAAATGCACATTAAACATAAGAAACCAGGCACACGTTATGAGTTTAACAACTAAAAAAGGATAATTAGTTAACCTCTAGGATTCAAATATATATAAACTCACAAATACTTGCATTTGAGTTTATATTGTGTTGAAATAAAAACAAAATGGAAAACTAAAATAAAACTGGAAAGTGCTAGAAAAACTATAGTCCTTTAAAACAAGCAAGTGATCATTAAAACATATTCAACTATGCCAGAGAGTTACTGGTTGTAAGTATAGAACTGCAATGGCCCCTTTGTTCAGGTAAGATGTTCAAGAGATCCTCAGCCTCAGGGACATTAGCCAAAGTTTATCAGTTTAATCAACAGTACGTTAATGCAGACTCATTCGCTCATCACCACATTCTGAGATTAGTCTCATCACTTCCCACTGTCTACTTCCCTGTGTGGAGATACACACAGCAGTTCCTTCCTGTTAGGTCACAAGACATCCCTAAATGACATCTAAAGAATTTCTAGCGATCTGAGTATAATTTAGGACCACTAGAAAACACTCAGCCTACCAGAAGTCATATTAGGTCCTGGGATCAGACCTAAGAGAAAGCAAGCCATCCTTACAGTGAATCAGAATTCTTAGAGCTCTACTCCAGAGAAAACTTGAGCACCAGCAGTTCCAGAGAATTCTCAACAGCCTTGAAGCCAAATCTCATTTAAATATACTCAGAGGCATTTGATAAACACTAAACAAATATTAGTATTTTTATTTTTTAAAATACTGTAATGAAATGATTAGCCAGAATACACTAAGGCATTTGCATATACTCTTTTTTTTTTTTTTTTTTTTTGAGATGGAGTTTTGCTCTTGTCATCCAGGCTGGAGTGCGATGGTGCGATCTCGGCTCACTGCAACCACTGCCTCCTGAGTTCAAGCGATTCTCCTGCCTCCACCTCCCAAGTAGCGGGGATTACAGGCGCCCACCACCACACCCAGCTAATTTTTGTATTTTGAGTAGAGATGGGGTTTTGACATGTTGGCCAGGCTTGTCTGGAACTCCTGACCTCAGGTGATCCACCCGCCTTGGCCTCCCCAAGTGCTGGGATTACAGGCATGAGCCCCCGTGCCCGGACTGCATATACTTCTGACAGGAATAAAAAATGGCATAACTTTTCTGAAAATTAATTTGGTAATATATATCAACGACTATATAATTCATATTCTTGGACCCCAGAATTTTATGACTAGGAATTTATCCTAAAGATATAAAAATGTGATTGTAAACATTTATACACAAAATTGATCATCACAGTGTTATCTATTCGAGCAAAATCTGGAAACAAATGTCCAAACATAAGAGAATCATTTAAAAAGTTAAAATCTAATTGGAGTGTTATGAGCTATTAAATACCTTGTTGATGAGAATGCAGGTGTACAGAATCTCTCCCCTACTTTATCAATAGGTGTATAAATTGGCATAACCTATAGAGAGCAACCTGGCAACTCATTCCTTCATTTAAGTAATACTTACTGAGCACCTGGCACCATTCTAGGTACTTGGAATATCTGTTACAACTTAAACTACATATATCATTTGACCTAGCAATTCCACTTCCAGGAATTTATCCTTCACATATGTTTCCAAATATAGGAAATAATATATTTTTATCCTTTGCAACATGTTTGTAATAGCAAAACCTTGTAAATTAACTAAATGTTCATCAATAGAGGACAACAAAAATACATCATGACACATCCGTACAACAGAATACTATTTGATGTACAAAAAAAATGGGCTTATTTATGTGTTGAGATGAAACAATGTACAAGACACATTTTTTAAGTAAAATAAGTTAAGGTGCCAAAGAGTATGAAATACAATCTGTAGGGAAGTAGAATATGCATGTGTATGTTTCACATGGAATATCTCTGGAAAGGTACGCAGAAATTGTTAACATTGTTTGTCTCCAGAGAAGAAAACTGGATAGTTGGTGGAAGAGTGAAAAAAAAAAGACTTATACATATCTTTATACCTTTCAATTCTGAACTATGTAAATAAATCATATGTTCATAAAAGTAAGTAACGTATACATTTTTGTTATACTATATAAAGAAAATATAAATAATATTAAATTACATTAAAAGTATACAATGTTACATGAAAAGAATAGGATAAGATTACATGTGTGTATGTGTATAGATCTGCAATATGTGTATAAACATACTACATTCACATACAATTTTATTTGTAAAATATTATGCATATAAAACATATTTTTTAAAAAGGACTAAAAAATTGATGTTAATAGTTAATACTAGTCATTTTCAATCTTTCTAATCTTTCTATAAGTAAATACCACTTTTATTACAACAGAAACAAGTTATAAAAACTAAAATGTGCTTAGAAAATACTGCTGACCTAATAAATGACAATTAGAAATTGCCATTGCATCAGAATGATGGTACAGTAAAGAACCCAGCAAAACAAGTCACAACAACCAACCATGTTGGCTCATAAGGGGCCTCTTAACAATAGGGAAGCGCTTCTAAGAAAGAGTTTCAAGACTTTCACAAAATCCCAGCATCATATATTTTCCATATCTTCTGCATACAACCATAAAGATAAAACAAGGTAATAAAAGAAAATAACAAGCAAGTAAACCCTGTAAATTCCAAAATAGTTATTATTCCATACATACCCATGTAGAATTTTGAGCCACATAGTCAAATAAATGCCATCATGAATAATCAAAAAGTTGGCTCTGCATCATAGTTTGTTTATTCATATGTAATAAGGTCAAAATCCATTAAAATAAACTTAAGAAGACACTCCACATCATTTACTGATTATACCAGAGTCTCATTGACAGCATCAAGCATTGCTTAAAACCAGGGCTCTAATTGGGACGTAGAAATATTTTCATTAGACACCGATTTCTCTTGTAACCCTTTATCTGACCATCTCATTCATTTGCTGAGAGTCAGGCTCATAGCTCTGGGCTTGAAACAAACAGCACACATCTAAAGTTTAGAGTTTGCTATATTTGCTTTTCTGCTAATAGGATAAAAGATAATAATTTTTACAGAAAAATAAAAGCCTGCATCTTCTGCCCTACTCAGGACCTTTTCTCAGCCCCTAAGTCTCCTGCTCACCTTTGTTTCTATCCCCAGCACCGTGCCTTGTGGCCATAAGCACTTAATTGATACTTGTTTAAACAAATTCGCCCTGCCACAGTCGGCTAAGTGACAAAGCCTCTGAAACTACAGGTTTGAAGTGAACTAAATATGAATTTTAAATGTAACCATATTTCACTTCAATACAACAAAATTTCAAAAAACTAGAAGTTGTCATAAAACTGAAGACTCAGCATTGCATTAGCACAGTGTCCTTTATAATTTTAACAAATTACTAAAACAAATTTTAGAATACATGTCATTAAATCAATGTATGAGTCATATAAGAAATGTTCAATATAAATCAAACTTGAATGGGACCAACACAAATGCTTCCAAATAAACTCAAGTCAATAATAATTCACTGTCTCTTGTATGCAAAAATGAACTATTTTAGGACCTAATAAGACATATAAATCGTAATCCCCACTGAAATGAATTTAGGATTACTAACTAGTAAACAAATATGACTGCTACCTCCTAAGTTACAAGTTAACCATGAAATTAGCAGGCTTTAGAAGTGGTTTAATATTACACAATGATACAATCTAGGACATCTTAAGTTATATGGCTTTTGAAAATGACTTAATGTTGTATTCTTTTGAAAAGGGCTTTTGATGGAAGAAATGGCTTTGATTGCTGCTTAGATACCACGATAAAGCACGAGATCACGGCATTTCATTAGATCCAAATTAGCTGGATGACTCTGAAGGTTTCTTAGGTGCTTACAAAAGAAGTCAGTCCTTAGAGAAATGCTGACAGCTGTGGCATTCTTCCTTCTTCAACTCCTGCATCCCACAAAGTTGGCTGCTTCGCAGAATCGCATTAAGTAAGAAGCTAAGGAGTGAGAGAAATCAAGTTGCTTTCTGGATTTCCCATGGCACAAGTAACAGCTGTAGCCATTAAGCAGCCACCAGGGGACATAGAGCAACGCCCCAAGTAAAGGACTTGGGTTAGAAAGCAGTTCCATAAAGAGCATTAGCCAAGGTCAGCAGGAAGACCTCCAAGCAAGATCAGTCCAACATTATGGTAGTAGCAAATATCTTTCTGTATCACTGTGCCCCACATTTGAGAACAAATATTAGAACTCATATGTTGACAGAAAAAAAGCCTGTGTAAGTAGTAATTATGGTCCTCTCATATCAATATTGTTTACCAAAATTGGAATTTGACATACTAGGAAATCTCATCCCATGTCAGTTATTTTCAGAAAAGCAGGTAATCACAGAAAATATTTACAATTCTTGAGACACAATTTATCAGCTATAGACACTACACAATGATCCTACGTATATCAAAAAATACCCCAATGAGGCCGGGTGTGGTGGCTCATGCCTGTAATCCCAACACTATGGGAGGCTGAAGTGGGTGAATCATTTGAGGTCAGGAGTTCAAGACCAGCCTGGCCAATGTAGTGAAACCCCACCTCTATTAAAAATACAGAAATTAGCCGGGCGTGGTGGTGGGTGCCTGTAGTCCCAGCTATTCAGGAGGCTGAGGCAGGAGAATCACTTGAACCCGGGAGGCGGAGGTTGCAGTGAGCCGTGATCACGCTACTGCCCTCCAGCCTGGGCAACAGAGTGAGATTCCATCTCAAAAAAAAAAAAAAAAAAAAAAAAACCCAATGAAAAGATTTATACCAACCGATGGCTACAGAATACATAAATTTAGTAAAGTCATATTTTTTCCATGTTGCTACTAGGATGATCTAAGAAGGAGATAACTAAATTTAGTCTTCATTCCAATCACACTTAAAATAAATAAAGGTAAGACATGATGCTGGACCAGAATCTTAATTTTTAAAGCCATTTCCAAAAACAAAATACCTTCTTATAGTGAGATAGTCCCATCTATATAAGAACAGGATGTTAGAATGATATTTTATGTAATTTCTTCAAGACCAAATGGGTATTTTCTCCTCTTTTTTTTTCTTCCATTGTAAGTTAAAAGAGAATCATAAATTCTACTCATTCCTCTATCACACGTAAATGTAAAAATGTCTGGATTTCTTTACTTCCAAGAGAATCTCATGTTCAGTGAAACCTGAATCAGTAAATCAGTAAATAACATTACATATATAGGTGTGGGGTGTGTGTGTGTTTGTGTGTGTGTGTGTATACACACACACTTTTGACACATATATGTATGTGTATATGTATATGTGTATATATATACACATATACATATACACATACATATATGTGTCAAATGAAAAACATCAATATTTCTCTTAAGACATCTATTAATATTTAATAGATATGCTAAGGAACAATAAGCTTTTCTAAATAAAAATTAATTAAAAGTTATGACAAATTAAGCATTATTTGAACAGCATGAGTCCTGGGAACCAAAGATGATCCACAAAAGTTATGAAAACCAAACTGAACATCAACAGCTCAAATGTGCCCAGGCATAGCAGGCACCACTGTAGTTACCACCATAAGTTGAGGAAGAACTAAAGTAGATGCTTCAGTTCAGCTGTCATATTAAAAACATACTCATTATAACCACATCCTCAGGGCCCATGCTGCTCAACTGTACAGCTTTTATAATACACATATGTAGGAATGAAACACAAGTCCTTTGCCGACCAAGTTATCTTCTGCTATAGTGAATCCTTCAGATTATAGCTATAAACAGCTTTACCAAAGGACTCTTAAATTTAAGTAAGTACAAATTAAATTTTTCTCCCTGCTTTTCATGTGTCCCATAGATGACAGTACCTCTGTTTTCAATGATAGTCCACTGTTAAAGAATATTGTTGCAACAGCAATGTAGGATACAGTTATTTCTGGCTTCAGTGGTCCTAAAAAGAGAAAAAAGAGTTATTGCTAGAAAAGAATTTCAGTAGATAACTTGGCACAAAAGAAGAATCTATTTGTTCACACCTGTAATCCCAGCACTTTGGGAGGCCGAGGCGAGTAGAGCACTTGAGGCCAGGAGTTCAAGACCAGCCTGACCAACATGGCAAAACCCAGTCTTTACTAAAAATACAAAAATTAGCCGGGCATGGTGGTGCATGCCTGTAGTTCCCAGCTCCTTGGGAGGCTGAGTGGGAGGATTACCTGAGCCCAGGAGGCAGAGGTTGCAGTGAGCTGAGATCACGCCATTGCACTCCAGCCTGGGCAACAAAGCAAGACTCTGTCTCAAAATAATAATAATAATAATAATAACAACAATAATAATCTACTGCAGGACAACAAATGGTACTTTAGATATCAGTGTCACCCCTGGTGTCTTACTGTCCCAACAGAGGTAAGCATTTGTGTGATGCAGCCTAACTCCAGAGAGCATTTTCCAGAGGGCAAGGACCGTGGCTGTCTTGCTCAGCACAGTGTCTTCAGACCAGAAGAATAAAGAAGCACACAGGACAGCATGTAAGCAACATCCTTCAATAGAGGTCCTAATTATATCTATCATGGTATCAGCACTTATATAACAATCAAAATACCCCCGAGCCCAAAGAAGGGAATCAATGGAAGAAGTTCCCTTCTCTTTAGCAAATATTATTTCATTTCTTCTAGGATATCAGAAACAAAAGCTTATAATCACACATGCATTCAGTTCTGCCCAAGAGTATTCATTCTACAAATACTTATTGAGCACTTGCTATGTGAATAAGATAATGCATATAAAGTACTTAATAATATATTGCTATGACCGTAATTATTATTAAATTGTGCTAGGCCCTAGAGATATGTGGTGACCCAGCCAGGCCTGGTCCCTGCCTTCCAGGAAATCCTCTCTGGAGTTAGGATGGCAGCATTCAAATGTGTTAACACTGCGAGAACAATACTTAAAAGTATCATTTGTGAGTGGATATAAGTATCATTTGTGACATGTACACAATTGGCTTGAAGACCTAATGTGCTAACAAAAAACAACATTCTTTCAAAAAATGCAGTCCTGAGAAAATGACATTTTATACCTATATAGCAGTGGTTCTCCAGCAGTAGAAATCTTACCCTCCATGGACATTTGAAAATGTTTAGAAATGTTTTTTGGTTGTCATAACTTGGGGGATAGGATGTGCTACTAACATCTAGTGGGTAGAGATCAGGAATTCTATTAAACATCTTGGAAGGCATAGAACAGCCCCTCCAACAACAAAAATTATCATGTTCAAAATGTCAATGTGCCAAGGCTGAGAAATCTTGGTACATGGCAACATTTAAAAACCTAAGATCATCTCATATTTGGCATCCTATTCAGTCTTCTTGTACTAGATTAAATAGTGTCCCCCGACTCCCAAAATTCATGCCCACCCAGAACCTGTGAATGTCACATTTTTGGAAATAGGGTCTTTGCAGATGTAATCAAGTTAAGATGAGGTCTTATTGGATTAGGAGGGACATTAATCCAATAACCGGTATTCTTAAAAGATGGAAATTTGGACACAGACACATGCACAAGGAAGATAGCCATGTGATGACAGAGGTGGAGGCTGGAGTTATATTGCCACAAGCCAAGGAACGGCTGGCAACCACCACAAGCTAGAAGACTCAAAGGATTCTTTCCCAGATGTCCTTTGGAGGACATCTTGACCTCAGACTTCTGGCTTCTAGAACTGTGAGATAATAAATTTCTGTTGTACTGAGCCACCTGGTTCATGGTAATTTGTTGTGGCAGCCCTAAGAAACTAATACACTCACTTAAGCAAAACAACAGGACAACAATCACGGCTCCTCCATAGCCTGAAACCCTCCACTTGTTCGATATATGGACAGAAGACCAAGCTCAGGAAAAATCACCATATATATATATATATATATATATATATATATATATATATATATATAATATAATATATAATTAATATATATTATGTATATAACATAATATATAATATATGATACAATAATGTACATAATATATAATATACATAATATCTCAAGGCCCCTCTGAGAGAGAATATATATTATATATAATAATATATTTTATATAATATATAACATATTATATACAATATATAACATAATATATAATATGATAATATATAATACATTATTTAACATAATATATAATATTATCTATATATAGAGAGAGATGACCTACTATGTCTTAGGCATTTGTAGTACAACAATGAATAAAAGAAACAAAGATTTCCTCAAATGCTGTAATAAATTATTTAATATGCCTGGCATTTACACAAATCATTTTGCTGAGATCTAAGAAAAGGGAAAGAAAGGGAGAAGGCAAGTGCAAAAGGCATTGCATTTGGGGGCAGTGAAGGCTGCTCAAAAACTTTTATAAGAGGTACATTATCTTTATATTTGTTAGTGAATCTGTCTCAGCAGCTCACACAGGTAATATTTCTTCAGCAGCTAAGCAAGGTGATTCAGGAGCAGATTTTAAAGTCAAGGAATCTGGCTTGCTTGGGAAGTAGAAGTTTCCCAGGAATTTTAAATACCCTGGTCTCCAATAGTTCCTCTTCCCTAAGCTAGCTACCTTAACCTAGAGAGAGTCACCTGGTATCTTCAACTGTAAAAGAAGCATGTTGGCTTAAAACACTTTAAATATTCCCCTCCCCCTCTTAACATTCTATTATAATTAAACAAAGGAATGAATTATCCTACATTAAAGACAGAAGGACTAGTGGAAATGGGAAATGGCATTTCTATGATACAATAATGTACCAAAATATTAATAAGCAGAGTCTATGGAACACATAAGTTTGCAGAATCTATCTCATACATGCCACTGCAGAAAAGCCCCACGGAAATGATTCAGCATTCAACACCTTTCTTCCCACAGAATATTTAGGAATGCAAGGTAAAAGATATTTTGCCAAACTTAGCCCCTGCAGATTTAAAGTTAAAGATCATACATCCTCTGTAATTTCATCTCAAAACTGAGCAAATAAGAGATCTAACACGAGAAGCGATAGCTAGTGAAGTGTGCATTGCAGATCATGCAAAGGTACTCTAAGTCTTACTATTCATTTAGCTCCGGGGATAGGGGGTCTTCATTTGACAGACCTGATCTTCACAAGAGTTTCCCAAAAGTTCACAGAGCAGCAGTGTTAAAGAAGAAACTATTACCATCAATCAGAGGGAGAAACCACCAGGAATAACTGCTTTATTCTCACAGTTACATATTCTACACATTTTGTTCTAAGTTGAATACAGAAGAACAAAATTTTAAAACAAACAATCCTTCATCTCCACAATTTTGGTTTAAATAATTCCTTTTAAAATGTTCCCGGAAGCTACTTCTAAACAGAGTAATGGGGTGGAGGTTAAGGGGAGAAGGGACCACTGCTGTTCTCCTAAGAGATCATTTCATTCACTTCCATCATGTTTTAACAAAAAGATAAAAATAACTTCAAATATCCTCCTGAGCGCTTCCTACTATGAAATATTGTGCCTGTTCACCTCTATCCTTATTTGCTCCGGTTGCATGAGTTAGGTATTAAACCTGTCAATAAGCTTGGAAACTGACAAACAAGGTCAAAAAGACAAGCGAATTGAATAAATTCAATTAATGTTTATGAAAAGTAGTACAAGATTGTCTAAAGGTGTTGGGGGGGGCATAAAAAACTAATATTTCTAATGTTCCCACCAGTGCCCATCATCTCCTGTACAAAGCTCCCACTATTCAGAGATCTAAGTATGCTTTCAGTCCATCCACATTTCCTTGCCAAAACACACACTACACTACACTACACATAGTCTAACAGTCTGTATCTGTTAGACTGCTAGTATAGCAACTGAATCCCGGCAGCACACGGAAGTATGCTGTAATGAAGTGTCCTGTAATCAAAGAGTGCAACGTGTCAGTCGGCTTGGGAGTTTCTGGAGCACCAGCAACTACAGCAAATCATCACTCTCCAACATGTGGGCCATAAAATCTGAGTTGGGGGCGGAGGTGTCCCTTTTCTTGTTTTTCCTCCACTTTTTTTTTTAATGTGGGGGCGGGGAGGACTCGAAAGTAGACTCGATAATGAGGTCCACTCCAAGATAGATACGGAACTCTTAGCAACCTAGATTCCCTTGGGATAGGATGCTACTTTGAAGGCAAGAGGAGTAAGTTTCATTCTCTGTAACCTCACTTCTTGACACTCAGGATAGTCATTGTTTGTCTACGGAAAAGGCTACCTGCCCTCAAATTCCTTTGCCTCGTTCCTAATTACAAGTTCCCTCTGGGGTTGGTAAATTAGAAAATCAGCAAAAGGGCCAAAGGCTGGTCAGTGCCCCCTGAAATTGGCAAGCGCTTGCAATGAGGGTTGCCCCACCTTTCCAAGACTCACAAATTAGTTCTGAAGTGGGAGCCGCGGTGGAGCCGGCAGAGGTGCAGCACTTACCCCCATTCACCCCTATGGACGGCTCCAGTTTAGCTCCAGCGATCGCCAGCACTATTCCGACCATGAACCAGTCTTTCCTCATTCTCTCCAGCAGCCTCATATTTGTTAGGGTGGGTGGGTTTTGTTTATTTGTTTGGCTTTTTTTCTTTTCAAGCTCCGATCACCTAATCCTTGGAGCGTCTCCACACTTTCCTTGGTCCCTCCAGACATGCAGCAGAGCAAGTCAAATTGCCGATTGTAAAGTAAAGACCTGGGGGTTGCTCCGGCGGCTTTGAGGAGGGTTGGGAGTAGTAGTAGCCAGTGACAGGAAAGTCTCACTGAGCGCCGCCATCACTACCACGCGCCTCAGAATACACGCGCACAAACGCCCCCAGCGCCTCTGGCCGCGGGCTCGCAGGTGCAGATGCTTTGAAATGAAGAACTCGGACCAGGCCGACAACGTGGGCGATCCGGCAAGGGAGGCTGGCCGCCGGATGGGGCTGACAAGCGCACCGCTGTCGAGACCTGCGGAACCTTCTGAATGACGAGGGGTCGGGGAGAGCGTCGTAAGGCGCCACAGCCAGCAAGCCTCACTGACTGTCCTTTTCTAACAAACCTTTAGGCACAGCCACCCACCCTTCTGGAGCATATCTCCATGGAGAGCCTCTCTTTTGCTGTGCCATGACTCCGCGGGCAGGGCTGACGTGTGCTTGGGGCAAGGGATTTCTCCGTTGAAGCTGCGGCAGCGGGGTGCAAGTTTGGAGACGCGCTTCTTCGGGACATTACGGCGCTTCCACGACGCTAGCGCTGACGTATGCGCGGGGGGGAGGGGAGGCCACTCTGGATCTCCGAGTTCCCAGCCTGAGCTGCCGGAGTTAGAGGTGTCCGCGCGGGAAAGTGGCTCGCTGGTGGGCGGGGAGCCTTATCTCTGGCGGTGGGTTGAAAATCCGGCGCCGGGCAGATGCCCACGTTCGCTGGACCCCTGCTTGCCGGCGTCCGCTACAACCCAAGGAAGGTGGGCCCGACCTCGCCAGGTCGCTCGCCTGCGGGTGGGCATTTGGTCCGGATCCCCTTCCCTCTGCGGCCCACACCTGTCTCCGGGACTGGGGAGGGCTGCAGGGATCGGGGCAGATCTGCCTTTGCGGGCCGAGAGTGACAGCTGAAGTCTCCCCACCAACTAAGCTACTCGCGGGCGGAGTGGGGTCTGCGCTGGCAAGCCCCTGGGCGCGCGGGTGCCCGCTCTGGCTCGCCCCCAGGGCTGACCTACCCAAGCCACAGGAAAACTCTGGGAAGAGGGTCGCGGATTCCAACGCGGAAGTGGTGGGGGATTGAGTCTGAGAGGTTGGGGAGTCCTACCTTCCATTGCCACGAGTGCTAGTTCTATCTGCCAGTTTCTTCCTTGAAATGTCTTGTGGCAACCAGTGACATTGATGGTTTCATGAATGGACTTCCTACCGGTAGACCCTGCAAGAGCATGAACTCCACTGTATCATTCATCCAAATGAAGAAAGAAAGAAAATAGTATGTGATATTTTGAAATAACCTGGCATCTGCCACTTAAATGGTTAAAAATAGAACTTAAGGTTTGGAAGAGATTGTTTCGTGATGACAGACTTTAATTCTGAATTTATTCAAAGCTGGAAAGACACTCGTCGTGTCATTTCCTCTATTTAATTTAGCTTTATCTTGATGGCAAGACTTCCAGAAACTAAGCCACTTTAAGAGTTGTGCTCCCAGTTGTAGGTTACACAGTACCAAGTGTCATCTAATTATACATCAGGCAACATGAAAAAAAATTAATTTCAAGATAAAAAGAACTTAACAGGGAGACATAGATGACATTAAGCAGTTTACTCTGAAAAGAGACAGGTACATGAAATATAAAATTTGATGTTAGTTGTCAGGCAGTCAGAAGATAAGTGAAGATAAATGAAAGATAGTTTACAACATAATTATTTTCTTATAGTAATTTCTTAGTAGGTTAAAGAGTCATACGTCTCAGTCATTGAAGGGATAGTTTTGTATTAAAACATCATTAAACATTAAGTTTACAGAAATTGAGCTGTTTTAACTGTACAGCTATTCACAAATTATTTACTAATACCTCTTTGATCTGTGTAGAGCAGAATCTAACTCAGAGATTTTTTTGTTCTGTTTTTAATGGTACTTAAAGGAAAAGAATATAATGTACCATGAATTATATTCTCTTAAGGCCTGTATTTGTTTGCTGTGGATGCTGAAACAAATACTCGAACTTGGATGCCTTCAAACAACAGAAATTTATTATCTCACAGTTCTGGAGGACAGAAGTCCAAAATCAAGATTTTGGCAGAGCCATACTCCCGCTGAAGGCTCTAGGGGAGAGTCCTTCCTTGCCTTTTCTAGTTTCTGGTGGTGCCTTCCTTGGCTTGTAGCTAGAGTGTTCCAATCTCTGCCACTGTTTTCACATCACATTCCCCTCTGTATTTCTTTCTAGTGGCCACATTATTCTAGTTTCTGCATCCATCTTCACGTTGCACCTCCTTTTCTGTGTATCTTTTATAAAGACACTTGTCATTGGATTTAGGGCCTACCCAGATAATCCAAAATGATCTCTCAAGAGCCTTAACTCAATCACAGTAGTCCCCCCTTATCCTGAAAGGATACATTCCAAGAACCTTAGGTAGATGCCTGAAACTGCTGGTTGTACTGAACCCTATCTATATATGCTATGGTATTTTTTCTTATACATACATTCCTATGATGATAATTTTTGGTTTATATTATTAGGCACAATAAGAGATGAACAATAATTAATACAGTCAGGCATTGCTTAACCACCGGGTTACATTCTGAGAAATGTATGGTTAGACGATTTCATCATTAGAGAAACATCATAGAGTGTACTTACACAAACCTAAATAATGTAGT
Source organism: Homo sapiens (assembly GCF_000001405.40). NCBI lineage: Eukaryota > Metazoa > Chordata > Mammalia > Primates > Hominidae > Homo > Homo sapiens. The sequence continues at coordinate 146,524,507 of NC_000004.12, forward strand.
GTACAACACACCTAGACTATATGGTATAGCCTATTGTTCCTAGGCTGCAAACCTATACAGCATGTTACTATACTGAATACTGTAGGCAGTTGCAACACAGTGGTATTTGTGTATCTAAACATATCTAAACATAGAAAAATTACAGTATAAGAGGTTTTTTTTTTTAATGGAGTCAGGAGTAGTGGTGTGTGCCTCTAGTCCCAGCTACTTCGAGAGGGTGAGACGGGAGACTCACTTGAATCCAGGAGTTTGAGGCCAGTCTGAGTAACATAACAAGATTCCATTCCTTTAAAAAAAAAATCGTGGTATACCTGTATAGAGCACTTACTATGAATGGAGCTTGTAGGACTGGAAGTTGTTCTGGGTGGGTCAGTGAGTGAGTGGTGTATGAATGGAGCTTGTAGGACTGGAAGTTGTTCTGGGTGGGTCAGTGAGTGAGTGGTGAATGAATGTTAAGGCCTAGGACATTACACTATTGTAGATTTTATAAATACTATACTTGGGCTACATTTAATTTAACAGTTTTTAAATTCAGTAATAACTTACTGTAACTTTTAACTTTATAAACTTTTTAATTTTTTTACTTTTTGACTCTTGTTATAGCACTTAGCTTAAAACACATCATACAGCTGTCCAAAATATTTTCTTTATATTCTTATTCTATAAGTTTTTTCTATTTACATTTTTGTTTTTACTTTCCTAAACTTTTTTTAAAAAAAAAACTAAGACACACACATATTGGCCTAGGCCTGCACATGGTCAGGATCATCAATATCACTGACTTCTACCTCCACATCTTGTCCCTGTAGAAGATCTTTAGGAGCAGTAACCTATGTAGAGCAGTCATCTTATATGATAACAATGCCTTCTTCCAGAATACCTCCTGAAGGACCTTCCTCAGTCTCTTTGGGAGATGTTGCTCTTTTCAGAAATATGCCTATGGTGTTTTGCCTGATTTATTTCTTTCATCATAGATTTGCATAAATAATGTGTCACATTATGACATTACAATAACTACATTTTCACTAGATAATAGGAATTTTTCAGCTTCATTATAGTCCTTTTTTTTTTTTTTTTTTTAAGAAAGCAGGTCTCACTCTGTCGCACAGGCCTGAGTGCAGTGGTGCGATCATAGCTTACTACAGCCTTGAGCTCCTGGGCTCAAGTGATCCCGCCTCAGCTTCCCGAGTAGCTGGGACCACAGGTACACACTGCCACACCCAGCAGCTTCATTATAGTCTTATGGGATCACTGTCTTGACCAGAACATCATATGTAGCACATGACTAATAAAATAGAACAATTAAGTTTAAAAAAATAGGGGGATTACTTGAACATAAGCAGTGTGATACCACAACAGTATCTGATAACCAAGATGGCTACTAAGTGACTAAGGACAGGTAGTGTCTACAGTGTGGATATGCTGGACAAAGGAAGGATTTATGTCCTGGACAGTGCAAGATTTTATCACACTACTCAGAACAGCTTACTGAGGAGAGAAGCCATTTCTCTTACTGTCTCCTCTCTCTGAAGAGGAGGAGGAAGTAAAAGTTGAAAAACAACAGGAATGAAGTCAGTGGCAAGACCAGCTGGTGCCACTGATGACCCGGCCTGAGGTTAAAAGATTAACCCCCGCCCCCACCCCCCACTCTAACCACATGTGCTCTCAATCCATCATGACCCTTTCACGTGGAACCCCTTAGAGTTGTAAGCCCTTAAAAGGGCCAGGAACTCTGTCTTTGGGGAGCTCGGCTCTTAAGACGCGAGTCTGCCGACGCTCCCGGCCGAATAAAAACCTCTTGCTTCTTTAATCCAGTGTCTGAGGAGTTTTGTCTGCAGCTTGTCCTGCTACATTTCTTGGTTCCCTGACTGGGAATCAAGGTGATTAACGGAAGGTCAAGGCAGCCCTTTAGGCTGCTTAGGGCTGCCCTGTGGAACATCCCTGCGGGGGATTCTGACCAGCTCCAGTGTTGCAGATCCTGAGAGCGCTCCCAGGGAGGCAATTGCCCTGGTGGAACACCTCGTCAGAGCAGTGCATGACAGGCCCTCATGGAGGATCAACGCAGTGGCTGAACACCGGGAAGGAACTGGCACTTTAAGTCTGGACATCTGAAACTTGGTAAGACTGGTCTCTGGAACTTGCCCACTCCATTTGAGTGGAAGCGTGGCCTGATCACCCATGGCGTGCCTGTACCAGCACTTTGGTTCTTGTTTTTGACTTGAGTTGAATTGCTTGATACTTTGGTTTTGGTTTTGACCTGGCATGGATTTCTGGATACTCCGATTTTGGTTTTGATTCTGGTCTGGTGTAAACTGAAGTGTGTGTGTGCCCTTTTTACCGGTTCTTTGTTCTGTGGTGTGTGTGTGGTGTGAGCGTGGTGTTTTGTCTCGAGGAGACATGGGTCAGACACAAAGTAAGCCCACTCCGCTAGGAACTGTGTTGAAAAATGTCAAGGAAAGATTTAGTGGAGACTATGGGGTTACTATGACACCAGGGAAACTTAGAACTTTGTGTGAAATAGATTGGCCAACATTAGAAGTGGGTCGGCCATCAGAAGGAAGCCTGGACAGGTCCCTTGTTTCTAAGGTGTGGCACAAGGTAACTGGTAAAGGATACCTAGACCAGTTCCCATACATAGACACTTGGTTACAGCTGGTGCTAGACCCCCCACAGTGGCTAAGAGGGCAGGCAGCAGCAATGCTAGTAGCAAAGGGACAGATAGCCAAGGAAGGATCCCACTCCACCCGCCCAGGGAAATCAACTCCTGAAGTTCTGTTCAACCCAACATCAGAAGATCCATTGCAGGAGATGGCACCAGTGATCCCAGTGGTGTCCTCCCCTTACCAGGGGAAGAGGCTCCTCATTCTAGAGCCCACAGTGCTTGTGCCTCCGCAAGACAAACATATCCCTAGGCCACCCAGGGTAGACAAGAGAGGAGGTGAAGACTCGGGAGAAACCCCTCCCTTGGCAGCTCGTCTACGACCCAAAACTGGGATGCAAATGCCCCTGAGAGAGCAGCGGTATACTGGGATAGATGAGGATGGTCACATGGTGGAGAGGCGTGTTTTTGTGTACCAGCCCTTCACCTCTGCCGATCTTCTCAACTAGAAAAACAATACCCCGTCCTATACCGAAAAGCCACAAACTCTAATTGATTTGTTCCAAACTATTATCCAGACCCACAACCCCACCTGGGCTGATTGCCACCAGTTGCTCATGTTCCTCTTTAACACAGATGAAAGGCGGAGAGTGCTCCAAGCAGCAGCTAAGTGGCTAGAGGAACATACACCAGCTGATTACCAAAACCTGCAAGAGTATGTAAGGACCCAATTACCAGGAACCGACCCCCAGTGGGACCCAAATGAAAGAGAGGATATGCAAAGGCTAAATCGATACAGGGAAGCTCTCTTGGAGGATTAAAGAGGGGAGCCCAGAAGGCCACAAACGTTAACAAGGTCTCTGAGGTCATTCAGGGAAAAGAAGAAAGTCCAGCACAATTCTACGAGAGACTGCGTGAGGCCTATCGTGTGTATACTCCCTTTGATCCCGATAGCCCTGAAAATCAGCGCACGATTAACATGGCTTTAGTTAGTCAAAGTACAGAAGACATTAGAAGAAAACTGCAGAAACAGGCTGGGTTTGCAGGGATGAATACATCACAGTTAGAAATAGCTAATCAGGTGTTTGTAAACAGGGATGCAGTAAGCCCTAAGGAAAACCACAAAGAGAATGAACGTCAGGCCCGGCGAAACACCAACCTGTTAGCTGCAGCAATCAGAGGGGTCCCCCCAAAGAGGCAAGGGAAGGGGGGCCCTGGGAAAAAAACTCAGCTTGGCTGTCAGAGTTTGCAGCGTAACCAGTGTGCTTATTTTAAAGAAATAGGACATTGAAAGAACAAATGCCCTCAGCTAAAAAGAAAACAAGGTGACTCAGAGCAGGAGGTCCCAGACAAGGAGGAAGGGGCCCTGCTCAACCTGGCAGAAGGGTTATTGGACTGAGGAGGATCAGGCTCAAGTGCTCCCAAAGAGACTATGGTCAGAATGATAGTCGGGGGTAAAGACATTGATTTTCTTGTAGATAACCTTGCTGAACATTTGGTAGTAACCGCCCTGGTCACCCCCTTATCCAAAAAGACTATTGACATCATTGGAGCCACGGGGGTTTCAGCAAAGCAAGCTTCCTGCTTGCCCCGGACTTGTACTGTAGGAGGACATAAAGTGATTCATCAGTTTTTGTACATGCCTGACTGTCCCTTGCCCTTGTTGGGAAGGGACTTGCTTAGCAAGCTGAGAACCACTATCTCTTTTACAGAGCACAGCTCTTTGCTGCTAAAGTTACCCAGAACAGGAGTCATTATGACCCTTATGGTCCCCCAAGAAGAGGAATGGAGACTTTTCTTAACTGAGCCGGGCCAAGAGATAAGACCAGCTCTGGCTAAGCGGTGGCCAAGAGTATGGGCGGAAGACAACCCTCCAGGGTTGGCAGTCAACCAAGCCCCCTACTTATAGAAGTTAAGCCTGGGGCCCAGCCGGTTAGGCAAAAACAGTACCCGGTCCCCAGAGAAGCTCTTAAAGGTATCCAAGTCCATCTCAAGCACTTAAGAACTTTTGGAATTATAGTTCCTTGTCAATCTCCATGGAACATTCCCCTCCTGCCTGTTCCCAAGCCAGGGACCAAGGACTACAGGCTGGTACAGGATTTGCACTTGGTTAATCAAGCTACAGTGACTTTACATCCAACAGTACCTAACCCGTACACATTGTTGGGGTTGCTGCCAGCTAGGACAGCTGGTTCACCTGCTTGGACCTAAAAGACACTTTCTTTAGTATCAGATTAGCCCCTGAGAGCCAGAAGCTCTTTGCCTTTCAGTGGGAAGATCCGGAGTCAGGTGTCACTACTCAGTACAATTGGAGCCAGCTACCCCAAGGGTTCAAGAACTCCCCCACCATCTTCGGGGAGGCATTGGCTCGAGACCTCCAGAAGTTTCCCACCAGAGACCTAGGCTGTGTATTGCTCCAGTACGCTGATGACCTTTTGCTGGGACACCCCACGGCAGTCGGGTGCACAAAGGGAACGGATGCCCTACTCCAGCACCTGGAGGACTGTGGGTATAAGGTGTCCAAGAAAAAAGCTCAGATCTGCCAACAGCAGGTACGTTACTTGGGATTTACTATCCGACAGGGGGAGTGCAGCCTGGGATCAGAAACAAAGCAGGTTATTTGCAATCTACTGGAGCCTAAGAGCAGAAGGCGGGTGAGAGAATTCTTAGGAGCTGTGGGGTTTTGTAGACTGTGGATCCCAAACTTTGCAGTATTAACCAAGCCTTCGTATGAGGTCACAAGATGGGGGGACTGGGAACCTTTTGAATGGGGATCCCAACAACAGCAAGCCTTTCATGAGTTAAAGGAAAACTTATGTCAGCCCCAGCCCTGGGGCTACCCGATCTGACAAAGCCTTTTACATTGTGTGTGTCAGAGAGAGAAAAGATGGCAGTTGGAGTTTTAACCGAAACTGTGGGGCCCTGGCCGAGGCCGGTAGCCTACCTCTCTAAACAACTAGACGAGGTTTCTAAAGGATGGCCCCCATGTTTGAGGGCCTTGGCAGCAACTGCCCTGCTAGTACAAGAAGCAAATAAGCTGACTCTTGGGCAAAACCTGAACATAAAGGCCCCCCATGCTGTGGTGACTTTAATGAATATTAAAGGACATCATTGGCTAACGAATGCTAGACTTACCAAGTACCAAAGTTTGCTCTGTGAAAATCCCTGTATAACCATTGAAGTTTGTAACACCCGCCACCTTGCTCCCGGTATCAGAGAGCTGTGTTGAGCATGATTGTGTAGAAGTGTTAGACTCAGTTTACTCTAGCAGACCTGACCTCTGGGACCAGCCTTGGGTATCAATAGACAGGGAACTATATGTGGATGGGAGCAGCTTCATCAACCCACAAGGAGAGAGATGTTCAGGGTATGCAGTGGTAACCCTGGACACTGTTGTTGAAGCCAGATCATTGCCCCAGGGCACTTCAGCCCAGAAAGCTGAACTTGTTGCTTTAATTGACACACTAACATCACAATTAAAAGAACTAGAGAAGCAAGAGCAAACACATTCAAAAGCTAGCAGAAGGCAAGAAATAACTAAGATCAGAGCAGAACTGAAGGAAATAGAGACACAAAAAACCCTTCAAAAAATCAAGGAATCCAGGAGGTGGTTTTTTGAAAAGATCAACAAAATTGATAGACCACTAGCAAGACTAATAAGAAAAGAGAGAAGAATCAAATAGATGCAATAAAAATGATAAAGGGGATATCACCACTGATCCCACAGAAATACAAACTACCATCAGAGAATACTATAAACACCTCTACACAAATAAACTAGAAAATCGAGAAGAAATGGATAAATTCCTCGACACATACACCCTCCCAAGACTAAACCAGGAAGAAGTTGAATCTCTGAATAGACCAATAACAGGCTCTGAAATTGAGGCAATAATTAATAGCTTACCAACCAAAAAAGTCCAAGACCAGATGGATTCACAGCCAAATTCTACCAGAGGTACAAGGAGGAGCTGGTACCATTCCTTCTGAAACTATTACAATCAATAGAAAAAGAGGGAATCCTCCTTAACTCATTTTATGAGGCGAGCATCCTCCTGATACCAAAGCCTGACAGAAACACAACAAAAAAAGAATTTTAGACTAATATCCCTGATGACATCGATGTAAAAATCCTCAATAAAATACTGGCAAACTGAATCCAGCAGCATATCGAAAAGCTTATCCACCATGATCAAGTGGGCTTCATCCCTGGGATGCAAGGCTGGTTTAACATACGCAAATCAATAAATGTAATCCAGCATATAAACAGAACCAACAACAAAAACCACATGATTATCTCAATAGATGCAGAAAAGGCCTTTGACAAAATTCAACAACGCTTCATGCTAAAAACTCTCAATAAATTAGGTATTGATGGGACGTATCTCAAAATAATAAGAGCTATCTATGACAAACCCACAGCCAATATCATACTGAATGGGCAAAACCTGGAAGCATTCCCTTTGAAAACCGGCACAAGACAGGGATGCCCTCTCTCACCACTCCTATTCAACATAGTGTTGGAAGTACTGGCCAGGGCAATCAGGCGGGAGAAGGAAATAAAAGGTATTCAATTAGGAAAAGAGGAAGTCAAATTGTCCCTGTTTGCAGATGACATGATTGTGTATCCAGAAAACTCCATTGTCTCAGCCCAAAATCTCCTTAAGCTGATAGGCAACTTCAGAAAAGTTTCAGGATACAAAATCAATGTGCAAAAATCACAAGCATTCTTATACACCAATAACAGACAAACAGAGAGCCAAATCATGAGTGAACTCCCATTCACAATTGCTTCAAAGAGAATAAAATACCTAGGAATCCAACTTATAAGGGATGTGAAGGACCTCTTCAAGGAGAACTACAAACCACTGCTCAATGAAATAAAAGAGGATACAAACAAATGGAAGAACATTCCATGCTCATGGGTAGGAAGAATCAATATCGTGAAAATGGCCATACTGCCCAAGGTAATTTGTAGATTCAATGCCATCCCCATCAAGCTACCAATGCCTTTCTTCACAGAATTGGAAAAAACTACTTTAAAGTTCATATGGAACCAAAAAAGAGCCCTCATTGCCAAGTCAATCCTAAGCGAAAAGAACAAAGCTGGAGGCATCACGCTACCTGACTTCAAACTATACTACAAGTCTACAGTAACCAAAACAGCATGGTACTGGTACCAAAACAGAGCTATAGAACAATGGAACAGAACAGAGCCCCCAGAGATAATGCCACGAATCTACAACTATCTGATCTTTGACAAACCTGAGAAAAACAAGAAATGAGGAAAGGATTCCCTATTTAATAAATGGTGCTGGGAAAACTGCCTAGCCATATGTAGAAAGCTGAAACTGGATCCTTTCCTTACACCTTATACAAAAATTAATTCAATATGGATTAAAGACTTACATGTTAGACCTAAAACTATAAAAACCCTAGAAGAAAACCTAGGCAATACCATTCAGGACATAGGCATGGGCAAGGACTTCATGTCTAAAACACCAAAAGCAATGGCAACAAAAGCCAAAATTGACAAATGGGATCTAATTAAACTAAAGAACTTCTGCACAGCAAAAGAAACTACTATCAGAGTGAACAGGCAACCTACAGAATGAAAGAAAATTTTTGCAATCTACTCATCTGACAAAGGGCTAACATCCAGAATCTACAATGAACTCAAACAAATTTACAAGAAAAAAACAACCCCATCAAAAAGTAGGTGAAGGATATGAACAGACACTTCTCAAAAGAAGACATTTATGCAGGGAAAAGACACATAAAAAAATGCTCATCATCACTGGCCATCAGAGAAATGCAAATCAAAACCACAATGAGATACCATCTCACACCAGTTAGAATGGCAATCATTAAAAAGTCAGGAAACAACAGGTGCTGGAGAAGATGTGGAGAAATAGGAACACTTTTACACTGTTGGTGGGACTGTAAGCTAGTTCAACCATTGCGGAAGTCAGTGTGGTGATTCCTGAAGGATCTAGAACTAGAAATACCATTTGACCCAGCAATCCCATTACTGGGTATATACCCAAAGAATTATAAATCATGCTGCTATAAAGACACATGCACACGTATGTTGATTGTGGTACTATTCACAATAGCAAAGACTTGGAACCAACCCAAATGTCCATCAATGATAGACTGGATTAAGAAAATGTGGCACATATACACCATGGAATACTTTGCAGCCATAAAAAAGAATGCGTTCATGCCCTTTGTAGGGACATGGATGAAGCTAGAAACCATCATTCTCAGCAAATTATCGCAAGGAAAAAAACCAAACGCTGCATGTTCTCACTCATAGATGGGAATTGAACAATGAGAACACATGGACACAGGAAGGGGAAAATCACACACTGGGGCCTGTTGTGGGGTGGGGTAGGGGGGAGGGATAGTATTAGGAGATATACCTAGTGTTAAATGATGAGTTACTGGGTGCAGCACACCAACAAGGCACATGTGTACATATGTAACTAACCTGCACGTTGTGCACATGTACCCTAAAACTTAAAGTATAATTTAAAAAAAAACTTTAGAAGGTGATGGAAGGTTTTTAAGCTAACAAGTGTCATGCTCGGTCTTGCTGAAGGGATTATCTTAGAAGCGGTCTCTGGACAAATAGTTCGCGAAGTGACTAAGTCAGTGGAGCTGGAAAAGGCAACTAGTATAAAAAGTATTAAACAGGAAAAATAAACTACCGATCATCTGTAGGGGACTAGAAAGGAAGTCGAAAATGACTCCCGGGAATTTGTTTGGCAGATAGGTGCTGGTGCCCTTGTTTTAGCCGACAAATCTACAAAGTAGATTTGGGGAATAGATCTGAAATTCAGTTTTGTATATCTGGAATTCAGGGATGACTGGAGTGTGTTAATAGAGCTGTTCAGAAGGCAGGCAAAATGAGAGTTCCATCTCATTAGAATGGAGTTGGCTCAAACTGTAGCTCTGGGATTCTTCAGCAACAGATTATGGAAGCCATAGGCATTAATGTAGTAGATATCTATTTTCTAAACATTGTTACTTATACAGACTACTTGATTTCTTGGAATGTGGTTAATTTACTTATTCATAATATGTATGAATGATTAATTTTGCCAAAAAGGTACAGGTACACCTATGCCTGCTCTCACAGAGTTTATGTTTGATAAAATGGTGATAGGAATTCTATCCCATTGGTCTGATGAAAAGATGAAATGGAATAGGGTTTATCCATTATCTTACATGGAATAAATGTTTACTCATTCACTTACTCAGCAAATATTGAGCTCCTGCTATGTAGTAGGCACTAGTCTAAGTAGTGGGGTTATAAGGAAATAGAAGAGAAAGTTTCAGCTTTCCTTGTGTGTTCTAATAATAACATAAAGAAAATGGTGGCAAGAAGTGACAAGTGCCATGATGAAAATAAAAAAAGGTCATGTGATAGAGTAAGAAGGGAGCTACTTTAATAGAAGTCAGGGAAGGTGTCTTAGTTTTGGCTACTATCACAAGTTACCAAAGACTGAGTAGTTTAAATAAGAAACATTTCTCATAGTTATGGAAGTTGAGAAGTCCAAGATCAAGATGTAGCCAGATCCCTGTCTGGTGAGAATCGACTTCCTGGTTTGCACATGGTTATCTTGCTGTGTGCTCACATACCAGAGAGTAGAGACAGACAGCAAGCTCATTGTATCTTCTTAGAAGGTAGCTAATCCCTTCCTAAGGGTTCTACTCTCATGACCTAATCACCTCTTAAGAGCCCTGCCTCCAAATACTATTATGTTCGTGATTAGGATTTCAAGATGTGAATTTGGGGGAAAGGGGCACAAATAATCTTTAACAGAAAACCTCTCTGAAGGGATGTGATTTAAGCAGAGACTCAAATCATGTGGAAAAGCCCACCATGTTTCTATCTGGGAGATGAGCACTTTAGACACAGGAAACTGTTCATAAACAATCCACATAAATGCCGTAAGGTGGCAACTGTCTTGGTGTGTGTATTAGTTTCCTATTGCTACTGTGACAAATTACTACAAACTTAGTGGCTTAAAACTACACAACTTTATTATCTTATAATTCAGGAACTCACAAGTCCTAAATGAATGTCACTGGACTAAAATCAACAAGTTGGCAGGGCTTGTAAGCCTTTTTGGAGGTTCTAAGGGAGGACTGCCTTTCCTTTTCCATTTTCTAAGGCTGCCTGCATTCCTTGGCTCCCTGTTCTTCCATCTTCATAGTAGTAGCCTATCAAGTCTTTCTTGGGAAGAATCACTCTGACAGCAACTCTCCTGCCTCTCTCTTTTACTTATAAAGACCCTTCTGATGACATTGGTGTTATGGGCTGAATTGTGTTCCTCAAAAAATATATGTTGAAGTCTTAGCCCCTAGTACCTCAAAATGTGACCTTTATTTGGAAATAAGGTCTTGACAGGTTATCAAATTAAAATGAGATCATTGGGGTAAGTCCTAATCTGACTGGTATCCTTAAAAAGGAGGAAACTTGGACACAGGAACACACATAATAAGTAGCAAGACAATGAAAATACACGAGGAGAAGATGGCCATGTGACTGGAGTGATGCATCTACAAGCTAAGGAGAGCCACTGATTGGCAGCAAACAGCAGAAGCTGGAAGAGGCAAGAAAAGATTTTCCCTTTAGAGCCATCAGAAACAGCAGCACAGCCCTGCCATTACCTTGACTTTGCACTTCTAGCTTCCAGAACTATGAAACAACAACTTTCTGTTGTTTTAAGCCATCTAGTTTTTGGTATTTTTTTACAGCATCCCTAGGAAGTGAATACACTTGGGTACACACCAATTGTATCCAACTACTCCAGGATAACCTCCCTACCTCAAGAGCCTTAACTTAATCAAATCTACAGAGTCCATTTTGCTATGTAAAGTAGCATATTCATAGGTACTGGGGATTAGAATGTGGAGATCTTTGGGGGTCATTATTCTGCCTATCACAGCATGTTAAAGGCATGTTAAAGGAATAAAAAGACCTCAGCGAGGGATGAGGGTTGGGGGAGGCAGGGGTCATTTCATCCAGATCATGTAGGCCTTTGTAGACCAAGTTACAAAGTTTAAATTTAATTGTGATGAGAAGGTGTAGGGAAAATTCTAAGCAAAGAAAGTATTTTGTCATTAAATGGCAAAAACCACAATTACTTTTGCACCAACCTATAGCTAAATCCATAGGTTTGGGTGAATGTTGGTCTATTAGTCAGGGTTCTCTAGAGGGACAGAACTAATAGGATTATATATACGTGTGTGTGTGTATATATATGGGACTTTATTAAGGAGTATTAAACTCAAAAGATCACAAGGTCCCACAATAGGCCATCTGCAAGCTGAGGAGCAAGGAAGCCAGTCCAAGTCCCAGAGCCGAAGAACTTGAAGTCCAATGTTCGAGGGCAGGAAGCATCCAGCATGGGAGAAAGATGTAGGCTGGGAGGCTAAGACAGTCTAGTCTTTTAATGTTTTTCTACCTACTTCATACTCTGGCTGTGCCTGCAGCTGGTGAAATGGTGCCCACTCAGATTAAATTCGGATATGCCTTCCCCAGCCCACTGACTCAAATGTTAATCTCCTTTGGCAACACCCTCACAGACATACCCAAGATCAAGACTTTGCATCCTTCAATCCAATCAAGTTGACACTCATTATAAGTCCACCTCTTGTCAATTTGAACCCATACATATCTCCTGATATCATACATAATCTTCAAATAAAGACAATCATAAGGTCATAACTATGCCTAACATAATACAACTATCTTTCATACAACTGGAAATGCACCAGTCCCCAACCCAAATGCTATTACATAAAGTTAACAATACTTAAATGCTGATATGAAGTCAATAAATCTTATGTCACGATAAAGGAAAAATGAAATAAAATGAACATATTTTCTTAGTACAAGTATATACATGCACAAACATGTTTTTAACAAAAGCAGGAGAAATACGCATGAAAATTACAGTCCCCGTATTTGCAACTGGTCATGTTGTCATAGCTGGAATTGATGACTATCTTCTTCTGCTACCCATTCTGTATTCCCTTTGCCTTCAGCAAGTACCTCAGCAGGTCGTAGTTTTTTTCCTGGTGGAGTGACCCAAACCTTTATTCCTGAAGGGTCTGGGTCATTTGCAGTCCTGCTTGGATTGGGCTGTTGTAGTTTCCCACTGACCTTAATCACAGGGCATGGTAATACTAAGAGATGCCCTAATGGATCTCCTGTATTCCATGCATACTCTACCTTACCTCCACTGTGGAGTAGTAGACTGATTTCATCTTGATAGTCTGGGTCAGTCACCCCAGCCAACACTGTACTCCCTTCTTAGCCTGTTGACTTACAGGTAGGAGGAGTCCAAAGTGTCCAGGTGGAAATCTTAATTTCCAGTTTAGTGGAATTGTTGTTGTGTCTCCTGGTGGCAGCGTTCCTCCCTCTGGAACTAAGACTTCTAGGCCAGCAGAACATAATGTTGCAGGAACAGGAAGCAAAAAATTTGCTAGTGGATCATGAGGGTTGATGGTCAGTGGTGCCACTTCCATTTCCACCCCTTGATTCCTGGACCCATGAATCCTGTCTAAGGGAGAAATAGTACCATATATTGGATGCTGATTCAGAGCATCGGCCTTCTGGAGAACTTTGACCCAGCCCTGCAAAGTATTGTCACCTAGTTGGCATTGTAATTGTGACTTCAAAAGGCCATTCCACTGTTCTATCAATTCAGCTGCTTCAGGATGATGGGGAACATGGTAAGGTCAGTGAATTCCATGACGGCACTTCTTTTTTTTTTTTTTTTTTTTTTTTTTTTTAAGATGGAGTCTTGCTCTGTCGCCAGGCTGGAGTGCAGTGGTGCGATCTCGGCTCACTGCAAGCTCCACCTGCTGGGTTCACGCCATTCTCTTGCCTCAGCCTCCCAAGTAGCTGGGACTACAGGCACCCGCCACCACACCCGGCTAATTTTTTGTATTTTTAGTAGAGACAGGGTTTCACCATGTTGGCCAGGATGGTCTCGATCTCCTGACCTCGTGATCCACCCACCTCGGCCTCCCAAAGTGCTGGGATTACAGGTGTGAGCCACCACGCCCAGCCTGCCACACTTCTTTAGCCATAAAGTGAGTGCCTTGGTCAGAGGCAATGCTGTGTGGAATACCATGACGATGGATAAAGCATTCCATGAGTCCATGGATGGTAGTCTTGGCAGAAGCATTGTGTGCAGGGTAGGCAAACCCACATTCAGAATGTCTATTCCAGTGAGGACAAACTTCACAGACACACTCAGGATCAATATTTTGCATCCTTCAATCCAATCAAGTTGACACTCAGTATTAACCATCACAGTTAGTATCATTTACAAAGATAGAAGAGATGGGAAAGCAGATTTAGTGAGCAAAATCCAATTCGCTGGAGACAACTTTAAGGTGCCTATTACAAATCCAGGTGGAGGTCAGGCAGTTGACTAAACATTTCACAGAGGGAGCTCAGGACATGAGATAAAAATTTAGAAGTCGGCATAAGTGGTCTTTAATGACATAGGATTGGAGATTACTGAGAAAGACAATATGTACAGAAAAGAATCTTAATGAAGTATCTTAGTCTATTTAGGCTATAACAAAAATAGCATACACTTGGTGACTTAAGCAACACACATTTATTTCTCACAGTTCTTGAGGCTAGGAAGTCCAAAATCAAGGCACTGGTGGATTCAGTGTCTGGCATAGGGCTGCCTCCTCATTCATAGATGGCTGTCTTTTCACTGTGTTCTCACGTGGGAGAAGGGAGCTAGAAAATTAACTGGGATCTCATTTAAGGATGCTCATCCCATTCATGAGGGCTCTGCTCTTAACTGAATTACCTCCCCAAGGCCACACCTCCCAACACCATCACAGTGGGGATTAGGGCTTCAACATAATGAACTTTGGGGGGATATGAACATTCAGTCCATAACATAAAGGAGCTCAGGTTAGCTACCACCATCCAGAGATGCCACACTTTTCTAAAAGTATGACCCTTCTCTACTGAAAGACCTTCAATGACTATGTTTCCTACAACTCCTTATTCTGACAAACTCTGACCCACATATCTCATTTGATTTTCTATTATCCACCTTCTTGCAATCTTAGGTGAGATTTTCTGCTTTTATAACTTTTTGAAATGCTATTTGATTCTCCAGGAATGGTCTTCCTATTTTTATAAGTCTAAATCCAATCTCACCAAGCCTTTAAGTCTCTGCACAAATGTTACCTTCACCCCGAAGATTTTTCTGATGGTTTCCAGTTATGAAAGAATTATTCTGTTCCCTAACTCCCTAGCATTTTATCTCTATCCCTCCTAGACGTGTAAACTCATTAAAGGCAGGCTCTGCATCTGATTCATCTTTTGATCCCACCTTGATAATGCTTATAGCCAATGCAAAAAATATGTATATAACTTGAAAAAATTTACTTGAATGTATAGTATGGCTTAGCTTTGCTTTAAGTATAGGTCTTATGCATGAAAAAATTTCAATGTTCCTCAAATGATTCTGTTGTAAAAAAAATCCTTATCACATAAATTAAGATACCACTGAATAAATCTCTTCACATTCTTACATTTTGTTTTTTAAATATATTTTTCAACTCAATTTCTTGGGACTTTTTTTAACTTTTATTTTAGGTTCAGGGGCATACATGTACAGGTTTGTTACATAGGTAAACTCATGTCATGAGGATTTGATATACAGGTTATTTCATCAGCTAGGTACTAAACTTAGTACTTGATAGTTATTTTTTCTGATCCTCTCCCTCCTCCCAGCCTTCACCTTCAAGTAGGCACCACTGTCTGTTGTTCTTTTTGTGGCCATGTGTCCTCATCATTTAACTCCCACTTATAAGTGCAAACATGTAGTATTTAGTTTTCTGTTCCTGCATTAGTTCGCTAAGGATAATAACCTCCAGCTCCATCCATGTTCCTGCAAAGGACATGATCTTGTTCTTTTTTATGGCACCATAGTATTCTATGGTGTGTATGTACCTCATTTTCTTGATCTAATCTGCCACTGATGGGCATTTAAGTTCATACTATGTCTTTGCTATTGTGAATAATGCTGCAATGACCATATGTGTGCATGTGTCTTTATGGTAGAATGATTGATACTTTTTTGAGTATATACCCAGTAATGGGATTGCTGGGTCAAATTGCAGTTCTGTTTTAGTTCTTTGAGAAATTGCCACACTGCTTTCCACAATGGTTGAACTAATTTACTCTCCCACCAACAATGTATAAGCATTCCCTTTTCTCTGCAACCACACCAGCATGTGTTATTTTTTCACTTTTTGGTAATAGCCATTCTGACTGGTGTGAAATGGTATCTCATTATGGTTTTCACTTGCATTTCTCTAAAGATTAGTGAAGATGAGCTTTTTTTCATATGCTTGTTGGCCACATGTATGTCTTCTTTTGAAAAGTGTCTGTTCATGTCCTTTGCCCACTTTTTACTGAGGTTGTTTGTTTTTTGCTTGTAAATTTATTTAAGTTTCTTATAGGTGGTAGATAGTAGGCCTTTGTCAGATACATAGTTTGCAAATATTTTCTCTCATTCTGTAGGTTGTCCATTTACTTTGTTGATAGTTTTTTTTCTAAGCAGAAGCTTTTTAGTGTAGTTATATCCCATTTGTCAATTTTTGCTTTTGTTGCAATTACTTTTGGTGTCTTCATCATGAAATCTTTGCCAGTCTCTATGTCCAATATCTTATTTCCTAGGTTATCTTCCAGAGTTTTTATAGTTTTGGGGTTTACATGTAAGTCTTTAATCCTTCTTGATTTTTGTATACGGTGTAAAGAAGGAGTCCAGTTTCAATTTTCTGCGTATTTCTAGCCAGTTATCCCAGTACCATTTATTGAATAGGGAGTCCTTTCCCCAATGCTTGTTTTTGTCAGTTTTGTTGAAGATCAGATGGTTGTAGGTCTGTGGCCTTATTTCTGAGCTCTCTATTCTGATCCATTGATGTATGTGTTTGTTTTTGTACCAGTTTCATGCTCTTTTGGTTACTATAGCCCTGTAGTATAGCGTGAAGTCAGGGAACATGATGCCTCCAGCTTTGTTCTTTTTGCTTAGGATTGTCTTGGCTATTCTGCCCCTTTTATTGGTTCCATGTAAATTTTAAAATAGTTTTTTTTCTAGTTCTGTGAATAATGTCATTGGTAGTCTGATAGGAATAGCATTGAATCTGTAAATTGCTTTGGGCAGTATGGACATTTTAACAATATTGATTCTTCCTATCCATGAGCATGGAATATTTTTCCATCTGTTAGTGTAATTTCTGATTTCTTTGAGCAGTGTTTTGTAACTCTCCTTGTAGAGATATTTCACCTCCCTGGTTAGCTGTATTCCTAGGTATTTTACTTATTTATTTATTTATTTATGTATTTTGGAGTTATCCGTGAATGGGATTGCATTCCTGATTTGTCTCCCAGCTTGGCTGTTATTGGTATATAGAAATGCTAGTGATTTTTGTATATTGATTTTGTATCCTGCAGCTTTGCTGAAGTTATTTATCAGCTGAAGGACCTTTTGGGGTGAGACTATGGGGTTTTCTTGATGTAGAATTATGTCATCTACAAACAAGAATAGTTTGACTTCCTCTCTTCCTATTTGGATGTGCTTTATTTCTTTTTCTTGCCAGATTGCCCTAGCCAGGACTTCCAATACTATGTTGAATAGAGTTGGTGAGGGAGGACCCTTGTCTTGTGCTGATTTTCAAGGGAAATCCTTCCAGTTCTTGCCCATTCAGTATGATGTTGGCTGTGGGTTTGTTACAGATGGCTCTTATTATTTTGTAGTATATGTTTCTTCAATACATAGTTTATTGAGAGTTTTTAACATGAGAGTATGTTGAATTGTATCAAAAGTCTTTTCTGCATCTATTGAGATAGTCATGTGGATTTTGTCTTTAGGTTTGTTTATGTGATGAATCACATTTATTGATTTGTCTATTTTGAACCAATCAAAGCCTATTTGATTATAATGGATTCTTTTTGATGTGTTGCTGGATTTGATTTGCTAGTATTTTGTTGAGGATTTTTGCACCTGTGTTCATCAAGGATATTGGCCTGAAGTTTTCTCTTTTTGTTGTGTCTCTGCCAGGTTTTGGTATCAGGATGATGTTGGCCTCATAGAATGATTTGGGGAGGAGCCCTCCTCAGCGTTTTGAAATAGTTTTAGTAGGAATGGTACTAGCTCTTCTTTGTACATATGGTAGAATTTGGCTGTAAATCTATCTGGTCCCAGCCTTTTTTTTTTTTTTTTTTTTTTTTTTGGTTGGTAGGTTATTTATTACTGATTAAATTTTGGAGCTAATTATTTGTATGTTCTGTGAATCAGTTTCTTACTGATTCAGTTTTGAGGGGGTTTATGTGTCCAGGAAATTATCCATTTCTTCTAGATTTTCTAGTTTTTGTGCATAGAGATGTCCACAGTAGTCTCTGACAGTTATTTGTGTTTCTGTGGGGTCATTAGTAACATCTCCTTTGTCATTCCTAATTGGGTTTGTTTGGATCTTCTCTCTTTTCTCCTTTATTAGTCTAGCTAGCTGTCTATCTTACTAATGTTTTCAAAAAATCAACTTCTGGATTCCTTGATCTTTTGAATGGTTTTTCATATCTCAGTTTCTTTCCATTCAGTTCTGAATTTGGTTATTTCTTATCTTCTGCTAGCTTTGGGGCTGGTTTGCTCTTACTTCTCTAGTTCTTCTAGTTGTGATGTTAGATTGTTAATTTAAGATCATTCTAACTTTTTAATGTGGGTGTTCAGTGCTATAAATTTCCCTCTTAACACTGCCTTAGCTGTGTCCTAGAGATTCTGGTATGTTGATCTTTGTTCTCATTAGTTTCAAAGAACAACTTGAATTCTGCGTTAATTTCATTATTTACCCAAAAGTCATTGTGGAGTATGTTGTTTAATTTCCATGTAATTATATGGTTCTGAGTTATTTTCTTAATCTTGATTTATATTTCTGTTGTGCTATGGTATAAGAGTGTGGTTTGTATGATTTGGGTTTTTATTTTTTGCATTTTCTAAGGATTTTTAAAATACCTGATTGTGTGGTCCATTTTAGAGTATGTGCCATGTGGTGTTGAGAAGAATGTATAGTCTATTATTAGTGAGTGGAGAGTTCTATAGATGTCTGTCAGGTCCATTTGGTCCAGTGTGGAGTTCATGTCCTGAATATCTGTTGATTTTCCGCCTTGATGATCTGTTAATAGTGTCATTGGGGTGTTGAAGTGTCCCACTATTATTGTGTGGGAGTCTAAATCTCTTTGTAGGTCTCTAAGAACTTGCTTTATAAATCGGGGTGCTCCTCTGTTGGATAAATATATATTTAGGTCTTCTTGTTGAATTGAACGTTTTACCATTATGTAATGCCCTTCTTTGTCTTTTTTTTTTTTTTTTTGACATTTGTTGGTTTAAAGACTGTTTTGTATGAAATCAGGATTGCAACCCCTACTTTTTTCTGGTTTCCATTTGCTTGGCAGCTTTTCTTCCATCCCTTTGTTTTGAACCTATGGATGTCATTGCATGTGAGTTGAGTCCCTTGAAGACAGCATACTATTGGGTCTTGCTTCCTTATCCAGCTTGTCACTCTGCACCTTTTAATTGGGGCATTTAGCCTATCTACATTCAAGGTTGGTATTGATATGTGTGGATATGATCCTGTCATTGTGTTTTTAACTGGTTATTATGCAGGCTTGTTTATGTGGTTGCTTTGTAGTGTCACTGGTCTGTGTACTTAATTGTGTTTTTGTAGTGGCTGGTAATGGTCTTTCCTTTCCATGTTAGCACTCCCTTCAAGAGCTCTCGTAAAGCAGACCTGGTAGTAATGAATTCCCTCAGCATTTGCTTGTCATAAATGGATCTCATTTCTCCTTTGCTTAGAAAACTTAATTTAGCTGGATATGAAATTTTTGGTATGTTGATCTGTTATCATTAGTTTCAAAGAATGACTTGATATCTGCCTTAATTTCATTATTTACCCAAAAGTCATGGCTTAGATATTTTTTTCTATAAGAATGTTGAATATAGGCCCTCAATTTCTTCTGGCTTGTAGGGTTTCTGCTTAAAGGTCTATGGTTAGCCCGATGGGGTTCCCTTTGTAGGTGACCTACCCTTTCTTTGTAGCTGCCTTTAACATTCTTTCTTTCAATTTGACCTTGGAAAGTCTGATGATTATGTATCTTGGGGATGATCTTTTTTTGTAATATCTTGCTGGGGTCCTCTGCATTTCCTGAATTTGAATGTTGGTCTCTCCAGCAAGGTTTGGGGAAGCTTTCATGGCTGATGTCCTGAAATATGTTTTTCAATTTGTTTGCTTTCTCCCTATCTCTTTTAGGGATACCAATGATTAGTAGATTTTGCTTCTTCATATAATCTCGTATATCTTGGAGGTTGTGTATCTTCCTTTTTATTCTTTTTTCTTTATTTTTGTCTGACTGTCTTATTACAGAGAGCCAGTCTTCAAGCTCTGAGATTCTTTCCTCAGCTTGGTCTATTCTGCTGTTAATATTTGTAATTGCATTGTGAAATTCTTGGAGTGTGTTTTTCAGCTCTATCATGTCAGTTCAGTGCTTTTTGTTTTGTTCTTTGTTTTCTGTTTTTATACCAGCTATTTTGTCTGTCGGCTCCTGTATCATTTTATTATATTCTTAATTTCCTTAGATTGCATTTTGGAATTCTGAATCTCAATGATCTTCATTCTTATGCATAGTCTGAATTCTATTTCTGTTATTTCAGCCATCTCAGCCTTGTTAAGAAACTTGTTGGAGAACTAGTGTGATCACTTGGAGGACATAAGACACTCTGGCCATTTGAATTGCCAGAGTTCTTGCATTGGTCCTTTCTCATTTCTGCATGTGGGTGTTCCTTTCAGCCTTGTTAAGAACCTTGTTGGAGAACTAGTGTGGTCACTTGGAGGACATAAAACACTCCAGCCATTTGACTTGCCAGAGTTCTTGCATTGATCCTTTCTTATTTCTGCATGTGGGTGTTCCTTTAACTGTGGTGTAGATTCAATAGTCAGTAGACTTCTTTTCTGCCTATTTTCAAAGGGCCAAGGCTTTGTGCAGGGCCTTTATTAGTGGTTGACTTGTCTTTGTTTTCACAGTGAGACATGTTAGTGGGGTATTTTGGTGTTGAAGCTTTGGGATGTGATCCAGTAGGTGGCGCTTAAACTTAGTGGTCAGTAGGTAGCCTCTCACTCAGTCACATGGTCCCCTATATTTCCTCTCATTTTTAGCCATGCTCCCTCTCAATTCTCTGAAGGTGTGGGCTCCTCTCCCTCTTGAGTGCTGGCTATAGATGACAGCTTGGCACTCCTAGGCTGCCCACCACAACTTTGGGGCGATCTCAGAGTTTATATTCCTTCTCCAACTTGGAGGCAGCAGAGGAAGGGACCTTAGTAGTGGTTGTGGCCATGGGTCTTTTACTTGCCTCCTGGGGCTCCACTCCAGTGAGATGCAGAGCAGCAATTGCTCAGTGCAATCAGCTCAGGATGGGGGTGCAGGTGTCTGTGCTGTGTGCCCAAGCCAGGGGGGCCTTGCCTAGTGGTGAGCAGTGGGGGTGGGTGGGAACCATGGGAAACAGAGTGGCCTCCTCTCCTTGGGCCTACTTCAACTTGATGGAGGTGTAGATGAGACAGGGTGTTTGCTCCTTTGCCAGTGCAAAGGAAGCAAGGGCAGTACCACTACAGAGGCAGTGTGAGAGGGGCTTTCAGTTGCTCCTGCGGGCTCCACCTCCAGGAAAACTGGAGCCACTACTATTAGGAGTATTCAGCCAGGAGGGTGGGGTGGCTGCACTGCTGGTGTCAGCTGGGGGATCCACTTGTTGGGAAGCATGGGGTCGAGGGCTTATAGGGAAGAGAGACTGACCTTCTCTCTGTATGATCAATGTGTTGTGGTGTAAGCTCAGGTGTAGCCCTCAGGAGCTTTGTTTCTTCCCCAGACTTGGAGCAGCAGGGGCAGAACCACTGCTGTGACAGTGGCAGAGAGGCTATCAGTTGCCTCTGGGAGACTCTCTCCAGGGAAACTCAGAGCCACTACCAGGGGTATGCATAGCCATGGGTAGGGCAGCTATTCTGTGGTTCTGAGCTGGGACCCTGCCTGGTGAAGAATAGAAGGTGGAGGTTCCCAGGGTAGAGGGACTAGACTCCTCTCCATATGGTGGTTGCAGTGTGCTGAGAGTGCCAGTATAATGCCTAGACCCTTTGTTGCTTCCCCAGACCTAGGGCTGTTAGGGTGGTACCATTGCAACTGCAGTGGTGGAGGGGTTGTGGGTCGACTGTGGGACTTCCTCCTTGGAAAGATGCTGAGCTGCCTCTGATTGAAGTGATTGGTAGGGGCAGGGGTGGTTTTGCTGGAGTCCCGGGTGAGGCAGCCCAGCCCAGTGAGGAGAAGTGACAACCGGGACCTGTGTGGAGGAGAGTCTGGCAACTTTTCCATGAGGTGGCTGCTCAGCCCCTGGTCCCCACTGACTCTCCAGAGCCTGGTGACAACAAAGGCGAGCAA
Organism: Homo sapiens; assembly: GCF_000001405.40. NCBI lineage: Eukaryota > Metazoa > Chordata > Mammalia > Primates > Hominidae > Homo > Homo sapiens. The sequence continues at coordinate 146,546,643 of NC_000004.12, forward strand.
AGATGGCAACTCGCCCCTCCTGCTGTGAACCCTGTCCCAGGGAGGTGCAGAGCTGCCACTGGCTTGATAGCCCCAGCAGGTGCTGGCTGGAGACCCAGGCTCGGAGGTCCCACCAAATGAGAAACAAGACCCATATGAAAAACAGTCTGGCCATTTTTCCATAAGGCTGTTGCACTATACTGGAGTCTGCTCCAGTCTCCAGTCAGCTCGGATTTTCCAGTGCCTGAAGGCAACAACACGGAAGGCTGCAAAAGAGCAAAGATGGCCGTCTGCTCCCTCCCTCCCAGGGAGGTGTGGAGCTGCTGCTTGCCCAAAAACACTGGCAGGAGATGGCTGGATATCTTAGTCAGAAGGTCCCGCCCAGTGAGGAGAAATGAGATTGGGGACTCACGTAAAAAAGCAATCTGTCCACTTTTCGATAGGGCAGAAGTGCTATGCTGTGAGTCTGCTCCAAACCCCAAGTGCCTTGGACTCGCCAAAGCCCAAAGGAAACAACAGCCAAGACTTCGAAACAGTAAAGATGCCAGCGTGCCCCTCCCACTGGGAGCTCCATCTCAGGGAGGTACAGAGCTGCTACTGGAAGCTGGCTGGCATCCCAGGCCTATGGGTCTTATCCTGTGAGATGCCGTGGAAGTGGGGCCTGCAGACCATTACTACTCAGCCTGCTGGCGTGTACAGGAGTCCCACTTTGCCAGAGCTGCTATTGCCAGGATGCCTGGGGATCCAAGGGTCTTGGGACTCTCAGTGTGCCTGAGCAATGTCTCTGCCCAAAGTCCACATAGCTCTGATGTCAGACTGAAGGCCCTGGTGGAGTGGGTGTATGAGGGGATCTCCTGGCCCCAGGGTTGCAAAGATCCATGGAAAATACATGGGTCCCAGGGGTCTCTCATTCACAATTTCCCTGGGCAGGGGAGGCTCCCTGGCTCCGTGTCACTCCCAGGTGGGCAGTCATCCTGTCTTAGTCCTCTCCATTCTCTATGGTTTGTTGTTTCCTTGATGAATACATGAATCAAATACATGAATCTGGGTGTTTCAGTTGAAGGCGTAGTATTTACTCGCCCCTTTTATTTCTCTCTGTGAAAAGCAGCACACACTAGCGGCTTCTAATTGGCCATTTTCCATGGTGTTCTTGGGATTTTTTTGTTTGGTTGGTTGATTGGTTACTTGCTTGCTTTGGTTTTGGTTTTGAGGTTTTTGTTGTTTTATTTTCCTGACATTATAAAACTTGATTTAAAAAAAAATCTGAGAAAAGATTTTGAGAAAAACCGTAAGCTCTGTTTTAGTCTTGAGTAGCTAGATATACCTATTATACATCCACATTGTGATGTCAGGAAAGCCTCTGAAATATGTGACTGTAGAGATCAGGAGAGCAGTTTGGGCTAGAGACAGGCAACAATAACCATAAGCAATTAGATGATACTTAAAGCCATGGGATTGAATGACCTACTCAGTGAGTGTTGATGACAAAGGAAAGAAATTGGAGAGAGGAGCAGGATGCTGTTAAGAAAACTAAGAAGGAACAGAAACTTAGAGGAAAATCAGGAGAATGTGGAATCACAGAAGACAAGGGGCATAGAGTTTGATGAAGGAGGGAGCAGCCATCTGGAGTTAATGCTACTGGGAGGATTTGACTACATGCAGGCTGTCTGAGACTTTAACATGAGACATTATAGTTTGAAAGGTGGGCACAGAGGCTGTGGTTGGCAGCTCCTAAAATAGATCCCTACCTCTGTAAACTTGTGTATTTCCCTCCCTTTGGATGTGAACAGACTTATTGATTTGCTTCTAATAAATGGAATATGGCAGAAGTGATTAGATGTCACTTCTATTAAGCTACAAAATGACTATGACTTCTATCTTAAGCTTTTTCTGCAGGCTTGCTCCTTTGCTGAGAGAAGCCAGCTGCCATCATGTAAGCTTGTCTATTCAGAAGCCCATGTGTCAAGAAAGAATCTCCCCCCAACAGCCAGCCACAGTCTGAGGCTTGGAGTGGCTCCTCTCCCAGTGAAACTGAAGATGTCTTCTGCCCCAGTTTACAGCTTGATTGTAGCCACAGGCATCCAACTAAGCCAAGCCAATATTGCTGACCCGTAGAAACTATGAGCCCTGACTAAGCTGCCAAATTTTAGGGTAATTCTTTACACAGCAATAGGTAACTAACACCTAAGCTGAATTGCAAAGAGTTGAAAAGTGCCTGCAGTGAGCATAGACAACTCAGTCAAGAAGTTTGCTATGGGGGTGAGTAGAGGAATTATGTGGTGAGTAGAGGAATTACATGGTAAGTGTGGAAAGACGATCAGAGCATTTTCTTCTTCTTTTTTTTTTTTTTCTGAGACAGAGTCTCACTCATTCACCCAGGCTGGAGTGCAGTGGCACGATCTCAGCTCACTGCAACCTCTGCCTCCCAGGTTCAAGCAATTCTCCTGCCTCAGCCTCCTGAGTAGCTAGGATTACAGGTGCACACCACCACACCAGGCTAATTTTTTGTATTTTTAGGAGAGACAGGGTTTCACCATGCTGGCCAGGCTGGACTGGACCTCCTGACCTCAAGTGATCCACCCACCTCGACCTCCCAAAGTGCTGAGATTACAGGCATGAGCCACCACACCTGGCCTAATAACACCACTTCTCTGCCCACAGTAATATTTAATATCTTCCCGAAATGGTGCCTGGAACACAGTAAGCTTTGTGTCATGAGAGAGCACCCCAGAGTTTGGTCAGCTCTGGGATGCTGATGGGTAGGTCTTCTGAGCCTGTAAAACTGTAAAACAGTTGCTGAAAGATAATGAAACTACCACAGTAATTGTGACTTCTTAGTGGCCAACCGAGTAGTATTCTGGTGCCTTTCCCAACCTTCCCATTCCAAATGACATAAGTCTGATTTTCCTCATTTTAAAGATGTGACGATGAAGAAAGTAAGGTAAAAGTTTTTCCCATGGCTGATAAGTGGCAGAGTCAGGCTTCAAACCAAGGTATGCCTGACTTCAGAAACCTGAGCAGTAGACTTCAGTGGTTAAGAGTATGTCTCCAAGCATCCAACTGCCCAGGTTAAAATCCTGACTACACTACTTACTGTAATACCCATGTGACTCTGGGAAAGTCATTTAACCTTCCTTGGTCTCAGTTTGTAAGATAATTACAGTACCTATAATATAAAGTTAGTACCTATAATCTGGATTGTTACAATGATGAGTAAATATATTGATAGCATACAAGTGTCAAAAAAAATTCTGACATTGCCCCCTGTATGAGCATGTTCTCGAACTGCTATAAAGAAATACCTGGCCTGTAATCCTAGCACTCTGGGAGGCTGAGGTGGGAGGATCACCTGAGGTCAGGAGTTTGAGAAAGGCCTGGCCAACATGATGAAACTCCCATCTTTACTTAAAAAAAAAAAAAAATTATCTGGGCATGGTGCCGCACAACTATAATCCCAGTTTCTTGGGAGGCTGAGGCAGGAGAATCATTTGAACCCGGGAGGTGGGGGCTACAGTAAGCTGAGATGGCACCACTGCACTCCAGCCTGGGTGACAGAGCAAGAATCCATCAAAAAACAAAAACAACAACAACAACAAAAAAGACAAGACAAGACCTGAGACTGGGTGATTTATAAAGACAAGAGGTTTAATTGGTTCATGGTTCTGCAGTCTGTACAGAAAGCATGGCAGCAACTGCTTGGTTTTCATCATAGTGGAAGGCAAAGGGGAAGCTGGCACTTCACATGACGAGCAGGAGGAAGTGGATAGGGGAGGGAAAGTGCTACACACTTTTAAATAACCAATTCTCATGAGAACTCATTCAGTATCATGAGAACAGCACGCAGGGTGACTGTGTTAAACCATTAGAAACCGCCCCTGTGATCCAATCACCTCCAACTAGGCCCCACCTCCAACACTGAGGATTACACTTGAATATGAGATTTGGGTAGGACACAGATCCAAACCATATCACCTCCCTTACATCTTGACCCACATAAAGTCTGACATATTTTGTGGTAATATTTGGTTCAATAATCAACTCCTGTAATTAATTTATCACTGGTAGATAATTTGTGAAAATTACATATGGCAGGGTAATCTTGTTTTATATTTTTCTTTTGAGAAATAAGTTATTTATATTCTTTTTAATCATTTAAAGTAATTACAAATTAAATGAAAAGATTCATAAGGACATATATAATCTCCAAACAAACATATTTAAGAGCAACTATTTTGATCAGGGATTTTTTTTTATACTACTGAATATTGTTAGCTTCAAAATTCTACCATGAAAGGAAATGCTCTTCTTTTCCTGTATTCTAAATACAGCAAAGATAAAGATATGTAGTGGCTGTGCCAATTATAACAGAATACTACAAATACATGCATAATTTGAAAACATATTGGAGCTAGCAAGATAATTTCCAGAATAAGTGTCTGGTAGTCCACTTCTCTGAGCATTGCTAAAATGCTTTATGGAGATAGAGTATTATTTTCTTCTTTGATATTGCCTCTCCCTAGAACAACTCTAATATTAAACAGTTATGAAAATTCCAACTCAAATATAGGAAGTCATGTTTTACATTAGACTAGGAACATAACCACTTCTCTTTTCTCCGTACAGGAATTTAGGCACTTAGCTTCTATTGTATTTGTGTTAATGAGAGTTATGCATGTAAATTTCCTCAATTGAAATAGGATTATGCCCTTTGCACATTGATAGTGACAGAGTTTGTCTGTGTGGAAGATGTAATGCTACTTACTTTCTTTAACCCATGAGGGGTGAATGTGTCTCTTTGCGGAAGGCCTTATGCTCTGGTGGTTTGTGGAACCTCTCCATCTAATAGTTTCTCTGTCCCTTAAGTGGAAATCTGTCTCAGGAAATTAAGGGGAGAGAGGAGAGTAGACAGTCGTGGAAGATAAGCTATTGGGAAGCACAGTAAATAATGGAGTGAAATGTAGCTCGAAAGAGAGGGATCATTTAAGGCTATTAGATGACAAATCCACTTCAATGCAGTTATTATACTTGTAAATATAGAAAAATGATAATGTTGACAATTCTTCATCATACAATCTGTGTCATTAATAAATGATGAAGGATAGAAAGAGTAAAAGAAATAAAGCCAACATTCTGTGCATAACAATAGCACAGAAGCACTTGGAACAACTAGCTAAGCTAAAAACAAAGGCATAACTCGGTACCACTAATAAGGGATGACTGAGATAAAAAGACAAAATTCAAAAACATGTGTGTGTAAAATAGCATGAGTAATATAGGTTTCATTGTTTAAAACAAATATATAATTTTGGCTTACATATCAGAAAATAATATGTAATAATTGCCTGTGTAATTGTGTTTAATATTGGTTTTCAGGGAAAAGATAGCTGTCTGCATTCATGCAGGGCAAATGAAACTATTTATAGAGTGGTTGCCCACTTCGTATTCCTTAAATGCCAAAGATATTAAAAATCTCCAGAGGGTATTTTCATCTCCTCCTGGAAAATTACATACAATTACTGCATCTCTGAGTGTCCTCTAAGATGGGGCAACAACAAGAGTTATAAATCCAACTTAATTTAAATAAGAACAAAGATCTAAAAGAAGTTTGGAGAGCATTATGTCCCTGTGATTTGGAGACCTGTACACATTACCCTGGGTTCATGGAGCTCTCAAAGGCTGAACATTTCAAAGAATAGATTGGGTTGACTTTTCCAAGAGCTGTGTAATTATAATGGGTAGTAGAGGCTGCTGGTGGTCGGTCTCCCATTACACATTCTCTCCTCCCTTAGTGTTAGAACTCCTGATTCTAGCTGGGCACAGGCTGCTAAATAAAGATTACAGATTCTTTTGAATCTTGTAAGCAGGCATGTAACTAAGTTCCAGCAATGTAATGTAACTAGAAGTGGCTGATTTCTAGGAAGTTTCTTAAAGGAAGGGGACATTCACCTGTTTATTCCTTCTTCTTGCCGGCTGAATGCATATGTAAAGGCTGAAATTCCCAAGAGTGGCAGAGTGGCAAGATGGGAAATTCCTGGAGCTACCCTAAGGACTCTAGCTTGAGTATCTCTGGATTGTAGGTATATAAGAGAAACAAACTTCTCTCTGGTTTATCACTGTTATTTTGAGTTTCCTGTTGCTTATAGAAAAGCCTAATTTTATATGCTATGCAGTTCTAAAAAGCAGAAAAGTAAGCCATTATCTCTTGTCATAAAGGTTGCTCCAAAAAGTGAATTGCTAACCCTAACTGATGCCTAATTGAATGCCTTAAACTCATACAAACTTTTCTTTTTTTAACTTATTAAATTTTCTTTTTTTAAAATTATTATTATACTTTAAGTTTTAGGGTACATGTGCACAATGTGCAGATTACTTACATATGTATACATGTGTCATGCTGGTGTGCTGCACCAATTAACTCGTAATTTAGAATTAGGTATATCTCCTAAAGCTATCCCTCCCCCTTCCCCCAACCCCACAACAGTCCCCAGAGTGTGATGTTCCCCTTCCTGTGTCCATGTGTTCTCATTGTTCAATTCCCACCTATGAGTGAGAATATATAGTGTTTGGTTTTTTGTTCTTGCGATAGTTTACTGAGAATGATGATTTCCAATTTCATCCATATCCCTACAAAGGACATGAACTCATCATTTTTTATGGCTGCATAGTATTCCATGGTGTATATGTGCCACATTTTCTTAATCCAGTCTATCATTGTTGGACATTTGGGTTGGTTCCAAGTCTTTGCTATTGTGAATAGTGCTGCAATAAACATATGTGTGCATGTGTCTTTATAGCAGCATGATTTATAGTCCTTTGGGTATATACCCAGTAATGGGATGGTTGGGTCAAATGGTATTTCTAGTTCTAGATCCCTGAGGAATCACGACACTGACTTCCACAAGGGTTGAACTAGTTTACAGTCCCACCAGCAGTGTAAAAGTGTTCCTATTTCTCCACATCCTCTCCAGTACCTGTTGTTTCCTGACTTTTTAATGATTGCCATTCTAACTGGTGTGAGATGGTATCTCATTGTGGTTTTGATTTGCATTTCTCTGATGGCCAGTGATGGTGAGCATTTTTCATGTGTTTTTTGGCTGCATAAATGTCTTCTTTTGAGAAGTGTCTGTTCATGTCCTTCGACCACTTTTTGATGGGGTTGTTTGTTTTTTTCTTGTAAATTTGTTTGAGTTCATTGTAGATTCTGGATATTAGCCCTTTGTCAGATGAGTAGGTTGCAAAAATTTTCTCCCATGTTGTAGGTTGCCTGTTCACTCTAATGGTAGTTTCTTTTGCTGTGCAGAAGCTCTTTAGTTTAATTAGATCCCATTTGTCAATTTTGGCTTTTGTTGCCATTGCTTTTGATGTTTCAGACATGAAGTCCTTGCCCATGCCTATGTCCTGATTGGTAATGCCTAGGTTTTCTTCTAGGGTTTTTATGGTTTTAGGTCTAACGTTTAAGTCTTTAATACATCTTGAATTAATTTTTGTATAAGGTGTAAGGAAAGGATCCAGTTTCAGCTTTCTACATATGGCTAGCCAGTTTTCCCAGCACCATTTATTAAATAGAGAATCCTTTCCCCATTGCTTGATTTTCTCAGGTTTGTCAAAGATCAGATAGTTGTAGATATGCGGTGTTATTTCTGAGGGCTCTGTTCTGTTCCATTGATCTATATCTCTGTTTTGGTACCAGTACCATGCTGTTTTGGTTACTGTAGCCTTGTAGTATAGTTTGAAGTCAGGTAGTGTGATGCCTCCAGCTTTGTTCTTTTGGCTTAGGATTGACTTGGCAGTGCGGGCTCTTTTTTGGTTCCATATGAACTTTAAAGTAGTTTTTTCCAATTCTGTGAAGAAAGGCATTGGTAGCTTGATGGGGATGGCATTGAATCTATAAATTACCTTGGGCAGTATGGCCATTTTCACAATATTGATTCTTCCTACCCATGAGCATGGACTGTTCTCCCATTTGTTTGTATCCTCTTTTATTTCATTGAGCAGTGGTTTGTAGTTCTCCTTGAAGAGGTCCTTCACATCCCTTGTAAGTTGGATTCCTAGGCATTTTATTCTCTTTGAAGCAATTGTGAATGGGAGTTCACTCATGATTTGGCTCTCTGTTTGTCTGTTATTGGTGTATAAGAATGCTTGTGATTTTTGTACATTGATTTTGTATCCTGAGACTTTGCTGAAGTTGCTTATCAGCTTAAGGAGATTTTGGGCTGAGATAATGGGGTTTTCTAGATATATGATGATGTCATCTGCAAACAGGGACAATTTGACATCCTGTTTTCCTAATTGAATACCCTTTATTTCCTTCTCCTGCCTAATTGCCCTGGCCAGAACTTCCAACACTATGTTGAATAGGAGTGGTGAGAGAGGGCATCCCTGTCTTGTGCCAGTTTTCAAAGGGAATGCTTCCAGTTTTTGCCCATTCAGTATGATATTGGCTGTGGGTTTGTCATAGATAGCTCTTATTATTTTGAGATACGTCCCATCAATACCTAATTTATTGAGAGTTTTTAGCATGAAGGGTTGTTGAATTTTGTCAAAGGCCTTTTCTGCATCTATTGAGATAATCATGTGGTTTTTGTCTTTGGTTCTGTTTATATGCTGGATTACGTTTATTGATTTGCGTATATTGAACCAGCCTTGCATCCCAGGGATGAAGCCCAGTTGATCATGGTGGATAAGCTTTTTGATGTGCTGCTGGATTCATTTTGCCAGTATTTTATTGAGGATTTTTGCATCAATGTTCATCAAGGATATTGGTCTAAAATTCTCTTTTTTGGTTGTGTCTCTGCTGGGCTTTGGTATCAGGATGATGCTGGCCTCATAAAACGAGTTAGGGAGGATTCCCTCTTTTTCTATTGATTGGAATAGTTTCAGAAGGAATGGTACCAGTTCCTCCTTATACCTCTGGTAGAATTGGGCTGTGAATCCATCTGGTCCTGGACTCTTTTTGGTTGGTAAGCTATTGATTATTGCCACAATTTCAGATCCTGTTATTGGTCTATTCAGAGATTCAACTTCTTCCTGGTTTAGTCTTGGGAGGGTGTATGTGTTGAGGAATTTATCCATTTCTTCTAGATTTTCTAGTTTATTTGCGTAGAGGTGTTTGTAGTATTCTCTGATGGTAGTTTGTATTTCTGTGGGATCGGTGGTGATATCCTCTTTATCATTTTTTATTGCGTCTATTTGATTCTTTTCTCTTTTTTTCTTTATTAGTCTTGCTAGTGGTCTATCAATTTTGTTGATCCTTTCAAAAAACCAGCTCCTGGATTCATTAATTTTTTGAAGGGTTTTTTGTGTCTCTATTTCCTTCAGTTCTGCTCTGATTTTAGTTATTTCTTGCCTTCTGCTAGCTTTTGAATGTGTTTGCTCTTGCTTTTCTAGTTCTTTTAATTGTGATGTTAGGGTGTCAATTTTGGATCTTTCCTGCTTTCTCTTGTGGGCATTTAGTGCTATAAATTTCCCTCTACACACTGCTTTGAATGTGTCCCAGAGATTCTGGTATGTTGTGTCTTTGTTCTCGTTGGTTTCAAAGATCATCTTTATTTCTGCCTTCATTTCGTTATGTACCCAGTAGTCATTTAGGAGCAGGTTGTTCCGTTTCCATGTAGTTGAGTGGTTTTGAGTGAGTTTCTTAATCCTGAGTTCTAGTTTGATTGCACTGTGGTCTGAGAGACAGTTTGTTATAATTTCTGTTCTTTTACATTTGCTGAGGTGTGCTTTACTTCCAACTATGTAGTCAGTTTTGGAATAGGTGTGGTGTGGTGCTGAAAAGAATGTATATTCTGTTGATTTGGGGTGGAGAGTTCTGTAGATGTCTATGAGGTCCACTTGTTGCAGAGTTGAGTTCAATTCCTGGGTATCCTTATTATCTTTCTGTCTCATTGATCTGTCTAATATTGACAGTAGGGTGTTAAAGTCTCCCATTATTATTGTGTGGGAGTCTAAGTCTCTTTGTAGGTCACTCAGGACTTGCTTTATGAATCTGAGTGCTCCTGTATTGGGTGCATATATATTTAGGATACTTAGCTCTTCTTGTTGAATTGATCCCTTGACCATTATGTAATGGCCTTCTTTGTCTCTTTTGATCTTTGTTGGTTAAAGTCTGTTTTATCAGAGACTAGGATTGCAACCCCTGCCTTTTTCTGTTTTCCATTTGCTTGGTAGATCTTCCTCCATCCTTTTATTCTGAGCCTATGTGTGTCTCTGCACGTGAGATGGGTTTCCTGAATACAGCACACTGATGGGTCTTGACTCTTTATCCAGTTTGCCAGTCTGTGTCTTTTAATTGGAGCATTTAGCCCATTTACATTCAAAGTTAATATCGTTATGTGTGAATTTGATCCTGTCATTATGACATCAGCTGGCTATTTTGCTCGTTAGTTGATGCAGTTTCTTCCTAGCCTTGACGGTCTTTATAATTTGGCATGTTTTTGCAGTGGCTGGTACCAGTTTTTCCTTTCCATGTTTAGTGCTTCCTTCAGGAGCTCTTTTAGGGCAGGCCTGGTGGTGACAAAATCTCTTAGCATTTGCTTGTCTGTAAAGTATTTTATTTCTCCTTCACTTATGAAGCTTAGCTTGGCTGGATATAAAATTCTGGGTTGAAGAATGTTGAATATTGGCCCCCACTCTCTTCTGGCTTGTAGAATTTCTGCTGAGAGATCAGCTGTTAGTCTGATGGGCTTTCCTTTGTGGGTAACCTGACCTTTCTCTCTGGCTGCCCTTAACATTTTTTCCTTCATTTCAACTTTGGCGAATCTGACAATTATGTGTCTTGGAGTTGCTCTTCTCGAGGAGTATCTTTGTGGCATTCTCTGTGTTTCCTGAATCTGAATGTTGGCCTCCCTTGCTAGATTGGGGAAGTTCTCCTGGATAATATCCTGCAGAGTGTTTTCCAATTTGGTTCCATTCTCACCGTCACTTTCAGGTACACCAATCAGATGTAGATTTGGTTTTTTCACATAGTTCCATATTTCTTGGAGGCTTTGTTCGTTTCTTTTTATTCTTTTTTCTCTAAACTTCCCTTCTTGCTTCATTTCATGCATTTCATCTTCCATCACTGATACCCTTTCTTCCAGTTGATCGCATTGGCTCCTGAGGCTTCTGCATTCTTCGTGTAGTTCTCGAGCCTTGGCTTTTGGCTCCATCAGCTCCTTTAAACACTTCTCTCTATTGGTTATTCTAGTTGTACATTCTTCTAAATTTTTTGCAAACTTTTCAACATCTTTGCCTTTGGTTTGAATTTCCTCCTGTAGCTTGGAGTAGTTTGATCGTCTGAAGCCTTCTTCTCTCAACTCGTCAAAGTCATTCTCTGTCCAGCTTTGTTCCATTGCTGGTGAGGAGCTGCATTCCTTTGGAGGAGGAGAGGCACTCTGCTTTTTAGAGTTTCCATTTTTTCTGTTCTGTTTTTTCCCCATCTTTGTGGTTTTATCTACTTTTGGTCTTTGATGATGGCGATGTACAGATGGGTTTTTGGTGTGAATGTCCTTTCTGTTTGTTAGTTTTCCTTCTAACAGACAGGACCCTCAGCTGCAGGTCTGTTGGAGTTTGCTAGAGGTCCACTCCAGACCCTGTTTGCCTGGGTACCAGCAGCGGTGGCTGCAGAACAGCAGATTTTCGTGAACCGCGAATGCTGCTGTCTGATCGTTCCTCTGGAAGTTTTGTCTCAGAGGAGTACCTGGCCGTGTGAGGTGTCAGTCTGCCCCTACTGGGGGGTGCCTCCCAATTAGGCTGCTCAGGGGTCAGGGGTCAGGGACCCACTTGAGGAGGCAGTCTGCCTGTTCTCAGATCTCCAGCTGCATGCTGGGAGAACCACTGCTCTCTTCAAAGCTGTCAGACGGGGACATTTAAGTCTGCAGAGGTTACTGCTGTCTTTTTGTTTGTCTGTGCCCTGCCCCCAGAGGTGGAGCCTACAGAGGCAGGCAGGCCTCCTTGAGCTGTGGTGGGCTCCATCCAGTTCAAGCTTCCTGGCTGCTTTGTTTACCTAAGCAAGCCTGGGCAATGACGGGCGCCCCTCCCCCAGCCTCGCTGCTGCCTTGCAGTTTGATCTCAGACTGCTGTGCTAGTAATCAGTGAGACTCCGTGGGCATAGGACCCTCCGAGCAAGGTGCGGGATATAATCTCCTGGTGCGCCGTTTTTTTAAGCCCATCGGAAAACACAGTATTGGGGTGGGAGTGACCCTATTTTCCAGGTGCCGTCTGTCACCCCTTTCTTTGACTAGGAGAGGGAACTCCCTGACCTCTTGCGCTTCCCAAGTGAGGCAATGCCTTGACCTGCTTCAGCTCATGCACTGTGTGCTGCACCCACTGTCCTGCGCCCACCGTCTGGCACTCCCTAGTGAGATGGAAATCCGGTACCTCAGATGGAAATGCAGAAATCACCTGTCTTCTGTGTCGCTCACGCTGGGAGCTGTAGACCGGAGCTGTTCCTATTCGGCCGTCTTGGCTCCAGTCCCCTACAATCTTTTCAAGTTACACACAGTAGAAATGGAATCATTGGTGATAGATCGATTATCAAATAGAAAACTAAGGGTGGAATTTGCTGTTGTAATAGGGCTACCGATCTTGTTAAATCAAATTTGTGCATATTTGGAGGAAGAAAATGTCAGAAGCTGTATCTGAAGACACCTTAGAACCTTATCAGGCCAGACACCTATAAATATTAATTTTGAATACATTGGGCCTCCTACTGTCAATTATGAGGCAGGCCCTCTTGGCCTGAAGTGACCCTAGGTACTGAGATTGAAACTCTTCAACAAAGACAGAGAAAACAAATGCTACTGCCATTTTCCAAGGAAAGTATCACTTTATTCTTTCCCTACTGTTGGAGGACTGTAGCAGTTGTTTCTCTGGAAATAAGAAAGTGGATAACCAGACCAATGGTATTCTCCAATCCATCTTATCAGAGCAGAGCTCTTAAATTCACATCTCCTAATTACTAGCCTGGTATTTTTTGTCCTAAACCAGAGACAGAAAACTAAAGCCCTTGGACCAAATACTGTTTTTGTAAATAAACTTTTACTGAAATGCAGCCACACATGGGGATTTTGGGAACTAGAATTCAAGATGAAATTTGGGTAGGGACACAGCCAAACCATATCAGGCCTTTATATTGTACTTTCAGGAAAGTCTTGCTTGTTTGGGGTTGATGCATAACAACTCACTAATTGGATTTAATAAGAAAGTTCCACTATGCCCTGGTAAAGCATGCACTCTCACCCTAGAGAAGACAGATCTGGGGAGTTATCTTGAAGTAGAAAGGACTTGAAGGTTTAAAATGAAGTTTTAAGAATATTAACATTTCTTACCTAAAATAGTATAGTATAGAGAGGGAGAGAGCAGCAAACATTTTTTATAAAAGCAAACATTTTTTATAAAGGACATGGCTGTGGCTGCATTTCTCTGAATCGTGTGCCATCTTCCTTTTACCATATATTTCCGGTAATTAAATTTTCTTATCATTCCTTTTATTTCTGCAAGTCTTTTACATTCTTAAATGTCTGAGCATTTTTTTCCTTAATGTGGTCTCAACAACTGTATTCCCATACTCTCTTATAGAACCACATTTGATAACATGGGATCTATTTGTGATTAGTATTCTAAAAGCTGGAATAAAAAGGTAAGTCACATGATTAGATATATTCAGAAATATTCATTAGGTCATTACAGTACTTACATTTTAGTGCTTCTTGTGGTTGCAATTGCACATCTTCCTTACAATTTCACTTCTTTGTCTTTACCTGAGTGGCAGATAATGTTTTTTGCATGTCTTCTTCAGTTGGGTACCAGCTGCATTGTCTCAATGGCTTTCAAAAGGAAGACTAATGGACCTAATCCGTAAATACTGACTAGAAGCCAGAGTAAAGGCAAGAAGCACTGTTTATTGGCCGTTAGTCATCAATAAATGATGGCAGTGTTAAACAATAAACACAGAGCTCTGAGAATATCATTAACATTACTTACAAAATAAATGTTTCTGTGATATATTGGGTTTTGGTAGTCAAATCCCCAGAGGGCTCTACGACTGGGTTTGTCATCTGCTGCATTTTAAACTGAAATATCTTTTTCAAAAGTTCTTTCTGGTTCTTTGCTTTGATGGATTTATAAGAAGACTGGTATTTCCTCAAAGAAGATCTTCCTTTCCTCTGGATGTGTGTCACGTGTCATTGGGTTAACTTGAAGAAGAGCTGGGACTATCTGACAAATATTTTGATCTTTTCACAACTTGGGTCTCTATACGTGTAAAAGTATGTGAAAACCCATCAACTATCTGACCCAAGAAAGCAAAGTATAAATCTTAAGACCTTAACAATAACTAACGCTAAAACAAGATCAATCTGTCTTTTCATTGCTTTCTAAAAGAACATAGAGAAAAGCAATTAGAAAGTACTTTATATCTGTTTCCCTCTATTTTTCCTAAAATAATATGCCTCCTCACTTAGTACCATATTGCAAACAGCTGGAGTCTATAACATATCACATGTTATTCCCACTTGTTGAATATCCTAAAAGCAATAAAGAGAGAAAGAATAAACATGTTTTAAATGATTCGATTTTCATGCTTTATGACTTTCTCATGATCACTTTAGTCATCTACCTAAAGATTTATTTTGAAGGCTAAGTGGTGATTACAGATGAATGCACTTCTAAAACCAATATGAAATACCTTCCTTAAAACACTTAAGAGAATGCAAGAGAGAGTGAAAACATGGAGGATTTAAACTCCACATCTACCATTTGAGTACATTACCTAACCACAGTTAAAGGTTCCTTTCTTTGTTGATAGAATAGAATAGCCAAGAGCAGGGGTGGCAAACCTGGAAAATGCAGATTCTCAAAAATCATTGGGAAGACATGATCTTGTTGTTACTTTGAAGAAGTGCATAAAAATCTCATGCTATCTCATTGAGAGGCAAGTGACCCTTCTCCTCGCTGGTAAAACATGTCATGGTTAATAATACCTGCTTCATAAGATGGTTGTGAAGGTTAAATATAGATAAATCACCTAGAGGTAGAGTTAATGGTAATAAATGTTCTTCTTCTGTTCCCCCTGCATTTTGTCCTCCTTCCTGTTCTCAAAGAGAAGAAAAGTCAAGTGATCCTAAACATCACTATTTGTGGAATAGACTTAGGA
Source organism: Homo sapiens (assembly GCF_000001405.40). Lineage (NCBI taxonomy): Eukaryota > Metazoa > Chordata > Mammalia > Primates > Hominidae > Homo > Homo sapiens. The sequence continues at coordinate 146,561,758 of NC_000004.12, forward strand.
ACAGAATAGGATGAAAGTCCTCCTACATTTTAATGATAAACACAAAATGTGGTGGCAAGATATCTAATGTCTTTCCTGAATCTTTGCACAAAAACATGACACAATTTTTCTCATTCTAAAAACGTAGAAGTAGAAACACCAAAATGTGAACAACCTCTCTGAAGTTACCAAAGAACAAATCCAAAAAGAATATAAAAGTCTCCAAACTTAAAGTTTAAAATTCTAAAAACAAGCATATTATATCTGAGATATTACTTGGTGTTTGTATGTACATCATCAACCAGTAGTGAAATTACTAATTAGTTATTTTTAGGTTGTATTATTTGTCTGTGAATGTTTTACTAGATAACCAGTTATATGTTTATATCATTATATGTTTATTAGACATCCCATTATATGTTTATGTGTTAACTCAAACAGAGGGCCTAAGGAGAACTCCACAGTAGAGAACAAAGAATGAGGTTAGAAGTGGGCAAGTACAGATGTAGTGGCCATGGCTGTGATTGTTTGAGAAGTTACTTTGTTTCAGAGGTTTTAGGCATCGCCCTCTGCCTTCTACTGAAATTCATGTTTTTCCTTTGCTGAGTCTTTGTGGCTTTGTTCTATGCTACTCCAGAGCCAAGTCTCACTTGCGCAGTTGTCTGGGAAATCTACCAGGGCTAAACTCCCCAAGACTCATTTTCTTCCTAGTTCTTCCTATTGCATTTGCTGGCTTGGTCCTCCGTCAACTCATAGAGGCTTCACTGATCATTCCCCTCGGCACCTAGGATGCTAAATTAGTATGTGATCTCTGGTAGACCTAGGTCCTATTTTGCTTGATAGGGTCTGAAACACATCAGTGCTCTGTGACAATTTTAGAACATCTCTCAATATACTGTAAGAGGGTAACATATGGTGTTTGCATACACATAGCTCCAAAAATGTTCCAGGAGCATGGCTTTATTCCCAGACCATGGCCACCTGAGGGATAAGGGTTCTGCTCCTGTCTCCAGGTTGAAGGTTTCCCAGAGAATCACTTTGATCTGGTTTCACACTAACCCCATGGGATGGCTCTAATGTGCCACTAAGGGACTACAGTCAATCACAGGAGCAGGCTTAGATCCTGTTGTAGTTCAGGATCCTCCAGATGTCCCTATCTTAGCTTTCTCCAGATAGACTGCAATGCCCTTGGAGGGTCAAAGACTGAACCAGCCTTTCAGATTTCCCTGGATCACAAACAATACAAGCCCTGGCCATTGTCTTTAGATGCTTTTAAATATCAGAGCAGGTTGGGTGAATGGAACTATGCAGTGATCCACGCAAACATTTAGCCTTATTTGCAATAAGGATCCAGATATGCCATCAGCCTGCTGCTACCTGGCAAAGTGCACTTCAATTTCAAGCTGATGTGTTTACTTTCCAGGGTTGAAATTGTTGTCAGCAATTTTTATTTTAAATAGGAGTTGCAGTCACTGGCGTTTTAGAATACTTCATATTTACAAAGGTTCATTTTACAAGAACATCCTAAAGTGCTATATGAATATCATTTCATTTGTCCTCATCACATCTCTGTGAGGGAAAGTAACCCATATTGCCCTCCCCCATCATCACCAGACCCTGCGTTCAAATGAAAACACACACACAAAGTCCCAACACAGAGGGTTTCTAGAGGACCAGAACAGAACTGATACTGAGCCCAATAATTTTGTGTTGTATATGAAGGTTCAGGCGCTGGCAAAGGACTTGGGGGAAATAGTTCTATCACACCAAGAGAACACTTTCTTAAGGGCAGAAGAATGGGGACGTGGGAAGAGAAGGCCCCTAAATCAGCCCATTGTATTGAAGACCCTTGTTCTTTGCCTTCTTTCTCCCGTTGTCAGTTATTACCATCACTCAGAAAGGAGGTGGAAGGGAGGCATGGAGCAAACTAATGAGCCCATGAATTGTTGAGCCCGTTACTTGCTTTTGAAATGTCCACCTGTGTTCTAGATCAGAAACCAACTGATTTTTATTCCATAACACTTTCAAATGATTAGGATAATCCATTAAGCATAGCCTAAGAACCTTTATTTCCTAAGATTAAATCAATTTGATTCAACTATTTGTTTAGTAGAAGCTTCGATAATAGTAATGGCAAAAGGAATTGGGGAGGAATGGTGATGAGAGAAATGTATCTTTTTCTCTCATGAAGAGGTAAGGAAATGAGTGTTTACTGAGTAAGTATGGTGTACCAAGAGCTTTTCTAGATGACATTGTCTTTAGATGCTTTTAAGTATCAGAACAGAATGGGCGAATGAACTATGCAGCGATCCATGCTAACATTTAGCCTTATTTGCAATAAGGACCCAGATATGCTGTCAGCCTGTTGCTACCTGGCAAAGTGCACTTCAATTTCAAGCCAATGTGTTTACTTTTCAGGGTTGAAATTGTTAGCAATCTGTGACAATTTATTTAACACTGAATTTTGGGAATTGTGGTTCTTATGTCACAGGCATTTGAACCACAGTGACTTCATCTTGAATAGCGGATCGGTAAAATGAGGCTGAGACCTACTGGGCTGCATTCATAGGAGGTTAGGCATTCTTTGTCACAGGATGAGATAGGAGGTTGGTAGGACTGGTATCATAAGATACAGGTCATAAAGACCCTGCTGATAAAACAGGATGTGGTAAAGAAGCTGACCAAAACCTACTAAAACCAACATGGTGACGAAAGTGACCTCTGATCGTTCTCACTGATCATTATATGCTAATTATAATTCATTATTATAATTATACGTTTATATATATTATGTACTATATTATATAATTATAATTCATTAGCATGCTAAAAGACACTCCCATTAGCATCATGACAGTTTACAAATGCCATGGCAACATCTAGAAGTTACCCTGTATGGTCTAAAAAAGGGAGGAATCCTCAGTTCTGGGAATTGCCCACCTCTTTCCCTCATGAATAATCCACCCCTTGTTTAGCATATTATCAAGAAATAACCATAAAATTAGCCAATCAGCAGCCCTCGGGGCTGCTCTCTTTATGGAGTAGTTGTTCTTTTGTTTCTTCTCTAATAAACTTGCTTTCTTTTTACTCTGTGGACTCGCCCTGAATTCTTTCTTGGGTGAGATCTCTTGGGGTCTGGGCAGGGACCCCTTTCTAGTAACACTTATGCTCCTTCTCAAGAAACCAAGACTCAGAAAAAATAAACAACTTATAAGGTCACACAGTTAGTAAACTCCAGAGTCTGGACTCTACCCAGATCTTTCTCATTCCTAAACTCCAGCTAAGAGTTGCTTTGGGGTTGTTCTCATATGCTAATGTGAAGCTACTCAAGAACACATTCTCTTACCAAGAGGCAATTGTTACAACTTGATAGGAGAAATAAGTTCTGGTGTTCTGTGCATTGCAGGGCGAATAGGGTTAACTATAATTTATTGTGTATTTTTTAAAAGCTAGAAGAGAGGATTTTTATGTTCACAGCACAAAGAAATGATAAATGTTTGTGGGGATAGTATACTAATTACCCTGATTTGATAATTATACATTGTATACGTATACCAAATATCACTCTGTATCTCATAAATATGTACAATTATTACATGTCAACTAAAAATAAAAGGAGAAAAAAAGTCAACTGTCTTTGTTCCCAAACCAATTTGTGTCTTTTGCCCTTGTTATTTGGATAACATTATTTAGTTAAGTGTTGAACAGACTAATGAAATATAAATATAGAAGCCGAGTGCAGTGGCTCATGCCTGTAATCCCAACACTTTGGGAGGCCAAGGCAAGAGGATCACTTGATCTCAGGTGTTTGAGACCAGCCTGGGCAACATGGTGAAACCACGTCTCTACAAAAAATATAAAGATTAGCAAGGCATGGTGGTATGCACCTGTAGTCCCAGCTACTCAGGGGGCTGAGGTGGGAGGGTTACTTGACCTCAGGAGGTCAGGCTGCTGTGAGTTGCGATCATGCCACTAGTGCACTCCAACCTGGGTGACAGAGCAAGATCCTGTCTCAAAAAATAAAAAAGGAAGAAAGAAAGAAATATAAATACAGAAGTTTAGTGTTTCTATGAAGACTAGACTGCTTAAAAATTGTTTTCATATATATGTGGATGATATACCTGCAAAATATTAGATTAAATTTATCAAAATCTAGGATTCTACATTCAGATTGCTTCAACATTCTTCTGGCATCTTAAAGAAATGGAAACTGGAAATTGGTGAGGCATATGGCTCTGGTTCTTTAAAAAAGATGATGCAAAAATCAAAGAAAAGGCAAGGTGTATATATATAGGTGTGTGTATATATATATATGTACACACACGCACCCTGATTTGATCATTACTCACTGTATACATATACCAACTGTCACTCTGTATCTCATAAATATGTACACCTATATATACACACACAATATATAGGTGTATATATATGTGTACATAAATATGTACATATATAATATATAGGTGTATATACATATGTGTACATATGTATATACATTTACCCAGGGTCAGCATTGGGTTAAAAAACCAAGTTTTCTAATTTATGTACACATATGTATATACACCTATATATTCTAATATTTATGTACACATATGTATATACACCTATATACACCTATGTATTATATGTATAAAGTGTATACCAACTTATACTTTTAAACCTTTTAAAAAGGTAGCTTACAAATTTCCCTGCTTTAATTGCCTTTTCCAATTAACTAGCCAGCTGTAGATTTTTTAACTTTTGACAAGAAGGTGACATCTCCTATAAAGCTTTTATTCTCTGGTCTGGGAATCCTATCTGCTTATTAATTTTATATATGTCTACAATCAGAGAGAAATTTACACATAAGCCTAACTCTTCTTTTGAGGAAAGAGAAGAATTGGAGATGATAGGAAGGGAAAATATCCACGGGTGGGTTCTCAAACAGAAGTGAGATGAATATAAAAATTGAGTAACAAATAAATGGTTCAACTAATAGTTAAATTTTCATTAATGTTAAATTAGAAGCCCATTCTATGTAAAATGATCTGTTTCTGTTATTTTTGCCTTCATTTCCCAGTGAAAGCTTATTTTTAAAAAGGCCAACTTTCCTCACTAAACATTCTCAGTAATCACGTTGCTTTCCCAGTCACCCAAAGTCACAAGCCAGAGCGTTGTCCAAGGCTCTTCCTCCTTTCAATCTCCAAATCCCTTGAACTCCATCTCGCAACTGTTTTCATATCTGTCCCTTTATCTTACTGCGTAGGAGAGATCAAACACAAGGGCAAGCATTTACCAAGTACATGTATCAAAGCCAATCCCTACTTGCCTGCATCTCTGCTCCCTGAACCACAGATTTTATTTTGTGGGACCCTGATGGAGTCAAAAAGATAACCTCCCTCACTTCCTGTCATATTTGCTATATGATGAGATATTCTCAAAATTAATGTTGCTGAAATTCATTTGCTGTTCTACCTGCTGCTACTGACATCAGTAGCACAACACAACTGTAAACGTAGGCTCTCCACAGGTCTCCTGTATTAACCGTCCACCATTACCACCCTCCCTTCCAGCAGCAAATCTTCAGCTCAGTTCCCTTGTTAATCTAGAATCCAAATCTCAGTTTATAACTGCTGCACTCAAAAGCAGTCAAGATTCTCTTGGCCTATCAGACTGAATCCAAGCTCCTTGGCATAAAATATGAGGTCCTCTGCAATCTGGATCTCTTCTTGTTTTTACAGATGTGACTCATCTTCTCTTTAAACAATAGCTTTGCTCCTCTAGACAATTTCTACTCATTCTTTAGGTCTCATATTTGGCGTCTTCTTCTCTAGGAAGTCCCACCAATACCCCAGGAGAGTGGGGGAGGTGCACTTCCTGCTGCGTCTCCAACCCTAGCATCCACCTAGTGAATGCCTTGTATAAAGATTCCAAGAAGAATTTGCCAACACTGCAATAGACAGAGACAATCAAAGCTGCTATGCCCTTGGGGGTGCAGCTGTGCCAAATCAGTGACTAAGACAACTGTGGATTCTAAGGAGAGCTCTTGGAATGTGAAATAGGAAAAAGCCCTGTTGTGGAATCAGTTCTCCCTGCCTGAGCTATCCTTTACAGGAGGTTATGCCATAAATACCAAGCATCAGTTTTAATCTTATGCTATTGTGTCAAAATCTCCTCTTTACATACATTGAATAACATCTTATCTCTTCTACTTATATTAATTTAAACAGTTAAAATATCAAGGGAAAATACCAAAAGAATCATACTTTTCCAAATTTGAGCTTGACTTTTGGCTTTCTTTAAGAACTATAAATGTGATGTGGCAATGCACTAAATTCTTGAGTTATTCTTACACTATTTTTAAGATTAACGTAGTCTTAGAATTGGTTATTTTTAGATTGTACATTTATTTCATTAAGGTGAAACATATTTGGAAATTAGCACTAAATTAAATTTTTCTCATTCTAAAACAACATATCAGATGTTAATAGACTTCATTTGTATATTCTTAAAATTGCACCAAGTAAAAATTATATTTTGTATAGAATATGTGTAGTACTTGACAGTTATAAAAAACCTGCATGAATTTATTTGCTTCTTACAATCCTATAGTACAGACAGATAGGTATTATTATCCCCATTTTAGTGATGAGGAAATGCAGGGTGGTTTGAGGACTCTGGCCACATTTACCCAGGGTTACCATTGGGTTAAAAAACAAACAAACCAATAAACCAAGATTTCTAATTCCTTATAAGGATTTGTGCATATGCAGTTGTAGAGAATTCTTTTTCTCCCGAGAGGAGAATGTATAGGATGTAATATTTTAGCTTGGTAAAACCATTTTTCAAGTGTTAAAATTTATTGATACAACCAAAGAATAGGAAAAAAGTTTCTGAATTAATTCTGCTTTGATTTCTTTATCATGACCTTAAATAAGGACAATGATTTTATTAATCATTTCTGTCATTCATTTATAAGGTCTGTTTTACCTCTGTAGCTAAGACTACTCAAGTAAACAATTACGTATTTACAAATGTGAAATGTAAAGAATTTGCCTGATTTTTATGATTCTGACAGGAGCATACCTACATTTTTAAGTTTCATAGAAGGAAATTTACAGTGTTTACATTTGTTATTACTTTTCTGACAACCAGTGAAAACTATGTGGAAAACAATATTGTAATGACTGAAAAGCAAGCTCCAAGGACACAAGAACTTTGTCTCTTTCTTCACTGGCACATTCTGAAGGCCAACAACAGGCCTGAAATATAGTTGGTACTTAATGAATATTTGTTGAATGAATAAATGAAATAGTAAAGGAAACAGATGAGGAAATTGAGGCTCATGACTCTATTAGTAAGGGTTCTCCAGAGAAACAGAATGAGTTGGAAACATGTAGGTGCATGAGAGGGGATTTATTATGAGAATTTGCTCATGTGATTAGGGAGGCTGAAAAGTCCCACATTTGGCTATCTGCAAGCTGGAAAACCAGGAAAGCTGGTGGTGTAATTTAATCCAGTCTGAGTTTGAAGTCCTGAGAATCAGGAGCTTCCATGTCCGAGGATAGGAGAAGATGGATGTCCCAGCTCAAGAAAAGAGGATGAATTCCCTCTTCCTCTACCTTTTTATTCTATTCAGACCCTCAACTGCTTGGATGATGCTTGCCACCTTGACTCTTCTTCATTCAGTCTATGGATTCAAATGTTAATCTCTTCCAGAAACATCCTAACAGATATATCCAGAAAATCTTGTTTACCAGCGATCTGGGTATCCCTTAACCCAGCCAACTTAACCATCTCAATGACCTTATGTTATTTGAGAAGTAAAAATAATTCTTTTATTTAACAAATTATTTACTGAGTGCCTAAGAAGTTCTAGACAGATTCTGAGGCTCTAGTATAGGACGACCAAGCATCTGGTACTGCCCTAGAGGGAGGTATTCCAGTTTAGACTGGGTGACTGGGGAAGGCCTTTTTGAGGTGCCACCATTTGAAATCTGAATGAAATGAGGGCACCAGCCATGTGAAGATAATATTACCTACCTATTGTCAAAACATTAAATTAGATGATGCATAGAAAGCACTTACCTCATACCTCATACATCCTCAATGATCAGCAAATGGTAGATATTATTGGTATTTCTATAGATGGCAACCAAGATATTAATTTCTCCGTATTCAAAACTGAGGCAAATCTACCGTGTTGTGATACACACAGATGTGTAGATGGCCAAAATGAAGAATTAGTTGTATCCTAATCTATTCTTTATTGGACATGTTGGAAATATTGGGATTGCATGCTTTGAGTCCTTGGAAGAAGCAGGAGATGTCAATTCCTGCCCCAGGAGGAACGGGTTCTGCTGCATTTTCTGACTTTTTATATCAAAGCCCCACATTTAAAAGCCTGAATGTCCAATTGGGACAGATATTCTAGGTGGGTTTAAGGGCCCTTGAACAGGATTAGGGTTTGCAAATTATCCACTTTTTTGGTACTTGGGCTATTATATATCAGCATGTCAAATGCTTTCTGTAATTTTTTTAATCTGCCAAACTTAAAAAAATTTTCCTAACTTGTCTGGAATATATATTAAGTCTTTTTTTTTATTATTATTATACTTTAAGTTTTAGGGTACATGTGCACAACGTGCAGGTTTGTTACATATGTACACATGTGCTATGTTGCTGTGCTGCACCCATTATCTCGTCATTTAGCATTAGGTATATCTCCTAATGCTATCCCTACCCCCTACCCCCACCCCACAACAGACTCCGGTGTGTGATGTTCCCCTTCCTGTGTCCATGTGTTCTCATTGTTCAATTCCCACCTATGAGTGAGAACATGTGGTGTTTGGTTTTTGGTCCTTGCGATAGTTTGCTGAGAATGATGGTTTCCAGCTTCATCCATGTCCCTACAAAGGACATGAACTCATTTTTTATGGCTGCATAGTATTCCATGGTGTATATGTGCCACATTTTCTTAATCCAGTTTATCATTGTTGGACATTTGGGTTGGTTCCAAGTCTTTGCTATTGTGAATAGTGCCACAATAAACATACATGTGCATGTGTCTTTATAGCAGCATGATTTATAATCATCTGGGTATATACCCAGTAATGGGATTGCTGGGTCAAATGGTGTTTCTAGTTCTAGATCCCTGAGGAATTGCCACACTGACTTCCACAGTGGTTGAACTAGTTTACAGTCCCACCAACAGTGTAAAAGTGTTCCTATTTCTCCACATCCTCTCCAGCATCTGCTGTTTCCTAACTTTTTAATGATTGCCATTCTAACTTGTGTGAGATGGTATCTCATTGTGGTTTTGATTTGCATTTCTCTGATGGCCAGTGATGATGAGCATTTTTTATGTGTCTTTTGGCTGCATAAATGTCTTCTTTTGAGAAGTGTCTGTTCATATCCTTGGCCCACTTTTTGATGGGGTTGTTTGTTTTTTTCTTGTAAATTTGTTTGAGTTCATTGTAGATTCTGGATATTAGCCCTTTGTCAGATGAGTAGGTTGCAAAAATTTTCTCCCATTCTGTAGGTTGCCTGTTCACTCTGATGGTGGTTTCTTTTGCTGTGCAGAAGCCCTTTAGTTTAATTAGATCCCATTTGTCAATTTTGGCTTTTGTTGCCATTGCTTTTGGTGTTTTAGACATGAAGTCCTTGCCCATGCCTATGTCCTGAATGGTAATGCCTAGGTTTTCTTCTAGGGTTTTTATGGTTTTAGGTCTAACATGTAAGTCTTTAATCCATCTTGAATTAATTATTGTATAAGGTGTAAGGAAGGGATCCAGTTTCAGCTTTCTACATATGGCTAGCCAGTTTTCCCAGCACCATTTATTAAATAAGGTATCCTTTCCCCATTGCTTGTTTTTGTCAGGTTTGTCAAAGATCAGATGGTTGTAGATATGTGGCATTATTTCTGAGGGCTCTGTTCTGTTCCGTTGGTCTATATCTCTGTTTTGGTACCAGTACCATGCTGTTTTGGTTACTGTAGCCTTGTAGCATAGTTTGAATTCAGGTAGCATGATGCCTCCAGCTTTGTTCTTTTGGCTTAGGATTGACTTGGCAATGTGGGCTCTTTTTTGGTTCCATATGAACTTTAAAATAGTTTTTTCCAATTCTGTGAAGAAAGTCATTGGTAGCTTGATGGGGATGGCATTGAATCTATAAATTACCTTGGGCAGTATGGCCATTTTCACGATATTGATTCTTCCTACTCATGAGCATGGAATGTTCTTCCATATGTTTGTATCCTCTTTTATTTCATTGAGCAGTGGTTTGTAGTTCTCCTTGAAGAGGTCCTTCACATCCCTTGTAAGTTGGATTCCTAGGTATTTTATTCTCTTTGAAGCAATTGTGAATGGGAGTTCACTCATGATTTGGCTCTCTGTTTGTCTGTTATTGGTGTATAAGAATGCTTGTGATTTTTGCACATTGATTTTATACCATTCCTTCTGAAACTATTCCAATCAATAGAAAAAGAGGGAATCCTCCCTAACTCTTTTTATGAGGCCAGCATCATCCTGATACCAAAGTCTGGCAGAGACAAACCCAAAAAAGATAATTTTGGACCAATATCCTTGATGAACATTGATGCAAAAATCCTCAATAAAATACTGGCAAACTGAATCCAGCAACACATCAAAAAGCTTATCCACTGTGATCAAGTGGGCTTCATCCCTGGGATGCAAGGCTGGTTCAACATACAAAAATCAATAAACATAATCCAGCATATAAACAGAACCAAAGACAAAAACCACATGATTATCTCAATAGATGCAGAAAAGGCCTTTGACAAAATTCAACAACCTTCATGCTAAAAACTCTCAATAAATTAGGTATTGATGGGACATATCTCAAAATAATAAGAGCTATCTGTGACAAACCCACAGCCAATATCTTACTGAATGGGCAAAAACTGGAAGCATTCCCTTTGAAAACTGGCACAAGACAGGGATGCCCTCTCTCACCACTCCTATTCAACATAGTGTTGGAAGTTCTGGCCAGGGCAATTAGGCAGGAGAAGGAAATAAAGGGCATTCAATTAGGAAAAGAGGAAGTCGAATTGTCCCTGCTTGCAGATGACATGATCGTATATCTAGAAAACCCCCTTGTCTCAGCCCAAAATCTCCTTAAGCTGATAAGCAACTATGTTAAGTCTTATATTTGAAAACATAGCTTTTTTTGACCTTTCAAAAATTTGTTTATATATTCTGTATTTTACAGATTTGTAGTTTTTTCTTAAATGTTTATAACATTAAAACATTGTTTTATTGATTCTCTTTTAAAATCTCATTTTACAAATAAAATATGCTATTGTAAAGTAATCCAGCCAAACAAAAAATATATATAAGTAAGAAACTAAAAATCACCCAAGATAACCACTGTTGTTGGTAACTATCCTTTAATACATTTTTCAGACATACATACGAATACTTAGATACACAATTTTGAATAAATGGAATAATATTTTACGTGTATTTCATTAAGAAAGCTTTTTAACCATTTTGTTAAATTGTTTATCCCTTTCCTCTCCCTCTCTTACCCATCCCTCCTCACCACAACTATAAAAAAATTAGAAAACTGTTTTGGTCACTTGAACACCTAGTGTAAAAACCCCTCCAACCAAACGAATAAAGATATAACACATTCTCTTTATTGGATGCATAACATTAGCTGAATCATAGTTTGCTTATCTATATACTGAGTGAGGAGCATTCCTGCTATGTCTCATTTTTGTCACTATGAACAAAGCTATGGCAAACATCCTTGCACACATACCGTTAAGTGCTGATAATTTTATTTTTATGGGATTGCTAGGGGAACGTCTGCGTGTACTTGTAATCTTAATTGATATGGCCAGAATTGCATCCTCAAAAGAGATTAATAGTTCACATATCTCTTTTGCATTTTATCCAATACTTATTTTTAGTGTTTATACATTTACATATACACATAATTAGGGCAACTACAATAAACTTATTGCATTATTATTGATGCTAGAAAAAACTCAGTCATTACTCAAGTTTTACCTGGCTCACTGATCTTGTCATCTGCATTTTAAAAGTGAGTGAAACAGGGCTTTAATAACCATGTTTCCAAAGCTATGCCAGGCAGCCAAATAGAACTGCCATCAATAGCTCCTGAGAGCCACAATAAGAAGTTACTCACTTAGTTCCATCAGTTCTTAGAGTTAAGAATGTTCTCTGCATTCCATTTAGCAGAGAAAAATGGCTCCATTTTGCCAGCATTGCTTTCTGATTTTCATCACACTGCTGTGATATTTGCTTCCAGCACCTGAAAGCAGTATAAAAATGCATTTTAAATCATTGAATAGCATTTCTATGTTCTGATTTGTGTTATAAACTTAAAAAAAAAAGATTTAAAGCTATGTATCTCAGCTCCTTGGCAGCATTCTTATTTTTTAAATTCTGAAAAAAATCAAGAACACCCATCAGAGAAATATAATGCCATTAACTCATTGTACTGATACATGATAAATTATTTATAATCTAATTATTATAATTAGAGTTAACATACAAAACCCATTCAGGCTCAGGTTTCACAGCAATGTTCGAATTGATTTTTTGAAGTTCATAATAATTGGCATCTATTTGCACAGGTGGAAATTGATGCCTCCTTGGTTATCTTCTCAGATCTACCCAGTCCCTTACCCTTAGAGTCTCTGCCAAACTTTGAGCTGTGACGAGAATAGAGCAAAACATACTATTCAGTATTATCCAACCTATTTTCAGTCACTTCTTCAAATCAAACAAAAATTAAATTATTCTGTACTGTAACCACAGAAAGATTTTCTAAAAACACATTAAATATTTTTAAAAGCTTGCTATTGTGATTATTAGATCCACATCATAAATAGCTATTCATCTCCATGTAAGGTAGAAGAACAATCTTGGGGGTATAAATGAAGCACAAACTTTGAAAAAAATCTTCTGTCCAGTAGCTGTGTATATGAGTAGTGAGAGAGCCCCAAGTGAAATGCCCAGCAATAATCACTGCATATACATCAGTCCCTAGTGAGCTGTATATTAATGTCTGCCTGGAAATTTAATGGCACCTCTAGGCATAAACAAAGGCTTATTAAAATAGTAAGTAAAATATTCCTGAACACTGGATTGCTTTTTGAATTTTCCTATTCTGCTTTTGGAAATTAAGAAAGCCCATATTGTAATGCTAAAAGACACTGATTGAATCAACGCTTGGCATCATTTTATTTAGGTTCTATTTTACATAGCCCAAAGCAAATAATCTACTTATATTTGTATTCAAAGATTTTTATTTCTAGGAGAAAAACTGTAATGGTTATGAATAGAGTCCCTTTCATCAGTTTCTTTTTTTCCATCTACCACCCACTTTTATATCCACTCTCTTCCTACATAGCTCCCCACATGCTTCAGGAGGACAGAATCCATGAAAGATTTGATTTTCATAAAACATAATCAATGGAAGCAAGTTAATGTTACAGAGACTTTCATGAATCCATCTTGAACATGCAGCTTTGAAGTTCTTGTGGTCTCCCTACAACAACTGTATCCAACATGGCATCTGGTGGATAACAGATGAAAATCATCATTTTTTCAAAGAAAATAATCTGGGGCTGCGGTCTATACCATTGGACATTTCTTTATAACATTTCAGCAGGTAGAATACAATGATGTCTTGAGAAATCTTGACTTGGAAAAATGTGTTATGCTATATCACTACACTCATAGTTTAGGGTCTTCACCTTGCAAAAAAGCAAAACTGTACCTAATGTATTACCTGCTCCATCCCCTCTTAGAAATGACAACACAACTATTTTTGAAGGAACTAGAGCTCATTATTCTTAACTTCCTCCTAAGTATCTCTCTCTCTCTCTCTCTCTAGATTTAGTCAAAAGTTAAATCAATTTAATAAAGCAAGTAATTTGTGAATAAATATTTGTCACTAAGATCTTTTTCTGTGGGTTTTGCCTTAAATTATGAAAGGACTATTTGGCAGTAGTACTTTATCTAGTATATAATGCTCATTATATAACTGGTTGACTTTTCAGTAGCTGAAAGGGTTATCGAATGATGCAACTTGATATACTTTTTTTATAGTAGAAGTTTGTAGTGACTTGTATAACAAGTTTATTTTCCCTGCAGACATATTTACAGGTAACAACTTTAGCAAATCACTTTGAGATGCTTTCATGAAATAGTTGTAGCAGTTGTGACCAATTTAGGTACAGTTTTCTGACATAAGAGAATATATTTAAGGACTCTGAGGGAAATCTTCCTTTGCTCCTATGAGTTACTATTTTTTTTATTTTTTTACTTTTTTTGAGATGGAGTCTCGCTCTGTCACCCAGACTGGAGTGCAGTGGTGTGATCTCAGCTCACTGCAGCCTCTGTCTCCCGGGTTCAAGCAATTCTCCTGCCTCAGCCTCCTGAGTAGCTGGGACTACAGGCACGCACCACCATGCCCTGCTAATTTTTGTATTTTTAGTAAAGATGGGTTTCACCATGTTGGCCAGGCTGGTCTCGAACTCCTGACCTCACTCAGGTGATCCCCCGACCTCGGCCTCCCAAACTGCTGGGGTTACAGGCATGAGTCACCGCCCCTGGCTGGTAAGTTACTATTTTAATCTAAAACCTACTTGATATAATGTCTCCAAAAGCAAACACTATTTTCCTACATTTAAAAAAGAGTATTTTCCCAATCTTCACGCAGATAACCTAGTTTAAAGTTATAATGATGGGCACAAGCTACTATGATGAGGAATAGTTGAAAGATTCATTTCTCTTCCAAAAGTGTGTATTTATTCTTTATATCTCTCGGTAATGCAGAACGTAGGCAAACAATGTCACTTTATGAGCTCTGTCCACTGGTTTTAGCAAAAATAATTGCTTTACCAATAAAAAGAGTGACAGGAAGTTAAGAAATAAAGGATAGACTGCTCTCAAAAAGAAGAAAATTGCCCAAACGTGAGGATAAAGTTTAATTAGGGAAGCTCTGCAGCGCCCCATCTCATAAAACTCATTTTATTAAATTTATGTCCCGTATTTTTGCCACACTATATTGCTTTCTGCACTTAAAATCTGGCCATGAGGATATGAAATTATTTTCCCACTCAGTCACTGGCTTCAGGGGACACAGTTCTGATTTCACCAGGGTCTTTGGTCCTCTTGCCCTTCTGTACCTTATTCAAAAGTTTCAGCAAATTTGACCTCTGAGAAGATACAATTTCCCTTTAGCCTGATGGTTTGACTTTTCTGTTTGCATATTAGAAGTCTGCTCAGATGTAGAAAGTCTTACAGCTGAGCTCAGGAGCCAGAGCCAATATCAAGTGAAGTTTTGTTTCTGATGTATTAATATTTCACAACTGGGCCAATTTCCTTATTCAGAACTTAGCAAATAAATCCTATTTTTCAGGGTCCATTTTGGAGTGACTTGCTTATAAAATTATCTCTATGACCTAGTCTGAGTATTATCTGGTTAATTCTGTAAAATGTCTTTGTCCCCAACATTAAATCATGCCATTGAAGGAAAAAATCCACATGTTCTGGAAGGCTTGATTATCTTGGAGGGCTGCCCAGGCGGGTAACATCTAAACATGTGCTCAATTCCCCTCCCTTTCATTTATAGTGACTCAGTCTGACCAGAAAAATTCTATTGTTGAATTTGATCTTGTTTGAGAAGAAGTGGTATTTTCATTTATGTTTAAATTATTTTTCAAAAGTACATTCATTAACTAGCAGCTTAGAACTCATCTTCCAGTGAAAACTGTTGAAAATCAGAGGCTGAATGCAAACACAGCTCTTTGGGGTCAGGCAAGTATTATTAAGAGCGGAGAAAGCAGGGTAGAGTATACATGGTTTTTTAAAACTTCAGTGAAACAGAGATTACTGGGCAAGAAGCGCTCTGACCTTTATTCCCTATCAAATGCAATCCTCAAGAGTAAGCAGATATGAGAGTAAGCAGGTAGGAGGGTAAGCAGATAGGACTTACACTGCCTCTTTCTTTGGCTTGATGATGAAAGTCTTCCCTTGTCGGAATGGTCCAGGGCCTTTAGAGTGGCGGTCCCCAACCTTTTTGACACCAGGAACCGGTTTCATGGAAGACAATTTTTCCATGGGCAGGGAGATGGGATAGTTTGGGGATGAAACTGTTCCACCTCAGATCATCGGGTGCTAGATTCTTACAAGAAGCATGCAACCTAGATCCCTTGCATGTGCAGTTCACAATAGAATTCATGCTCCTATGAGAATCTGATGCCACCACTGATCTGACAGGAGGCGGAGCTCATCTGGCAATGTGCCTCCTGCTGTTGGTCCAGTTCCTAACAGGACATGGATGGGTACTGGTCCATGGCCCTGGGGTTGGGGGCCCCTGCTTTAGAGGACTCAGCCTTTCCTCAGAGAGTGGCTCATGACTCCTTTGCATAACTGGATGATGATTTGGAGGGGAGAACATAAAAAGGTAGGGTCATGGGGTGAGTTCTGATTCACTTTAGTACTTAATGAGGACAGAAATTGTGGCCCTGTGTAAACATCCAACACAGCTTACCTGTTGGGGGCCACTGAGGGGCAATTGTTTCTCTATTCTTTTAAGGAAACATAGAAACAAGCACAGTTTTGCAATAAAGGAGCTTTAAGCAGAGTATTTTTAGACATGATTTATTTTTTCCTTGAGGCCCATCTTTTCAAAAGCTGCACGCATATTTTGGTCTGCCTTGTTTAGGAAAAATAGATGCTGATCACAGTTCATTAATCCCATTTACTTCGTTACTAGATGGTTGCAGTGGGGGCCCGAAGCCTTATAAAGGATCTATAAAATACTGCGTACTAAATACTAAGATATAAAACTCGCTATGAAAATTAGTAGACAATTTTATATTAGTCATAATGCAAAGAAAAGAGTGAAATATTCAAGAAAACACCTCAAATGCTAGAACTTGAAGAAAATAGGTTTAATTTAATATGGATGAAGCATTGAAGACAAACTTGAGCAAATTGTGAAGCAGGCTACCATCCATTTGTAGTTTGTCAAATTTAATTTTAAAATTTAAGAAAATGTCGTCCATATAAGAACTGTATAGCACTACCACCATTCTTGGGCTTCCTGGTTGTGATGAGGACAAGGACAGCAAACTCATGATCTGCAGGCTCAAGCCCGCTGGACAGATGGATTGTTTAACTTTGAAAAATGTAAATAGCTTGGAGTAAGACAACACACTTCACCACCCCCTGTGGCTTTGCAACCTGCTGCTTAACACACGCCTTGCCCACTTGGGCTCTGAAGGTGTTTATTTTCAGCCCTAGATTATATTACTTCCTTTGGGACTCAGAGATGTTAACAGAAGTAATGAAAGAGAGAGAACCAGGAAGAATAGATGGAACCAGAGAGAGAAGAAACAGATTCTTTTGGCTAACGATGCAACAGTTGGAAGAATAGAGAAAGAAAAAAGATTTGTTTGGCAAATATTCATTAAGTTCCTATCATACACCAAGCACTATTCAAAACACTGGGGGGAAAAAGAAACAACGAACAAAACAGATGAAGTTCTTACATTCATGGAGCTTACACTCTAGTTGGGGAGAAATATAAAACAACAAATAGCTGGGCACGGTGGCTCCTGCCTGCAATCCCAGCACTTTGGGAGGCCCAGGTGGGAGGATTGCTTGAGCCCCGGAATTTGAGACCAGCCTGGGCAACATGGCAAAAACCCATCTCTACAAAAAACACAAAAATTATCCAGGTGTGGTGGCATACGTCTGTAGTCCTAGCTACTCAGGAGGCTGAGGTGGGAGAATTGCTTGAGCCAGGGAGGCGGAGGTTGCAGTGAGCTGAGATTGTGCCACTGCACTCCAGCCTGGGTGACAGAGTGAGATCCTGTCTCAAAAAACAAGCAAACAAACAAATATTGTTAATGGATATAAGTAACATGAAGAAAAAAATTAAAAAATAGGGATATAAGTGACAGGGCAGAAAGGAAGATGCTAATCTGTAAAGTGGTCAGGGAAGGACTTGTTGACAAGGTTACATTTGAGCAGAGATGTGAAGAATGGCATTTCAGGCAGAGGAAACATGAAGTGCAAAGATCCTGAAGCTAGACATGATTAGTGAGTTAGAGCACAAATGAGGCCAGGCTAGGGGAGGAAGGCATGAGAAGGAAGCGGTAAGACATGCAGCAGTGACAAGGCAGTGGAGGGTGCAGCTCTAATAAGAACTAATAAGTTCTAATAAGTTCCACTCTGAGGGAGGTGAGAAGAGGGCTTTGAGTAGAGCTGTGATATAATCTTGCAAGAAAATTCCAATTGTTCCATTGAAAACACAGAAGCATACTTATCTGGCAGGGGAGATACCATATTCATGAAGTTGGTTTTCCAAGGGCCAGGCTTATCCATTGCACTCTGGATGTGCTGACCCCTGTGATTTGCCCACACATGGGAAACTTGACTGCATAATTTGTGCAGTGAGGGACTGCGTTCATGCTTTCCCCAGTCTTCACAGCCTAAGAACAGGCTTCCTCTGTGTAAAGAAATAAAAGAAAACACAAGCATGGGCAGAAGTCAGTAGAACAATTAGGAGGCTCTTACAGTAGTTCAGATGAGAAACAATGGTGGCTCTAAGAGAGTCATAATGATAAGTGCTGCTAGGAAGTGGTCTGTATTTTCTTTGAAAGTAGAACAAGTAGGACTTGTTGATGGATCAGATGTGGAGTGTAAGCAAAAAACAAAAGTGCGGTCAAGGTTCACTCTACTTTCGTCTGTGTTTAAAAATGTCCACAACAAAAAGCAAGAAAACAGAGAGAGGGAGTCAAGGATGACTCAAGATCTTGGACTCAAGAAACTGAGAGAAAGGAGTTGTCATTTACTGTTATGAGCAAAAACAGGGAAAGGAACATATGTAAGGGGTGGGACCGTGAGTTCAGTTTTGGGCATGTTAAATTTGAGATGCCTGTCAGTCCTCCATATGGCAATACCAAGTAGGAAGTTGATTATATGCATTTAGAATTCAAAGAAAAGGCCTGGGCTATAGATAGAAATTTGAAATTATCTGCATGTAGGTGGCATTTAAAGTCTGAAGATTAAGTGAGATCACCTGAAGAGTGATAAAGGAGAGATCTGAGGATTGAACATTTTGGCACTCTCAAGCGTAGAGGTCTGGAATATGAAGAGGAACCAGCAAGGATATGGCAGGATGACCAGAGAACTAGGAAGACAAAAAAAGAAAAAAAAAAAAAAAGCCCAGCAAGGAAGGCATTTTAAGAAAGGGGAATGATCAAAAGTGACTCAAATGCCTCTGATAATGAAGGAAGACAAGAACTAAGAAAAAACCATTAGCTTGGCAACATGGATATTGCTATTAATCTTTGAGTGCATACAAGCCCCTTGAGCTTGCTTCAGGAAATATTAGGAGAAGTACAAACAGCAAATGTAGCCCACCATTTTGAAGGTTTTTGCTATGATAGGGAGCAGAGAAATCAGGTAGTACCTAGAGGGTCATGTGCAGTCAAGTTGGGGTTTGGGTTTTTTAATTTCATTTTATTTTAGAGACAGGATCTCACTCTGTTGCCCAGGCTAGAATGCAGTGGCACCATCATGGCTCACTGCAGCCTCCATCTCCCAGGCTCAAGCAATCCCCCCGCTCAGCCTCCTGAGTAGCTGGGACTGCAGGCATATGCCACCATGCCTGGCTAATTTTAAAAAATTTATTATACAGACAGGGTCTCCCGATGTTGCTCAGGCTGGTCTTGAACTCCTAGAATCAAGCGATCCTCCCACCTTGGCCTCCCAAAGTGCTGGGATTACAGGTATGAGCCAATGTGCCTGGCAGGGTTTTATTTTTAAAGACAAAAATGATCCAGTCAGAGAGGAAACTATGATACAGAAAAGACACACAACTTCCAGAAAGATGCTCTTAGAAGACAAGATCCATTTTACACGTGGAATTCTCTTTAGATAGGAACAGAGATTATCTATTCAATGTGACAGAAGGGAAGACAGGATGCGGGGCATAGAGGAAAGTGTGTGTGTTTGGTGGTGGAAGCATGAGGAAGTTCTAATTATCTCTATTTTCTTAGTAAAATGAAGAGCAAAGTCGTTATAGTGAGAATAAAGAGAATTAGAGAGAATAAATGGCAAGATGCTGTAGGTTCGAAGAGAAAAGAAGGGTATAAAATAGTTGTCTCGGAGAATAAGAGATGAAAGTGATTATTCAAAGGCAGTGAAATTCCCTGGCAATAATGAAGGCCCACTTGAGGGTGACAATCAGGAATCAAAGTAAATCTGTTAGCATAACTTTTTTTGCAGCCATTTCCAACAGATCAGAAGCAGGAAGGAGTAGGTGGAAGTTGGGATTTAACTAAGAAGAAGTAAATTTGATGGTGGAAGAGAAGGACAAGGGAATTGGGATTATATAAGGTAATGGTTATCATGTTGAACTGTTGAATCTTAATTGAGGATAGAGGTAAATGCAGATATGAGGAAGTGAGAAATAGATGCTAAGGTCAATAGATATATGTTTCTTGTGTGGCTTGAAAATGATCAGAATGAGATGGAGACTTGGAAAGTAGTGGTGGGAGTATATGACATCTGAAATTGACATGAAAGGGGGTGCAGTTATTGATACTCGTAAGGTTTAGAGTGCAACCATAAGAACAGGTAGCTGGAGTGATGTGGAGGACAAGATGATGGCAGGAGAGAGCACCAAGAGCCTGAGGGGCTAGATTATTGTAAGGATCTTTTCAATGATATTGAAATCACCAAGAATTAGGAGAAAACTGCTGTTGGGGAGATGACAGTGGGTAAGGCATGAGAATCTTCAAGGAATAATGCGAAGTGACTATGAAGTCTGTAGATGATTGGACATATGGAGCAGTGAGGTGACCCATGGCTGAACTTCAGAGGAAGCAAGGATGTGTTTAGGGAGAAGGAAAGGAGGATAAGCTGAAATTGGCAGTGACTATTCATAGCTGCAGAAAGATCAGGTTTCATTTAGAATAAAGAGACGAAGGTGATGTAGAGACTACTTCAAGGATATAGGAAATTTTGCTAATGACCCACAGTGAACTCCAAGGAACAGGGTGGAAGAGTGTATTGTGGGAAAGGGTGTGAGATTGGGTCATATAAAGAAATGAACAGAGCTATACAAGAATGTGGTTTACAACGATGAGTGGTGAATTGGGGCTTCTTTTGGTGACTGAGATGGCCTGAGTGTATATAGTTTTCACTTGCTGAAAAATTTCCAAGATAATTTATTGAGTTTTGATTATAGAATAAATAGGAGAACATGGCTTGTGAATATGCTCAAGCGGTTTTAGTAGTTTATCACCATGACCAGTAGATGGTATTGTTGGCCCAAGATAGTTTGGTTGCTGTTTGCTGTTCAGCACAGAGTGGAAAAGGGAAGGAAAGGAGGTTACAGATGGACTATGAGAGAAGGCAGTGTGTCTTCCACTTGGTAAAATGTAAAGTATACTGGTAGATTTAGGAGATATCCTTATCTGAACTAGTCACTGTTACACAAAATTAATGTTTGATAGAATGGACAAACAAGCACAAATTCTTGGAAAGGACTGGGAGTTTTAACAAATCTTGAGCGTAGAGTTATAGAAATATATAAAGTGCAAATAATGGGTTTTAAAAGCACATAGATATATCTAAAAGAAAAAAAATCAGTAAGTCAAAGAGATATCTGTACTCCCATGTTAATTGCAGCACTATTCACAATAGCCAAGGTATGGAATCGGCCAGGTACAGTGGCTCACGCCTGTAATCCCAGCACTTTGGGAGGCCGAGGTGGGCAGATCACAAGGTCAGGAGATCAAGACCATCCTGGCTAACATGGTGAAACCCCATCTCTATTAAAAATACAAAAAAATTAGCTGGGTGTGGTGGCACGCCCCTGTAGTCCCAGCTACTTGGGAGGCTGAGGCAGGAGGATGGCGTGAACCCGGGAGGCGGAGCTTACAGTGAGCCAAGATCACGCCACTGCACTCCAGCCTGGGCAGCAGAGCAAGACTCCATCTCAGAAAAAAAAAAAAAAATATGGAATCAACCTAACTGTGAATCAACGGATGAATGGATAAAGAAACTGTGATATATATACACAGTAGAATACTATTCAGCCATAAAAAAGAATGAAATCCTGTCATTTGCAGTAACATGGATGAACTTGGAGGACATTGTGTTAAGTGAAATAAGCCAGGCACAGAAAGACAACTATCTCATGTTCTCATTCATTCATAGGAACTTAAAAAACATAGATCTCATGGAGATAGATAGTAGAATGGCAGTTATCAGAGTTGGGGAAGGGTAAGTGGTAGGATGAGGATGGAGAAAGGTTGGTAAATGTGTACAAAAATACAGTTAGATAGAAGAAATATATTCTAGTGTTCAACAGCACAGTAAGGTGACTAGAGTTAATAATACTTTGTATATTTCAAAATAGCTAGACCAGAAGATTTGGAATGTTTCCAATGTAAAGAAATGATAAATGTTTGAGGTGATGGATATCCCAATTACTTGATTTGATCATTACACATCGTATGCATGTATCAAGATGTCATATGTATCCCATAAAGTGTACACTTATTGTGTATCATAAAAAACACACACAGAGAAACAGAAGAAAACTACAAGAACTTGCAACTCACTTGAGACAGTTCAGGATGCCGAGCCAATGAGATTTCTCGTTTTGCCTCTGGGACAACCATGTGTACTAATTCTGGGAGGCAAATGCATGAGGAGTCACTGGCTAAATTCTGATATTGATCTGGAAGCACATACTCTGAAAAAGGCAAATTTGGTTTTTGCTATAAAAACAAACAAGCACATAAAAACCTACACCCTCTCTTCTCCTGCTTGCTTTGGGAATTCAGAACACAGAGCTTAGAAAGCCAGAGACACTGTGACTTCCTTTTCAGAAAAAGGAGAGGCTGAAAGAGGCTGATGCTGGGCAGAGTCTATGAGCTTTGCATATTCATATCCCTCAGTTGTTCAGCATTAGAAAATTCAGGTAATGAACATGTGAACACTCCAGCAGCCTTTGTATGGCTTGGGGGTTTTCTAGTCTCATGTTCTCTGTATAGAATTGACTGTGTCAAATCAGGAGGTCCCTACCCGCACCCCCAAATTGAATCAGCACTTGTACATTGAAGTTTTTAACATCACCCACAAGATTTTTAAGGGCTTGTCAAAAGAATCTTCATAGTCTCTAGCCATGAATAAAAATGAATTCAGATATCATCCCTATCTCATATTTTATTTCATGGGATTAATTTAATTCATTGAGTTAAATAATATGGGCTGTTAAGTAGTTGCTGGTAATAAGTAGAAATTTTTTAATTTTTTAGGAAAACATACCAACTCTATTCTGGCATACTACTTTTATATAAATGGTTGAAACTTTTTCTTAATGTTAGCACAGTTACACCTTGATTAAGCAATCCTCTAGGGTAGGGATGTTCAATCTTTTGGCTTCCCTGGGCCATGTTGGAAGAACAAGAATTGTCTTGGGCTACACGCAAAATACACTAATGCTAATGATAGCTGATGAGCTAAAAAAAAAAAAAAAGTGGCAAAAAAAAATCTCAAAATGTTTTAAGAAAGCTTACGAATTTGTGTTGAACTGCGCTCAAAGCTGTCCTGGGCCACATGTGGCCTCTGGGCCACAGGTTGGACAAGCTTGATCTAGGGTAAAAAATGAAATCAGACACATTAAGAAAAAAAAATCTGCAACTATCACGTCAAGTTGATCTGTTTGGTATTTATTTGACAATTAAAAGTACTATATGATTATCTCTGCCCACATCTCCTATCAGGCTAAATACAGTTGAAAGTTAATACTAGCCCCGGAAAAACTTGATGTTTTTAAAGTTTCTTTTGGACATATTGCCCTGGCTAAATATCTGCGTGCCAGGTTATTATTTTAAAATTTGTAAATGATTCAAAGGCTAGAGTTTATAAGCTTAACCTGAGAAATTTTCTGGCGAGAATTGCTATTTCTTATCTTCATTGAGAATCAAAAAAAAAAAAAAAAGACCAGAAATCTCTACTTCTTCAGCTATTGGGGTAGACAGTAGGCCTTGGAGGGTGATTCACTCTAGAGTAATGAATGACGGAAATCTTTAGCATTCTGTTATAATAAGACTTTTTCTCTCTGAGCAACTTACTGCTTTCAAAGGCTGCTTTTAGGTGACAGTGGCTCCCACTGCCAACCAAAGGCACCCCTAATTCTTAGCAGCTGTTCCTGTCAACAGCTTCTGTTTGGGAGCCACTCAGAGCAGTGTTTATCACAGCGTGCAAAATCATCTGTGGTACTTATGAAAAATTCCTGGACCTCACCCCAAACCTAATGAATCAGAATCTCTAGGGTAGGCTGTAAATCTGCGTTTCACAAGTTCAGAGTTGAGTTCTGCTTGCATCTCTTATTGTCTGCTAGTGTGTAGCTGTGCTCCTAAAAGAGCTTTTAAACAGAACTACTTTAAATGTTCATAGAGTTGCACCAGAACAGGAGAACAGCATGAAATCCCATTATGTCGCAATCCTAGCTATTTGTTTGAGAAATCAGGGACAGGCTCAGCAGAGACATTTTTTTGGTGAGCAAGTGTGTCTTTTACTGCTTCCTCAAAAACCCTATCCACAACCCTCTTTATCCCTCTTATTCTCAGCATGTTACCTTACATCCTACCTCATCAAGAAAATAGAAGTGATCATCAGTAGTGCTTCTCTATGATCACTGAATTTCTGGATTTCCTGAAAATCTTTCCTGGCATCCATTTTTTCAATAATTGTGTGAGCTTCTAACTCCTTGGAATAATTCATTTTTGCTTGAAATTTCTGTATTATTTTGACTTATACAGGCTGCTTCCAATTCTTTTATTAAAATGATAAAAAACAATTTAAATAATCAATCTAGACTTGATGTCCAAAAATGTCTTTTCCAGAAACACATATTTGTTACTTGACACATTAATTGTATACATACGTAACAAGCATCTTAGTCTAAACATAGTCAAAATTGAGCTCCTGATTTTTCCTCCCAAGTCACCTTCTCCTGCAACCTTCACCAGCTCAATTTAAGACATCACCTTTCTCCACTTGCTCAGGCCAATCACTTTGGTGGCATCTTTAACTCCCTTACTTTTCTCATAACCCACATTCAGTGTATCTGCAAAACCTGGCAGTTCTACCTTTAAAATATATCTAGAAGGAGACCACTTCTCACCATCTGCTCTACTCCTTCTCTGGCCCAAGCCACTCAGCTATCATCTAGATTAGTGTACTAGCCTTGCTCTCTTCTGCCCACACCCTCTGCAGTCTATTCTCAGCGCAATAGCCAGAGTCATCCTGAAAAACTTAAGGCAAGTAATGTCATTTATCTTCTCAAAACCTTCCAGTGGCTTCTTCCTTACTAAGGGTAAAAGAAAAGCTGCTAACTCTTGCCTTTAAGATCCTATATGATCTGGCCTCTTTACCTCCCTAACTTTCATCACTTTTCACTCTCTCTCTTGTTCTCTCTGCACCAGTCACACTGGCTTCCTTCCTAGTCCTAGAACATGCAATTTATGCTGACAACTTCTTTGCTTCCTCATTTTGCTATCCTCCCTTTCCTTCAAAAAGTGTCTTCTCTTTGAGGCATTGCCTGGCCACATTACTTGAAATTCCAGTTTCTTCAACCCCTGATATCTTATATATGCCTTCTTTACTTTTTCTTTTCAGCACTTGAGACTATCCTCCATTCCATATATTTTAATTATTTGCATATTTATTCAATCTCCCCTTCCAGAAGATCCAGGAACACAAGATATTTTTTTCGTTTAATATTATGCCCCCAGCACCTAGGATAATGTCTGGCATATAGTAGGTGCTCAACATGTATTTGGTAGGTATTAAGTGATTCTTTTGGAAATGTTAACAGAGATAATTTCTATTGAAGTTGGTGCTGGTTTCTGGGGAAAACATCATGAAAGTAAGAGTATAAAAGTATTTCCTGCATTTACAGCATTTGGATGATTTACTTCAATCAAGAAATATTTAGTGAGGGCTAGGGTTGGTTCCAAGTCTTTGCTATTGTGAATAGTGCCGCAATAAACATACATGTGCATGTGTCTTTAGAGCAGCATGATTTATAATCCTTTCGGTATATACCCAGTAATGGGATGGCTAGGTCAAATGGTATTTCTAGTTCTAGATCTTTGAGGAATCACCACACTGTCTTCCACAATGGTTGAACTAGTTTACAGTCCCACCAACAGTGTAAAAGTGTTCCTATTTCTCCACATCCTCTCCAGCACCTGTTGTTTCCTGACTTTTTAATGATCACCATTCTAACTGGTATGAGATGGTATCCCATTGTGGTTTTGATTTGCATTTCTCTGATGGCCAGTGCTGATGAACATTTTTTCATGTGTCTGTTGGCTGCATAAATGTCTTCTTTTGAGAAGCGTCTGTTCATATCCTTCACCCACTTGTTGATGGGGTTGTTTTTTTCTGGTAAATTTGTTTGAGTTCTTTGTAGATTCTGGATATTAGTCCTTTGTCAGATGAGTAGATTGCAAACGTTTTTTCCCATTCTGTAGGTTGCCTGTTCACTCTGATGGTAGTTTCTTTTGCTGTGCAGAAGCTCTTTAGTTTAATTAGATCCCATTTGTCAATTTTGTCTTTTGTTGCCATTGCCTTTAGTGTTTTAGACATGAAGTCCTTGCCCATGCCTATGTCCTGAATGGTATTGCCTAGGTTTTCTTCTAGGGTTTTTATGGTTTTAGGAACTTAAAGTATAATAAAAATAAATAAATAAATAAAAAGAATTGAAAGGGGGAAAAAAGAGAGAATGTCAAAAGACAGAGGGAAGGGGGGATTACAAAGAGCTGCTCCTACTGCATTCTTTTTATATTAATGGTTAGTGAATACCAGTGTTAGACGTTCACATCACAGTACAAATAAGATGATTTGATTTTAATTTTTAGACAAAAGTAGTCTTTCTGCATTCTAGGTCATGCTGATAAAACCTTTTTTGAAAACCAAACTATTCATATAGTCTGTACCAAGCCTTACCTATACATGCAGCTAGAAAATACCTAGAGGACTTTATTCGTTAACAAATTATCACACATGCATGCTGCTCAGAGAGTATGTTTAAGATAGTGGTTAAAAGCACAGGCTCTGAAGCCATACTGCCTGAGTTTGTTTCCTTTCTGTGCCACTTTTCTATCTCTGTAACTCTTGTCAACTTGCCACTCTCTCTGTACTTCCATTCCTTCACCTGAGAACTGATAAGAGTAGGACTTACTACATAGGATGTTGTGAGGATGTTGTAAAGCATTTATTATTTGGTTCTATATTCAGTCTATTCTGATAACTAAGCAGTTGGGAGCAGAAATGAAAGACTTTAATTTCTAGGAGTTTTATCTCTGAAATTCTATCTCCTCTAACCTGGAAGAGCTTCTATTCTCTGCCCCTATGGCACCCTGTGCCACCCCCACCATAGCATATGTTACTGTGCAGTATCTATTGCCTCTCCCACCTACATTAAACTGTAAGCTTCATGAGGACAAAATGTGTGTCTATTTTATAATCATTATTGCTTCAATGCCTAGCATATAGGTTGTACTCGGTAAATATTTATTGGATGAATGTTAAATAAAATGTATTAAAAGAAATATCACAAATAAAAAAAGAAATATTTAGTGAGGGCATGGGTTGCTGGGATATAGAGTGATGAATAGATAAAATCATGCTTTCATAAAGCTAAATGTTAGGGTGAAATTAGAATTTTGGTTCTAGTGGAAGGAGCTAATGATAAATAAATAAAGAAAGTATATAATGCATCACATGAGGGTAAGTGCTGTGGGGAAAAAAAGGAAAAAGGGGAAGTTAGTCATGGCGTAGATGTGCAATTTTAAATTGAGGACTGGGGAAGGCCTCTCAGAGGAGGTGATAGTTGAATAGAGACCTAAGTGAAGTGAGGGAGGGAACCAAGTGGATATTTGCAGGGGGAAATGTTCCAGACAGAGAAACTGTGAATACAGAGGCCCTGAGGCAAGAGTATGCCTGGGGTATGGGAGGAGCCATAACAGGGCTAGGGAGGCTAGACCATAGTGAGCCTGGGGTGGAGGGGGAGGGGTCACAGGGAAGGCCAAGGGGTATCTGGGGCTCAGGTCAGTTGAGTTCTTGCAGACCAGGGTAAAGCTTTTGGAAAAAGTGAGCTGGAGGGCCATTGGAGGGTTTCAAGCAGAAGAGAGTGATGATCCGGCTTGCATTCTGGAAAGATCACTCAGGCTTCTAGGTGGACAATAGGCTGGGAAAGCCGAGGACAGCAGAGCAGCAGTCAAGTTAGTTAGGAAGCCAATGGCTGTCATCTTTGATGGAGCTGATGGTATCTGAGGAAGTGGTACAAAGCAATAAGGTTTTGCAAATGTTTTGAAGGTGGAGCCAATGGAATTTAAGATTAGATGTGGAATGTGATGGAAAGCACTTAAGACAACTCCAATATTTTGGGCCTGACTAGCTAGGAGACTGGAGTTACCACTTTGTAAGAAAGGGCAGGTTTTGGTGGGAGGGGCATCGCTCAAATAAATAAATTGTTACTTTTTAGATGTTAAGTTTGAGATTCTATTAGACATCCAAGTGAAGAGTTTCAGTGTCCAGTTGGGTATGTAAGTCTGGAGCCTGGGTGAGAGACAGGGACTGAAGATACAAATTTGGGGGGCCTCAGTAGATAGCATTTAAAGCCATAAGGTTGGATGACGTTTTCAGAGAATAAATGGCAAAGATAGCTGAAGAGATTTCAAAGAGGTAGTTAAGGCCCTCAAACTCACCTTCCTGGAAGAATTAGCTCAGTGATATTAAGATGACTGGAGAGGTTGACAATGAACCAAGAGCAAAAATCTTTAAGGATTGATGAAGAGTGATCTGGGAGTCCTTGGTGACTGCAACAGGGATGTGTGATGGGTAGAATTCACAAAGGCATGAGATTTGAAGGAGTTGAGAGGTTTGGGGAAGAGGCAAAACCATGGCCTGGAAGTGGCAAGGAAGGGCACAGAGAATAGCTACGACTTCTGGGCCCAGTTTTAGGAGACAAAAAGATTCACCACCTGAGGGAACTGTAGGGAAAGTAGTGTCCTCAGGGGAGAGCCAGGTTAGAGTTCCAGCAAGATGAGATTAAGGCTATGGGGGATTTTTGTTGATGACAGATGTGAGTTCCAGAGGGAACAGAGACAGGAACACTGCTGGCAGGAGGGAGAAAGATCAGGTCAGATTATTACGGGGTTAACAGAGCCATATGGGGCTGAGTGTTGGAGTGAAGAGGCCTCATCTGGCCTTCTTGAGGCTGCTGAAGTAAACAGGGATGGAGAATACGAAGGGATTAACTCTGGTAGATTCTTGGGCTGACAAAGGTGAAGAGGCTGTGAATCACTGCAGAGGGAAGTCAGGGTTCGTGCCTATAGCAGACAGAGCTTTGTGGGCTCATGGTTCAGTCATTCTGATGATGGTTTGAAGCTAATGCACACACGATGGCACCAGGGACCTGGCCTCTAGTTGCTTTCACATAGTCAATTCATACAATGGGCCCTCAGTTAGTAATGGCAGAGGAAGTTCTTCATGGCCTTCCATCCGCATGGACAAAATAGTTTCTTCCATCTAAAAGGATAAGGTGACAGATGTTTTCCTTGGTGTTCTCTAATCCATCACTCCTGAGACCACACACATCCCTCTACATAATGGAAGGGAGGATCGGATTGATTTCTCTTTAGTAAGAAAATCAGTGGTTCACAAAGTACCTGACTGAGGCTAACTTTAAGTTTAAAAAATATACTTAAGATTCTTTGTTTTGTTGGCTTGGAATTTGAGTCACAATACTTCTGAGGTTGTTTAATAAGGCTTTCATTAAGAGGGAGACCACTTTTTATGGAAAACATTCACCTGGCTTATTATTATTATTATTATTATTATTATTATTATTATTATTATTTAGAGATGGGGTCTCATCACTGTGCCCAGGCTGGAGTGCAGTGGTTGTTCACAGGCGCGATTATAGCTTACTGTAGCTTCGAACTCCTGTCCTCAAGGGATACCCCTGTCTCAGCCTCCTGAGGAGCTGAGACGACAGGCACCTGCCACCATGCCCAGCTTACCTGGCTTATTAAAATAGAGCCTCTCTTAGGGGCCAGCCTTGAAGTGTGTCTCCTAATGCAGGAAGACTGTGTTGCTGAATGTCCTCCCCCGCAGGGCATTGATGCTGATAGAATCATCTCTGGTTTTCTTTCCATTGCTTCTGCAATGAAAATGTTAGTGATGAATTGAGGAATTTAAGGCTGTGAACACTTTTTTTTTTTTTTTTTTTTTCAGGGAGAGTGACATTTAGGAGGGGAAAAAAAGGAAAGCACTTGAGGGTAAAGGGAGAATGAGTAATACTTCTCTCCCTCTTTCCAAATCAGAAATGGCTTCAATCTTCTTTTTCTCTCATGAGTCAGAAAAATAAAGTGATACAAAATCCAGTCTATTCTTATGCCTTGAGGCATGACTGCAACTAAACCATTAGGGGATGCAAATGGAATCTTCTCTGACAAAAATTCAGTGTCTAGCACACTGTCTGGGCCACACACAAAACCACCCATTCGTAAATGGGCTTTTCCTCTGAACATTGGTGGGCAGGCTCTGCGTAAGCATGGAGGAAAGTTTGACTTCTAGGCCTATTGAAAGTAAAATAACACTCTAAAATTTTCCTTAAAGTTAACAGATAATAGACTGAGATTGAAATCAGTTTTAGTCACTGAATTTAAAAAATGAGACATTTCATTAACTTGAGGGCTTTTGAAAAGCAGCACTATTGCTGGGGAGTAGATCATTTGTTTCTAACCTTACTGTTCTGTAGCCTGGGATTCAACTGTGCTCAGGTAAATTTTGCCCGTCTGCATGCAAATGATAGATAGGATTGAGGCATTCATTTACTATAAGCTCCTATGACTGCTTAAGAAATACTATGGCAGTTCCTCCAAAAAATTAAAAACAGAATTACCATATGACCCAACAATTCCACTCCTGGGTGTATACTCAGGAGAATTGAAATCAGGGTCTCAGAGATATTTGTGAATTTGTATACACATAATCATAGAAGTATCATTTGCAAGAGCCAAAATGTAGAATCAACACCAATGTCCGCCGAGAGCGACTGGATAAATAAAATGTGATACATGCATTAATGAAATATTATTTAGCCTTGAAAAGGAATGAAATTCTGACACATGCTACAACATGGATGAACCTAAATGACATTAGGCTAAGTGAAATAAGCCAGTCACAGAAAGACAAATACTCTGTGATTCCACTTATATGAAGTACCTAGAGTGTCAAATTCATAGAGATAGAAAGTAGAATGGTGGCTTGCCGGAGGAGCATGGTGGGGGAGGGAAATGAGGACTTAGTGTTTAATGGGTATAGAGTTTCAGTTTAGGATGATGAAAAAGTTGGAGATGGTTAGTGGTGGTGGAAGAGCAATGTGAATGTGCTTAACAACACTGACCTGTACAGTTAAAAATGGTTAAGATATTATAGTAAATTTTGTTAAGTGTATTTTGCCACAATTTTTAAAAAGCTAATGGATTTACCTATTGTAGGCATTTTATATAAATGAATTCATGCAATATGTGACTGGCTTCTTTTACTTACCAAAATGTTTTCAAGATTAGGCCAGGCACGGTGGCTCACACCTGTAATCCCAGCACTTTAGGAGGCCGAGGCAGGTGGATCCCTAGAGGTCAGAAGTTCGAGACCAGCCTGGCCAACATGGTGAAAGCCTGTCTCTACAAAAACAGAAAAGTTAGCTGGGCATGGTGGTGGGTGCCTGTAGTCCCAGCTACTTGGGAGGCTGAGGCAGGAGAATAGCTTGAACCCAGGAGGTGGAGGTTGCAGTGAGCCGAGATCACACCACTGCACTCCAGCCTAGTTGACAGAGTGAGACTCTGTCTCAAAAAAAAAAAATTATTCATGTTGTAGTATGTATTAGAATTTCCTTCCTTTTTAAGGCTAAATAAGGAGAACTACAAACTGCTCAACGAAATAAAAGAGGATACAAACGAATGGAAGAACATTCCATGTTCATGGATAGGAAGAATCAATATCGTGAAAATGGCCATACCGCCCAAGGTAAATTATAGATTCAATGCCATTCCCATCAAGCTACCAATGACTTTCTTCACAGAATTGGAAAAAACTACTTTAAAGTTCATATGGAACCAAAAAAGAGCCCTCATTGCCAAGACAATCCTAAGCCAAAAGAACAAAGCTGGAGGCATCACGCTACCTGACTTCAAACTATACTACAAGGCTACAGTAACCAAAACAGCATGGTACTAGTACCAAAACAGAGATATAGACCAATGGAACAGAACAGAGCACTCAGAAATAATACCACACATCTACAACCATCTGATCTGCGAGAAACCTGACAGAAACAAGAGATGGGGAAAAGTTTCCCTATTTAATAAATGGTGCTGGGAAAACTGGCTAGCCATATGGAGAAAGCTGAAACTAGATACCTTCCTTACACCTTATACAAAAATTAATTCAAGATGGATTAAAGACTTACATGTTAGACCTAAAACCATAAAAACCCTAGAAGAAAACCTAGGCAATACCATTCAGGACATAGGCATGGGCAAGGACTTCATGACTAAAACACCAAAAGCAATGGCAACAAAAGCTAAAATTGACAAATGGGATCTAATTAAACTAAGGAGCTTCTTCACAGCAAAAGAAACTACCATCGAAGTGAACATGAAACCTACAGAATGGGAGAAAATTTTTGCAATCTACTTATCCGACAAAGAGCTAATATCCAGAATCTACAATGAACTCAAACAAATTTACAAGAAAAAAACAAACAACCCCATCAAAAAGTGGGCAAATGATATGAACAGACACTTCTCAAAAGAAGACATTTATGCAGCCAACAGACACATGAAAAAATGCTCATCATCACTGGCCATCAGAGAAACACAAATCAAAACCACAATGAGACACCATCTCACACCAGTTAGAATGGTGATCATTAAAAAGTCAGGAAACAACAGGTGCTGGAGAGGATGTGGAGAAATAGGAACACTTTTACACTGTTGGTGGGACTGTAAACTAGTTCAACCATTGTGGAAGACAGTGTGGCAATTCCTCAAGGATCTAGAACTAGAATTACCATTTGACCCAGCCATCCCATTACTGGGTATATACCCAAAGGATTATAAATCATGCTGCTCTAAAGACACATGCACATGTATGTTTATTGCGGCACTATTCACAATAGCAAAGACTTGGAACCAACCCAAATGTCCATCAATGATGGAATGGATTAAGAAAATGTGGCACATATACACCATGGAATACTATGCAGCCATAAAAAATGATGAGGTCATGTCCTTTGTAGGGACATGGTTGAAGCTGGAAACCATCATTCTCAGCAAACTATCACAAGGACAAAAAACCAAACACCGCATGTTCTCACTCATAGGTGGGAATTGAACAATGAGAACACATGCACACAGGAAGGGGAACATCACACATCAGGGACTGTTGTGGGGTGGGGAAAGGGGCTGGGAAAGCATTAGGAGATATACCTAATGTAAAGGATGAGTTAATGGGTGCAGCACACCAACATGGCACATGTATACATATGTAACAAACCTGCACGTTGTGTACATGTACCCTAGAACTTAAAGCATATTTTAAAAAAAGGCTAAATAATTTTCCATTGTACAGATATATTACATTTTTCCAGGAGCTGGAGAAAGGAGCGAATGGAGGCTGCTAATGAATATGTTTTCTTTCTTCCTTTTCTTTTTTTTTTTAAATTGAGACAGGGTCTCACTCTGTCACCCAGTCTGGAGTGCAGTGAACACAGCTCACTGCAGCCTCAACCTCCTGGGTTCAAGCAATTCTCCCACCTGAGCCTCCTGAGTAGATGGGACCACAGGCATGCACCACAATGCCTGGCTAATTTTTTAACTTTTTGTAGAAACAGAGTTCTACTACTTTGCCCAGGCTGGTCTTGAACTCCTGAGCTCAATTGACCCTCCCGCCTTGGCCTCCCAAAGTCCTAGGATTATAGACGTGAGCCACTGCACCCCTCCTGGGTTTTCTTTATGGAGTGATGAAAATATTCTTGAATTAGACTGTTGTGACAGTTGCATAATTCTGAGTATACAAAAACCCACTGAATTGTACACTTTACAAATGCACATTTTATGGTGTGTAAATTTTCCCAATAAAGCTGTTATTTACAAACTGGAAAAACCTCTACCAACTAATGACATCTTAGATTAATTAACAAAAGTACAGTGTCCATAACAAATGTCGTGAAAAGGCACCCATTTAGAGCCAGAAGGCCTGCATTCTAGTATTGACTCTGACACTTAATAATGTGACTTTGGTCAAGTATGAATTTCTGTAAACCTCATGTTTATCACTGGGAGATGGCATGGAGAGATTCAGTTCTTTTAGCTCTTTGTCTTACACATCTTGTGCTTTTCCGTGTCACCAGCTGCCTCTAAATAGGTAAGCAACAGCTGCAGGTGAATCTGGAACAGATGTCAAGCTGGAATTTCATTCCGGCAATTGCTATCTTCACAAAGTCTTTTTCTGTTAAGAAGCTTTCTAGCCTACCCTCCTTTATATTGATATAATGAAAGTTAAGCAGGCCTCAATTGTGCTGCAGCCAATTACTAAAGGGACACAAATGTCCCAGCCTACACTGGAAGGGAAGGACAGGATTTCTGTATATGCATGTCTAAGAAAATGCAAAAGTGCTTGCAAAATGTTGCTGTTTTGCACATATTGACTTTTGCAGAAGTTGTCTCCTTTGCCTCACCCCAGTCATCTATGTTCTGAAATATTTAACTAAAGGGTTCCTGTATTAGTCTGTTCTCATGCTGCTAATAAAGACATATCTGAGACTGAGTAATTTGTAAAAGAAAGAGGTTTAATCGACACAGTTCCACATGGCTGGGGAGGCCTCACAATCATGGTGGAATGTGAATGAGGAGCAAAGTCACATGTTACGTGGTGGCAGGCAAGGAGACCATGTGCAGGGGAACTCCCCTTTATAAAACCATCAGATCTTGTGAGACTTATTCACTAATGAGAGCAGCATGAGAAAGACCTGTCCCCATGATTCAATTATCTCCCACCAGGTCCCTTCCATGACATGTGGGAATTATGGGAGCTATGATTTGAGATTTGGGTGGAGACACAGCCAAACCATATCATTCCACCCCAGCCCCTCCCAAATGTCATGTCCTCACATTTCAAAACCAATCATGCCTTCCCAACAGTCCCTCAAAGTTTTAACTCATTTCAGCATTAACCAAAAGTCCACAGTCCAAAGTCTCATCTGAGACAAGGCAAGTCTCTTCTGCCTACGAGCCTGTAAAATCAAAAGCAAGTTGGCTACCTCCTAGATACAATGGGGGTACAGGCGTTAGGTAAATACACCCATTCCAAATGGGGGAAATTGGCCAAAACAAAGGGGGGCTACTGGACCCATGCAAGTCTGAAATCCAGGGGGACGGTCAAATCTTAAAGCTCCAAAATCATCTTCTTTGACTACGTGTCTCACATTCAGGTCATGCTGATGCAAAGTTTGGGTTCCTATGGTCTTGGGTAGCTCTGCCCAAGAGGGAGCTTTGCAGGGTACCACCCCCATCCTGGCTGCTTTCACAGGCTGTCATTGAGTGTCTTGGCTTTTCCAGGTGCATGGTGCAAGCTGTTGGTGGATCTACCATTCTGGGGTCTGGAGGATGGTGTCCCTCTTCTCACAGCTCCCCTAGGCAGTGCCCCAGTGGGGACTCTGTGTGGGGACTTCAACCCCACATTTCCCTTCCACACTGCTCTAGCAGAGGTTCTCAACAAGGGCCCCACTACTGCAGCAAACTCCTGCCTGGGCATCCAGGCATTTCCATACATCTTCTGAAATCTAGGCAGAGGTTCCCCAAACTCAATTCTTGGCTTCTGTGCACTTGCAGGCTCAATACCACATGGAAGCAGCCAAGGCTTGGAACTTGCACCCTCTGAAGCAATGGCCTGAGCTATATATTGGCCCCTTTTAGCCATGGCTGGGATGCAGAGACAGCACAAAGCAGCAAGGCCCTGGGCCTAGCCCAGGAAACCATTTTTTCCTCCTAGGCCTGCAGGCTTGTGATGGGAGGGACTGTTGTGAAGACCTCTGACATGCCCTGGAGACATTTCCCCATTGTCTTTGTAATTAACATTTGGCTCCTCATTACTTACACAAATTTTTGCAGTGGCTTGAATTTCTGCTCAGAAAATGGGTTTTTCTTTTCTATCACATTGTCAGACTGCAAATTTTCTGAACTTTTATGCTCTGCTTCCCTTTTAAACATAAGTTCCAATTTTAAACCATATCTTTGTGAATACATAAAACTGAGTGTTTTTAACAGCACCCAAATCACATCTTGAATGCTTTGCTGCTTAGAAATTTCTTCCACAAGATACCCTTATTCATCTCTCTCAAGTTCAAAGTTCCACAGATCTCTAGGGCACAGGCAAAATGCTGCCAGTCACTTTGCTAAGGCAAAACAAGAATTGCCTTTGCTCCAGTTCCGAACAAGTTTCTCATCTCCATCTGAGACCACCTCAGCCAGGACCTTATTGTCCATATCACTGTCAGCATTTTGGTCAAAGCCATTTGACAAGTCTCTAGGAAGCTCCAAGCTTTCCCATGTCTTTCTGTCTTCTTCTGAGCCTTCCAAGTCTCTAGGAAGTTCCAAACTTTCCCACATTTTCCTGTCTTCTTCTGAGCCCCCTAAACTGTTCCAAACTCTGCCTGTTACCCAGTTCCAAAGTTGCTTGTATCTTTACAGCAGCACCCCCCTACCAGCTACCATTCTACCACACTAGTCTGTTCTCACACTGCTAATAAAGACATACCCAAGACTGGGTAATTTATAAAGGAAAAGGGCTTAATTGATTCAGTTCCACATGGTTGTGGAAGGCTCACAATCCTGGCTGAAGGCAAATGAGCAAAGTCACATCTTACATGAGGCAGGAAGACAGAGCATGAGCAGGGGAGCTGCCCTTTATAAAATCATCAGATCTCAGGAGACTTATTTACTATCAGGAGAACAGCACAGGAAAGCCCCACTCCCGTGATTCAATTACCTCCCACTGGGGTCCCTCCCATGACATGTGGGAATTACAGGAGCTACAGTTCGAGATCTGGATGGAGACACAGCAAAACATACCAGTTCCCTATCCATTCCCTTTGATTTTGGAGTTTTTACAGTGTATTTCTGATGTCACACCATGTTTAGAGGAATGATGTGACCTTTCTTTCTGGCCATCTCTTTCTGATCATCCTCTTGATCCCTATAGACCCAAGGAGACTTAGACTTTAAGTTACTGTCATTTCCTTTCCCCACCTCGAAGCTGCCCTTCAAAGACAGAAAAGTGCCCTCAGTCAATTCTCTAATTTCCTCACCAACATTTTCCATATTATTGTGAGCTATTATTAGAAAAAATGGATCTGTGAAAGAACAAGTGATTATCTACTCTCTGAATTCTTTAGGGGTAGTATAAGTACATTTCTAGTTTGTTCCACTCAGGAGAAACTCAGAGAATGTGTGCAGAGGATAGACCTGCATTAAGCATCTTGATTGAAGAGATGACTTCATACATACAGTCACAAGGTAAGATCAAGCTACTCACCCATGCCAAAGAGCCAGAGATTCACTAACTAATTAAACTGTCAATTGAAGATGAGGGATATTATACTTATGTTTGAAAATATTGAATTGATAAGAAATGTAGTGCTACCAGGACAGTAGAAGGTAGTTGAGTAAAGGAATAGTTGATGTTCAGTGAGAAAGTTCATCTTTCAGGTTTGAGGAATTTACTGATAGCAGAAAAGGAACACTCTGGAGAGGAAAGATTGGAAGTTTTAGACCTTTTAATGTGAGAAACTTTAAGTATGTTGAGTTGCTGACACCACAGACTTTCTGGGGCCAGAGCCTCAAAATAGTTCTTTATGAAAACTCCTTAAAATACAATTTTGAAAAATCCTGTCCATTCAGGTATATTTGTAGAGGTGAATAATATTTCAATGCACGTATAAAAGCCAAATGCTTGGCCTATGACCTCACTGGAGGTAGATGTCCTCATGTATCATCTGAAGAAAAATATATTGCTTAAAAAAGGCATTTTAAGGCTCTCTGGAAAAGTTTAAAATAGAGAAATATTATTTTCCTTAGAAGGGCTAATAAATAATTCACTCCAGCTATAAATCTCAATAAAAAAAAACCTTTCTCCTTTTTCAGCGAGTCTCAGTCCTCTGTCTGTAATGGAATATAGTTCTTCTTTGGCTATCCCACATCTAATCATAATGCATCCTGGAAGTGGCCTCTGATTTTTTCCTTTCTCCTTCATCATTGTGGTTCTGTTGGATTTTTTTCCCACTCTTGACTTTAAGGGCGGACCTGTGACCTAAGTCTGGCCAGTCAAAACACCTCTAGGGATGGTGATTGGTTAAGGATGGGCACATGACCCTGTGAGGCAAATTGGAAACAACAAGGTTAACTTCAGGACATTGGCATCAGCAAGTACATTTTTAAAAGTTAGCGTTATAGGTAAGTAGGGCTTAATATTGCTTTGAAATCCTGGGAGTAAATGTGGGACACATGCCTTAGAGTTATCCCACAAAAGTGGGTATTTACACCCTGACTCCCATCATTCATTGGGTATAAATACCCAGTTTCCTTGTTCCTAGGGTGGGATAACCTGAGGCATGAAGGCTACTGGTCATAGTGGTGGTGGTGAAGTCATTAATTCCCCTGTATTTTGGGCTCAGGTGGTCAGAGAAAGCCCTCAGGCAAAGCAATGCATTTGGAAGTTGGTCTTGCATGTACCAAAATAGTAAGGGCAAAGGGGATATGGGTGGGGCATCGACAGCATCTGCAACAGTAAATAATGATCTTCAGACAATATATGTTTTTCCATTTTATAGTAAACACTTAGTAAATATTAGTTATGATAGTATTTATTCATTTTACAAACGTCTATTGTACCATGTGTTAGGATACATTCACTGTGCTAAATGCTGGGAGTAAAACAATAAACAAGATAGAGACAATCCCATCCTTCAAGGAACTGGCAACGTATAGCAGATACAAGCAAGTAGGCAAGAAATTATGTGTTAAGGATAGGGAAATAACGGGGTGCAGGGAGAACACACAGGGAAGGATCCGAACCCAGAACACATTTTCAAAGCACCATCTCAAGTGCCAGTAGCTTCCATTGCAATAGCCGGAAAAAAAAGTTGGAGAGAGAGAAAAATAAATGGATGATGGAGGTGGAAGTGAAGCTGAGATTTTATTGTACATCATTTTGTATTGTTGATTTTATGTGTATGTGTATGTGTATATTTTAGTAAACATATTTTTTATGTGTATGTGTATATTTTACTAAACAAAAAATAATTTTTTAAGAAGTTATTCAACTTTAAAGGAGTAAGTCTAATAAGTACCAACATGAATAAAATAACCGACTGTCATAGTAACCTAAGCAACTGTCTAATGAAGTGTGGCTAAGGAGATTCAGGAACACAAGTCCAATTTAGGTGATGTGAGTATAAGTCACAAAGAGGCATGGCTGGAATTCAATAGCATCTGGAAAGTTTAAGTCTGACATAATGCATCCTGGCTGGTTTGAGGAAAAGGTGGTGTTACCATCCAGGGTGTGGCAGCAGGAAGTACAGAGCAGAGAGTCAGAGATTAAGTGTCTGTCATTATGTTTCTAGGACAGTTGGGGAAAGGGCTGCACAAACCAGCCATCACAGGCACTGGGTCCTCCTGGCAGGGATTTGGAGGACAACAGACAATTGTTAAATTCAATACATTCTTTCTGAAATGAAAACATCAGTCTATCACAAGTCAATAACACTGACCATCCCTGGCTTTACACTCACTAAATAACCCTTTGACATGATCTGGTTTTCCATGTGGATAATCCTACAGAGGCAGTGTAGTCCCTCCTTGTGAACTTTTTGGCCCCTTTGATAGACATTTCTTAAATGAACACATTGGCTCCTCTCTACTTGGTTAGTATGACTTGGAGACCCTATACCTGATTATTTCCTAGGGGTAAGCTGACGAAAATAATATATCTGAGCCTGCAGAGGCAAGCACAGGACTTGAAGCACACTGGCCTCACCAAGGTAAGTACCCTGTGGGACCCTAAGTCACATTTCTTTTGTATTTCACTGTAACTGCAAATACTTAACCAGAATTTTGAAGGTTTGCATTGTTGCAATGAAGTATAGCATTCAACTCAGGGCCACCCAGTTGCTCAAATCAAAGGTCCCTGTTCATATTTGCAAAATCCATGTACTCACCTCAGAATTTAACAAATGTTAACATTTTACCATATCTGTTTCAGATATATATTTGTAGGAAATAAAGTGTGCTATAATGATCTTTTTTTGTTTGTACTGACCTTTGTACATTTCCATGATTTCATGCTCCTTCCACCCTCCTTCCCTTCCAAAAGTTACATCATCTGAAGTTAATATGTATTATTTTATCCATGTCTTTATATTTTTACTATATGTTTGAACCCTAAACAATATTATATGATTTTGTAAATGTTTAAGCTTTAGGTTAGTGATATTTTATCTCCATTATTCTATGACTTCTCTGGTTATTTACTCAATATTGTTTCATAGACTTATTTGTGTAGCTATACATGGTCGTGCTTACATTTAAAATTTTAATATGCATACTCTGCTGTAAGGTTTTCCAGTTATCTCAAGCCATTCACTGTCTCTGTACTTCTCCACAATAAGACAAAGGCCTTAGCCTGCTTTGACCTCACACTGAAAGTTCTTCTGCTATCTTTCTCGTTATTGTTGTCTATAATTTAATTCCAAATTATTTTAATACACATAGTTTTTATGATTAATTTCACCCACTGATGTGTTCATATTTGTTACCCCTGTATATCTTTCTGGATCTTTTTTCTTCATAGTTGTTGAATTACCTCCTTTCATAGCTGTTTCAAATAAGCCTGAAGTTTCAGTGTCCTCTTGACTGAAAATCCACACCACATTTTTCATAAAATTGGATTATATTATAAATGCAGTGTCAAAACTTGCTCTTTTTGCTTAATGATAACTATAGATCCATATATTTATTTCTAACATCCATCTAGTTCCATGATTTAATTCACTCATCCTCTATTGATGAATATTTAAATTGTTTCCAAATATTTTCTGAGAAAAATAATGTTACAGTGAATAGCCTTGAAAACATAGGTCTTTGTCCATTCGACTGGTTCCTGTCTGGTTAAGTTCCTGGTCATGGCATTTCAGAGTCAAATCCACATACATTTCAAATTTTGATAGACATTGCTAAGCTGTCCTCAGAGAGATTGCTATACCAGCACAAACTTTATGTGTTTTCCTGCTTTCCCAACTTAATTCAATATGGTTTGTCAATCTTTTAAAAATTTTGACCAACTTTTCTTGATTATTAGTGAGGTTGAGAGGCCACACAGTCCTCCTCTGTGTTCACAGAACACACTTGGATCTGTTTCACTTCGGGTTCTTTGTAAATGCTCTCCATTCTGCCAAGAATATGTCCGCTTTCTACTGGACTTTCCTCTTAAACATCCCTCAGAGAAACGTTGCCTTGTCCCCCGACTAGTTTAAGTCTTCCTGTTCCCACTTCTCAGAGCACTCACCATTTCTTAACATGCAGCCTAATTGTAGGCATAATAATCTGTGTGATCATTTATCTCATGCCTGCTTCTTTTGCATGACAGTGAGGCCCATGTGAGCAGGAAACTTGCCTCTTTCATTCAAAAAGATATTAACACTGGGACAAGTGCTCCATCAGTCCCTTTTGGTGAATGAATGCATAAAGTGTGATGCAGCCATTTGGTGCCACAGAATATTTTACAACATGTTAAGAAAGTATTCAAACTGCTCCAGTTTTTATTACTAAACCTTTGCACATCTAGCCTGCTTCTGAAACAGCAATCACAATAAATAAACAACAGGTTCTTTCAATTCCCAGTGCTGACATAATTTTCTCTTTTTCCCAACATGCTGCTGACATACAATTCAATAATAAACATTTGTTGAAAACCTAGTATATGCTGGGCATTGAGAACACAAGGCTGAACAAGATGTGATCCTTGTTCTTAAGAAGCTCTTCACCTAGTGCAGAGAAAAAGCCTTATAAACAAGTTCAGTAAAACATGCTGTTGAAGATGGTGGAGGGAGGGTACAGAGGGGATACAAAGATTCCAGTCTGGGGGAAATAGCTCTCACCTATCTGGGAAGACAAAAAAGTCTTCTTCCCAGCAGAAAGAATGGCAGGAGTAAAGGCATGGAAGTCCACTGATAGGTTGGAACAGACACCACAGTGAGAAAGAAGACTGAAGAGGTAAGTAGCAGACCCGACCTTGAAGAGCCAAGTGGGCATGATGAGCAGTTTAGACTTTCTTCTATAGGCAGTGGTGACCCACATTCCAGCAGAAAGATGATAAGATAAATTAATGATTTTTTAAAAGAGTTGGAAATGTTTTGCTTAATGTAAAAACCTAGCAGATGTACATGCTAACGTGCCACAACGCTAACTACCTTTGTTATCCTGTCTTCTTCAAACATTTTCAATGCAATCTTAGAAAAATTTATTTCTGATTTTATCATATTGGTCGCGAAGAATTCAATTCAATGCCCTTCATTATGTTTATTGAGCACTTATGTCTAAATCATTAGAGAAAGATTTAGAAAAATTCTAGTTTGAGGACTGTTCAAACTTACAGGGAATTGGGTTCTGGACTCTGAAAGACTGAAAGCTCAGTCAACACTCAGGGTTTGGAAGAGTTTAGGGGGGAATAGTTAAACTCTGATGTCTTAAGAAG
Source organism: Homo sapiens (assembly GCF_000001405.40). Lineage (NCBI taxonomy): Eukaryota > Metazoa > Chordata > Mammalia > Primates > Hominidae > Homo > Homo sapiens. The sequence continues at coordinate 146,604,642 of NC_000004.12, forward strand.
TATTATTGATGCTGCATTTATGACTTCAGTAGACTTTTTGTGCTCACCAGGATTTGACCTGGATTAAAATTCCAATTCTGTCATTTAGAAACTGTGTAACCTTCATCAAGTTACTTGAAGCCTCTTTCGGCTTCAGGTTTCTCATCTGTAAAATGAGAACAGTTTACCTACTTCATAGTATTTACTGGGAGCCTAAAAATCATATTTGTAAAGCACTCAGTATATATTAGACACTTTATAAATGCTGACTATAATTATTGTTTTATATGAAATGCAAATTAGATTTCAAACCAAATTTGAGAACATTGCCTATTTATAAATTGAGGACTATTCATAACCAATACCTCACTAAAATTTTTTATCACTGTTAAAAAATATTAATTGACAAAAAACTGTTTAATGTGGGGCAGACAGTAAACAGCCCTCAAATCTTTCAGCCTTTTAATACAAAGGGTAGTCTTCAGTGACTATGAACTTAGAGGTGATACATTTATACTGTATATAATTGTGTAACAGTGTAATATATTCACAGAGAAATTGAATATTTGTTTCCCTGCTCTAAGACAGCAAAAAAGAAAAGAGCCTTTATTCTTACAATTATTGCAATTCTGTAATGTACTTTGTTGTTTCAAGTTTGGAAAGATAAGGGTATCTAACATTACTTTGAAATATAACACAAACAAGAAAACATAGGTGGTTTTAGATTGCTGGTTCTCACAGGGACGATTTTCTTCCTACACTGAATCACAACTGGCTTCTTACATTTCTCAGGTGCTAGGGTGGTCACGCACTTAGCCTGCAACCTTAAGTTTCTATCTGGGAAAAGCAAAAAATCTATCTTACAGGATTTTTGTGAGGATTAAAGGAGAAATCCATTTTAAGTACTACTGCAGTGCCTGACCCATAGAGACCCTCACTAAATATTAGCTATTATTTATTGTAACATAGATTAAAAGCAGCTGTGTTGTATGTGCTAGCATTTTGATTCCATCTTATGCTGGGAAGTGACTGCACCTAATTGTCTTACTGCATCCAACCTGTCCATCTAAGCCACCATCATTGCTCGCCTGGACTAGTGCCAGTACCTCCTGACTGGCTTCCTTATCCACTTTTGCTCTTCCTATCCATTCTTTACACAGTAGCCAAAGTTATGCCTGTTGAAAATAAGTCAATATAATTTTGGGAGGGGGCAATTGGAATAAAATTGTTCTAAGGTGTGTCTACTTTTTGGAAGACAGGTTAATATATTCATCAACTGTAAACTTTTTCAGGTTGTTAAATACTCTTTGTAAAATTTCAAGGATTACCTCTAGAAGAATAAAAACAAATGAGAAAACAAAGAAACAGAAAAAAATTAAATCCAATTTTTTAAAAGTCAAAAAATAAACCAAAAGAAAGCCAGTGTCTCTATCCTAATATCAGAAAATAGACTTTATTGTAAAAATCATTATTAAGAATAAGAAAAATCATAATATAATGATAAAAGTTTGCTTCTGAATAAATGAAAGGAAGATGTAACAATTTTTAAGTCACATGCCTCTAATAATAAATTTTCCCCAACATATATACAGAAAAATGTATGGAACTATAGGAGAAACTGATGAATACACAATTAAAATGAGAGATTTCAACACCTCTCTCCTGATGACTGACAGGCGAAATGATGAAAAGTTGGTAAACATAAATAAGATTCGAGGACAACTAACTAACTTTATTTAATAAACACACCCTGAAGTCTGAATTCTAAAATTAGTTTACCCTCTCCAACACAAGATTCCTTCATCATTGGCTGCTCATCAAGTTAAAAGTTATCAGGAGAGGCAAGTGCAATGCCAACATTGGATGACTACAGCAGCTATACACTTTAGGACTTAGAAAGACTATTCAGGGTCTAGAAATACCATTTGACCCAGCGATCCCATTACTAGGTATATACCCAAAGGACTATAAATCATGCTACTGTAAAGACACATGTGCATGTATGTTTATTGAGGCACTATTCACAATAGCAAAGACTTGGAACCAAGCCAAATGTCCATCAATGATAGACAGGATTAAGAAAATGTGGCACATACACACCATAGAATACTATGCAGCCACAAAAAAGGATGAGTTCATATCCTTTGCAGGGACATGGATGGAGCTGGAAATCATCATTCTCAGCAAACTATCTCAAGGACAGAAAACCAAACACCGCATGTTCTCACTCATAGGTGGGAATTGAACAATGAGAACACATGGACACAGGGCAGGGAACATCACACACCAGGGCCTGTTGGGGGGTGGGGGACTGCGGGAGGGATAGCATTGGGAGAAATTCCTAGTGTAAATGACGAGTTGATGGGTGCAGCAAACCAACATGGCACATGTATACCTATGTATCAAACCTGCATGTTGTGTACATGTACCCTAGAACTTAAAGTATAATTTAAAAAGTATAGTATTAAAGTATAATTAAATTAAATTAAAGTATAATTTAAAAAAGAAATAAACACTATTCTGGGTCTGCAGTCAGTGCACCCCATTGACTTAGAAATGCCAGGAGACTTTTCCCATTGTAATCATCTGGGAATTATCTCAGGTGATTTATTGACTTTTCCACTACCTTTTGAAGACGCTCCTGGCATTGTGTGTGTTGCAGTACCTCTTGATTGATAGGTCTTCTCTTTTTACCAGGTATTGCCAGAAATGATGATCAGTAGCCCTTGAAAACAATTTTCATACAGGCCACTTTTTTTGCCATTATGCTAAAATATTCATGGTAAGATTTTGGTGGAAAGATACATTTTTAGGATAGTTCTGGTGTTTGGAATGTTTAATGTGTGGGTTTTGTAATTTTAAAGAAAACATGTAAAGAAATTATTTTGAAAAGTTGATGGTTTATTTTCCCCTTTGGAAGAAAATGTAATAAAACATCTTAGAGTCTAAAGACATTTGTTACTTTAGAATGTATTCTCCTTTTTTTTCAATTGCCAGAACCCTTTATATGGAAGTAATGATCAAATGGTGTTAGATATTCTAGACTTTTTGTTCTATACACGTGAACTATATGTCCACATTATTAAAAGTTATTAAATATTAAAAAGGAAGAAGAATAGAGCAGGGGAAGAGAAGAAGGAATAGTTGACCTGAGTGAGTGAAGAACTTTTTATTTGTTTGTGAATGTCAGTTATCTAAAACCCAACCAATTGTAAATCCCAATTATTCAAAAATTAATTTTGAATGCCTTTTATACTACTTTTAGATGATTAAGTCAAATTCTAACAAAAATTACAGATATTAATAACTCTGTTAAAATTTTTGTACAATGTCTGGCACTCAGCCTGTTCTATCAATTATAGAAACATAGATCTAGAAGAGATTGTATGAGCTAATAAAAATTCCCCAGTGTACTGGGTCTAAGAGAGATTGTTGCGTAGTTAGTCCAGAAGAGATTCAAACATGGCTAGCCCTCCCTGCCAGGCTGCAAAATCATAACTGGCAACAATGTAATGTAGACAGCAGTCTTCAGCACAAGAAAAAAGAGGCATGTGGAATTACTCTGCCTTCATTACAATAGCCAGAAGTTGGATACCTTCTAAAAGCACCCTTAACAGTAAGAATGACAAGAAATTTTGGCCAGAAAAAAATCAATTAACTACTACATCCCATAAGAGAATATTCTAATTAATCCCACCTGATTACAGATTCAAAAGGACTGTATGCATTCATATAATCCAAACCACTGGTCTCAAGAAAGATTGTTCCAAAGTTTTCTCAGAGACTTTAATAACTTGAATTTGTAACCATTACAAAATAGCCATTCTCAACTCTGGCTACATATTGAATCACATAGGAAGCTTTTTAAAATGCTAGTGACCTGGGTGTTTGCTTATACAGATTTTTTTTATTTATGTTTCATGTTCCTTACTGTGTGAATGTTCTATTTCATAATAAAAATCTTTGTAATAAAAAATGAAACATACTGCAATATATGCAGATCAATTTCTAATTATTTTTCTCACTTAACTTGTCCAGAATTTAACTTTTTATTTTCTCCTTTAAATTTCTTTTTCTCTCAATGTACTCCCTCTCAATAAATGGGATATTTATACACCCTATTGCTTAGGTCAAAATCTTAGAGTCATCTTTGAGACCTCTCTTCTATTAGAAAATCCTATAGCTTCTAGTTTCTAATTATGTCTTGAAAGTGACCATTTCTCAGCCCCTTCACTGATAATATCCTAATCTGAGCTGCCATCATCTCTTGTCTTGATTAGCAGCTATAGACTTTCAACTAGTCCTCCTACTTCCAGCTCAATCTTCTGTAGGCCTTTCTCAACCCAACCAGACTGATCTTTTAGAACCAGAACTTAATCACATTCACTTCCCTGTTCTCAGTCCTCCAGTGGCTCCCTGTCACAATGGGAACAAATCTATTCATTACCAGGGATTTCAAGGTTCTACACGTTCTATCACTTGTCAACCTCTCTGAGGTCATGCTCAATATCTCTTCCACCTCCCAGACCCTTCACTGTATTCTGGCCAGACTAACTCCTGGATCTTCTGCAAGAATCACACTCTCTCCTGCCCCAGGCCTTCGTGTGACTCTTCCACCCTCCAGAAATGCCCTTCCTCCACAAATCTGTAGGGCTGGCTTCCTCACTTTCTGCAGGGTTCACATGTAACCTTCTCTGATAGTCCTTCCATAATCACTTATCTTAAATAGTACATCCTGAAATTGTTTATCTCTTAACCTTCTTTTACTTTTCTTCATTGCTTTTTAAAAACTGATTTTATGCATCTATTTGGCTGCTTGTTAACTATCTGACTACCTTACTAGAATGTAAGTTCTAGAGTTTACCTTTTTCACTGTTGATTCCATAGCACCTAAAATGATATCTGGAACAGAGTAGATATTTGATAAATTCTTGTCAGGTGAATGACTTAAAGTTTTTCATCTTACGAGGCATGTATTGTTGAATGACTGGTATGAAGAATATATAACACTTTAAACTTCCATTATTCAATTTTCCTCCAGTGTGAGTGAAATAAAAATGTTTTAAAACATAAATTTGTTCTCAATATTTCTAAACATACCTACACTTCAAAAACCTCTATATTATACAAAAACCTCTATATTATGCATCTAAAGTTGAACTTTCTTTTTCTTTTCTTTTTCCTTTTTTTTTTTTTTTTTTTTTTGAGATGGAGTTTCACTCTTGTCGCCCAGGCTGGAATGCAATGGTGCGATCTTGGCTCTGCCTCCTGGGTTCAGGTGATTGTCCTGCCTCAGCCTCCCAAGTAGCTGGGATTACAGGTGTGTGCCACCATGCCCAGCAAATACTTGCATTTTTAGTTGAGACGGGGTTTCACCATGTTGGCCAGGCTGGTCTCAAACTCCTGACCTCAGGTGATCCACCTGCCTCGGCTTCCCAAAGTGCTGGGATTACAGGCGTGAGCCACTGCACCTGGCCTGAACTTTCTAATTATGTGGTCTACCTCTGAAATAAAAGATTCCAAACAATATTAATTTTTTCTTGGTAAAAGACATGGATCATGTTACTAATTATTATACCTACAAATATATAGGTATTTGTACCTATTTTCTTCAGTATGGAAAATACTCCTCAGCAGCTGACTGTTAGAGTGAATGAAAATAGACTAAAATTTTGAATAATGGGAAAAGTCTTCCACACAGCTCTAGGTTTAAAAGTTTATTTTTCTTCCTATTGATACCCATAGGAGACTATAAAATACGTCTCAAAGGTTAAGGAAGTATATCAGAGGAGGAAAATGTCAGGTAGAAAGAGTGTCACTCAGGAGAATCTTCCTCTTGCATTCTATACATTTGAGCTATGGAAGTCAGCCATAAGATCTGAAACAGACAAAATAATAATTAAGCTCTGTTATGAAACAGAAAGCGTATAATCTAAGGAAAGAACTTAGAGCAGTTGCTGACAAAAGGACTCAAGTTATCTGCAATTCTGAATAAATATTAATATTTGAAAGTAGCCTGACAAGTGTGGGTTGGACTGTAGCAAAGAATAAATGGTGAGCCAGATACACAACTAGGACAAGGCATCAAGGAGATCCCGACCAGAACCGGTTCAAAAATCACCATACTGTAAAGATGAGGCCTTGGAGGTAGACTACAAATAAACACGGCTCATCATTCCTTATTTCTTGTTTAGGTTACCTGAAAACAAACTGCTCCTCCATAGGACTACATTCACTTTGCCCATCTTTTGTCTCCATGAAGATATGAGTAAACACAGTTCCTTTAGGAGGTGAACTGCGAGGTCTGTTCTGACATCTGAATCCTTAACAGAAAGAAAGCCATTCCCCACGAAGATTCTCTGATCTGCTCTCTTGAACTGATACATACAGTAAATTGTGGACCTGAGGTATTTAGATTAACTCTTCCATGAATAGAAAGAGATTGAAAGCATGTGATGAATTTTTCTGAATATTTACCCAAGTGTCCCACTTTCTTCTGTATGTATTTAGGCAGAATTTCATGAAATTTAGGTATATAATACGTTTCTGAAGGCCAAAAGTCACTCCATCAAATATCAGTGTTTTGATCCTAAGAAAAATGTTTAGAAAAATACACTCTTATTTTTCTTTTACTAAGTATTACCTTATGTCAATGGAGATGAATAAGAATTACTTGATTAAAATTAATTCCATAAATAAAAAGTCTGGGGGAAAAAAAGGCTCCATAATCCCAATGGTAATTTTGGCATAAAAGCACTATTACCTAAAACCGAATATGTTCATATTTAGTTTTTGAATATGCAATTAGCTGTCATTTTAGAAAAAAGGAACTGGAAACAAGGTGTCTTCAAATCTTCAAAATGTTAGGTATACTGTCCACAATGACACCTATAATTTTTCTTACTCCTCTGACAGCAGGAATCTGCAATTTAACCAAAGCATTGAGAATTATGTGTTCACAAGAGGCAAGCTAGGACAAGAGCCCCTTGGCTAGCTTGCCCTCCTTTCCGCAGTTAAATTTGATAAAACACCCTGCAGATATGGAGAATGAAAGAGAAAAAGGAGAAACACCATGTGGTATAAGCTAATAATTATTTATATTCCTAATCAAAGGCTCAGCATTTTACATGCATGGTTCACTACTCTGGCCCACCCAAGCCCTGAAGCTATTTTTCTTTCTTCAAATTAGGAATTTACTGATCAAATCAAATGCTGATTCCATATCTGAAATGATATGTTTTCTCTTTGTGCAAGTGATTAGGTCCTGCTAAGAAACTAATTGCTGCCATTTCAAATTGCACAAGTACAAAAAGAGCTTTCCTTAGAAAGAATTCCAACTATATTTCTCATATTTTTCACCATTTAAAAGTGATATTTTTCTTCAGCTCTGTTGTTTGGACCATAAAAATGGCAAAGAGTAATTCAATGAAGTAATAAGGCCAAATCATGCATAAAATTTTGCATAATTTTATCTTGTTAGCTGTTGTGGCTTTGGCTAAGATTCTAAAAAATCAGCTTGAATTAAATATATATGTCTTTTTGCAAATGCATATCTCCCATCCAATCTTATATGCATGTAGATACTTATATGCCTGTTGAAGTATTGAAGATAATTGTCTTTAGTTTTAAATATTGCTGTTCATATGGTTAAAGTTCAGTTGACAAAGAGCTAAAAACAGAACTACCTTTCAAGCCAGCAATCCCATCACTAGGTATATACCCAAAGGAATATAAATTATTTTACCATAAAGACACTTGCACATGTATGTTCATTGTAGCACTATTTACAATAGCAAAGACATGGAATCAACCTAAATGCCCACCCATGGTGGACTGGATAACGAAAACGTGATACATATACACCATGGAATACTATGCAGCCATAAAAAAGAATCAGATTATGTCCTTTGCAGGAAAGTGGATGGAGCTGGAGGCCATTATCCTTAGCACACTAATGCAAGAACAGAAAACCAAATACTGCATGCTCTCATTTATAAGTGGGAGCTAAATGATGAGAATTCATGGACACGAAGAAGGTACAGGGTGGGAGAAGGGAGAGGATCAGAAAAAATAACTATTGGGTGCTTAGATTAGTACCTGGGTGATGAAGTAATCTGTACAACAAACTCCCATGACATCAGTTTACCTACATAACAAAACCTGCACATGTACCCCTGAACCTAAGTAACAGTTAAGTTCTGGGCCGGCCGCTCACGCCTGTAATCCCCGCACTTTGGGAGGCCGAGGCAGGCCAATCACGAGGTCAGGAGATCGAGACCATCCTGGCTAACGTGGTGGAACCCCGTCTCTACTAAAAATACAAAAAATTAGCCGGGCACGATGGCGATCACCTGTAGTCCCAGCTACTCGGGAGGCTGAGGCAGGAGAATGGCGTGAACCCGGGAGGCGGAGCTTGCAGTGAGCTGAGATCTCGCCATGTCCGGCCTGGGCGAAAGAGCGAGACTCCGTCACAATAAAAAAAAAAAAAAAATAAATAAAAAAAAAAAGTTCTCTTGACAGTAAGTCAACTCTCCCTTTGTTTCACCAAGTAAATCTAAGCAGCTTAGTCTTTATTTGTCATGTGCACCCTAACAAGTAGTAGAATAAACCGCAATTTGTATTATATGATTTCAGGATCACTTATTCTCCACCACTGTCTTCCTTGCTAATGCTGGACACTCTACAACAAGAGATTCACTTTGAGGAACTCTATTAAAATGCAGATTTCCCCAGGGAATATGTATTATTCAAGATTCTCCAGAGAAACAGAATATATATATCTATATGTATATATTATATACATTCATAAATACATATTACAAGTATATATTTATATATAAATTTTATATTTCTAAATATTTATATTTAAATATATACTTATATATAAATCTATACTTATTTATAAACATTTATGTTTATATACAAATATATACATATATTATATGAATTGACTCGTGATTAGAGAGGCTGAGAAGTCCCACGATCTGTGGTCTGCAAGCTGGAGAACCAGGAAAGCTAATGTCGTAACTCAGCCCAAGTGCCAATGACAGAGAACCAGGAGCTCCGTTATCTTGCACAGACACACCCAGAAAAAGTGTGTTACCAACTATTAGACATCCCTTAATCCAGTCAAATTGATACATACAATTAACTAGCACAAAAGGTGACCCTGTCCCTGCTTGATACATCAGTAAGTCCATTACACCTTAATGCAGACGAACATGTCAGAGACTTTCCAGGAAGCTGGTTTGCAGGACATTGCAGCAGGAGGGCCCCAGAAGAAAGAGAGATTGAAGCACTCAGGAAGAAGAAAGAGAGAAGGTGGAGAATCTAGGTAATTCTTTTAAGGAGGTATTCAGGATGTCTTCGTACTGAAATGTCTATATAGGGAAATCGTCAGTCAACAAAAGGTGCTGCCTCTGAAACCTTTTGGTAAACACTTGTGAGTGGATAATATAGTTTGGATATTTGTCCCTTCCAAATCTCATGTTAAAATGTGATCCTCAACGTTGGAGGCAGGGCCTAGTGGGAGGTGTTTGGGTCATGGGGGTGGATCAGCCATGAATGGCTCAGTGCCATCTCCTTGGTGATGAGGTTGCTCTCTCCGGTTGTTTAAAAGAGGCTGGCACCTCCTCCTCTCTCTCTTGCTCTCTCTTGTCATGTGATGCCAGCTTCCCTTTGCCTTCTGCCAGAATGAAAGCTTCCTGAGGCCTCACCAAAAACTGGTGTTAGCTAGCATCATGCTTCTTGTACAGCCTGAAGAATCATAAGCCAAATAAACCTCTTTTCTTTATAAATTACTCAGCTTCATTTACAGCAATGCGAGATGGAGTAATACAGTGGAGAATAATCAAAATCTGCCAATTGCTGCAACCCAGTGTTTGATCTCAGAAAGAACATCTCCAGTGATTTCCTCTTTCTTTTTGGGTTGCCAGAAAAACTGGGCCAAATGATAGGGACCGTTATTTGGCAAGAGACTACGGTTGCCAGACAAATGAAGAATGAAAACAAAATTAAAATAAATTTACCACCAGAGATTTTATAACATTTTTACCTGTAAAGAGAAGGAAATTTTAAACTTGCACTAAAACATCTAGCTCCAAGTAGAATCAAACCCTTTTTTTCTGTGTTCACTGTGGTAAAACTTTGTTTACTTAATTGGTTCACAACATCTAAGGGATCTTCCTAGAGACTTTACTGGTGTACAAAATAACTGAGATTTAAGGGGGAAAGTATTTCTTTATATTATTATTCTGATGCTTTAGTACTTTTACCAGAATTATTTCTATTCAAAATAATGTTTTAAAATTTAGCACTAGTGCCCATTTAAAAACTAAAATAACATTTAGGCAGAAATAAATAAGAGCATGAAAGTATTGTTTAATGTATTTTAATTTGATTGGTAGAATTAGCCCTATGATGCCCCTATCCTAGGCTTTGTATGGTGAAACTTTTACTAGAACGTATTTTTAATGCCTAAATTATAAACCTAAGAAAATATATTTGAGTGTCCAAATGATGGTATATAAAATGCTTAATTTCAACACTTGAACGTCTAATAAAAATTTGCCATATTATGCCATCATTATTGAGTAATTAAAATTTTTTTCATCTGCTTTTTTTGGAAAAGAAAGGGTAACACTAATATTTACACCTACAGTTATTTGTAAGCTATGCCTCCCAGCTCTATCTACTTTTCCTCTATAAATATTTGAAATATATACAATATTAAAAAGCTTTTAAAAACAATCATTTATACAGTGATCTTTGATAAATATCTAAATAATACACATTAATAAGGACATTAACCCTATACTTTGAACAAGAAACAACACCTTAATTACATACTTGGATTTTTTAAAAACACACAAAAATGTTACTAGTAGAAATGTAGACTGCACCTTTACAAACTTGCAAATTGTTTTAAGGTTGATCTGGACTAATTGCCACAAGACACTTATAGGCTTGACGTGTTGCTATTGATCAATGCCTACCTGTAAGATTGCAGGAGCGGTATTGGCAGTTACTGGATTGTCTTTAAAATGAACTCAGATCAGCATCATACTGAGACAACAGATTTCTTAGAAACAGCCTTTCATGACGACTGGAAAAATTTAGACTTAATAAAGAAAAACTAATTTCAAGCTACAGTTAGATATGGCATAAATCAATAGCCCTGATTATTGCAAAATAAACGAATAGAGACAATGATTCTTGCTGGAAGCTGGACCTTGTTGAGGATATTTGAAGTTTCCAACTGGTCCTGATCTCTAGCCTTCAGATGCCAGATTCGCTAACCATACATATTGCTACTGTTTTCAAGTGGACTGCATATTAGCCAAAAATGTTACTAATCAACTCTGTAAGAAGCTTAGCTCTAGAGCCAGATTGCCTGGTTCTGCCACTTACTGTAAGACTTGATCAAGTTACCTACTTAACTTCTCTGTGCCTCACGTTCTTCTTCAGTAAAATGGAGATATCAGTACCTATTCCACATTATTGATATAAGGCTTAAATGAATTTACAGATATAATGTATTTATAAGTGTGCCCAGTCTATAGTGGGTCCTAAATAAATATTATCATTGTAATTATCACTGTCATTATTGCTTAGAGTGTAGAATGGCAAACAGTTGCCCTCAAGCAAAATCTAGCTTATCTGATTTGTATGGTATACAAGCTAAGAATTGTTTTTGTGTGTTTAAAAGGTTATAAAAGACAAAGAAGAAAGAATAGGCAGCAGAGATATATGTAGCCTACAAAGCTTAAAACACTATCTGACCAATTACATAGTTTGCCAACCCCTTTCCTAGAGGATGCTTGTTTAATTGGAATATTTAGCCCAATCATATTTAGTGTAATTACTGGTATGTTTGGGTTTAAATCAACTGTACAAATACTAGGATGGTGCAAAAGTAATTGCAGTTTTTTCCATTAAAAGTAATGATGTTTTTTGTTTTATGGTGGGTTTATCAGGATGTAACTCCATTGTAAGTCAAAGAGCATCAGTAGCTGTCATTTATTTTATTCTGTATATATTTATATTTACCACATGTTAATCCTTTATAATAGTCTTTTATTCATAAATCTCAATGCCTGTCTCTTAGATCACTTTTCTTCTTTCTGAAGAACTCACTTAGAATTTCTTTAGGTATAGGTCTGTTGGTGAAAAAAATCTTTCAGTGTTTGTCTAAAAAATGTTTATTCCACCTTCATTTCGAAGCACACTTTCTCAGCTGTTGGGTTATAAATGGGAAGCTATTGTCTTTCAGAACTTTAAAGATCTCATTCCATACTTTTCTTGAAAGTCTGCTTCCTGTTGCCTCTTTGAAGTTCACATATGTTTTTCTGTTAGTGATAGTATGACTTTCTCTTTTTCTTTGCTTTTAGCAGTTTTTCTATGATGCACCTGTCTTTTTTTCTTTGTATTTATCCTGCTGGAAATTTCTAGAGCTTTTTAAAGCTGTGGTTCTTCTTGCATATATCGCCCTTTTTTCTCTCCATGATTCATTCCAGATCCATATTTTAGGCCAATGCTTCTCTGTTCTGTGTGTCTCATTTGAGGTTAAACACTCTTATTGAATTCTTAATTTCAGTTATTTTATTCATTTCTAGAATGTCCACTTTTTAATGAATTACAACTGTCATCTAGTTTCTTAAGCATGTTAATCACAGTTATTTAAAGAGTCCATATCCGATCATTTAAACATTTGGATTATACATGGGGTTCATTCTATCATCTGGTTTTTTTTTGGTCATTTAGTTCTGTTTTCTAGCATGACATAATTTTTTTGTATATGCCATACATTGTTCAAAAAACTATCTTCAAGATGGTCTGTGTTAAGAAATTTAAAAATTTTAAGAAATAAATAATTTTATAAAAAAACAAAGCTGTCCATCACTCAGGCATGGGCCATTTAGGCAGCACTGCTCTTAAACCAGAGTAAATGGCACTGCACCAGGCCCCACAATTCAGGAATCCTGCACTTTGCAGTACCTTCATTGAAATTTTCTAAAGTCTTATCCAATGCATTGGGTTGGCCAGGACCAGCAGTACAATTGAGATAGGGCTTGCTGAGTTCTAGTGTTACATGAGTTCTAGTTACCAGAAGCATTTCCATAAATTTTCCAATTCCTCTTGCCATAATATGACTGGGCCAGCAGGTCTATCTGGGCAGTGCATCCCATGCCTACACTGAGACCTAATTCTCTTTTCAGCTTGTTTTCAGACCCTCTTCTTTACATGTGAATTCAACCAGATACCCCAAAGAGCTTCAGGATTTGAACCTACAACATCATCCTAGGTTACCGTGGCTAGACTATTATTTCAGGAAGACAGCCTGATCATCAGATCATTGCTGCTGGCCAGTGTCATATTTCTTTCACAGAATAATGTAAGATTGGGCCACCAGAATGCTGCTGACACTCTGATGTTGGGTTACTCTCATTCACATTGGACACGGAATGAGTTCAGGGTTATGGACTACAAGTGCTCCACTGCCAACCTTTGGGCCTGAACTGGGTGTTTGGGCCTATATATTGACTCTTTTCCTTCTATCTTCTGACCACAATGTCATCTTTGAGCCTGAACTGGGTGTTTGGGCCTATGTATTGACTCTTTCCCTTCTATCTTCTGACCACAATGTCACCTCTGGTCTGTAGCATCCAAGGCAGGGGATGGGACACCAGTTACCTTTTACAGTTTTCCCTCCATCTCTGGCACCAAAGATGTTTACTCCACCCTCTCTGCAGACTCTGAATCACATGTCAGGTATCCTGGATGGCCATGCCTTTTTCCTCCGGGAGTTTTTAAGAACACAGCTCCACAATGCCATTGGGCTTTTCTGATAAATGTCTTCTCTTGCCTCTGTTCCCAGATAGATGTGGTGATGTCATGTTCTCTTGGATCATTTTTATGCCGTATTGAATGAGGGATAGATATACTTGAGTGAATGGGACCATTCTTTCTTCTGCTTATATGGGTCTCACCTCTCCTTCCTGCTGTTGGTGGTATGTAGAAGGCAGGGGTACACTCAGCATTGAAAAAGATCACAATCTTTCCCCATTGCTTGTTTTTCTCAAGTTTGTCAAAGATCAGATAGTTGTAGATATGCGGCATTATTTCTGAGGGCTCTGTTCTGTTCCATTGATCTATATCTCTGTTTTGGTACCAGTACCATGCTGTTTTGGTTACTGTAGCCTTGTAGTATAGTTTGAAGTCAGGTAGTGTGATGCCTCCAGCTTTGTTCTTTTGGCTTAGGATTGACTTGGCAATGCGGGCTCTTTTTTGGTTCCATATGAACTTTAAAGTATTTTTTTCCAATTCTGTGAAGAAAGTCATTGGTAGCTTGATGGGGATGGCATTGAATCTGTAAATTACCTTGGGTAGTATGGCCATTTTCACGATATTGATTCTTCCTACCCATGAGCATGGAATGTTCTTCCATTTGTTTGTGTCCTCTTTTATTTCCTTGAGCAGTGGTTTGTAGTTCTCCTTGAAGAGGTCCTTCACATCCCTTGTAAGTTGGATTCCTAGGTATTTTATTCTCTTTGAAGCAATTGTGAATGGGAGTTCACCCATGATTTGGCTCTCTGTTTGTCTGTTGTTGGTGTATAAGAATGCTTGTGATTTTTGTACATTGATTTTGTATCCTGAGACTTTGCTGAAGTTGCTTATCAGCTTAAGGAGATTTTGGGCTGAGACGATGGGGTTTTCTAGATAAACAATCATGTCGTCTGCAAACAGGGACAATTTGACTTCCTCTTTTCCTAATTGAATACCCTTTATTTCCTTCTCCTGCCTGATTGCTGTGGCCAGAACTTCCAACACTATGTTGAATAGGAGTGGTGAGAGAGGGCATCCCTGTCTTGTGCCAGTTTTCAAAGGGAATGCTTCCAGTTTTTGCCCATTCAGTATGATATTGGCTGTGGGTTTGTCATAGATAGCTCTTATTATTTTGAAATACGTCCCATCAATACCTAATTTATTGAGAGTTTTTAGCATGAAGGGTTGTTGAATTTTGTCAAAGGCTTTTTCTGCATCTATTGAGATAATCATGTGGTTTTTGTCTTTGGCTCTGTTTATATGCTGGATTACATTTATTGATTTGCGTATATTGAACCAGCCTTGCATCCCAGGGATGAAGCCCACTTGATCATGGTGGATAAGCTTTTTGATGTGCTGCTGGATTCGGTTTGCCAGTATTTTATTGAGGATTTTTGCATCAATGTTCATCAAGGATATTGGTCTAAAATTCTCTTTTTTGGTTGTGTCTCTGCCTGGCTTTGGTATCAGAATGATGCTGGCCTCATAAAATGAGTTAGGGAGGATTCCCTCTTTTTCTATTGATTGGAATAGTTTCAGAAGGAATGGTACCAGTTCCTCCTTGTACCTCTGGTAGAATTGGGCTGTGAATCCATCTGGTCCTGGACTCTTTTTGGTGGGTAAACTATTGATTATTGCCACAATTTCAGAGCCTGTTATTGGTCTATTCAGAGATTCAACTTCTTCCTGGTTTAGTCTTGGGAGAGTGTATGTGTCGAGGAATGTATCCATTTCTTCTAGATTTTCTAGTTTATTTGCGTAGAGGTGTTTGTAGTATTCTCTGATGGTAGTTTGTATTTCTGTGGGATCAGTGGTGATATCCCCTTTATCATCTTTTATTGTGTCTATTTGATTCTTCTCTCTTTTTTTCTTTATTAGTCTTGCTAGCGGTCTATCAATTTTGTTGATCCTTTCAAAAAACCAGCTCCTGGATTCATTGATTTTTTGAAGGGTTTTTTGTGTCTCTATTTCCTTCAGTTCTGCTCTGATTTTAGTTATTTCTTGCCTTCTGCTAGCTTTTGAATGTGTTTGCTCTTGCTTTTCTAGTTCTTTTAATTGTGATGTTAGGGTGTCAATTTTGGATCTTTCCTGCTTTCTCTTGTGGGCATTTAGTGCTATAAATTTCCCTCTACACACTGCTTTGAATGCGTCCCAGAGATTCTGGTATGTGGTGTCTTTGTTCTCGCTGGTTTCAAAGAACATCTTTATTTCTGCCTTCATTTCGTTATGTACCCAGTAGTCATTCAGGAGCAGGTTGTTCAGTTTCCATGTAGTTGAGCGGCTTTGAGTGAGATTCTTAATCCTGAGTTCTAGTTTGATTGCACTGTGGTCTGAGAGAGAGTTTAATAAATGGTGCTGGGAAAACTGGCTAGCCATATGTAGAAAGCTGAAACTGGATCCCTTCCTTACACCTTATACAAAAATCAATTCAAGATGGATTAAAGATTTAAACGTTAAACCTAAAACCATAAAAACCCTAGAAGAAAACCTAGGCATTACCATTCAGGACATAGGCGTGGGCAAGGACTTCATGTCCAAAACACCAAAAGCAATGGCAACAAAAGACAAAATTGACAAATGGGATCTAATTAAACTAAAGAGCTTCTGCACAGCAAAAGAAACTACCATCAGAGTGAACAGGCAACCTACAACATGGGAGAAAATTTTCGCAACCTACTCATCTGACAAAGGGCTAATATCCAGAATCTACAATGAACTCAAACAAATTTACAAGAGAAAAACAAACAACCCCATCAAAAAGTGGGCGAAGGACATGAACAGACACTTCTCAAAAGAAGACATTCATGCAGCCAAAAAACACATGAAGAAATGCTCATCATCACTGGCCATCAGAGAAATGCAAATCAAAACCACTATGAGATATCATCTCACACCAGTTAGAATGGCAATCATTAAAAAGTCAGGAAACAACAGGTGCTGGAGAGGATGCGGAGAAATAGGAACACTTTTACACTGTTGGTGGGACTGTAAACTAGTTTAACCATTGTGGAAGTCAGTGTGGCGATTCCTCAGGGATCTAGAACTAGAAATACCATCTGACCCAGCCATCCCATTACTGGGTATATACCCAAATGAGTATAAATCATGCTGCTATAAAGACACATGCACACGTATGTTTATTGCGGCACTATTCACAATAGCAAAGACTTGGAACCAACCCAAATGTCCAACAATGATAGACTGGATTAAGAAAATGTGGCACATATACACCATGGAATACTATGCAGCCATAAAAAATGATGAGTTCATATCCTTTGTAGGGACATGGATGAAATTGGAAACCATCATTCTCAGTAAACTATCGCAAGAACAAAAAACCAAACACCGCATATTCTCACTCATAGGTGGGAATTGAACAATGAGATCACATGGACACAGGAAGGGGAATATCACACTCTGGGGACTGTGGTGGGGTTGGGGGAGGGGGGAGGGATAGCATTGGGAGATATACCTAATGCTAGATGACACATTAGTGGGTGCAGCGCACCAGCATGGCACATGTATACATATGTAACTAACCTGCACAATGTGCACATGTACCCTAAAACTTAGAGTATAATAAAAAAAAAAAAAAAGAAAAAGATCACAATCTAGGAAGGCATTGATCATGGCCTAAAATAGTTCAAGAGAAAACATGGTCAGAAAATATGTTGTTTTATCTTTAGTCTATACAATTCTGAAAAGTAAATTTAATATTACCAGAAAACAGATTATAATTCACATTTTCCTGTGTACTATGGGTAAAACTTGCATTTGAGGTCATTATCCACAAAACACAATAACCATATTGGAAAGCATCAATGGGAGCCAGTATTCATGGGCAGCAGGGTGGATGTAACCAGCACGAAATAAATGGTACTAGAGCACCACAGGGGCAAGAAACCCTACATTGTATTAACACGAACCAGTTCAAAAAGCTACTTTTTCTTTATGGTGGGAGATATACAATCAGCCAGGAACAGCATATTTAACAATAAAAAAACATCAAGAGATGGTTTCTGGACATGAACAGGAGGAGATGGTGCCTGCATACTATGAAGAAAGAATATTCCCATGCACCACTTGGACAATATGCAAGTAGGTACATACCTCTTCTCTATCCATCATTCTAAATCTTGGTCAATAAATCACTCTACCTCATTTGGGCCCATGAATCTTATAATACATCTCAGTATTGTCTATATAGACAAAGCCCTGCCCAAAATATTTGCTAGTGGCCCTGATATCAAAAAGGTGGTTCTGGAGCCAGGGTTCTGATTGAGATCCTATCAGGGTTCTCTGTCCTTAATGCTCAGAATTCTTTCAGAGGTTTTGCACTTAGCCGTTTGGCCTGCCACCCGACCTGAGTCAAAAAGTTAGCAGGACTTTGACTCCTAAATTTTACAAGACAGCAGGATATTTCGTTCTGCCTTTCTGATTCAGCTGTTGTGTCTCCCCAGCTGTCTCAGCCTACAGAAAACATGTCGTGTGGAAAGCAAGCCATAACTTTGGTGCTCTTGTATGTTTCAATCTGTCACACCAGCAGAGGCAGCCATGAAAGTTCTTCTTGTCTGTCTATCCTAGTAGAGCCACTCTGCCTATGCCCCTTCCCTGAATCTTCAGATGCCCCTGAGAAAAAGAAAGTCTTTGATCTTAGTTCAACTAGGAAGGGCTCCTTTTTATCTAAAATTTTACTTCTTTCCTTCCAAAATTGTTTCCACAGTTCTCCAATGTCTTCAAAAATTCTATTTTTGTATTTTTTTTTGTTTTAGTTGCTGCAATAGGAGCGATGGACTACTCAACAGGGTATTTTATAGAATTATAAGATATTACATTTGGAAATATCATTCGTATTCTCCCACAAACTGCTTCTGTGGGCTCACCCAGCAGGATTCCCACCTTCTGAAGTCACCAGATAAAAAACAGTCCTTGGTATTCATGTTTATGTCCTCATACACCTTCAGAAAGTTCTTCCAAAAATTCCCTAACCATGTCTTTCACTTGGGGGCTGAGAATTCTGGAAATTAGCAAGTATCCAGCCAAGGAGGGAGATAACAACCCTTTCTTCTTGTGGGCTCCCTAGGTATTCATAGGTAATTCTTTAGAAGCATGCCTCCCTGACCCCATACACAGTAAACTATCTTCACAATGTCATGATCATATGTTTATTCTCCCTCAGGATAGTCTAGCATAGTGCCTAGTACACAGTAGGCACTCAATAAACAGTTAAACAATTGAGATGAACAAAGAAAACCAGTTCACCTGCATGCCAATTGCATGGTAATTAAATGAAACTTCAACTATGGCTGAATCTTATTTTAGACTTATCTGGACTTAACATACCTGGTTTAATATTGAATCATTTTTTTCCCCAGAATCTATATAAAGCAGATTGGAGGGGAAATTGTATAGAACAAAGAATTTGGAAAATTAGGTTGATAATCTAAGAAAATCATTTGTGTTGATTCATCAAATTCAGTTACAAATAAATTTCGTGATAGAAAGTCTCACTCTGTCACCCAGGCTGGAGTGCAGTGGCATGATCTTGGCTCATTGCAACCTCCAACTCCTGGGTTTGAGCAATTCTCCTGCCTCAGCCTCCTGAGTAGCTGGGATTACAGGTGCCTGACACCATGCCTGGCTAATTTTTGTATTTTTAATAGAGGCGGAGTTTCACCATGTTGGCCAGCCTGGTCTCAAACTCCTGACCTCACACGATCCACCTGCCTGGGCCTCTCTCAGTGTTAGGATTACAGGTGTAAGCCACCATGCCCAGCCTAGCCCTGCATTTTCCTTTCACTATAGATTCTCTGTGACCATTTGGTCTAAGTAGCATCAGGAAGGAAAAGAATTTTCTAGTTGTTCAGGTCCCTCCGTGATGTTTCATTAAAGAAATATTTGAACTCAAATTGGTAACTGGTTAGTAATTTTTAAAGAAAATAATATTAAGAGATGTTAAAGAGAATAATATGGATAACATTACTCCTGCCTTAGATTAAAACCAACCAACCATATGTGTAAGATTCACTGTTGATATATTCATTAAGTGATGGAAGAGTTTAAGTCCACATAATGACACCAGTTCACACTTGAAGATTTGTATGTGATATGATATGTGTGTAATTGAATCCAAGTCTCTAATCAAAGAACCAGAAATGGCTCTGTGGACACCCATGGGCATAAAGTCTTGAGTGTTTCATTTTAAAAAGAAAAGAATTCCTGTCTATGCCCTCTCCTTGTCACTGGTACATCTGAGATGAAGCCATCAGTCTTTCTTTATCATGCCACTATGGGGTTTCCTTTTATTTTTTCTAACTTTGCCACGTGTTTGCAACTAATGGGATGGTCGAATATTGAAATTACTCTACTGTCTTGGGCATAAATGCAATCCTCATGGTGTTTTACTTTTTCAATTAACAACAACAACAACAACCAGTTTGTAAAATTCTCCAAGTATACATCATCCAAGGAATTCAAGGTATAGAAATAGATTTTGCCTCTGAAACTAGAGATGCTTTTTTAAGTCTTTCTTAATAACATGTCTTTTCCCCTTAAACTAACCAAATTTCCATTCTTTTCTGTAATAAAGTATTGAAAAGTGTGATAATAAGGAGTCTGATAATATACCCCTTCTTGTCCTGTCTCTTAGCGACCTGGAAAGTATGTTGGTCCCACGCTAAGCAAAGAGGGGCAATGTGGTTACGGTTGAAATGACTTAGCCCATATATAGAGGGTCATTTTGTTGGATCCCCAGTGTGTAATACTCAAGACTGGCTCCTTCATATAAGACTGTGAGCTTTTCCATATTTCAGAGATGCACTATAAAACTTAGAAGAAAAAATACCTCTCATTTCAATTAAACAGCATTTCCAATCTATAAATACTCACTGCAGCTAGTGATAGTGAATGAGTTCAACTGGTGGTTCAGCTCATGGATCATTTAGTTACAGCACTTTAAATAAGAGAGGCAATGAATCTTATATGAAAAGTATGCAACCTGTGAAAGTTATATCTGTAACTAACTATATTTAGTCTAGACATGCTTATAATTCTGGTAATAGGAAGAATGAAAGCTCATTGTAGACAATTTGGAAAATTTAAATTTCTTAAAATGCAACGTGTAAAATGAAAAACATACTTTTCACTGTTTTCCATGCATTTATATACTTATTTTGAATAAAAAGAATCATTGTTTTGTATCATGCCAGCTTTACTTTAAAGCGCTTTCCTATGTCATTAAATTTTCTCTGAAAACATGATTGTAGTGACTGAATACTATTCAATAGTATGGTTGTACTACAGTTTATTAAGCTATTTATCTATTTTTGGACATTTAGACCGTCTCTAATTTTCACTATTATAAACAACACAGCATTTCTCCTTCGTTTGCATTTTTAATTGTTTTCTTAAAAGAGACTCCTAGGCTGGGCGCGGTGGCTCACGCCTGTAATCCCAGCACTTTGGGAGGCCGAGGCGGGCGGATCACGAGGTCAGGAGATCGAGACCATCCTGGCTAACACAGTGAAACCCCGTCTCTACTAAAAATACAAAAAATTAGCTGGGTGTGGTGGCGGGCGCCTGTAGTCCCAGCTACTCAAGAGGCTGAGGCAGGAGAATGGCCAGAACCCGGGAGGCAGAGCTTGCAGTGAACCGAGATCGCGCCACTGCACTCCAGCCTGGGCGACAGAGCGAGACTCCGTCTCAAAAAAAAAAAAAAAAAAAAAAAAAAAGGACTCCTGGAAGTACAATTCAATGGAGAAAATGAACTCTTGTAAGGCCCTAAATATTTTTTAATGAATTTACTTTCAAGTTACATTTCTACCAGCCAATGGTACTTACTTGCTGTGGTCTGAATGATGGTATCCCCTTTAAAATTCAAACATTGAAAGTTAATTGCCAATGTAATAGTATTAAGAGGAGGATCCTTTAAAAGGTGATTAAGTCATGAGGGCTCTGCCCTCATGGATGGAAATAGAGCCCTTATAGAAAGGCTGGAGAGAGTGGGTTGTCTTACTCTGTTCTTCCACTGTGTGAGGACACAGCCTTTCTCCCGTTTAAAGGATGCAGCAATAAGGTGCTATCTTGGAAGCAGAGACTGGGCCCCTACCAGCCTCCATTTTGATCTTGAACTCCCAGCCTCCAGAACTGGGAGAAATGAATTTTTGTTCTTTAAAAATTTCCCAGTCTTAGGTATTTTATTATAGCAGAACAAACAGACTAAGACATTATTCTAATAAACAGAATATGTTTCTGGATATAAGTCTCCTTGAAAGATATGCAAATGTTTTTTCTGTATATGTATATTAATGGCATTCTATTATAAACCTCATTCAGTTTTTCATTCAACATTTTAAGGCCTTTTCATATTGCCATAAGATTCATTGTCTCTATGTGCTGTCTCCACAACTCTGCCATTATAAACAACACTGATAGAAACATGTCACCTTTGGGATCTGTAGAAAAATTTTTTGGAGTATAATCTAGCAGTGGAATTGGTAGGCCACAGGATATTTGCATGATCATTTTTGCTAAGAACTACCAGTTTGCATTTCAAAATGGTTATAACAATAATTATGTATATCAGTCCTATGTTATGGTTTCTAGCGCACATCCTTAATAATTTTTGGTATTGTCTAACCTTCCAATTTTATAAAGATGATAGCTATAAGATGGTACCTCACTGGTTACTTAGCGAGATGTGGCATCTCTTCATCATAGTTAGCATTCCAACTATGCTTTGCTAATCGGTAAATTGCCTGCTTATATCCTTTGTCCAGTTTTCTATCAGATCTATCAGATTTTGTTTTATGTTGTTCTTTTTATGTTATTTTTCAAGGTTGCCTTGTATAATCCAGGTTTTTTATTGTGCTTTTTATTCAATGCAAATGTTTTCTCTTAGTTTGTCATCTACCTGTTAAACTGGGCCAAGTACCAAAAAAGATTTGAAAGACAAAAAGCATTAGTGAGATTTCAATGCACAATATTCAAATCATTTTCAGTCATAACAATCATTCATTAAGTTAGTCAACAAATACATATCGGGCACCTACGTTATACATAATGCAACGATAAGCATGTTGAGGCCACAAAGAGGAGTAAAACAAAGACTCTGTCTTCAGGGATTTCACAGTCTCATTAAGGAGATCAGATAAGGGAAAAACGTATACAAATGTAAAGTAATAGCTTCCATAAGTGAAACTGGTATGGGTCTGTAGGGACTGAGTTTGAAGGTAGAGCAGATGTCCAGATGGAAAAATCTAATAAATTTTTATCATTTGGAATGTGAAACTGTTGGAATGTGAAACTGACTATCAGAGTAATAGAGTTTGGAGAGGCATTTTGGTGAGAGTAGAAGCTATAAAATTGATGGAATTAGTAAGGGAGAAGCGAAAACAGAGCTGATAGATCCTTAGGCAAGCACTACCTTTTGGGAAATGGGAGAGTACCGGAGGAAAATGAGAAAAAAAATACAGTGTCTCAGAGAGTGGATGTGCAGAATACTCTTGACTTGAGAAAAGGAACCATATCAAATATGCTCAGGTTTTGGTGTTGAATATGTTTTTCTCTCAGAATTTTTTTTGAGGCGATAAGCTAGAAATGACATTAAACTGGTAGATGAAGCCTGGCCACAAAAATGTCAGACTGTCTGAGCAAGATACAGCACCAACCAACAACATTTAACCCCCTTCTTCCCTGAATGGATCTTTGAGTTAATTAACAAATATTACATAAGCCCACATTTTAACACATAATAGCCTTGGGGAGATGGGCCATTGGGTGGCTGGCCTTGTTTGATGGACTGGAAAGGGTGGGAGAAGAACACTAAGAAAGAACAAATCCTGGTTTAAAGACTGACTCTGCTAAGGCTGGCATATCCTGCCGTTACAGATTATATGTTTAAATCCATGGCAATCCATTTGAAGAATGAGAGGATTACCAGCACTCACATTCTGCAGATTGTTGTTGATATTGTTCTATTATTAGCTAACATTTATTAAGTGCTTATTACATCCAAGGAAATATGCTAAGCCTTTTACATGCAATATGCCATTTAATCTACTCAATAACCTGGGGGAAGAATTTGCTATTATTATCCACATTTTTCAGAGGGGCAAAATGAGAATCAAAGTCAACAACTAGCAGAGCCAGCACAAATTTCCAAGTGTGAAGCCCATGCTTTTGGAAAAAGTACCACAGAATTTGTAAACTAAAAGTTCATTGGAACGTAAGGGAGAGCACCATCAGTAGAGAGTCAAGGATTGAAATAATCTTGCCAGATGTTAAGAAACAATTGGGTGGTAAGCAAATGAAAGCAGTAAATGTAACTGCCATTTCCAAATCTGATGATGAAGAAAG
Organism: Homo sapiens; assembly: GCF_000001405.40. Taxonomy (NCBI): domain Eukaryota; kingdom Metazoa; phylum Chordata; class Mammalia; order Primates; family Hominidae; genus Homo; species Homo sapiens. Next base: position 146,628,801 of record NC_000004.12, read on the forward strand.
AGAGACATCAAAGGGAAAAAAAATTAAAGTGTTTCTTAATTTAAATGTTATGGCTAATACATCTCAAATATATTTGTAGGGTAAGAAGAGAAAGACTGGGGAGGATAAATTGAAGATTCAAGACAAAGAGTTAACTTGATAGACTGCAGTTCTGAAGGAAGTGAGAGGGTAAAAACTCATGACATATGAAAGAATTAACCTGGAGGAGGAGGTTAAGTTGACACTTATGGGAGAATTAAAGAAGGAGATGTTGGGGGTGGAAACACAGAAAAAATGATTAGGTGACGATAGAGCAGTTAAGCGGTAGAACATGTAACAGTAAACCATTTTCTTGGCAAACCATGAGGTGAGGTTATGCTCAAAGTCATGATGGCAGAAATGGAGAATATTTGCAATATATTCTGTAGAGAATGAGATGGAGAGCCAATTAAAAGTGAGTGAAAGGGAAACTGAGAAGTAGAGAAAAATAACATTAAGCTGGAGTATCAGTCAGGCTTTAGCTGCAAATAACAGAAACCACTTTAGCTATTTTAAGAAGAGAGAGATTTAATACAGGTGGATGCTTACAAATCTTTGGAAAGGTCTGAAGTAGCAGACTCTAGGCTGGACTTCTGGGAATGATTCCCAGAACCGTGGTGCAGAACTAGCTTGCCAGGAAAGCTGTGAACTCTACCATAATCAGGAAGAAGGGGAATAAGGAAGGAACTGGTGAAACTAAAGACTTCGGAAATACACCGTCTTAGAGGTGCACAACTGTTGGCTTTAAAGAAGTACCGCCCCTCTTAGACTCACCACCTGAGAATAAATTACCCACACTTCTGCCTCTTGGTTACATCAGTACCTGAGCTGTAAGGGTGTGAGAAATGTAGCTTTTAGCTTCATGGACACTGCATGGCAGGAAGGCACACTGGAAAGAGGCTGGAGCGGATGTCCAGTGGCAAGCTACCATATCTGTGACAGATGGATAACACAAACATATGGTAAATTACAATTTAAAGAGAAACTAGACTACTCTCCTTACTCTTTCCACTGAAATCAGCAGTCTATGGGCAAAAGTAAAGAAAATGACTAGTTTGATATGTAAAAGGTAAGGGAGAAATGAGATCAGGATGCCTCATAGGGTCACTATAGAAATGACTAACTATGTGGTCCAGACTAGGTAAGTGGTCAATAGAGGCCAGGAGAAATCAATGAAATATGAGGATAGGAATATGCCAAATGAGCATAATGTTGATAATGCCTACTTTGGCCTTGAGAGCCAAAGAAAAGGTGCAGTGGGCACACAACATCACAAACTGTAGTATTTCTGTTTTGAGGAGAGTTATTAATACTTTCAAGTACAGTGTGTTTGTTTTGATGCTAGGGCAAATTGATATCTCATATGCATATCAGAAAAAAGTAGTCAAGGCACAAAGCTATAGCATCTACCAGAGCACTTGCTAGTTGAACTATAATTTGGTGATCTGTATATGCATATAAAGGAGAGAAAGAAGAGGGAAACAACACATGTTTGGGTACAAATATTATAATTCTATGTTTGATTCACATACTTCTATATATACATGAGATTTACAGACAAATCATAGGCTGTATACAAAATTTCAAGAAAGAATAAGTGCTTAAAGGTGAATTTGTTGTCATTGTAAGGTCCTTCTGCTGCAGTTAAAAGAAAATTGAGAGTGGATGCCTACAAGGATTTTGACATGTTTTATGCACTCAATTCATATTTATATAGCTAAGAAGTATTTACAATCTTTGCAGTCAACCTATTAGCATTTCTCCTTAGGTTTTTCTGTTTCCTACAAAAGGCAAGCTGTTTTGTTTCTAATTCATCTGGGGATGGGAGAGGAAGGAAAGAGGCTTCAGATCCTTCAGATGCATACAATTTGACATGGGCTGTAGGTCTCCACTTCCTGGTGGCTTCCCAGCAGATGCTCAGCCATGACTCCATTGAATTCTAGTTATATGTCTGCAAATCTCTCCTTTTGTAAGATTTCCCTTTATCTCTGAAAAGAGGCAGTGAAGTTTGCTTTCCGCCAGGCTGCTTTGATTTCCTCCCAGTGCCTCGAACAAACGTCAACAGAGCACTCTAGGGGCAGTCCTGTGTGTCTCTCAAACAAAATAAAGGAGAATATGCAGTGAAAATCAGAATAGAGTCACTGCACTTTCTTCCCAACACTTTTTTAAATGTCTAGTGCATGATTAAGAGTTTATTGCATACTTATATGTAGAATACTGCTCTCAAGTCTTTGGATGCTGAAAAATATACACTGGAAATAAACCCTACTTAGGTGACAGAAAGATACATTCACATTTTTTTAAAACATAGGGACACAACTCTTGTGGTAAGGGATACAAGAAAAAGATTGACAATGAATTCTTAAGTGATGATTAATCTCTTTTTTTAAGTGATCACAAACAGGGAAAGGGAGCAAACTGCTGCCTTTAGAGGGTCATTGTTTTGTGAAATCCTGTGGGATAGGATTGTCCAACCAAAATCTGTTACAGAGGCATGTATCTCTTAGGCTACTATAAATATTTGTCAATGAGAATGGTTAATAGACATGCCATCTGGTGCCCCTGATCCTCAGAACTTGATAAGGTCTGCATTGTTATTGCTCAAGAGATTTTGGTTGTATAAACTCTGACACTCAGTAGATGTGCCGATGGAAAATGAAGGTCCAAGCTAACTTTGAGAGAATAAAAACATGCAGGTGGGGGAAACAAGGAAACTTGTCTCCTTTGACAAATGCACAGTTCTTGGTTAACTTCTCATTAGCAGTCTGCTCACATCTCATTCCCATTAAGAGTATTCCGTTTTCTTTGTCTAAAGTGTTGAGTGGTTATGAATAGTAAGGATAGACTATCTGTAATTATTTTTTAATTATTAATGGTTTTGTTAGATCCTTTCACTTTTACATTACATTTCTGTTAATGTAAGTTAAATCAAAATGTACTTCAGTTTCCAAGCTGTTCCCCAATGTATTTTTCATTCTTTCATAACATAACTTCAGGTTTCTATGAGGTGTCTATGAAACAGCTTGCCTTTCAGGAGTCACCCTCACCATGCTGATAAATTCAGGTACTGTTCAGTTTTACAGATTCACTGGCCATAGCATTGGTCACCACCAAATTTTAAATTCCCCATGGTACACAGTGCCAGAGCCTTGATAGGTGCAAAAGTAATTTGATCTTAGCCAGCATCTTTAAACCCAATACAGGAGCATCTACTTTATTTAGTGCCTCCAGATGAGAAGTCTTTTAGTGCTTTGTAGATATGAAGATTCTCTGTCAGTTAGGAACTAAAGGAGAGGAGAAAATGAGTGATTTTGGAAGGAACAGATATCAGAGGAAGAAACGAGTATCCAGGGTTTGTGGTCCAGCTAAGTACCTTGAAGAGTAGTTCAGTCAGAATAAATACTTAGTCATTAGGAATATAATGACACTCAAGGAAAAAAGAAAAAGAAAAAAAAGAATTTCCCTGGAGAATAGAAAAAAATTCACCTTTTAATCAATTTTTCCATCACCAGCAAAATGGTACTTTTTGAGACACACTATTCCCTCAGAGAAATAGTTCTGGTTTGGATTTACTAAGAGGCCTGGTTTCAGATGGAGAATGAAACAACTCACACAAATTCAAATAATAGCCCTAGTGAGACAAAGACAAAGAAGAGAGAATGAGTGAGATTTAAAACAATTTTGAAGTATACATAGCCCCAGGAATTCTGGTACCCTTACAGTTGGTGGTGTTTGGAAAAAAAAAAAAAGGTTACTAAATCAGCTCTGAGGAGTGGCAGGAGGTGGGAGCCCCTCGCAGGGCAGAATTCCTGGGCTGAGAACCTCAGGGAACAGACTTAGAGGAGCCAGATCTTAGCCAAAAGTGGATAGTTAACATACACTGCACTGAACACAAAAGCTACTAAAAATGACTGGATAAATTATGCAGAGGGATTTCTGGATTTCTTTCAAGTAATTAAGTTTCGATTTCTTGCATTTATTTTAGTTCTAGGAAGCGCAAGGCGCCATGGATTGCAAAAGTCTTCATTGATTGTTACAATGCTTTAAGTTTGATTTCGTGACTGGACTTAACTTTGAAAAGAGGTAAATACGCGGACCAAGGAAGTTCACTGCGATGAAAAATAATAGTTCGTTGGGACAAGTAGACACCAGGGAGCCTGCTTCTGAACAGAACGCAGAGGTCTGCCCCCCTCCCCCAAGTGGTGCGCGGGAAGAAGAGGGGAGAAACATAAACGTGTGCGCCTCTGAATGGGTGTGCGTTAGTGTCAGCACGTGTGTGTCTGTGTGCCTGCGTGTGTCAGCGCGCGCGCGCGTGTGTGTGTGCATGTGTGTGTATGTCTGCACAGATGTGTGAATTTGAGCCCCTGCGCTCTGGAAGAGTGCAGAATTAGGTGCTGAGGAGTTGAGTCCTTCCCCAGGGCAGATTTTAGTTTCCTGGAGCCTGTTGTGTTTGCTTCAAAGGTTAGTCGATGCCAGTGGGTCCAATCAGCTGTCCCTGAATGTGAGTTCCTGGTCACAATCAGCCTTAGCAAACCCACCAGACGGAATTGAGAGGGCGTCTAGGAGCCTCTAAGGCATCCAGCCAACCTGGGCTGGCTGCGTCCTGCGTCCCCCTCCTCCCAGTCTACTTTCCTTGAAACTGAGCTCTGCTTTCTTTCCTCCACCGGGAAAAGGGGAACCGTTGCTTTCTCTTCTGCCTTGTCTCCCTTCATTGTCTTGTCCTCTGCCGGGCTGCTTTCCTCTGGTCAGAATTACCTAGAGAGAGCCCCACGTGGCTTGCTCTGCGACTACAGGCCACTAGTCTTGGCCAAGTCTCTCCCAACCTCCAGAGTATGCTTTCTGGAGTGCTGATAGCCTTTGCTTTTGTCCCCTCTTCCTCCGTGAATTCTACTTGGTTTTGATGGGAGCGAAAGAGGTTGTGAGTCTGTATTTCTTTCTAGAAGGGCCTGGGAACTACTGGATGCAGAGATTTCTGGTGACACTCGCTGACTACTTGCATTGGAAGGTTAGGAGTGAGAGCCGGAAAGGCACTGAAAGGAGGCGGTTACCCTCGGGCATATGGGGTGCCTGGAATCTCTGGGCGAGAGAGCGACTCATTTAAAGCAGGAGAGGGGAGCTTGGGGCTCAAGGGGAGCCAGTGACAGGATAGTAGTTGACATACTCAGAAGAGAAAAGATGTTTGAACAAAACCCACCCATCATTCCTCAAACATAAACCCCTATCTCAATACTCAAGCCCCCAAGCGCCCTCCTTCACCTGAACTTTGCTCTGCAACTACATCCCTGGGAGCTTCCAGAAGTTTGTTTCAGGAATAATCCCTCTTGTGTCTTCTTTTTCCTCCCTGTAACAGTAGAGGCCACGGAAGAGTTTAATCTATGCCACCCCGCCACCCAAACTCTTCTGTCTCAAGCCACGAGTCCAGAGAGAGCTCAGGGTGTTCATCTTCTATTCAGAATCTGAAGCAGATTGGCTGATTTTGAAATCCGTACAAAAACAGATGGGGGAATCCCTCCTTTCCCTCTTTCTTCCACCAATCACTCTCTCCCTGAGATCGAAATGGTGAGCGAATAGGGCCAGATCTGTCTTTTCAGAAATCCTCCTTGTAGTCCAATTCAATTCTGTTTGAAATACAAAGAAATCACCCTGCCCTTAATAGATTAAAATTTAATAAAAGACATTAGGTCCGGTAAAATATGAATGCACTACTTAAAATTTTAATAGTAAATTAGGACCCAGATACAAGGAGGAGACAGAGATTTCTCCCCTTGGGATTGCTTCAGGGGCGGGCTGATTTTCGGGTGGGGGACGCCTACTGCGGGGACCCTTTGCCCAGAAGCCTGAGGGGAATCTCCAGCTACTCCTCCTCACCCAGGGGTGGGGGATAGTGAGGGGGGCTGCTCACATCTGTCTGCATCTGCCAGAGGACTGGACAGAAGCTATTGTCAAACAAAGAGGCTTGGCGAGAAGAAAGGAGCGCCTCCTGAAGTCACAGAGTTGATCCATTTTCCATCTTGCTGCTTAAAAAATAAAATGTTTATTTTCTTTTTGCTAGGTAGGTCTGTAGGTGTGTAGATGCACAAGTGTGAATAGCGGCTTGGGCATAGGTATGTTGAGGTCGTAGGAAGCAGGTTTCAAATTTTGGGTCATTTGCCTCCACCCCTTGGGTTTATTGCCAACTTTCTAATTGTTTAGATGGCTCCTGATAACTGCGGGGCTGGAGGTTTTCTTCCTTGGAGAGAGGCTTCCACACTCGCTGGAGCACTTTGCAGCAATGCCTGTGGGCAAAACCGAAATGGGTTTTGTTGATATCACCGCAACGATGTTGGTATTCTGGACACTCCTGAAAGGAGAGACTGCAAGATTTCAAGTCCTGGTTGATGAAGGAACAATTGCTTTTTCCCTCTAATGCAACACAATCACTATTCATTTTTCACTTTGAGTGGGGAATGGAGAAGCCTAACTCTATGACTTGACTTTTTAAAAATGTATGTGTTTTCTAGGAGGAAGGAAATACAGGTAAATAAACTCTTGAATTGCTCTACAACCACATTAATTTACTTCAAATTGATAATTTGAAAACACAGCCTTCCTTTTTTTCTTGTCTGGAATTAGGGATATCACTGAGAAATATCAGAGAGATAAAAAAGTTATGTTAAATTTTTTTTGATGATATATGAATTTCAGTTATCAGGAAAATATTCTCATGGGAGTTTTCTTGCTTAAAATAGTTTTGGTCAATAAATTCCATATCAAACAAAGTTTGTCCAGTCATTTCAACAGTGTCCCTCTCTATTTCATGAATTTATTATAGTACCGTATTTACCATATGAAGTGGTGACAAGTGTTTAGCATTTTGGAGATCAGTTGTCAGTTACTATTAAAATCAAGATTAATTCATATTAACGATATGCATTTCTCAATACTCCCAGGTGACAACATACATTAAAACAACTATTGCAAGTAATTAAGCTCAATGAAGGGGGAGGGGACAGAGGGAGGTTCAAAACACCCCAAATATTTGATTTTCAATTCAAGTTCAGCAGACTGTTGCCACAATAATGCTCGGGAAACTCCTCAGGGTTACTTTTTACTTTACATCTAATTAGGCACCTAATGAAAGAGAAGAATTTTTTCCCCATGTGGCTTTTCTCCTTGATATTCTTGTGCCTTTATTTAAACACATAAACACACTATTTAGGAGTGGCAATACCCAAAAGTTTCTCATGTGATTAACTTGCTATAATAATCTGGGGGAATTAGAAAGAAGAGGACATTTGTCTTCCGGTTATTTTCCATCTTCACTCTCACTTTGGCCCTTTGGCCTTTACCCAGTACGGATAGAAAATACACCCAAAATATTTTTATGGATTTTTTTATTAGGCTTTAAAGATGCTCAACAGTTAATACTAATTAGACCATCCAAAGCCTTTTGAAGATTAAGCAAATTGGACAACCCTTGTTAATTAGAACATAATTTGAAGTTTGAAATTATATCACTGATGAAGTAGTCTAATTAGTATGACGATATGTTAATGGACCAGTGAGACATAGTGCCGATAGAGTTTGGCATGAACCTCTTCACGGCTTGCAGGAAATCCTCCCTCCTATACCGACATTAATAAAAGATTTCTATAGACTTCAGCCTTTCCACGATGACATACAATTTATAGTACACACAATGCATTAGCTCATAGTACTGCTCAATTTTTTCACTATTATGAAAACTAATAAATTCGTCAAGCTGAATTAAGCATACAAATCAGATGAGGCATAGCAGATTACACAGTGAAGCGCGGTGTCTCCCGAGCCTAAATGAAATTTCAATCTAATAATTCCTTCCTGGCCCAGTCATAATTTGTTTAGAGATGTTGTTCTACTTCTTTCAAAGCGCTATTCGCACTATAATTAAATGATACTCAAGCTTTTAACTTTGATTTATTTCATTTCTTGAAGCTTGAGACAGAGCTGTACAATGTCATTTTTTTTTTGTTTCCTTGAAAATTACTCTGGCTGTTGTTGAGGTAGAAATTAAACACCTAAGCACTTACTTGAACCGTCCGGCACAAGCCACATTCATTCACGTGAACACTCCCCTTTCCCTACCCCATGTCCAGGTTTCGCTGAGCTCACACCCGGCAACACTGCTGCTAGGAGTTCCCTTCGGCTACTATTTATTATTTTCCTCCACACAGGGGAAGAGAAAGGGAAGCCCGAGAGGATCCAGGGAAAGCAGAAGGGGGTTAAGGACCATGGACAGAGCCCGTCGCGCGCTCGTTGCTGCCGCCTTCCCCAGCACTCTGGCGGCTCCTGAGGACAGCGGTCCCATCTTGAAACCGCTATTCCGCCCGGCTGAGGTCAGGGGTGGACAGGCGGTCCCCTACTCTCCACCGCCGCTTCCGGGAGCTGACCACCCGAGGGTTCCCCTTTTCCACTCTCCTTCCCACTCTGTTTTTGTCCCAGCGCGCGCCAGCGCCTCTCAGGCCTGCCGCCTGCTCTCGCACCTGCTCGCCTTCCCCAGGCGCCCAGTGCCTGCACCTGCTCCCGGTCAACCCCCGTCCGGATTGGGCCACCCGCGGGTTCCTGCGTCGGGGTCCCGGGGCCTTCTCACCCTCGCCTGCACCCTGCTCCTTCCGCTCTCTAGGGAGGTGACAGCAGCCCCCAACACCGCGGGAAGTATAGAGAAAATGGGATCCAGAAGGAGAGGAAGTAGTGTGTGTGTGTGTGTGTGTGTGTGTGTGTGTGTGTGACAGAGAGAGAGAGATAGATAGAAAGAGATTATCTCCTTTTGCAACTGGAACCAAGAGTGTGTGTCCATCTCTAGGAAAAGTGGTCTGCACTGGGACTGGGACAGAAGTGGGAGTGAAGTGTCAGCTAAAAATAGGCTCCGCACCGAGAGGCTGTGGAAATGAAGATAAGTGAGGTTTGTGCCAGCCCCCGAGGGTGTGTGTGTGTGTGTCTGTGTTGTGGGGTGTATTCAGCAGCATATGCGCTGTGTAATTTCTGACCTTCCCTCTCCCTGTCAGTTGCCCCTTCTTCCTTTGATTGTGGCTAATGAAGAATAATAAATCCAGGGGCAGGGTTTGCCAGTGGATCCTTCCAAGACTCAACTCGAACTGTACTGGATACAGGGAGGAGGAGGAAGAGAAAAGGGGGGCAAGAGGAGCGTGTGTGTGTGCCTGTGTGTATGTGTGTGTGTGTTGTGGGAGGGGTGGGGACAGCGGGGAGGGGGAGGAGTCGCATGCGCACAGACGACCCGAGCCTGCTCCGCGGCTGTCCAATCCGCTGAGAGCTGCGAGAAATCGAGTGAGAGAAAGCCCTGCAGCCCCTCCGACCCCATGTCTCTTTGGCACCAGGCACCCGCCGGGCCGTGGGGGGCTCGTAGCCGAACGCCGACCTCCGCTCGTATTGGGCTGGGAGTTCAGAGCCGCGCGCAGAACCCGGGTTGGCCGCAACGTCTGTGTTCTCAGCGGTGGCCGGGAACCTGGGATCAGGGTCACCTGAGCTGACGGGGTGGGGGCGGGCCGAGTGGGGTTGGAAGCCTGGAACTTAGTGGTAAGCAGGAGGCGTAGGAGGTGGCAGCCAGGTAAGAGGCACTCTTACCTACCCAACGCTGGCTTGGGCCGCAACTTTATTTGGGAGTTTCTTTTTCCGGTGAGACAGAGACCCGGCAGAAGAAGCGGGAGGGGCTGGAGGCTGGTCCTTAGGTAGGCACTGCCCGGCGACTGGAGCGCGGACCTGGCCATTTGGGTGGGGTTGAGTGGGGGCGCGATTGTGAGTAGCAGCCGCGGGACGCTGCGAAGGGGCGGCGGCAACAGAGCACGGGCGGGGGCAGAAAAGAGGCGGCGGAGGGCGCGGTGGGGGAGCGCGAGGCGAGTGCTGAGAGAGCAGAAAGGACTCAAGCCTGAGGGGAGTAGAGAGGAAGAAGGGGCAACGCGAGAAACCGAACAGGAGCCGGCGTTTCCTGGCAAGGGAGGGCGGAGGCGCGCGGGAGAGAGGGAGAGAGGGAGGGCGGGGGGCGCGGGGGTAGGCGCGGGGAGAGGGGAGTATAACTCGCCGGCCGCGAGGAGCGGGGGCAGTTTCGGGTGCCGAGGTCTGCAGCTAGCGGCAAGCGGAGTCAGGCATCCGTTCAGACTGACAGCAGAGGCGGCGAAGGAGCGCGTAGCCGAGATCAGGCGTACAGAGTCCGGAGGCGGCGGCGGGTGAGCTCAACTTCGCACAGCCCTTCCCAGCTCCAGCCCCGGCTGGCCCGGCACTTCTCGGAGGGTCCCGGCAGCCGGGACCAGTGAGTGCCTCTACGGACCAGCGCCCCGGCGGGCGGGAAGATGATGATGATGTCCCTGAACAGCAAGCAGGCGTTTAGCATGCCGCACGGCGGCAGCCTGCACGTGGAGCCCAAGTACTCGGCACTGCACAGCACCTCGCCGGGCTCCTCGGCTCCCATCGCGCCCTCGGCCAGCTCCCCCAGCAGCTCGAGCAACGCTGGTGGTGGCGGCGGCGGCGGCGGCGGCGGCGGCGGCGGCGGAGGCCGAAGCAGCAGCTCCAGCAGCAGTGGCAGCAGCGGCGGCGGGGGCTCGGAGGCTATGCGGAGAGCCTGTCTTCCAACCCCACCGGTGCGTATTTCTGCATAATCACCGCTTAAAGGCACATTTTGACAGCCCCCTTTATCTGCTTGATGTTTTTTTCATGTCTGCACAGCAAATCACCCCACACCTCCAACCAATTTTCCCCTCTCTCTCTCTTAAGTATTCAGCAGGTCTTGCCTTTCATATTAATTTTTATGACCTGGGATGTTGCCTGTGCGCGTGTTGTGTTGTGTTTCGTTGTGTCTACAGGCTCACTTTCCTCCTCCTCCTGCACTCTCGGCTTCTTTCTGTGGCTTCCCTCTTTTTCTCTTCACCTCTGTTTTCAGGATTATTATTATTATTATTTTAACGATCTGGGAATGTTGTAGGCGCGGCGACGGTGTCGAGCCCTGGGCCGGGGCTTCCGGAGAGAGGGCGTACAATTCCCTGCTGAGCGTAATGTGTGCCTTCTACTTACAATTGCAGAGCAATATATTCGGCGGGCTGGATGAGAGTCTGCTGGCCCGCGCCGAGGCTCTGGCAGCCGTGGACATCGTCTCCCAGAGCAAGAGCCACCACCACCATCCACCCCACCACAGCCCCTTCAAACCGGACGCCACCTACCACACTATGAATACCATCCCGTGCACGTCGGCCGCCTCTTCTTCATCGGTGCCCATCTCGCACCCTTCCGCGTTGGCGGGCACGCACCACCACCACCACCATCACCACCACCACCACCACCAACCGCACCAGGCGCTGGAGGGCGAGCTGCTGGAGCACCTGAGTCCCGGGCTGGCCCTGGGCGCTATGGCGGGCCCCGACGGCGCTGTGGTGTCCACGCCGGCTCACGCGCCGCACATGGCCACCATGAACCCCATGCACCAAGCAGCGCTCAGCATGGCCCACGCGCACGGGCTGCCGTCGCACATGGGCTGCATGAGCGACGTGGACGCCGACCCGCGGGACCTGGAGGCATTCGCCGAGCGCTTCAAGCAGCGACGCATCAAGCTGGGGGTGACCCAGGCAGATGTGGGCTCCGCGCTGGCCAACCTCAAGATCCCCGGCGTGGGCTCGCTTAGCCAGAGCACCATCTGCAGGTTCGAGTCCCTCACACTGTCCCACAATAATATGATCGCGCTCAAACCCATCCTGCAGGCATGGCTCGAGGAGGCCGAGAAGTCCCACCGCGAGAAGCTCACCAAGCCTGAACTCTTCAATGGCGCGGAGAAGAAGCGCAAGCGCACGTCCATCGCTGCGCCAGAGAAGCGCTCGCTCGAAGCCTACTTTGCCATTCAGCCTCGGCCCTCCTCTGAAAAGATCGCCGCCATCGCGGAGAAGCTGGACCTGAAGAAAAACGTGGTGCGCGTCTGGTTCTGCAACCAGAGGCAGAAACAGAAAAGAATGAAATATTCCGCCGGCATTTAGAAGACTCTTGGCCTCTCCAGAGACGCCCCTTTCCTCGTCCGCTCTTTTCTCTCCTCTCTTCTGCCTCTTTTCACTTTTGGCGACTAGAAACAATTCCAGTAAATGTGAATCTCGACAAATCGAGGACTGAAGAGGGAGCGAACGAGCGAACAACTGAGCCCAAGCCGGTGAGAATGTGAAACAGTTTCTCAAAGGAAAGAATAACAAAAGATGGTATTTGTCTGTTGTAGCAAAGTTGTCCCTTTGAACCCCACCTCGGCTTCTTCAGAGGAAGTGTGGAGATGGCTGTTTGCAGGAAGGCAGACGAGACAGTGTTTAAAAAGTCCACAAGAATGATCAAGTAAGATTTGTTTTTATTCTTACAGACATCACCCGTGTTCAAGTTTAAAAGTACACTTTGCAACTATTTTTCAGAAATAGAAATTGATTCAGGACTAAAACTTTAAACTAGAGTTGATGCTTAATGTGATAGAGACATCTCTAAAGTATTTTGAATTTTAAAAAAAGATGGCAGATTTTCTGCATTTACACTGTATATTATATATATATTTTTATTGTGGTTCTTACCCCCTTTTCCTTCTCTGAAGTGTTAATGCTTAAGAAAAGAGTTGCGCCTGCTGTGTTCACTGATCTTGAAAGCTATTATTAGATTATTGCAGAACAACCCTCTGTAAATTATTAATTTATCTCTCTAGCAACTTAATTTTGTGCACATTCTAATTAATTAAACTTCTTCCGTCTAAAAAAAGTGGGGGAAATGTATAGCTAGTAACGTTCAAAAAATTTTGTTTGATGAGTTTACCGAATTTTTACAGCTTTCCTCCTATACTGTGTTCCTTTTGACCCATTTGTATATTCTCACTTGAATGAAGATTGTTTTTTTCTTTGTTTTTACTGGTAGTGTTCTGATTTGTGAGTCGACACTCAGTAATGGATGTCTTAATCGTGTAGACCTGATTCACTGTCTGAAGTATTGTTTACTTCGTTACATATTTAATGGGGATTCCCACATTGTCCCCATGACACATGAGCGCTCTCACTTACCCTTACACACACACACACACACACACACACCTCTAACAGAAGGGAAGAAGCAGTTGGAAGCATGACCGATGCACCATTTTCTAGTTTTAGGTGCATTTGCCACTTGGTGTTTGCCCTTCAGATTTTAGATTTCACCAAGGTATTTCAGTCTTCCAGTTTTCAATTGCTTTGTTGGCTACATGTTAATATTTATAGGAATACTTCAGTTTTTCCTTTTGGAGGTTTGTTTGTAGAAAAACTAATTTGAACTATAAGAAAGACAGTGCACTGCTTGTAAATTCACATTGTTTGGAAAAATTCTTTTGGAACAAAAAATTAGGTACATGATAACTGGTACCTTATCTACTGTAAATATTTCATTAAAAATGATGCACACATAGATATATTCTTACAAATTTTGCTGTATTGCTGTTCTCTTTGAGGCTCTCCAAAGTCTTGAGTTCTGTATATGGCCTGGTTTCTTGTTTTTATTAATAGATGGTTTATTTACTATGGTAATGTATTAATTTATTTTTGGTGTTGTTCGATTGTCTTTCATTGAAGAGATAATTTTAATGTTTTATTGGCAACGTATGCTGCTTTTTCATTAAAATATGCTATTAAAATTAAATGGCTTTTAAAATGTGATGTTGTTTTAATCATTTATGTGGGAAGTGTTTTGGTGGGAGACTTTTTTAAAGGAGGAAGCACATTTTGATGATTTATTAGGGAGTGGTTGTTATCAAAGTATAGCTTGGACTTAGTAAGGGCTGTTTCTATGGTAAAGTATTAAAGAACAAGGTTTATAACCGCCTTTTAATAGTGAGAACTCATCTCACAGGATACTTCACTTTTCTGCTCAGAAGAAATTATGATATTTGGCTCCAAATATCTCCCTTGGAGTTCTTCCTTCAGACTTGCAATAATCCTGCAAAAAAGAATCTTTATAAGCAGAGATATTGGATGGAAACAATTTCATGCATTCCCTCCCAACTATCAGGAGTAAAAGTAAGAAAGAAACTCAGCTCACTTTTCAGCAGCTCTAGGAGACTGGGTGTGGCAAGAGCCAAGGCCTGGTTGGAGGAGTACAGAACCCTGGTTGAGGCCCAGAAGCAAGCCCACCATAGCTTTCAGTTTGGTCACCACCACTGGAAAGCAAGGAACCCAGACAGAGCAGGAAGCACCTGAGTTGCTGGCTTAGGAAATAAGGCCTCTCTCTCTCTCTCTCTCTCTCTCTCTCTCTCTCTCTCTCTCTCTCTCTCCTCATTTCCCATGACCTTTAAGGAAACTCACATAGCAGAGTAGGGCTGAGGAAGAAATTCTGTGTAGTTAGGAGTAGCAAATTTTTGCCCTCTTCTGTGATTCACCCTGACATCAGAGTTGGTGGGAAGTCTGTCTGACACTGGTTTGGCACTGACACAGGAAAATTCGTCATGTTTGATGCAGTCATTTCTTCTTCTGATCCTAGCTTAAAGACATCTCTCCACTATTTTAATAATATTCAGACTCCCTACAACAGTTGGACAACATAATACCAGGTTTTCAAAGGTATTTTTTCCCTCAGTAAGTATCTGGTTTAGATATTTATGTTATTAATATCTCACACTATTAATTAATATGAGAATATCACGCTAATCTATAGCTCAAATGAGAGGAAGATCTAGGTCATTCTCCAGGAGTAATTCTATTAACCTGAGCTGTGACTCTTCTGATACAGAATTATCTTGAGATGTTTCTTATTTTGGAGACAAGATTAGGAAATATCCTATGAGTCAATGAAAGTCGTTACAGTGGCTCAAGTTGGGATTAAATGTTGTTGGAAATATCATAATTTCTGGAGGTAACAAAAAGAGTTGTGAAAGTTAGATGGAGAATGGGTGGAGGGACCTCTTTTTATTACTGAAAAAGGAAAGACACCTGAGGAAACAAAATCTAAGTGTCCATTACAAATAATGAGATGTTGCATAGGTGCCTAAGAAAACATTAAAACTTGTAGGAATTTAAAAGAAAAAATTGTGAGTTCAAGTATAGTAATATTGATGGTTTAGTTCTATTTCTGTCTTGAAGGCTGAAAGTTTCTTCTTCTGTCTCCCTTCGTATTCTTAGATTCGGTTTTCCTGAAAGTCTTTTCAAACAGCCAGCATATGCTGAGTTAAAGTCAGCTCGGTTCTATGCTGAGTACTAATTTCAGTACCATGGATAGTAACCGTAGAACTCAGCCCTACTCCAACTCACCTTTGACCAAAAAGTTTTTAGCTAGCTGGACAACCTTCGGCTTGCTTGCTTTCTCCAGAGTGGAGAAAATGAATAAAATGGCTTGAATGTAAAACAGATTCAGCTTCCTTATCTAGGATAAAAATGATCTTCAATAAATAACACCGTTCCCTTCTCATATGTGGATTTTTAGTGAAAGGGAGTTAGTTGGTGGGAAGTAAAACAGATGTGCTAGTGTCTTATTTCTACAAATATAGCATCTTTAAATGAAGATGAAAACACTGTAAAAGTAGTAGAAATTGAGAAACATATTGAACAGAAATAAAAAGGAGTTTTAAAAGTACTTTTGAAGTACATGACAGCTTGCATATGTGCATACATGCCTAAGATTTTTGCGAGAAAAGTGACATAACAACAACTATCCATATACTTCCATAGTTGAGAGTAAAGGCCTATATTTTCTCCTAATTCACCAGGTGTTCTTTGTCTCTCGTGTTCCTGGACTTTCAAAAGTACATCACATTTTGTTAATCTTTTCTGTGTTAGGGTAAGAGAAAACTTTCTTGTCTGCAAGATGGAAGTATTTTCATTCTTAGAGCAAGCTCAAATGTGTGTTGTATGGGAAAAGCTGAAAAGAAATATATTCTGAAGTTTTTACTAATGAGAGTTGCAGAGATACTAGAGATAATACCAAACCAAAGAGATTTGGAGAGAAGAGGGTTGGTCTTAAAGAAAAAATTAAAGGTAAGAATAGGCTGAACCATGTATAAATTGTTGAGAAATATCCATTTGGTGTTGACTTTCAAAATACTCAAATGGATAAGTAGTAGAATGTGTCTGAAAAGTCTTGTCATATCAATCAAATCCACTGGCATTCATGACTTATTTCCTAATTTTCCCCAAGGTCCACAATTGCTATTTTGTTGGAAAGAGATATAAATTGACTTAGTAGCATATTCAGACATCTTGAATTTTATGTTTCAGTATTATGTAGTTTTTTAGACTTCCCTAAAAGCAAATGATCCAATCTTTTTGTTCAATGTGGTCATCTAAATCCAAACTGAAATAGAACAGAAATGATCATGTAAGCCTGGTTGATATCTAAGTACCCTCCATAGCAAAACATTATAATTCAGTTTCTTTCAGATACCTGACATTACATCAGTTGATCAACTCTTTATCAGATTATGTTTCATTGACACATAGCCTGGAGAAAAATAATGTAAGTATGAAAAAGCAAATGAAGTAATTAGGATTTACATACAATGTAATACTCTTCTGTTTTCCATAAAATTGATTTTTTAAAAAAGTGATGATACATAACTACACTTTTCAATATCAAGGAGAGATCCTGTTACTTCTCTTTGTGAAGAGAATTGAAATTTTTTCAAGATAATTGAAATTTTTTCAAGATAATTGGAATTTGAGGGATAAAAATGTTTTATCTCAAACTTCAAATATATCAATTTATTTTGACCTATCTATTCGAGAAGCTCTTGAGGAGACAGTGAAAAATGCATAGAAAAATTCCCTTGAGTTTAAAAAGAATATTATTCACAGAATGAAGCTCAAAATTTTTCTAGACAGGCAATGACAGTAAGTTTAGAAATTTGTTTTTGGAATTGTTTCGCAAAAACTATTTATATCTCTAAGTAAATGATTCATATTAGAACTCAAAACTTCACTTTACTTTTCAGTTGGTCTTGGAGGGGGTTGCTGCAACAGAAGGGAAAAAAAGTTGGATTGGTATCCTGTAGGACAAAATGGAAGACAAAGGTTTTCTGACAGTTGTGATGTTCCTGAAGTCCACATTTGTCAGGAGACAGATTTATGGCAATGAGAAAAAAAAATCACTAAATTTCCCCTGCTTTGCTCCTTTAAAGGAGCCATTCCCAGTACTGAAAGTCTATTATGAGTGAATTAATAAATTACACAGCGAATTATTAAATCCAGATAATTACAAGGAATAAGTAAGTAATCATTAGTTATCTCAGCTAATTACTGTGGGTCAGAGCCAGCCAGAATGTGAAATCCTCCGCGGGAATTGAAATTAACTTTGCACAGTGAGTCTCTCTGCTTGACATCCCCAGTCTGTAGGCGCATGGCAGCTCCCCTGTGAGCTAGTCTTTCTATTTAACTTGGAGAGAATAGAAATAAAATTAAGTGGCAATGTGATAATAGGAAGCTGCTCAGAAAGCAAACTGTGGGTTTTATTCTGTACTTTCAACGCTTGGAGATGAAAAGCTTTATTTACACCGTTTCAAAAATTTAAAGCACCCTTGTTGAGATGGGCTCCCCGAACACACATGCACACATATCTACAGTCGACTGGTGTGACAGTCAGATTAGCAGCACATGAAGAAGGCTCAAGAACAAACGTTTTGAGTCCTCTCTCTCTGTCTGTCTCCCTCCCTCCCTCCCTCCCTTCCTCCTTCTCTTCCTCCCTCCTCTCTCTTCCTCTCCCTCTCTCTCTCTCAGATGTGGGGAGTGGGGGAGGCAGCAGTCAGAAATAAAAAAATGAAAATATTGCTCTTTGCTTTCATTCCACGCAGTGGAAAGACTGTGGAAAAGTGCAGCCTGGCCTAATAATCTGTTTGTTTTGTTTTTGTTTGGGTAACAATATGCTTTCATCTTGCCACAGGAAGAACCAGCTTAGTGCAAACGTTGTCTCTCGTTGATCTTTTGCCAGATGCTTCGAGAACTGGTGTCACTTTTTTTTTCTCATATAGCATCACTTTCTGAAGCCAGCCTCCCCTATCCTCTCTCCCTCCACTCCCACCAACCCCTGAGGCCTTCTCAAAGGGCAGAGAAGAGGGCAAAGCCTGGTGCCCGTTGGAAAGTGGAAAATACATCTGTGTGATAATGTAATTGTGTGTATCACAGGGCTGGATAAGCCTGGACATATCAAGAAAAAAAAAATCTGCTGTTAATGTATTAAAATGAGGGGGGTGGAATCTAAGAGCTTTTTTTTTTTTTTTAATCAATTGCAATTAGATGGACAGTCTTTCTGCTCATTCCCTGCTCTAGTCTGGGATGATAATAAAAATTTAATGAAGCCTGGGACGAGCAGAGCGCTCTGTCTAGGGACCGTGGAATAGAATATTTTAACTGTACATTTATACCAACTGTCTGGCTTCAAAGACGTGACTGCTTTTAATCTCGAATTAGAAAACCACAGACTTGAAATTAAATATTAGATACCCCCGGATCCCCTTCCTTTCTGAAATATTGTCCCGACTGTTTTCCTCCATTGCCCCGTAACACACATATCTTAGGTCTCCAATTACATTTTCGTGAATAATAGATGGCTTTGATAGGGTGCAGTATTCTGGTACTTTCGTTTGTGTGTGTGTGTGTGTGTGTGTGTTTTTAAATAGAGTTAAAATAGAGTTAATGCAATATTAATTGGCTGTAGATGTTATAAGAATGCACAGCCCCATTTTCAGGAACAAATCGATGAGATAGGGATGCGAGAGAGGGAAGATGAAGGCTTTTCCCAATCTAGGTCACTTCTTTGCGGAGAGGCCTTCTCAGAGCTTTGGGTAAGTGAAGAGGCGCCTTAAGTTCGCGGTCCCAGCTGCTCAGGCTCCGCAGCCTGGAGGCGGGAAAGGGAACAGTGAGACTGAGAAGCAGGACGCGGGGACAGCGATCTCCCAGAAGCTTTCCTCGCTTTTGGTGGCTAATGCTACGCGCCTGCCTGCGGAGCTCAGGCGGCACCGAGGAATCAAGATCCTCGTCCCCACCCTCCGACTCACCACCTAATGCTTTGCACAAGCTGGCCTTGGGTTCCCTGCTAGTCCCATCTCCCCTCTCCACCCCTCTGGTTCCTGGTGCGCACTGGTGACAGGCGGTTTGGGAGAGGGTGAGGGGTAGAGTCCAAAGGGCTGGGGCTGCGTGGGGTCAGAGCAGAACCTCCCTCCCTCGCTGGAGGAGCTCGCCCGGTCCCCGAGGGGCCCCCAGAGCTGGGGAAGCAGGCGTCTCGCCAGGCGCTCAGCAAGGAACCCGCAAGAAAGAGAGGCCCGGGCGCCTCGCCCCCTTGCATTTTACTAATCACGTCTATTTAAATTCTAGCGCGGTCCGCCGCGCTCTCACCGGGAAAGCTCTGGAGAACTGGACCCATCAATTATTCTGAAAAAATCCCTGACTACGTGAGGCTTCCAGCCAGCGGGAGGGAGGCGGCGGGAGGAGGTGGAGAACCCAGCCCCTACCCCTCTCCCCTCCTCCCCGCCCCTCCCAGCGCGGCCTCTTGATATACACTCATCTTCAGGGTTCTGGGGCCCCAGGGAGACTTGTGCGCATTTTCAGGGTTCGAGCTTTTGTGGACGAGGAAGGAAGGTGGTGGGAGAAAGTTGGGACCTGGCCTGTGCAGGGCATCCGCTTCCGGAGCTGCTATCCCTTGTGTACCACCCCTTTCTCACTTTTTGCCAGGCCCCTACAGCGGGCCTAATGGTTGGGGACTGCTGGGTAGGGAGCGGTCTCTACTCGGCCTTCCTTTGCTCCAAGGATAGGGCCTTCGGGGAGAGTCTAGCTCAGAAACTTTTTAGGAACCTCAGCTTAAAGTCCTGTAGCACGAACCCCATCCCCCATTCAGGAGCCAGGATGCCCCGAGGCCGAGCAGCAATCCAGGCGCTCAGCTGGACGCGCAAAAAGAACGCGTTCGCCCTAAAGTAGGGAGGCGAGTGAGCATGGCTAGTAATTACTGCTTCCCCCACCCCCGCCCAGCTTCACCCGCCCCCACCCCGCGCTGGGTCTGCAGCCATTACTCCAGCTGTCACTGGGCGGAAAGCAAGCGCCGTCCCCCCAGCCCCAGAATTGGCTGTAGCTAACAGAAGCTAGTGTCCCCCTCACCCTCCCATAGGGTCTGGATCGTGGATCTTAAAAATTTGTCCTAATTTTTCATCAATACTGTACTTCCTCTTTCCTAGCTCCCCTAACGTTTGCATTTTCTGGACCCTGGGAGCATATTCAAAGTCTTATTTGTGTACATGGGTGAGGGTTTTTGTTTTTTATCTCTGGTGGTGGGGGGCTTCCTGAATAATTGGAGGCAGCAAGAAAACGAGAACTGATATTTTTAAGAGAAGCCAACTGGCTTCCAAAATTGTTGTAAGATGCCAAGTCGTCCTGTTAATCTAATGGGGTTTGATTTTTTTTAAAAAAAGTTACTGATGTGTTTGTAAGTGGTTAAAAGGCTTAAACTAACACCCTCTGCACGATTCGTTCAGGACAGTGTTTGTGGTTCTTGGAAGGCCTGAATGACTCTGGGGTTGGTAAGGGACACCTGGAGATGCAGGGTTAATACACATAGGGCTGGACAGTCCTACTCTCCCAGTGGGCTACCTTGGCTTTGCTAAATGGCTGTCTGCATTTCTGTGCCTTTTGGTTAAACTGGGTGAAGACTCACTGACTTCCAGAGACAGAGTAGGTCATGGTTTGGGGAATTATTGGCCTAATGTGTGATGTGACACAGGTGGAGAATCTTTTTGCAGTCACCTTATGCTCCAAATTCAACAGCAGTCCCAAGCCCGAAAAATATAAGGAAGGCTTCTGACCCTTGCCAAGAAGGGGCACCTTTTGTGCTCAGTTGTTATAAACCTAGGAGCCCCTATTTCTTGCACTGGGGTGAGGGTGAAGTGTCTCTCCCTAGGTGGCAGCTGGCTCCCTGGTGTACCAAAGCAAGGCCTGGATTGTAAAGGTTCTTAAGCACTGATCTGAACCAAAGCATTTTCACCAGAGCGAAGGCACCTTTTGCAGCATAGTGGAGGACCAGGGTATACCCCCTATCAGCCATACTCCATGGACATGTATATTCCAAGATTCTCAACTTCAACTCTGGCATTTTCCTCAAAACTTCTCACCTGCATCACACACACACACACACACACACACACACACACACACCACAAAGCAACAAACGGGCACACTCCAAGCCATTCTCCTGCTATATCCCCCTGCCAACATGCTTGGTGAAACTTTTCAAACTCACTCAAAATGCCACTTTCTTAGTCTTACCAAGACACTGCTTCTCCTGGGAAGGTGCCTGAGACTCCCTTTTCTGTGTATCTTTTTTCAAAGCACCTGATGGGGCTTTTACCTTTTGTTTGCTACAGGTGTCTTGCCTGTGGGTCCTCCCTTTACACAGAGCCCAACACGGTGTCTTTCTGGCAGCAGCACCTCTGGCTCCGACGGTGGAAGCAATCTGTGTTTCCCGGGGAAAACAGGGGACCTGGCCTGCAGCTGGGCTCAGCAGGGATGGGCAGGGATGAGGATCCAGAATTAAAGTGAGGGTCTCTTTGGAAGCAGTGTTCAGTGCTTCAGTCTTTACCCTCTCCAGGGTTTCATGGTGGCTTTCAGAGAGGAAAGCCTGGCTAACTGGTTTTAAGTCCCATTTTGGTACCAACTCCAAGGTACGAACTAATGGTGCCCAAGCGCTAACTTTGCATCTCAGCCTCTGGAGGTGACCATTTTGTCACCTTGAGCCAGAATGAGGGCAGCTCCTTTCTCCTTCACCTCCAGAGTCTTAGGATTTTGTGGGGGAAGAGAACTGGGGCCCCTGGCTTTTTAGCTAGAATGTCTGATTCCATCTGGGAAAAGAGCAGTTTGAGGACCCTGGGGTCCACACCCTTAAATTAAATCTAACTTCCCCTAAATGGTCCTACTGGGTTAGGTAAGAATTGGTTGGCAACTTACACTTTCTTTCATCAACTTTTCACTTTACAGCCCTGAAAGCTTTTAATTACAGTATTGTCAGAGGGGCCATTCTTCCATTTCCTAAATCATTTCATTGATTTTTTTTCTCACGCTGCTTTCCTTTTCAGGGAGACTTATTTCTTTTTCCCTGGGATTCACTCTGAATTTGAGAGGTGAATAAGAAAAAGAGGGAATATGTGAGGGGGTGATGGGCGGCTAATAGGAGGGAGTTACCTATCTTTCCCCAGGGAGGGGGAAATAATGCAAAGATGACCATATATGTTATCTCTCTATCTTAGGTCCTGCAGTGTAGACATGCAAAGAGAAAGAGGAGCTATAATAAAATAGAAGGGCATCAGTGCGGGGAGCTAGACCAGTTTCATTTTTGCCAAGTATTCTCAGTTTGTTCTGAGGAGGGGAGCAGACATATCTGGATAACTGGTAATTAGACTTGGTAATATGCATTCATTCACTGTAAAGAAATCCCAAAAGATGTTATAGTAAATCAAGTTTTTTGAGCAGAATTAGAACAGCTTCTAATTCTGGAAAGCTCAGTCACATTTCCTTTCAAAACCAGGCAAGACTAGAATTCTTTGGTTCTGTCATTAATTTTGTTATTAAGGTAACTCCAGGTTTATTTTTCAAATAGTAGTCTTTACCAACCAGTTGTGGCATCAGCACAGAAGATAAGGTACCCAGTGTAGAGCAGAAATGAGCAAGAGGTTGCTGTCAGACAAAGGGAAAGCTGAGGCTGCTGTTTCTATTTGCTCCCATTGCTGTAGAATCCTAAACTAGAAGGTAGAAGAAATGTCCGGATGTTACCTACATGGCCTTTTTGCGCTAGCAGTGTGTACAATTGGGGAGGAAGTTTGGAGGGGAGAATAGACAGATTTAATTTAGGTTAAGAACAATTGTATTTATTGTACCCCAATTTGAAACTACTTCATAACTCAGTAACGATGGTGAGGAGCATCCTTACTTCCCACCATTTAACTCGTGGCCATTAGGTGTCAGTTACTGCAAGATAAAATGATTTAATCAGCCTAGACGAAATAATCTCTTTACTGTTCAATCCTTCCTCCTTCCATTTTCCCCTCCCCCCTCCCTCTTTTCTCTCCTCTCATCTCTCAAATAGCTTGGATGAGGAAATCTTAGAAGCTGGTGTCACTGTTAGAAGCAGCTCACTTATTGGAGCAGGATTTCTGTATCAACTTTAATGCTGCCCATGAGTTGCTTATAAAAATGATTCTCCCCCAAATCTGTACTTATCTTGCATGTGAAAGGCAGAGAAAACTATCTTGAGATGCAATAATGCTTGGCTTTCCTGAAACAGCAAGACTGAGTTTTTATTTGTTTGTAATTAATAATAAACAAGCCATTGACAAGCTAGAGTTGGCTGTCTATTTAGGTTTTGCAAACTCACTCATACAAACTCTTTCCCCTTGTTCAGGAAGGGATGCTATCCCTGAAACTGCAGCCAGATGCAGCTCCAAGCAATCCCAGTGTTACATATGATATTTCCCCCCGCTGGCTGATGGCAAGTAGATGTGATAAAGCAGAAACTGGACACAGGTAAGACTATCTTAGGATAACTCTTCTCCCGAGCTTCCCATTAGGCACAATGACAGGAATAGGTTGGAAGGAAATAAATTTTAGGAATCAGTCCCCAAACCCTTTTGTACACTCTGATGACTTGAGATCTAACTCTTTTAATGAGGGAGTGTGGGATGGCACAGCAGTTCAGAAATAAATAAATAAATAAATAAATTGAAAAAACCAAAAAGCTACAATATCTCCTCCATTTTGAATTGGGTAGGTATTACGGTTCCTCCAACCTTTCTGTTTGCACTCCTTCAAGTTCTCTTTCACCACTCTTCTTCCCACCTCACCACTACTACCCTCATCACCGTTCTCCTCCTCTTCTTTCTTCTCCTACTCCCTTCCCCCCCAGCACACTCTTGCAGGACATGAATTGTATGCACAGCTAGGAATGAGATCTCAAGCGATTTCACAGTGAGAGGATTCTAAAAAGTGATACACAAGGCTTAGATCCCTGAAAATTATCTGGTCTTGGAGGGTGGTGCAGGAATGTGTGGTTAGGGAGCCTGTGAAGCAGATTTGGTCCTAGTGAAGGATGGAGCTGTGGCTGTTCTGGGTATGTTGGTGGGTGTGAGGTGCAGGTCAAGGGAGATGAGTCTGAATGCTTTTTTCTTTTTTTTGAACTTCTTTAACCATGTGGGGGAGGTGCCAAGGACATTTTTACTCTTTTGCTTGAAGAAGGCTACATCAACTCTAGAAGTTACCATATTTACTACCTAAACACACTGATTTTTAGATGAAAATGCCCTCAGTTGTCTCTGCCCAGTTCTATTGCAGATCTATTAATCATATCCACAAGGATTGCCAAAATGGCAGGGCTCTCTTCGCTTTTCAGTTTATACAGAACAGAATCATTTACATAAAGTCCTTAAGGCAAATAACTGTTGGGGCTCTAATTTATATCTGATCGAAAATTAGCCGTCATTATGCGCTCCATTAGCAGCGTCTTTAATGTGCTTCTAAGCACCATTTGTCAAGTGGCTTGTTAATATCCTTCAAGTCTTTAAAGTTGAGAGCTCATTAAAGAGTGCGCTCTGTTATTGATGTAATTTAGATGAGTTTGGAAGAGCAAGTACACCATGCCTTGAATGGGCAACCTCCAGAAGCCAGGGCAAGGGGGCATTTGGTCACCAAGTTCACTATCAGTGATCTTCTCCCAGAAGCCTTTATGTTTCTTTGAGAGCAGGTCTCTGAGTCCTGTGAGAGTGTTTTTGAAGGTCCTCTCCCTTAGCTGGGTGTAAGTAATTCATTTCTTAGGGAAGATCTATATTTGTCTACAATCTGCCCTTCTTTAACTTCTCAATTCATATTTACTGTGGCTTACTGAACCTTATGAGAAGAGTTTGGGTGGTAAATGGGCCCTAATCGAATGTCCTTTATGAAAGGACTCACCAGTTTCCTTTTTTTCCCCTCTTTTCACCTCCATCCTCTATTTACATGCAGTTGTTTGCTTCCTGAGGTTTCCCCCTTCATTCCACAGGGTAGAGGAAGTAAATATCCATTGAGAAAAACCATAGGCTTAAAGACAGAGATACTGCCTTTGAACCTATTTTCACTGAGGTACAGTAAACCCGCTTAATTATGTACATATTATTACATTATCTATCAACCACCCCATCAGAAGAGCATAAAGGCCAATAAATTACCTCAGTTATTTATCTAAAAATCCATATATTTTGTCATTTTCTTTCTGGAGGAGATTATGTTAGTGTAACACAATAAAGAAAACCATTAGCACAGCCAGAAAATTGCAACTGAGTGCAACAATAATTCCACTAGCAGGAATAAATAACAGTTAGAAAGCTGCATTTCTGTCTGGGATTTTCTGGTAGGTTGAATCAGTCTCCTCTTGAATCCAATCTTGAGTTTATAGAGGAATCCTGCTATCAGGGGATTTATTCCGATTTTGCATGAGCCCCCCATCTCTAAATCTTACCTTAAAAGAAAAATATTCAAGCCACCATGATTTTTGAACCCAACTTCTATTCCTACTCTAAATTCATTTCCCCTCCTGAGACCTTCTGGGGACTCAGAGATTAATGCAAGATAATGAAAGACATTAGGCATTTTATTCCCTCCTCTAAATTTCCAAGATTCTTTCAGCCTTAGAAGCTCGGGTGTGAAGAGGGTTCTCCTTTATCACACAGACGTAAAAATGAAACCAAGAGTTTAGGAAATGGACTTGTGCGGGGCTGGTCCAAATGCCTCAAAGTCTTCTCTGTCCTCACTCCTTTATCACCCCCTCAAAGAATAATCTCATTTTCATTATTTGTTGAACAGCTTATTCTTGCGTTCCACACCTTAAAAGAGTTCATTACATACACACGGAGAAAGAGAAGGGAGAAAGAAAGATATAATAAGATCAATTTAAGGACATACTGAGGTCATATAACAGCACAAATATTCTCAAGTGCTCTGTATAATGTGCAGTGGGGATTTTGGGCAGTTTTATTGTGTGGTAGGATCCTCATCTCCGTTGTTTTTTACAGGATTCCTCCAGGCTAAAGTAATAAAGCGAGTAATTAGAATGCTAAAGACAGATGTAAATAACAGGAATGAGACAGCGGTGACAGATGAGCGGCTGGGTCAGGAAGGAGCCCAGTTGGTGGAAATGACACTCTTTCCCCGCTCCGGGTCCCCTCCCCCACCCCATTCGCGTTTTCTCTCTCGGCCTCTCCTCCCTCCTCGCCTTGCCCTCAGGCAGCCGACCGGGGACACACGGGTCAAAATTGCGTTTGGGCGGCGCGGCGATGCGCGGTCTCGGGCAGCCGCGCAGGGGCGTCCCGAGCCCCGGGAGCCGCAGGCTCGTCCAAGGATCCGCCGCGCGGCGGGCGCCTGGGCCCTCCGGGGGCCCCTCTGGGGCCGCCTGGACTCGCAGGTCTCCCGCGCCACCCCCTACCCCATTCCCCGCCTGCGCCCCCTGCTGCGCTCGGCGCGCGTCCTGCTGCAGCCTGCTGGGGACAGCGCACGCAGTGACCGGGCGCGGCAGCCGCTTCCCTTTCCCATCGACCTCGCTGCCTTCTGGCTTTTCTCAAAGCCTTTTCTCCAGAGCCAGACAGCAGACGCCCCGGCGATGCCTTCGCCGCCCATTTGGCCGAGGTAGCCCAGGCCTGCCCTTGCTGCCTCCGCCGGCCGCTCCGCCGCGGCCCAAAGCCGGGGAAGCGTCCCAAGCCCGCGCGGTCTGCCCCGGAGCCCCGGAGGACCCGAATACTCAGCGGAATGTCACCCTGGCCGGGTTCTTTGGATTCCCCTCCGGGGCCATCCTACGGAATCCAGCCGTCCCCACAAGCTACCTCATGTAACTGGAGACCTAAGAAAAGACTCTCCATACCTTTTGACAAAAAGACGTACCAGAAGCAATTTGCCTTTCCAAACCAACCTATCAATCACTAGTCACATAGGAAGGCAAATCCAGTAGGTAATTCCTAAGTGGATGAGTTTTATTTCCCTCTCAACAATTTGAATGGGTTATACGGAAGTTTAAAAATGGTCAATGCTACTAAACCATTATCTTTGACATTAGAGCAAAAGAATAATCAGATCTGATTAAAATCTCATAATGAGCAGGTCCTTTCGTCACTAAACCCCATAGATAATTTGCAGAATTCGGTCGCCAGAGAGACGCTCTTACTGTTGCTTAGAGGAAACTCAATCCTAAAATTGGGGCCTGTTCAGGCTCATTTTAAGGTGAATGTCAATTCTAGCGATATTGCTGCCCTTTGGAGTGACTGTGGTTTAGACAGAAGTGACCGTGCGTCGCCCTTAGCTTTAGAGCATTAAGTGTCCTGAGTAGTCTTCAAATTAACACGTGTGCACACACACCTGAAACAAACAGAAAACTCGAGAGTGAACCAAACTAGCCTAGGAAGCATCTCTACTCTCCACTGGTAATGTTGGGCCTGGGTGTGGGGTATGTGTGTGTGGGCGTGAAGCTGCTTATGGAACAGTGACAAGCACACAGTGTCACTGAAGGATTCCTCTGCTATTTCCCAGATTATTAAAATTAGTTCTGCCCACCAGTGAAGGAAGAAAACCTCTTTTCCAGATTTTTCAAGGAGGCTTGCAAATGGGTAGGGCCAAATAAGAGAATATGTCTTGAGACACCAAGATATAGGCCAATCAATTTTGGTTTTAATCAAACCAAATCGAGAAATGCATTTTCATCATTTGCATCAATAACTGCAATAGATACAGTTCTTAACCTGTTCCCCACCTAATTCTGACTATTATCTTATTTTAACATTTTTTATTTTTAAACAACTGTTTCTTTCTTAAAGAGAAAAGAAAACAAACTGGGGAATATCTGTGGCACATTTATGAAGCTGGCGAGGATGGGAACTATTGCTCTCAGGCTCTGAGATCAAGTCTGTGGGTTACGTTTTTTGAGTCTATTGTTAAATCTATATCTTCCAGATAGAGGTGATAAAAGAATGAGCACTCTTTCCTAGATGAAAAGTTTATCAGCATTGGTGGGTATTGATTAAAGATCACCATAATATTCATGAGAAATTGGAAGCCTACCCTGCATTATATATATATATATATGTATATATATATATATATATATGTATATATGTATATTTATATATATATATGTATATTTATATATATATGTGTGTGTGTGTGTGTGTGTGTGTGTCTTTATGAAACTGGAGATCTGCTCCATTATAAAAGAACTGGCCTTAAAAACTGAATTGGGCCTAATACTAATGCTACTAGAGGTACATAACAGATAAATCCCCTCCGTTTGTGAGTTATTACATTTTATTTTGGAGAAAAAAAAACATTGACATATTTACAAACTCAGTGTGCAGCCTCAGGACCTGAAATGTAGGTCTGACGAGGAATTCTGATCTAGTCATATGTCTGATAGCAATCTTCACTTACATTTCTATGAGAAAGCTTAATATGTTTTGTCTGAGAATCAGAAGCTGGTGCTGTTGGTCCAGGGGAGGGAAGGGTGGGAGCAATGTCTCAGAAAAGGTTATGATGGAAATATGTGGGATGGCCCAATGCTGGGTGTGGATTCCTTATAGCTAAGCCACGGGGCTGGAAATGAGGAAAGGTAGGAGGAGAAGGGTGGGGAGGAGTGAAAAGTCCCCGTTGACTTGGACTTCCTCTGTAGGAAGTGAGAATCATCCACTTTCCCTGTACCTCTGTGAAGGATATTTTCTGTGTAAAACTCTTTTCTGTTATGGAAATCTCAGACTTTAGGTTGCCACTCATTAATGGGTAATCAATTTAGTGGGTTGTGACTAGCATCAATAACATTTAAGAACAAGTTTTTAAAAACAGAGTAGAATACAAACAATCACTGGGGACCACGTGCTGTGAGAATGAGTTTTGTTTGATAAAACTTTAGTTGTATTTATATTTGTATATTTATATTGGGCCATGGCAGAAAATATATTTTTTACTGTGTGTTTTAGTCAAAACTGTTTGAGAACCATTGTGGCTGGGCCTAGCTCACTTCCTACCTTCCCTGAGAATTCTTTCTGAGTCCCACCAGCCCTTAGTGGTTTATCAGTCCTTTTACCCCACTGTCACTTATTGGTGCTACTTACTGAATGCACCTCTAGTGCTTTCCTGTGTTGTTAACTTATCATGTCTATTTCTTTCTAATTGAATTTGAACGGTTTCAAAGGTGTGTATTTTAGACTTCGTTGTATGTTTTATGGTCTCTGAGGTGGTTCTGTACACGATAGTAGTTGATAAACGTAGGTGGCTAATTCTGTGCTTGACAAAAGCAAGTCTGATCTAGGGATGCTTTTCTTTTCTTTTTTTTTTCCAACTTTTATTTTAAATACAGAAGGTACACGTGCAGATTTGTTACATGGGAATATTACGTGATGCCGAGGTTTAGAGTAAGGATCCTGTCACCCAGGTAATGAGCATAATACCCAATAGGTAGTTTTTTAACCCCCACTGCCCACCCTCTGGTAGTCCATAGTGTCTGTTGTTCCCATATTCATGTTCATGTGTGCCCAGTGTTTAGTTCCTACTTATAAGTGAGAACATGCAGTACTGGATTTTCTGTTCCTGTGCTAATTTGCTTAGGATTATGGCCTCCAATTTTTCTTAATGTGTTCTCTGCCTCTGCTAGAGGCTCACTCCTGTCCCCTTGTTACTGGCTCTCATAGTGCTTTGTAATGTCTTCACGATACTTAGTGGAGTTTGACTATAAATATTTATGTGCTGGGTGATTTGTTTCCTCCATCAAAGCTTAGACTTCATTAGTGTAGACCAGGTCTGTTGAGCTCATTTGTACCTAGCACAATCCTTGGCACATGGTCGAAGCTCAATAAACATTTGTTGGCCAGCTGATTGACTACTTGATGGGCTGAATGACATAAGAATGACCAGTCATTGTTCTGGCAGAGGCAGCAGGCCTTTTCTTCCTTGCTGGCAGGAAGGTATTTTGCTAATGAACTTAGGACGACAAGGAAAGACTAAGAACTAATAATTTGAGGAAATTAAAACTTTGCGTGTGTGACATTGTCTTGTCCTTTTACTCCTATTATACTAGCAGTATATTATTTCGTTTCACTTGTACCTGGCTATAGGAATGGGCTCCTGTCTAAGAAACAGGTAAGTGGATGACAGTTTTGCAATTTTTGAAAAACTGTTATGGAGAAAAGGGATTTTATTGTATAAGATTCGGTTTGTAACTTACACTAGAAATCCTTTTTAGAACTTGTAAGTTGTTTCCTTCTTGACAGAATGAGAATCCTTTTTTTATTAGATAAATGAGAGCTGCAACCCTGTGAATTTCCTTTTCTTGGCTGACATATACTGCAGACCTGAGATTTGGGTTAAAATCCAATAGGCCTTTTCAACACACGTTTTTTCGGAGTATTTATCTTTAGTTCTTTAGTCTTCTATAACTTGCTTTTTTATTGTTTGTTTTTAATTTTCTTTTGATTAGGGGCTTTCTGGGTTTATTACACCTATGTCAGCATACTACAAAGGAAATAACATGTGTTGGCTTTGGAATTGGATAGGCCTGGATTCAAATTCTGAACAAATCAGCATTTTAATACTTCTTACCTATGTGATTTCGGAAAAGAAACCTGTCTGTATCTTATTATTGTTGTCTGCAAAATGATATCAATACTACATTCCACATTGTTTTAATTATTGTCTGAAACATCACAGTATTTAGGACATTTTAGATACTCAGTAAGGGTTAGTTCTCTTTCTGTCCATTTATGATATGAAACTTCCAATTTCTTTTGGAAGGAGGTGGGTAGAACCCATGACAACAAAAGAGTTTGGTATGTTAATCTTATATTTTCTGTTCTTTTGAGAACCTTGGAGGATAATCTTGTTTCTCTCAATTACTCCATCTTCACAATTCAGAAAATAATAATCACTATATATTACTTCAGAAAATTATGTTAATAATATTGATGTATACAGTATTTGATGCAGTTCATGTATTACCTTAAGGATAATTTCAAAAAGGTACATGTTTATCTCTTAAAAAGGGATAACCTGATATGCTGAGAACATCATTTCTGTTTTGATTATTAGGTTTTTGCGTTAATAACTAAAAATGTAGAATTTTATTGGTGCTTTAGTTTTAAGTTTATCATGTAGTTATTGAGGAAATTAAAAAAAAATCACATTCTATGCCATCCTAAGCAGTTACAATGTTTATAGAGAAGTATGAAATAGATTACTGCTTCAGCTTTAGATACATAATTCTAAGGACATAAGTAGTGGTTTTAGTAGTATAATGCTAAGATTTCAATACCAGTCAAATAGAACTGGTTAGGGAGGCACACAGGCCTCCAGCAGAACCAGCTATCAGAAATAAGCCAAAGATCTGGGATCTAGGAGGTCGATAATCTGGGAATAAGAAACTAATTCTTGTTACTTCCAGGCAGGCAGGAGTTAAAAATGCAGAGAATGAAGGTCGTTCAAAATATACCATAAACAGGGACACAGACATGAAATGAACAGAGTATTTTTCTCTAGTTTCCTTTATACTTTTTGAACTCCATATATCTGAAACTGAGTTTGAAGGTGTGTTCTGGAAGTAATTGAAATGTAGGGAATTCTGCTACTGAATTCATGATTCAAGTGACATGTAAGACCTTGTATGACATGTGAGACCATATATAATGCTTTTTTTCTCCCACCATGATTCCCGGAATTATTATGTTAATTAGTAAATTGAACATTTTAATCATTACGTTAACAAATCTTTAATAAAGTTCAGATATTTTGAAAGATGCTGGTAATAAAAGGTGTCCTGCCTTTGAAAAGCTTACAGTCCTTTGGCGAGAAGGACACCGGAAAAAAACTGATGAGCAAGTGATGAGTGCTTGTGGGGTTAAGCCCGGAGTGTTATGGCAGTAGAGAAGGTGCTGCGTCAATTTGTATTTCATCAAACGATGATAAACCCACTGTTACCTTCAACCCTGCAACACATACCCTGAGTTAACAGAGGCAGAATGAAGAATTTATTTTCTTCAAAGCCAGTTTTGGCTTATGTAAAACTATAGTTATTTGTTAAAATCATGAGATAATTGCAGAGATGGTTCAAGAAAAGATTGTTTCGCCTTTGAAGCTTGCATATTTTTTCTGTTTCAGTTAGCCATTTCAAGTAGGATACTTTTTGATATACTTGCTCAAGAATTTCAGCTTTATGCACATTCATTGTAAGCATTCTTAGCCAAATGAAAAAACGCCTCCATTCATCATTCCTTTAATGAAAATAGATAATTTCTTTTGGCTTCTAGAAAGCAGAATATTAGAAGAGAAAAAATTTCCTTTCCTTATTTTACAAAGATGGTATGGTTTTATTTTTAGAATCAATCCATTTTTTGAGGAATTTAGTAGGTTGCAAACTTCGAAAAGTTTCTTCTTTACTTTTTTGTGGAACTATATGATTGTATTTTCTGTGCTACCACTTTGAAGATGTTTCACTTTTGTTACCTGCAAAATGTGTCAGTTCAATATTTTGGGAAAATATTGTATTCAGAAGAGAAACAGCTACTGCATGCTTTAACAATTGTGGATGTGAACAGTGAACATTTTGCATGATAACCTCAGAGAGCTAGTAAAGTTAAGAAAATGATAGCATGTCAATAAGCTCGAGTTATCTATTTTAAAAACTATCTGTTTCTGATTTGCTTTTAGTATATAAGAATCTGGCTACTGAAGTTGCCCTACATTTCCCAGCACCTGGGGATCTGTCTTTGGCAGTCAGCGGCCCTGCAGGACTTGGCTAGGAGCCAGGCCACAAGAAAAGGCAGTATGGAAGTCGAATGAGGAGAATTAGTTAAGCTTTTAATTAATTCTCCCTTTCCTGTTATAGGGTTGTATAGAGAATCACTCTTCAGTTGTATTCCAAATACTAAAACTCAGCCACATATCGACAGTAAACAATAAGCATGAAATAGTATGCTAATCTTTAAGGATGACAGTATAGACATATATAGCAAGGCTTTACAGAGATATTCAGCAGACCCAGGGGCCCAGAAGAATTTGTATAGAGATAGAGGGCTCTGAGGCACCTCAAGGCACTGGGAAGTCTACTTCAACTGGTATGCCCACCTTTCTGGGCCTGGAAGGCACAGATGATGATTATTGAAGTAGTAAGACATTCGAACACATTCAGCTGACACATGTGTACATAACTAACTTGGATATATCTAGACACGTTCAGTTTACACTTGTAGACTATTACCTTTGTGAGTTCCTTAGTCTGGGTATGTACTCTGTACCACTCCTCGCTTAAATTTTCTAATTCTTGTAGATCACAGTTTTGAGTGGTCATACACTCAAACTGTGTATGACCAAAGTGGCCACTGTTACTGAAGTCAACTTTTTTTAAAAAAAAAACTAAGAATGCATATTGTTATCATATAAAAAGAAGTCCTGAAGGAGAACATATAAAGTTGGTTAATCCAAAATGGAAGCAACATTTTATCCACTGAAGGAAAGGAAGGAAGTAGCCTATTGCCTAGTGCAATATGAAGCATGATCTACAGAGCAGTATGGGTCATTTGAATCTCAGAACCTTCAGTAAGGCAGACCAGTGTAGGTAGTAGAGGCAGAGGAGTCAGGGATGTGGTTGGCAGCTAAGTCAGCTGCTGGTGATGTCTGTATTCTGTGGAGAGGCTGAGGAACATGTGTGTGTAATAAAGATAATTTGATCTTTATTTATTGTCTGGGGGATTTAGTAGATATTAAGCATGATATAAAAAGTGATAAAAGTTGACTTCTCAGGTTATATTCAAATGACAGGATTTTAACAGCTTTGGTGTTTTTAAAAAAGTCTGTCTCCATATTGTCAAAAGTAAACAACCTCCTTCTTTCCTTCCTTCTCTTCTTTCTCCTTTCCTTTCCCTTCTGTACATCCTACTGCTCTACATCCTATTCTGGATGTCCCCCTTAAAACTCTTTTCCTTCTTAACATAGATTTTATCTGAAATCCATTTTACTTTACAGTGAATATTTTAATTTTAGTTATATAGCAAAATTTTAATAGTTAAAATATTTCTGTGAAAATATAAATTGAAAGTGATTCTTTTTGTTTTTCGTGGTAACATTTTGATTTTATATATTACTTAGTATATGTAGTAAGCACATGGGTAAGCTGAAAAGTTTCAAATTCATCCTGTGAGAAGAACCCTAGAAAAATATAGTTGGCGAGCAATAACAAAAGATGTAGGTTTTATTGTGTCCTGTATTCTGCAGGACAGTAGCTAAGACTTTGTAAAAAGGCTTCCATAGAACGATCAAATGTTATAGTCAAAAGAAGATTGAAAGATGAATTTAGTTCAATCTTCTCATGTTACAGGAACAAACAGGTGATGTGACTTATCTTTGGTCACACAACAAATTAGCAGCATAGTTGGTACTGGATCGACTTCCGGTAGAATGAATCGTTATTAAGTGTCTTTTCTTCAGACAATGACCTCACAAGAAACTAGGATAACATAGGAGGAGGAGCCAAGATGGCCGAATAGGAACAGCTCCGGTCTACAGCTCCCAGCGTGAGCTACGCAGAAGACGGTGATTTCTGCATTTCCATCTGAGATACCGGGTTCATCTCACTAGGGAGTGCCAGACAGTGGGTGCGGGTCAGTGGGTGCGCGCACCGTGCGCCAGCAGAAGCAGGGCGAGGCATTGCCTCACTCGGGAAGCGCAAGGGGTCAGGGAGTTCCCTTTCCGATTCAAAGAAAGGGGTGACGGACGGCACCTGGAAAATCGGGTCACTCCTACCCGAATACTGCACTTTTCCGACGGGCTTGAAAAACGGCGCACTAGGCCAGGCGCGGTGGCTCACGCCTGTAATCCCAGCACTTTGGGAGGCCGAGGCGGGCGGATCACGAGGTCAGGAGATCGAGACCATCCCGGCTAAAACGGTGAAACCCCGTCTCTACTAAAAATACAAAAAATTAGCCGGGCGTAGTGGCGGGCGCCTGTAGTCCCAGCTACTTGGGAGGCTGAGGCAGGAGAATGGCGTGAACCCGGGAGGCGGAGCTTGCAGTGAGCCGAGATTGCGCCACTGCACTCCAGCCTGGGCGACAGAGCGAGACTCCGTCTCAAAAAAAAAAAAAAAAAAAAAAAAAAAAGAAAAACGGCGCACTACCAGATTATATCCCGCACCTGGCTCGGAGGATCCTACGCCCACGGAGTCTTGCTGACTGCTAGCACAGCAGTCTGAGATCAAACTGCAAGGTGGCAGCGAGGCTGGGGGAGGGGCGCCCGCCATTGCCCAGGCTTGCTTAGGTAAACAAAGCAGCTGGGAAGCTCCAACTTGGTGGAGCCCAGCACAGCTCAAGGAGGCCTGCCTGCCTCTGTAGGCTCCACCTCTGGGGGCAGGGCACAGACAAACAAAAAGACAGCAGTAACCTCTGCAGACTTAAATGTCCCTGTCTGACAGCTTTGAAGAGAGCAGTGGTTCTCCCAGCACGCAGCTGGAGATCTGAGAACAGGCAGGCTGCCTCCTCAAGTGGGTCCCTGACCCCTGAGCCCTGAGCAGCCTAACTGGGAGGCACCCCCCAGCAGGAGCACACTGACACCTCACACGGCAGGGTATTCCAACAGACCTGCAGCTGAGGGTCTTCTCTGTTAGAAGGAAAACTAACAAACAGAAAGGACATCCACACCAAAAACCCATCTGTACATCACCATCATCAAAGACCAAAAGTAGATAAAACCACAAAGATGGGGAAAAAACAGAACAGAAAAAATGGAAACTCTAAAAAGCAGAGTGCCTCTCCTCCTCCAAAGGAACGCAGTTCCTCACCAGCAACGGAACAAAGCTGGATGGAGAATGACTTTGATGAGTTGAGAGAAGAAGGCTTCAGACGATCAAATTACTCTGAGCTACGGGAGGACATTCAAACCAAAGGCAAAGAAGTTGAAAACTTTGAAAAAAATTTAGAAGAATGTGTAACTAGAATAACCAATACAGAGAAGTGCTTAAAGGAGCTGATGGAGCTGAAAACCAAGGCTCAAGAACTACATGAAGAATGCAGAAGCCGCAGGAGCCAATGCGATCAACTGGAAGAAAGGGTATCAGCGATGGAAGATGAAATGAATGAAATGAAGTGAGAAGGGAAGTTTAGAGAAAAAAGAATAAAAAGAAATGAGCAAAGCCTCCAAGAAATATGGGACTATGTGAAAAGAACAAATCTACGTCTGATTGGGGTAACTGAAAGCGATGGGGAGAATGGAACCAAGTTGGAAAACACCCTGCAGGATATTATCCAGGAGAACTTCCCCAATCTAGCAAGGCAGGCCAATGTTCAGATTCAGGAAATACAGAGAACGCCACAAAGATACTCCTCGAGAAGAGCAACTCCAAGACACATAATTGTCAGATTCACCAAAGTTGAAATGAAGGAAAAAATGTTAAGGGCAGCCAGAGAGAAAGGTCGGGTTACCCTCAAAGGGAAGCCCATCAGACTAACAGCGGATCTCTCGGCAGAAACCCTACAAGCCAGAAGAGAGTGGGGGCCGATATTCAACATTCTTAAAGAAAAGAATTTTCAACCCAGAATTTCATATCCAGCCAAACTAAGCTTCATAAGCAAAGGAGAAATAAAATACTTTACAGACAAGCAAATGCTGAGAGATTTTGTCACCACCAGGCCTGCCCTAAAAGAGCTCCTGAAGGAAGCGCTAAACATGGAAAGGAACAACTGGTACCAGTTGCTGCAAAACCATGCCAAAATGTAAAGACCATCCAGACTAGGAAAAAACTGCATCAAATAATGAGCAAAATAACCAGCTAACATCATAATGACAGGATCAAATTCACACATAACAATATTAACTTTAAATGTAAATGGACTAAATACTCCAATTAAAAGACACAGACTGGCAAATTGGATAAAGAGTCAAGACCCATCAGTGTGCTGTATTCAGGAAACCCATCTCATGTGCAGAGACACACATAGGCTCAAAATAAAAGGATGGAGGAAGATCTACCAAGCAAATGGAAAACAAAAAAAGGCAGGGGTTGCAATCCTAGTCTCTGAAAAAACAGACTTTAAACCAACAAAGATCAAAAGAGACAAAGAAGGCCATTACATAATGGTAAAGGGATCAATTCAACAATAAGAGCTAACTATCCTAAATATATATGCACCCAATACAGGAGCACCAAGATTCATAAAGCAAGTCCTGAGTGACCTACAAAGAGACTTAGACTCCCACACATTAATAATGGGAGACTTTAACACCCCACTGTCAACATTAGACAGATCAACGAGACAGAAAGTCAACAAGGATATCCAGGAATTGAACTCAGCTCTGCACCAAGCGGACCTAATAGACATCTACAGAACTCTCCACCCAAATCAACAGAACATACATTTTTTTCAGCACCACACCACACCTATTCCAAAATTGACCACATACTTGGAAGTAAAGCTCTCCTCAGCAAATGTAAAAGAACAGAAATTATAACAAACTATCTCTCAGACCACAGTGCAATCAAACTAGAACTCAGGATTAAGAATCTCACTCAAAACCGCTCAACTACATGGAAACTGAACAACCTGCTCCTGAATGACTACTGGGTACATAACGAAATGAAGGCAGAAATAAAGATGTTCTTTGAAACCAACGAGAACAAAGACACAACATAGCAGAATCTCTGGGACACATTCAAAGCAGTGTGTAGAGGGAAATTTATAGCACTAAATGCCCACAAGAGAAAGCAGGAAAGATCCAAAATTGACACCCTAACATCACAATTAAAAGAACTAGAAAAGCAAGAGCAAACACATTCAAAAGCTAGCAGAAGGCAAGAAATAACTAAAATCAGAGCAGAACTGAAGGAAATAGAGACACAAAAAACCCTTCAAAAAATTAATGAATCCAGGAGCTGGTTTTTTGAAAGGATCAACAAAATTGATAGACCGCTAGCAAGACTAATAAAGAAAAAAAGAGAGAAGAATCAAATAGATGCAATAAAAAATGATAAAGGGGATATCACCACCGATCCCACAGAAATACAAACTACCATCAGAGAATACTACAAACACCTCTATGCAAATAAACTAGAAAATCTAGAAGAAATGGATAAATTCCTCGACACATACACTCTCCCAAGACTAAACCAGGAAGAAGTTGAATCTCTGAATAGACCAATAACAGGATCTGAAATTGTGGCAATAATCAATAGCTTACCAACAAAAAAGAGTCCAGGACCAGATGGATTCACAGCCCAATTCTACCAGAGGTACAAGGAGGAACTGGTACCATTCCTTCTGAAACTATTCCAATCAATAGAAAAAGAGGGAATCCTCCCTAACTCTTTTTATGAGGCCAGCATCATTCTGATACCAAAGCCAGGCAGAGACACAACAAAAAAAGAGAATTTTAGACCAATATCCTTGATGAACATTGATGCAAAAATCCTCAATAAAATACTGGCAAAACGAATCCAGCAGCACATCAAAAAGCTTATCCACCATGATCAAGTGGGCTTCATCCCTGGGATGCAAGGC
Organism: Homo sapiens; assembly: GCF_000001405.40. Taxonomy (NCBI): domain Eukaryota; kingdom Metazoa; phylum Chordata; class Mammalia; order Primates; family Hominidae; genus Homo; species Homo sapiens. The sequence continues at coordinate 146,667,313 of NC_000004.12, forward strand.
TGGTTCAATATACGCAAATCAATAAATGTAATCCAGCATATAAACAGAGCCAAAGACAAAAACTACATGATTATCTCAATAGATGCAGAAAAGGCCTTTGACAAAATTCAACAACCCTTCATGCCAAAAACTCTCAATAAATTAGGTATTGATGGGACATATTTCAAAATAATAAGAGCTATCTATGACAAACCCACAGCCAATATCATACTGAATAGGCAAAAACTGGAAGCATTCCCTTTGAAAACTGGCACAAGACAGGGATGCCCTCTCTCACCACTCCTATTCAACATAGTGTTGGAAGTTCTGGCCAGGGCAATTAGGCAGGAGAAGGAAATAAAGGGTATTCAATTAGGAAAAGAGGAAGTCAAATTGTCCCTGTTTGCAGACGACATGATTATATATCTAGAAAACCCCATTGTCTCAGCTGAAAATCTCCTTAAGCTGATAAGCAACTTCAGCAAAGTCTCAGGATACAAAATCAATGTACAAAAATCACAAGCATTCTTATACACAAACAACAGACAAACAGAGAGCCAAATCATGAGTGAACTCCCATTCACAATTGCTTCAAAGAGAATAAAATACTAGGAATCCAACTTACAAGGGATGTGAAGGACCTCTTCAAGGAGAACTACAAACCACTGCTCAATGAAATAAAAGAGGATACAAACAAATGGAAGAACATTCCATGCTCATGGGTAGGAAGAATCAATATCGTGAAAATGGCCATATTGCCCAAGGTAATTTACAGATTCAATGCCATCCCCATCAAGCTACCAATGACTTGCTTCACAGAATTGGAAAAAACTACTTTAAAGTTCATATGGAACCAAAAAAGAGCCCTCATTGCCAAGTCAATCCTAAGTCAAAAGAACAAAGCTGGAGGCATCACGCTACCTGACTTCAAACTATACTACAAGGCTACAGTAACCAAAACAGCATGGTACTGGTACCAAAACAGAGATATAGATCAATGGAACAGAACAGAGCCCTCAGAAATAACGCCACATATCTACAACTATCTGATCTTTGACAAACCTGAGAAAAACAAGCAATGGGGAAAGGATTCCCTGTTTAATAAATGGTGCTGGGAAAACCGGCTAGCCATATGTAGAAAGCTGAAACTGGATCCCTTCCTTACACCTTATACAAAAATCAATTCAAGATGGATTAAAGACTTAAACATTAGACCTAAAACCATAAAAACCCTAGAAGAAAACCTTGGCTTTACCATTCAGGACATAGGCATGGGCAAGGACTTCATGTCTAAAACACCAAAAGCAATGGCAACAAAAGCCAAAATTGACAAATGGGATCTAATTAAACTAAAGAGCTTCTGCACAGCAAAAGAAACTACCATCAGAGTGAACAGGCAACCTACAACATGGGGGAAAATTTTCGCAACCTACTCATCTGACAAAGGGCTAATATCCAGAATCTACAATGAACTCAAACAAATTTACAAGAAAAAAACAACCCCATCAAAAAGTGGGTGAAGGACATGAACAGACACTTCTCAAAAGAAGACATTTATGCAGCCAGAAAACACATGAAAAAATGCTCACAATCACTGGCCATCAGAGAAATGCAAATCAAAACCACAATGAGATACCATCTCACACCAGTTAGAATGGCAATCATTAAAAAGTCAGGAAACAACATGTGCTGGAGAGGATGTGGAGAAATAGGAACACTTTTACACTGTTGGTGGGACTGTAAACTAGTTCAACCATTGTCGAAGTCAGTGTGGCGATTCCTCAGGGATCTAGAACTAGAAATACCATTTGACCCAGCCATCCCATTACTGGGTATATACCCAAAGGACTATAAATCATGCTGCTGTAAAGACACATGCACACATATGTTTATTGTGGCATTATTCACAATAGCAAAGACTTGGAACCAACCCAAATGTCCAACAATGATAGACTGGATTAAGAAAATGTGGCATATATACACCATGAAATACTATGCAGCCATAAAAGATGATGAGTTCATGTCCTTTGTAGGGACATGGATGAAATTGGAAATCATCATTCTCAGTAAACTATCGCAAGAACAAAAAACCAAACACTGCATATTCTCACTCATAGGTGGGAATTGAACAGTGAGATCACATGGACACAGGAAGGGGAATATCACACTCTGGGGACTGTTGTGGGGTGGGGGGAGGGGGGAGGGATAGCATTAGGAGAGATACCTAATGCTAGATGACGAGTTAGTGGGTGTAGCGCGCCAGCATGGCACATGTATACATATGTAACTAACCTGCACAATGTGCACATGTACCCTAAAACTTTAATAAAAAAAATAATAATAAAAAAAAGAAAAAAAAAGAAACTAGGATAACATAAAAGCAGAATAGATTGTTACACGTATTAAGTGCTATATCTATACCTCTGTCTGACTTAGTTTCAAAGCAGTTTTTCGTTTTGCTGACTGTGAGGCTGAGCTCTAAGGGACTGTGGCAAGGAAATAGTCTATTCTGTCCAGGTAGCATAATGAGGACAGGGCAGCCGTTGAATGTGTCTCTGTCCCTGAAGCTGTCACTGCCCTATTGCCCCATCTTGCCTTATTGACCTCTTGACTAGAAGATAATTATTAATGACCTTCCTCATCCTCCAGAGTAGAAACCTGGAGAGTGATGTGAATCACAATGCAGAGGGGTTGTGTTGAGGTTGGGAATGAAGAGGGACAAGTGTGGATTGGGAGTGGGGTGGGTGAGGTCTGCATGCATCAGGGCTTGAGGTCAAGAGACTGGAAGGTCCGAAATGTGGGGAGATGGTTTCTAGAGCTTGTCTTAGTCATACAAAGGTCTAGTTGCTTCTGTTCCATTCTACATAGTTTAAATGTATCCTGACAGAAATAGCTGTGCCTCATGATGTTTGTCCCTGAATACCACAGGTTTTAGATGAGAGAAGCAAATGCTCCCTTCTCCTATGATTGACTAGCTTGTACCCCATTCTGTATGTTTTTTGTTTGTTTGTTCACTTCTCTAGTGTTGGCAAAGGTCCTTGGATCTATACAATTTACAATAATATTTTGAAATAAATAACTGATTTTGGGAAACATCTGGTAAACTTGGGAAGATGAGACATTCTAAGAATACTCATCTGATACTTAAGTGCTTGAGGGTTATAGTTTTGAAATCTTGAAGTTAATGTTTTTTTCCATTAAAATTATACATTTGTTATAGAAAATATAGAAATAATAGAAGAATATTTGTAAAAGATAAATGATCACCTATTGCCTTAGTACCCGAAGTCTCCTAACATTTTCGAGTTGTTTATTTGTTTCTTCTTGTATCTTTTTTCTTTTTTTTTTCTTGAGACCAAGAGACGGGGTCTTGCTCTGTCACCCAGGCTGGAGTACAGTGGCACAATCCTGGCTCACTGCAACCTCCACCTTCTGGGTTCAAGTGATTCTCTTGCCTCAGCTTCCAGAGCAGCTGGGATTACAGGTGTGTGCCATGACGCCTGGCTAATTTTTGTAATTTTTATTTTTTTTAAGAGATGGAGTTGTGCCATGTTGGCCAAGCTGGTCTCGAACTCTTGGCTTGATATGATCTGCCCACCTCGGCCTCCCAAAGTGCTGGAATTACAGGAGTGAGCCACCGTGCCTGGCCTGTTCTTTCATCTTTTCTATCTACTTATTTTTCCAGGTTAGTGTATATACATACATTTGTAGTTTGCTTTTTTCCCCTTAGGTCAGGATTCCCAGTAATAGACAGACTTCAGGTAGCAGGCAGTTTTCTTTATTATGGCGACATCATATTCTATTGTGAGGTTATACCATAATTTACCTATTTTTGTTATTGCTTTTTGTTTTGTCGGGGGGGAGGGGGGTCTTGCTATGTTTCCTAGGCTGGCCTTGAACTCTTGGACTGAAATGATCTTCATGCCTCAGCCTTCCTAGTAGCTGGGACAATAGGTGCCTGCCCAGTTGTTTTTCTCTTATTGGACCCTTAGGTTAATGACATGGTTTGGTATTAGAAATGTTGTTATAGTATACTTCTTGATAAATATGACTTCTGAGTTTGGATTCTTTTCTTGGCATAGATCATGGTAATGAATTTATAGGGTCTTGTTATATGTTGTCAAATTACCTTCCAAAAATTTAACAGTTTACACTCTGCATAGGACATCTGAAGTTCTGTATGTCAAGCCTCCCTTTTACTTCCTCTTCTGGTAAGAGTACCTGTCCTGTTTTGATTTATCTCATCCCAGTGATGGGATTTTGGGGTCTCAGCGTGCTGCCAGGCAGTAACATGCCTTCCTAGATCTTAGCAATTGATATAATGGGTACATGTGACCCAAACTAGCCCAACCAGACTTCTTCCTTTGAGATTTTATGTTCTGAAACTTGAGATGTTCTGTCCTCTGGGGTTCCTAAGCTCTGATAATGTTACTTGGTGGTGTCTGCTGCTAGAATGCCTGACTTAGGGAGGAAACTCTGTGACTGGAGAGAAGGAGGGCAACAAAAAGAGAAGTTGAGACGAGACACTGTGGGTTGGGACTGGGGGACAAAAGAAGAGGAAAAGGAGGTGAGATAATAAGGGGAACAAGAAGAGGGGAGAAGGGAATGGGGGAAAGAAGTAGAACAAAAGAGAGAGGAGAGAGTTGAGTTCTTCTATCCAGTTATTGCTGAGGTCAATTGCATCCATATTCTTTCAGTTCCTTGTGCTAAGACATACTTTCATGTAATAATGTTAATTTAAATATAATTTCTAAGGCTTGTCTCTGAAAGAGTCCTAATTTGCATTCCCACTATTTTCTATAGTTTCAGTTGAAATTAAAAATCTACAGTATAAATTCCCCACTTGACCTTGCACTGACACCAAGTATTAATCATAATCAGCATCAGTATTAATCACAATGGATAGCCAGGCTGGAACGCAAAATGTTAAGTTGCTTATAGGTCGCTTGAACCAAGATTAGTGACAACTTTAACCAGAAATAAATATATTTTAAATTGATATATGAGGTGTTGAATTAGCATTAAAGGTTTACTGGACATTTATTCTTCACCTTAAATTTAATATGATAGGTTTGTAACTCTTTTTCTGTCTTTTCAATACTCTGTAAACCATTTATTTCTAGGTAGAAGGACTCCAGGAAAAGTTCAATTTTTGCTATTATTGGATGCTTGGTTTGTTCACAAAAAAGAAAATCTTATATTTATATCCTTCTAGAGCATCCTATAAATGTACTAGCTTTTTGTAATGTTTGGATTGTATCTGGGACCATATTGGAGGATATGTTGCATTTACGCCAGGTTTCTTGATATGCACCAAAGTGGTTTTGTTGCTATGTGCCATTGATTTGAGCAATACTATTAATAAAAGTCCTTCTCCATAGAGTAAATGTGAGATGGTCTCTGGGAAAAAAGCAGAGGGAGGGGGTGTCTGGGTTAAAATGGTAGGATTCTCAAAGCTGTTAAAGTACTAATTTGCATTATCAATGCTCCAAATGGGACTGCAAAAGGCAGCATTTCCAAAACATGTTTTTAAACCATGGTTTAAAGGATGGTTTAAAACAGGTTTTTAAACCACCTTTTTCACTTAACATTTCACCAGTTATGTGTTCAGTCCAGGAAATAGAGCAGTGAAAAAGATAAAAAGTTGCTTTGCTCTCACAGACTTTGTAGAGCTTACAGTCATTTGCCATGCTGGAACATCAGTACAAATGAGCGCCCATATCATATTAAATATAATCATAAATATCACATAGCAACATAAATATTTAAAAGCTGTACATTAAACTAACTGATTGTTAAAATGTGTTCCATGCTCTTCCCTTGAATGATATATCTGCAAAATGATCTGGAAGGCCAAGCTTTCATTTAGAATTTGGATTATTTGGAGTTTTGTGCACTGATGACAGAGCGCACTTGCTTCTGGCTCCCTGCTTGTGAGCTCCTTTCTCACTTATCTTCCCACCCCAGGAAAGTTTTGCATGGATATCTGGGGATATCACAACCCCTACATCCAGGGTCTACCTCCTGGGCACCCCTCCCCTTACATCCTTTGGGTGTAGGAACTGTGGAGGGGGTGAGATACCTCTTTGGCCCCTCTAAGCTTCTGCTGAAGGGTGAGCCCTGAGGAAGCCAAGGCACCAAGTGTGGTGGGGAGGACTCAGGGTGGGAGCCCCAGCTATCGGGTTCTAAGGATAGTATTGTTTATTACCTATGATTAGCCTGTGTTCTGTGGAACACACTTTGGAAAATGGTTTATCCTTTGTGAAAACAAGGACAACCTCGAGAAGACTAGATGTAGAATTTTTGTTTAAAAATAGTTAGTGTTGCCTTTTGTGACAAGATGCCGATTAGAATATTGGAAGAGTTACCATAAAAGGCTGGAATTGTATTAAATGAACAAGCCACTTTCCCAGAAGTCAGATTTGAACTGTGATGGTTAATATTGAGCGTCAACTTGATTGGATTGAAGGATGCAAAGTATTGTTCCTGGGTGTGCCTGTGAGGGTGTTGCCAAAGGAGATTAACATTTGAGTCAGTGGGCTGGGAAAGGCAGGCCCACCCTCAATCTGGGTGGGCACCATACGATCAGCTGCCAGTGTGGCTAGAATAAAGCAGGAATGGACAGAGCAGACCTGCTGAGTCTTCTGGCCTCCATCTTTCTCCCATGCTGGATGCTTCTTGCCCTTGAACATCAGACTCCAAGTTCTTCAACTTTTGTACTCTTGGACCTACACCAGTGGTTTGCCAGGGGCTTTTGGGCCTCAGGCCACAGACCAAAGGCTGCACTTCAGCTTCCCTACTTCTTCCCTACTTGTGAGGTTTTGGAACTCAGACTGGTTCTCCTTGTTCCTCAGCGTGCAGACAGCCTATTGTGGGACTTCACATTGTGATTGTGTGAATCAATACTCCTTAATAAAATCCCCTTCATATATACATCTATCCTGTTAGTCCTGTCCCTCTAGAGAACCCTGACTAATACATGAACTATAACATATTTTGTCTTAAACCTGGAAGTAATTGGCACAGGTTTCTAAGCACCAAAGACCTACCCGAGAGCACTGGCATTTGGCTCTGTTAGTGCAGCCTAGTCCTTGCTCAGTGTTTGAAAAATAGGCAGCACTTACTAGTCAGTTGAAGTAATGGCCAATAGCAGACAAAAGACAGAAAATGCAAACAGAAGGTAGAAAAACTATAAAAGCATAGTCAGCAGTGGTCAGGCGGTACATAGGAATAAACGACCTTACATCCCTAATCCTTGCTACGTAGGAGTGCATAGAAGCTCCACAAGTCTCCATAGATTTAAACAGTGAAAGTATTTTTGCAATGCTGTTTATTTTTTTAAATGGGGATGTGATGCAATAGATATTTTTACATGCTTAAAATGAAAAGAAGGAAATTGCTTTGAGATAATAGCTTCTGTTGTAATATTCACTTATATGAAATAACGAACAAGGGTATTGATATATTTGTTTAAGAGTTGCTGAAAGCTTCAAGATTAAAGGCATTCACTAACAGAGAATGATCATTTTACACTTAAAATTCTGTGCAGCATGAGTTGTCTTATTTTTTAAAGGAGGCTGTGCTGTGCTTTTTCAGAATCATTTTACTACCACTATGTAGAGTCCCAGGAAGACTTTGGGAGACAAGAGCCTATGTCTTTCTTGATGGATGTACTAGGAATAACTAAGATCACTCCCTGATCAGAATTCCTTTGAACACTTGATGGGAGAATCCTTCCTGCCCACTGACTCATGGGCCTTTTGAGGGTGGAGCAGTGTTTGCTGAATCATTGATGAACTGGCTGGATCATTCATTGCTTATTGGACCTGATTAAACCCTCTTTTGTTTTCTCAGAATATGTTGCAGACATTTTCTGAAAGTGTTTTGTTATCTTATTGTGACAAAATATTTATTTGCCAGTATATTTAGTGGATGAGGAGAGAGAATAATGAGTGTGTTGGTATTATGTATGCACCATGAATTTCAGTTGCTGACAGACATCGTCTATGACAATATTGTGCCACAGGTTTCTTTATTCTTTGCAGTCGAGGTTCAGAAACATGAATTAAACTTGATTGCACAATATCTCCTCATAGAAATTACAAGGAGAATGGCATGCCCTGACAGTGCTTATTTACACAGAACACCCTAGTTCACTGTTTCCCCTCTGGCTTTTCTAAAACAAGCAATTTATTCACAACAGTTTTAAATTTAAAAATCAATATTTCTAATAAAATAGTTTTACACTTTTCATCTTTATGTATGGATGAGTATTGGAAGGGAATCCAAATGAGTTTAAGCAGTAAAGATGATACTATTAATAAAAACCATTCTAGGAAAGTCTATGAAAACCAGCTATTGTTGTTTCTATTTCAACACTAAAGTATATGTGAATGGAGTATAGTGTAACTTTTCATTCATTAACTAGATATTAAGTAGTAAAATTGGCTTCAGGCAAAAAAGTAAATCGATTGTGGTCAAATTAAAAAATGCATTTGGTAGTTTAAAAATATTTTAAAGAGTTTACTCTTTTAAAATAAGTACTGAGTGCTTGTCATTGATGGTATGCTTCAGTAGAACACATTTAGAGAATATTTACTTTGGGGTTCAGGGATTTATAAACTTTCTTGAACTTGCTCAAAATGCTTATATGAAACATTACCTAAATTATTCTCCATTAATTGGGGAAGTGGGATGATATGTTTTTAAAACTTGTGTTAAGTCCTTTTTTAAAGGCATTAATCCCACCCAGAGGGGCAGAGTCTTCACAACTCAATCACCTCCAAAATCTTTATCTCTTAATAGTATCACACTGGTGATTAAGTTTCAACATGAATTTTGGAGGGGACACAAACATTCAAACCATAGCATATACTGTATATGTTATTCTGCACCTTGCCTTTTTAAAGACTATCCTAGTGATATTTCCAAACATGCCTGTAGAAAACACCCTCATCCCTCTCTCCTCTACCTCATTCTCTTCTTTTTGTACCTCCTCCTCCTCTTTCTCCTCCTTTTCCTTCTTCTTCCTCTTCCTCTTCTTTCTTTTCCTCCTCCTCCTCCTCTTCTTTTTACTTCCTTCTACTTTCTTCTTCTCTTCCTCCCCTCCCCCCACCCTCTCCTCCTTCTCCTCCTCCTCCTCATCGTCATCTTCTTCTTCTTCTTCTCTTTTTACTGCTGCATAATATTCCACTGTATAATGTAATCTAATATATTTAACAAATTCTCCATCAATGGATAGCTGGGTCGTTCCAATTTTTGTCTTCTACTAAAATGTTGTAATGAGAAACTACATGTGTATGTAATTTCATATTACTGCAGGTATATCTATAGCATATGAATTTGTATAAGATTAAAAACAAAAGAATGCAAACTCATAGCCTTTGCTTCAGTAGTTTTTGAAACAGACAGCAAAATATTCTGTTTTATTTTGGAAGGGATTAGGAAGTCATAACAAAAACAACAGTATAATTAAGATTGTCTAGCCTAAATATTTTCAAAATGTGCCCTACAGAACCCTGGGGATCTCCAAGATAATTTCAGGCAATTGAAGAGGTCAAATTATTTCATAATGGTACTAAGACATCATTTTCTTTTTTCACGGTTGACATCTGCACAAATGATGCAAAAATAATAGTGGGTAAAACTTTGTGCAGACTGGTACAAATCAACCAGCGGGAGCAAACTGTACTGGTAGCCATTGACTTCTTCACTGCCATGCAATCACATTTTTAAAAAAGTAAATCTCAATTAAGAATATCTAATGAGGCCAGGCACAGTGGCTCACGCCTGTAATCCCAGCACTTTGGGAGGCCGAGGCAGGCGGATCACAGGGTCAGGAGATGGAGACCATCCTGGCTAACACGGTGAAACCCAATCTCTACTAAAAATACAAAAAATCAGCCGGGCGTGGTGGCAGGCGCCTGTAGTCCCAGCTACTCGGGAGGCTGACGCAGGAGAATGGCGTGAACCCAGGAGGCGGAGCTTGCAGTGAGCCGAGATGGTGCCACTGCACTCCAGCCTGGGCAAGAGTGCGAGACTCCATCAAAAAAAAAAAAAAAAAAGAATATCTAATGAAACAGCAAAAATATCTTAATTACATTGAACATCAACACCAAGTCTACTTTAGAAAATATATTGTGTGATCAACATACCAGAATCTCTGGGACACATTTAAAGCAGGGTGTAGAGGGAAATTTATAGCACTAAATGCTCACAAGAGAAAGCAGGAAAGATCTAAAATCAACACCCTAACATCACAATTAAAAGAACTAGAGAAGCAAGAGCAAATACATTCAAAAGCTAGCAGACGGCAAGAAATAACTAAGATCAGAGCAGAACTGAAGGAGATGGAGACACAAAAAAACCCTTCAAAAAATTAGTGATTCCCAAACTGTTTTTTTGAAAAGTTCAACAAAAGAGACCGCTAGCAAGACTAATAAAGAAGAAAAGAGAGAAGAATCAAATACACACAATAAAAAATGATAAAGGGGATATCACCACCGATCCCACAGAAATACAAACTACCATCAGAGAATACTATAAACACCTCTACGAAAATAAACTAGAAAATCTAGAAGAAATGGATAAACTCCTGGACACATACACCCTCCCAAGACTAAACCAGGAAGAAGTTGAATCTCTGAATAGACCAATAACAGGTGCTGAAATTGAGGCAATAATTAATAGCCTACCAACCAAAAAAAGTCCAGGATCAGGCAGATGCACAGCTGAATTCTACCAGAGGTACAAAGAGGAGCTGGTACTATTCCTTCTAAAACTATTTAAATGAATAGAAAAAGAAGGAAACCTCCCTAACTCATTTTATGAGGCTAGCATCATCCTGATACCAAAACCTAGTAGAGACACAACAGAAAAAGAGAATTTTAGTCCAATATCCCTGATGAACATCGATGCGAAAATCCTCAATAAAATACTGGCAAACAAAATCCAGCAGCACATCAAAAAGCTTATCCACCATGATCAAGTCAGCTTCATCCCTGGGATGCAAGGCTAGTTCAACATACCCAAATCAATAAATGTAATCCATCACATAAACAGGACATATGACAAAAACCACGATTATCTCAATAGATGCACAAAAGGCCTTCGACAAAATTCAACAGCCTTTCATGCTAAAAACTCTCAATAAACTAGGTATTGATGGAATGTATCTCAAAATAAGAAGAGCTATTTATGACAAACTCATATCCAATATCATACTGAATGGGCAAAAACTGGAAGCATTCCCTTTGAAAACTGGCACAAGACAAGGATGCCCTCTCTCACCACTCCTATTCAACATAGTGTTGGAAGTTCTGGCCAGGGCAATCAGGCAAGAGAAAGAAATAAAGTGTAATCAAATAGGAAAAGAGGAAGTCAAATTGTCTCTGTTTGCAGATGCCATGATTGCATATTTAGAAAATCCTATCGTCTCAGCCCCAAATCTCCTTAAGCTGATAAGCAACTTCAGCAAAGTCTCAGGATACAAAATCAATGTACAAAAATCACAAGCATTCCTATACACCAATGACAGACAAACAGAGAGCCAAATAATGAGTGAACTTCCATTCACAATTACTACAAAGAGAATAAAATATCTAGGAATCCAACTTACAAGGGATGTGAAGGACCTCTTCAAGGAGAACTACAAACCACTGCTCAACGAAATAAAAGAGGACACAAACAAATGGAACATTTTATGCTCATGGATAGGAAGAATCAATATCATGAAAATGGACATACTGCTCAAGGTAATTTATAGATTCAATAGATTCAATGCTATCCCCATCAAGCTACCACTGACTTTCTTCACAGAATTGAAAAAAAACTACTTTAAAATTCATATGGAACCAAAAAAGAGCCCGCATAGCCAAGACAATCCTAAGCCAAAAGAACAAAGCTGGAGGCATCACACTACCTGACTGCAAACTATACTACAAGGCTACAGTAACCAAAACAGCATGGTACTGGTACCAAAAGAGATATATAGACCAATGGAACAGAACAGAGGCCTCAGAAATAATACCACACATCTACAACCATCTGATTTTTGACAAACCTGTTAAAAACAAGCAATGGGGAAAAGATTCCCTATTTAATAAATGGTGCTGGGAAAACAGGCTAGCCATATATACAGAATGCTGAAACTGGATCCCTTTCTTACATCTTGTGCAAAAATTAACTCAAGATGGATGAAAGACTTAGACATAAGACCTAACACCATAAAAACCCTGGAAGAAAACCTAGGCAATACCATTCAGGACATAGGCATGGGCAAAGACTTCATGACTAAAACACCAAAAGCAATGGCAACAAAAGCCAAAATTGAAAAATGGAATCTAATTTAACTAAAGAGCTTCTGCACAGCAAAAAAACTATCATCAGAGTGAACAGGCAACCTACAGAATGGGAGAAAATCTTTGTAATCTACCTATCTGACAAAGGGCTAATATCCAGAATCTACAAAGAACTTAAACAAATTTACGAGAAAAAACAACCCCATCAAAAAGGGGCAAAGGATATGAATAGACACTTCTCAAAAGAAGACATTTATGCAGCCAACAAACATGAAAAAATGCTCATCATCACTGGTCATCAGAGACATGCAAATCAAAACCACAATGAGATACCATCTCATGCCAGTTAGAATGGCAATCATTGAAAAGTCAGGAAACAACAGGTGCTGGAGAGGATGTGAAGAAATAGGGACACTTTTACACTGTTTGTGGGAGCATAAATTAGTTCAACCATTGTGGAAGATGGTGTGGCAATTCCTCAAGGATCTAGAACTAGAAATACCATTTGACCCAGCCATCCCATTACTCAGTATATACCCAAAGGATTATAAATCATGCTACTAAAAGACACATGCACACGTATGTTTATTGTGGCACTATTCACAATAGCAAAGACTTGGAACCAACCCAAATGTCCATCAATGATAGACTGGATTAAGAAAATGTGGCACATATACACCATGGAATACTATCCAGCCATTAAAAAGGATGAGTTTGTGTCCTTTGCAGGGACATGGATGAAGCTGGAAACCATCATTCTCAAGAAACTATCACAAGGACAGAAAACCAAACACCGCATGTTCTCACTCATAGATGGGAGTTGAACAACGAGAACACAACGACACAGGGTGGGGAACATCACACACCAGGGCCTGTTGGGGGGTGGGGCCTGGGGGAGGGATAAAAATACCTATCCCTAATACCTAATGGAGAAATACCTAATGCTAATGTATATGACGAGTTGATGGCTGCAGCAAACCAACATGGCACATGTACACCTATGTAACAAACCTGCATGTTGTGCACATGTACCCTAGAAACTTAAACTATAATAAAAAAAAGAAAATATATTGTGTGACAAAATGGGAAGTATTCATAAAGTGCTTCTGCATATCAAATTACAATGGTTGACTTGAGGAAAATCACTTGAGAGAATGAACTGTGGGCTGAACTAGCCACTTTTCCCCTATAGGACACCATTTTTACTTGAAATAGGGCTAGTATCTGGCAGACATTTTCTTCAGAATTAACAAAGTGAGACTGACCCTTCAAGAAAATCAATTGACAGCACATGTTGCCAGTGATAAAAATTTAAGGTTTTATGTAACTATTAGAATTTTGGTAAACTTGTGTCTGCTATCAAGAGCTTGATAGCTTCCTAATACTCAAATATTTTCTGATGAAGTTCATAGTAATATTAATACCTGTGATTTAAAAAAGTATTGCATACAGAAATATGTCAACATTTGGGAGACTGACTTAACTTTGTGAACCAATATTTTAACCCACACTTCAAAAACAATTCATGGGTTTATATGCAAGATAAACCAATGATTTTAATGCAACAAAACAGGAAAAATTCAACAGTGTGTTCACATTCAACCAACTTTTAAGAAATTATCGTTTGTCAAATTTTGGTGTAGTATCACAGAAGAATATTATCAATTATCTGAAAAGCCTGTTAAGTTTTCCTCTTTTCCAACTGCATAACTATGTAAGGCTGGATTTTCTTCAAAACAAGATATTGCAACAGATTGAATACATAAGCAGATATCAAAATTCAGCTGTCTTCTGTTATGCTAGACATTAGAGATTTGCAAACATGTAAAATAATTCTCACTAAATTTTTTATTTAGGAAATATAGCTATTTTTCATAAAAACATGTCATTTATGTTAACATGTAATGGGCTTATTATATTACTGTAAAACAAATAAATATTTAAAATTTTCTGTTTCAATATCTAATATGATAGGTATCAGTATATATAAGTCACACAAACAAAAGCTCTTTAGGGTCATAATATGGTTTGGCTTTGTGTCCCCACCCAAATCTCACCTCGAATTGTAATCCCCAAGTGTGGAGGAAGAAACCTGATGGGAGGCGATTGTGTTATGGGGGCAGTTTCCCCCATGCTGTTCTCGTGATAGTGAGGGAGTTCTCACAAGATCTGATTGTTTAACAGTGGCAGTTTCCCTGCATTTTTTCTCTTTCTTGCTGCCTTGTGAAGAAGGTAATTGCTTCTCCTTCACCTTCCACCATGATTGTAAGTTTCCTGAGGCCTCCCCAGCCATATGGAACTGTGAATCGATTAAACCTCTTTCCTTTATAAATTACCCAGTCTCAGGCAGCTCTTCATAGCAGTGTGAAAACGGACTAATACAGGTCATCAGTAATTCTTTTGAGGCTCAAGAGCCATGAAATTAAGAAGTTGAGAACCATTATTCTTGCTATTCTGTGAGGATTGGGCAATTTGAAAATAGGTAAGGTCTGAAGGTTCAAGGCAAATTATTCATTTTTTAAAAAAATATGAATGATGTATTCTCTGAGTCAGTAAAATTATCACAAGTAGAAATTTCTTTGCTTTAGAATAGTGTACACACTGAACTAAAATATTATGAAAAATTTTTGTCTTTTCCTATATCTATTTTTACCATTTTGATTTCAGCCAGATAGTCATATAATTTATTCATTTATAGCAATACCTTTTATGCCTGAAATAACCTTGTTTTTATTCTTTAATTCAGAATTCACCATGAAGCTCACTTTGTCCAAATCCATTTTGAAGGACTGCTCTTACAAAGGAGGATAAATAGGGAATGGGGTTTATCCCATTGGTTATGAGTGATGGTTGCCTAAGGGGCTGCTATGAAGTGTTGGAAGTGTCAGTGGGTTATAAGATGAGAATAAATCATCATTATCAACAGGAACAAGAGCATTCATGGCATGATTCATTGAGGGCCGTTATGTTTCATCTCTGTTTTTTGTAGGCATACAAATTAAAAGTTTGAAGATGAAGAATTTGTGTATGTATTTATGTGAATATGGCATAAAGTTCTGTCTAGGAGATAGATACTTGGCCTATACTTCTTTTTAGGGATACACCATAGTTGGTGTTAGCCTTAGTATTTGGCCAAAATTTTTGTCTTTGTGTCAGGCCACAGCTTTTGGAAAGCTGAGTAGTTCAACGCGTACTTCAAATGTCAGCTCTAAATGTTTGCAGGATCACTGATGTAAGTGTATAGGATAGTAGTGCATTAAATCAGCATTACACTGCCAATAGCATAAACAAGACAAATAATTCAGATTTATTGTTACTAGCTGAATAGTCACTTTCAAATATAGATATGTATTTTATAAGCACTTTTGAATGAAAAATATCTCTATATGCCTTAAATGTTGACAGTCTATAGGTTTGTTGAAACATAAATGTAAATGTTATTGCAAGAGTCAAATGCAGCAAAAATTAATGATGATTGTGAAAACTGTTAACTTTATATCCAAAAATTACCAGGCCATTTCAAATAATAAGTATATAAAGAAATAGATTTAAAGTAAAGGTTAATGTTAAGAGAGAATATATTAGCTAGATAACCTTAATAAGAATATTTATCTTATTAGAGCCAGTAAATATTTATAAAATTGAAATAATACAAGAAACAGTAATAGAAATCTTATCATTAAGATTACAATCTTTGGAAATGTTTGTCGTATTAACATTAAATTATCAAAGAAAATAACCTTCAAAATTATACTAGTATTTTGTAGTTATTTAGTTCTATTTAGGCCATGAGTCTTGCAGGAAAAAGTTCTCCATGGGAATGTTTCACATCTTGAAGGATGAATTAAAAACAAAATTAAGTTTGCCTTGTTAAAATTTCACAAGGCAGGAAAACAACCCAAATCATGTACAACAACATCTGTGATAAATCTTCTTTGATCTAGACACAACAAAGAATATAAAGAATAAAGGAGGAAAGTGTTAAAGAAAAATGAGGAATTCCTAAAATATCATGTTTCTCTACCAACCTCAGTTGAAAGAGTGTGTCTATTTAGTATCACAGATAAGCCGTAGCGTGAAAGCAGGAGCAGTCTAGCAGCTGACAGTACTGAGAAATGGTTCTTCCTCTATTATGTCAAATTTTCAAAATTTTACTGCTGGTTTTAATGATAAAATTATAATGAAATAATTTTTGGGTAACATTCCCAAGTTTCTTACATCTGAGAAGTCCAATCTCTGATGGTGAATATAGGCGTAGGTCTTGGTTTTGGCTGAATATTGATTTTAACATTAGTTCCTTCTGCATTATCTCATAATTTGTCCTTGATACACTTCTTCTTTACAACATTCCTCCTCCAATGTTTAATAAATAAAAAAGGAAGAGCTCACAGTCCTACAAATGAGATTGGACATACTTTCCCTCATGTTTTTCTTTGTTGTTTCATTATTTTTTCTTCTATGAAATGCTTTTTTTTGGGGGGGGGTATTTATATATTTTTCTTAGAGTTCTGTCTATGCTTGTTTTATAATTCATTTTGTGTCTTGTTTTCTTTACACTCTTGGTATCTTTTGATGAACAGAAGTTGTTTATTTTAATTTGTCAAATTTATTGATATCTTTTGTTTAGTAATTTTGTTTGAAAAGTTTTTTTCAAACCTGATGTCATAAAAATATTCTATAATTATCTGTAAAAGTTTTCAAATTTTGTTCTTCACATACAAGTTTTTGATCCATTTGAAATTATTTTTTATGTATGTGTTAAGGCAAGGATCTAATTTTGTTTCCATTTGAATAATCAGTTTTCCTGGTGCAATTTATTCAGTTGTCTGTTTCAGTAATTTTCATTGCTATCTCTGGCATCTCCGTGTGGTCCTGTTTTGGGCCTCTGTTCTATTCCATTGGTCAATTTATCTTTCCCTTTACCAATACTACATTTAAAAATTATAATAGGTTAATAATAAATCCTAATTTTAGTGCAAAAGTGTTTGCCCACATTGCCCTCTACCTCCTCCTTCCTTAACAGTGTCTTGACCATTCATTCATAAGCTTTGCTTTTTCTCATACATTTAAAATCGGGTTGCCAAATTATTTGAAAATTCTGCCATGATTTTTGTTTATTGATGTAATCTTTACAAGCAGTTGAAGACAGCTTTTAAATGTACAACTCAATGAGTTTTGAAAATTGTGTCACCTTACCTAACCAATATCCAATCAAAATATAGAATATTTCTATCACCCGGAAAGTTCCCTCATGCCCCTTTTTGAGTCAAGCCTCGAAGCAACTACAGTTCTGCCATCTATTCTGATAGATTAGTTTTGTGTTCCTGAATTTTAAGTAAATGAATTCAGTTCTCTTTTGTGTCTGATATTTTTCTCAACATAATGTTTTTGAAATTCATTCATGTTACTGAGCATACAAAATTTATTGATTTGATTCATTGATATATTCATTCATGTTTTGTAGTTTTTTTATTGTTGAGTATTATTTCATTGTGTGGATTTAGCACAAATTGTTAGTCTATTTTCTTGCTGATGATCATTTGGGCTGTTTCATATTTTTGGCTATTATGGATAAAGCTGCTATAGATTGTCACATACAAGTCTTTGTATGGACATACATTTTTATTTCTTTTGATAAGTACCTACAAGTGGAGTTGGAGGGTCATAGGGTAGGCATATGTTTAAATATATAATGAACTGCTAAACAGTTTTCCAAAGTGGTTGTAACATTTTTAATTCCCACAACCAATGCATAGTTGCTCCATATCCCTGCCCAATGTTTGGAGGTGTTCATCTTTTAAATTTTAGCCAATGAGAAAAGTAACATCTTGTTGTGCTTTTAATTTGCATTATGCTTATGACTAGCAACACTGAACACCTTTCCATGTGCTTATTGTCCATTCATAAATGTTTTGTGAGATGTCTGTGCAAGTCTTGCCTATTTATGAAATTGGAATGTGTGCCTTGTTATTAGTGAGTTGCATGACCTCTTTTTATATTCTGGATATAAGACCTTTGTTATATATTTGCATTGTGAATAATTTACCCCGGTCTGTGGTTTTAATTTTTATTATTTTTATTTATTTATATTTTTGAGATGGAGTCTAGCTCTGTTACCCAGGCTGGAGTGCAGTAGTGCGATCTCAGCTCACTGCAACATCTGCCTCCCGGGTTCAAGTGATTCTCCTGCCTCAGCCTCTGGAGTAGCTGGGACTACAGGCACGTGCCACCACGCCCAGCTAATTTTTTTCTATTTTTTTTCAGTAGAGATAGGGTTTCAACGTATTGGCCAGGCTGGTCTTGAATGCTTGACCTCAGGTGAGCTGCCTGCCTTGGCCTCCCAAAGTGCTGGGATTACAGGCGTGAGCCACCGTGCCTGGCCAGTTTTTAAATTTCTGTAATACTTAGTGTTCATTAACAGCTGAGGGCTGCTAGTTTTGATTGTCTGTGTTTTTGTTTATCTGCAAATGTCTTCAATCCACTCATTTGGGGTATATTCACTCAACAAAGAGTGAGTGAATATTTCAAACTTTTTTTGAAAGTTTTTTTTCCTTTAGTAGTTTACAAATGTTATTTGTCTCTTGGCTTCCATTATGTCTGATGACAAGTCTGCCATTATTTGTATTGTCTTTTTCTCTGACCACTTTTAGATTTGTTGTTTAACTGGTTGTCAGCAGTTGACTTTGACATACACACATGCTCTCTCCTGTACACTTATTTTGTTTGGGGTTCATGGAGAATGTTGGATCATTAATTTGATGTTTTCCACCACATTTGGCCAACTTTATTTTATTTATTTATTTTGTAATATATGTATATTTTGCCTTATTTTGTCTCTCCTCTCCACCTGAGACTTTAGTTACTATACACACACACACACATATGTATGTCTATATGTATGAATGTGTGTGTTTGTGTGTGTGTGTGTGTGTGTGTGTTATACCATTTTATATTGTCCTACAGGTCACCGAGTCTCTATTAATTTTTTTTTTTTTGAGATGGAGTCTCACTCTTGTCACCCAGGCTGGAGTGCAATGACGCAATCTCAGCTCACTGCAACCTCTGCCTCCTGGGTTCAAGCGATTCTCCTGCCTCAGCCTCCTAAGTAGCTGGGATTACAGGTGCCTGCCACCATGCCTGGCTAATTTTTGTATTTTTAGTAGAGACAGCATTTCACCATGTTGGCCAGACTGGTCTCAAACTCCTGACATCAGGTGATCCACCCGCCTCCCAAAATGTTGGGATTACAGGCATGAGCCACCGCACCTGGCCATCTCTGTTAATTTTTTTAAATCATTTTTTTCTCTCTTCTAGTAGACAATTTCTTTGATTTGCCTTCAAATCCACTATCACTTTCTTCTGTAGTCTTCACAATGCTGTTAAAAGAATTTGTGCCTTATATATTTTCCATTCTAGGACTTCAACTCTTTAAAAAAATAGTTTCTATTTCTCTGCTGAGATTCCTCATGTGTTTACTAATTATGACCATCTTTTTCTTTAAGCTCATGAATACATTTATAATATCTGCTTTAAAGTTTGTGTCTGCTAATACCAACATCTGGATCATTTCAGGACTGTGTCTGTTGCTTGCTTTTGTTTTTTAGTTTTGAGTCATATTTTCTTAATTTTTTACATCTAGTAATTTACTATTGTATGCTGGACATTGTCATGGTACATTTTTAGGATACTGGATTTTTTTTTTCTTTTAAAGGCCGTTGAGAATTGTACTTTAGGACACAATAAATTACAGCAAATACTTTTGGTCCTGACAGGTATGCTGTGATTTTTTTCCCCTTTATTCAATTGCTTGGGAAATTTACAAAATTTCTCATATGTGTGTTTACACACATCTATTTGCATGAAGTTGAAACATATTATACTACTTAAAGACATTTTACCATTCTTTTCTATTATAATTTTTATATAATTAATCTATTATTAATTTCTTTGTTAGTATAGTCCGTTTCCTTAATTACATTGTATGCCTCAGGGACTGACTTTTATGTTATATTTCTTTGTATAATTATGGCATTTGACACACAGCTGGCATTCAATAAGAGTAATAACTTCTAGTGAATATAAAAAATGCTTTACCGTGGTTACTCCAGTATTTCTTTCATAGCTAGTCTTACTCTACTTTTGAGTATTATACATTGAGTTTGTTAATTCATGCGCTCATATATCCATTTATCAATCCATTCAACAAATCTTTATTGAGGACCTACTATATGCCAGTTCCTGTGGTGATACTATGGCTACAACAGTGAATAAGATGAACAGTGTCCACATCCTCATAGAACTTATAACTAAACAGGGGAGACAAATAATAAACAAATAATCATGGAAAATAAAACTAGATCGTAGCTTATCATGAAAAAATAAAGCAGAGGAAAGGGATGAAGAACAAAGAAGTTAGTTATTGTGGTGATGATGAGGCATGTGTGTTTTTAAAAATAGGGTTGTGAGGAAAGTGTCTCTAAGTAGATGACCTCAAACTGCAGCAATTAAATAAGTGTATATAAACAGAATAAGGGGCTAATTATTAGGTGTGATTCCAGGAGCATTACAAAGGCTGCTGTCCCCCATAAATTCTTCTGAAATCCAGCTGTCTATACTTTGCAACTTTATCTTAAGGCTTTGTTGCCTTAAAATGCAAATCCTTAAAATGTAGTTATGACTTAAGTGTTTAAGTGTCAAATACTTTTGTGTGAATGAGCTTCAGATTTTTTTTCTGAAGAAGTGAAAATAGAGCAAAAACATAAGGAGTTAGCATGGTGTAATAGTTAGGAGCATATATTGCCAGGGTTTCAAGTTCTGGCTCTGCCATTTACTAGCTGTATGAGCTTGAAGTAGTTGCTTAATATCCTTATGCCCCAATTTCCTGAACTGTAAAATGGTGATAATAATAGTGCCTACCCTCGTATGGTTGACATGACGATAATACCTTGTATTTTCAAAATCTGTAGGGCCCCTGTCTATGAGAAGATTATCCATCCCTTCTTCATTGTCAGGTTTGGCCAAGTCACTTTTTTGGCCTGTAAAATGTTAGTCTAACTGCTGTATATAACTTATGTGCAGAAATTTCAAGAGCTCACTGCAGCCATTGCATGTTTCTGCCATTCTCTTTTTTCTCTCTACCATGAGAATGGTGATGTCTGAGATAGGGTTCTCCTCAACATGGATCCTGTACTGAAGAGGACAGGAAGCAGAACCACAGTCAAAGCCAACATACAATGTAGTGAGGAATAGATCTTTCTTGTTGTGAGCCACTGAAATTCAGGATCATTTCTTACTGCTGCCAGACTTATTGTAATCTTACTGATATAAATTGTTATTTCTAACATGCTTACAACAGTACCTGGCACACAGTGCACCCTAAATAAATAAACACATATCATCTTGAGGGAGGCTAGCTTTTGAGAAGAGAATGTAATAGAACTGTAAGACCGAGGCACCTAAACCAGACTTTCTGGCTACTTTCTGATTCTTTAATAATTTTGTGCTATAGAAGTAGGACACAATGATGTACCATTGTTCCTGATATCTGAACCAGATATTAGAAATAAGATGATGGAGTTGAATGATTTGCTTATGGGATGCACTGTCACTGTTTCCAAAGTATTTCTTATGGAGTCTTCACTCTCCAGTACCTATTTACACTTCTTAAGACTAAGTATTATAGGGTCTATTGAAAAATATGTACACAATGCTTATTACAGTGTTCTCACAAAACAATCGCTTCTTGATACTTGTTAACTAGGTAACCATAAGAAAAAATTAAATTGTTAATCTTGATGGTTTGAAAAAAAGGAGAGTTTCTGTTTATACTACATGTTATGAGAGCGACCATGGTTTTCCTAATCCCATTCTGTTTGCTTGGTTAGCTAAATTATTATACTAAATGCTAAAGCTTATATTTCCACTTCGATGTTTTAAAATTGGAAATATGGTTATTTCTAAGCTATTTTCCCATGAGTTAGCTGGGTAAAAGAAAGATGAAGAATGCTCTTTTTAAAAAATGCTTGTGTCTACTAAACTAACAACAAGTTTAAGAACACAGTTATGCACTGCATAATGATATTTTGATCAATGACAGGTTGCATATATGATGGTAGTCCCATAAATTTATCATACTGTATTTTTACTGTATCTTTTTTATGTTTATATATGGTTAGATACACAAATACTATCGTGTTACAATTACCTACAGCACTCAGTACAATAACATATACGGTACAAGTTTGTTGCCTAGGAAGATAAAGCCTAGATGTATAGCAGGCTATACCATCTAGGCTTGTGTAAGTGCACTCTATAATGTTTGCATGATGATGAAATCCCTAATGATACATTTCTCAGAATGTTTCTCCTTTATTAAGCAACTGTATATTAAAAGTTAATCATAGCAATACTCTTTACAAAAGAGTAGATTACTTGAAAATTAAATAAATTGTGATTAAAGAATAATGTTAAACTTGTACACTGTTGGTGGGAATGTAAATTAAGATAGCTATTATGGAAAACGGTATGGATGTTCCTCAAAAATTTTAAAAAGAACTACCATAGGATCCAGCAATCTCACTACTGGATACATATCCAAAAGATATGAAACCAGTACATGGAAGAAATATCTGCATGCTCATGTTCATTGCAGCATTATACACAATAACCAAGATGTGGAATCAACCTTAGCATCCATCAACTGGTGAGTAGACAAAGGGAATGTGAGATATACACACAATGGAGTACTACTCAGCATCAAAAAAAGGAAACCCTGTCACTTCAACAACATGGATTAACTTGGAGGATGTTGTGTTAACTGAAATAAGCCAGGCAGAGAAAGGCAAATACTGCATGTTCTCACATACGTGGAACTGAAAAAAGCAGAACGTAAAGAAATGTAAAGTGGTGATTACCAGATGCTAGAAGCTAGTGGTATGGGAAAATGTTGATCAAAGAACTCAAAATTTCAGTTAGATAAGAGGCATAATTTCAAGAGATCTATTGTAAATTATGATGACTGTATCTGCTAACAATATGTTATATGCTTGAAAATTGCTAGGAGGGTAGTTTTTAAGTGTTTTCACCACAAAAAGTAAATAATATGAAGTAATGCATATGTTAAATAGCTTGATTTAGACATTCCACAAGGTATACATACATCAAAACATCATGTTATACACTGTAAATATATACAATTTTTATTTGTCAATTAAAAAATCATGTTTAAATTTGCCTGAATAATTTCCCCTTTGAATCACTAAATAACATTAAAAATGTCTAAGTTCTTAGAAAACACTCTACAGATAGTCTGGAAATGGAACAGCTGGAGGAAGTTTACTGCAAACTTGTAATCATTTGTTTTGTACATTATTCCTTATTAAATGTTTACAATTATCTTTTAATTAAATGTCATTTAATTATATCCAAAGGTATGTTGTCATCAAGATTAATAAGGAAGAAATTTAACCAAAACCAAATGAAATATCAATAAACAAGTAAGAAAAAGTAGTGTCTTTGTTCTATTTTCTTATATTTTCTGTCTTTTTTGTAAACAGGGTCTCTATGTTGCTCAGGCTGGAGTGCAGTGGGTATTCAGTGGCACAACTATAGCAAATGGTAGCCAGGAGCTCCTGGCCTCAAGCGATCCTTCCACTTCAGCTATCCAAGTAGCTGTGACTACAGTCTCATGCCACTGTGGCCAGCAATATTTCTTTTTGACTGGAGACTGGAAGGCATCAATATTTTTTCTTTTACTTCCTAGTAATTACTCATTATATAGGTAAGCTTGGAAAATATAATATTTACCTGTGTGTCCACCATTTACCTTTATTAACTCTTTCTATTAATCTGTATTTACTTCAGTTAGGTATTTTAAAAGAAATGCAGTACAGATATAATTGCCGCCTTATGTATATCCCTCCATAATCCCATTTTTCTCCTTCCCTCTATAGAGGTAATCATTATTCTGAATTTGTTGTTAATTATTCTCAGGCTATTATATATATGTAAAATATATAGCATTGTTTTACATGTTTTGAAATTTTGTTAAAGTCATACAGTGTACACATCTTTCTGAAATTTTTTGTACACAATTATATTTTTGGAGATTTGTTCATGCTGATACATGTACCTTTCGTTCCTTCATGAACTGCTGCATATGATTTCCATTGTATGAATGCTTCCATGTATCCATTCTCATATTAATAGATATTTTCTAGTTTTTACTTACCATAAACTAGGACGTAATATATATTCTTAGTCTGTCTCCTTATGCATTTGTGAGACAGTTTCTTTGAAGCATGTTCTCAGAAATGGAATTGCTGGTTCATAAGAATCTTTACCTCTACTAGATATTGCCAAATTGCTCTCTAAAGTGTTCTATTTCTCCACATTCTCACCAACACTTGGGGGTTATTAGAATTTTAAATTTTTTGCCAAATTGGATGAGTATAAAATGTTATCTTTTTTAATTATGCATTTTCCTGATTAGTAACTGTAAGGGTATTTATATTAATATTTTATATTTTATTTCATTTTAATATATTATAAAATAATATTTTATTTTAGTATTTCATATTAATATATTTCATATTTTATTGGCTATTTGGTGTTCTTTGTCTATGAATTGTCTGTTCTTATACTTTGCCCATTTTTCTATTTTGTTGTCTTTTTCTTATTGATTTGAATGTTTTGTTCAATTCTAGATACTAATATTTTATTAGTTATATGTATTACAAACTGTTTTATATTTACTCTGTTAATGCTATGAGTTAGGAGCAGATGGGCATGTGTACCCAAACAGACTTTTGCCTGTGTGTTTATTACCAACTTGTTTGAGTCCGGTGAGGCAGATTATCTACATACACAACAAGCTACATGAAGCAAATTTATTACTTACACATAGGCAGCAAGGGACAACAGAAACGTAAGATTCAGAGTGAGCTGGTCCTCCAAGGCTCAGGAAATCTTCCAGGGTCACATGGAGTCTCAGCTGTGTGTGCCTTACTTGTACCACAGCTGAAGGACTCCCAAAAGCAGCCCACCCAATGTTATATACCCCAGGGGCAAGTTGACATGCTGGGCTAAAGCACTGAAGGACATCCTGTTTCTAGGGAAGACAGGAACAGAGCCCAGGCTGTGCCAGCCAGTCCCTCCCCTATCTCAGGATGTTGCATTCCTAGAACATTCTACAGTTATTCTTGAAAACTACAGCTAAGAAGAGGGGAGAGAATTGGGTCTATCCAAGGCCACCCAGAGAACTGTCCTGGCACTGTATTTAACCATATTCTTTTTATTGTTACTTTAACAAATACCAGCTTTATGGAGGTAAATTCATACACCATGAAATTTACTCTTTAAAAAGTGTACAGTATGGCCAGGTGTGTTGGCATGTGCCCGTAGTCCCAGCTACTTTGGAGGATGTAGTCCCAGCTACTCACAAGGCTGAGGCAGGAGGATTGCTTGAGGCCAGGAGTTTGAGTCCAGCCTGGGCAACATAACAAGATCCTATATCTAAATAAAAAGCATACAATTGAGGGGTTTTTAGTATATTCACAAGACTGTGCAATCAGCCTCACTATCTGATTTCAGAACATTTTCCTCACCCACAAAAGGAACACTACACCAATTAGCAGTCACTCTCTTATTTCCCTTTAAATCCTCCCTGTCCCAGGCAACCATTAATCTACTTTCTGTTTTTATGAATTGCCTATTCTGGATAGTTTTTGTAAATGAACTCATACAATACGTGGCCTTTTGTGTCTGGCTTGTTCTACATAACATATGGTTTTCAAAGTTCATCCATGGTGTATGTACCATGTATACAACATGTATATATATATTTTCAATACTGAATAATATTTCATTGTATTGATATGCCAAATTTTATTTACCCATTCATCAGTTGTTGGACATATGTGTTGTTCCACATTTTGGCCATTATGAATAACGCTGCCATGAACATTTATGTACACATTTTTGTTTGAACATATATTTTTAATTCTTTTGGGTAGATACTTAGGATTGTAATTACTGGGTCATAAGTTAACTCTATGTTTAACTGTTTTTTTTTTTTTTTTTTGAGATGGAGTCTGGCTCAGTCACCCAGGCTGGAGTGCAGTGGCATGATCTCGGCTCACTGCAAACTCTGCCTCCTGGGTTCATGCCATTCTCCTGCCTCAGCCTCCCAAGTAGCTGGGACTACAGGTGCCTGCCACTACGCCTGGCTAATTTTTTTGTATTTTTAGCAAAGATGGGGTTTCACTGTATTAGCCAGGATGGTCTCGATCTCCTGACCTCGTGATCTGCCTTTCTTGTCCTCCCAAAGTACTGGGATTACAGGCGTGATATGTTTAACTTTTTGAGGAGCTTCCAAACCTTCCAAAGCAGCTGTACCACTTTACAGTACTACTAGCAATGTATGACGTTTTAATTTCTCTACATCTTCTACAACACTTGCTATTATTCACCTTTTTTTCTTATTGCCATCTAAATGGGTGTAATGTGCTATTCCATGATAGTTTTGACTTGCATTTCCCCTGTGCCTAATGATATTGAACATCTCTGTGTGTACTTACTAGCTACTTATGTATCTTCTTGGGAGAAATATATATCAAATTATTGTTTCATTGTAAAATTGGGTTATTTGTCTCTTTAATTGCTGAGTTGTAAGAGTTCTTTATATGTTAATTTTCTTTATTTTAAGCATAAGAAAATTAATGTGCAGGGAGGTTAAGTAACTTGCTTAAAGTCATATAGGCAGTATATAAATGTTTTATACAAAACATGGCAATGCTTTTAGAATTAAGGGCACTATGAATTCACTGTAATTATCTGCTACTTAGAAATTTGTCAGGATTTTTGGCTTGGAGTCCTAGTGGCTACCATATCCCATGACAAAACGTTTGGATGTGCAGTATTGGGCATACAGTGAGTGTTGTGTGTTGTTGGGCTTATAGAGATTCTTCTTGACATGATTTTGCTAGTTCCGTCATGAGTAAGTGATTTTATGGTAAGAAATTAGACATCTAAGATGAATATTTCTCTCTGGGAATGAATTTTTTTCCTTATTGTTACTTAATAAGTAATTTCAGGTTCTAAATTTTAGTTTCAAATATATGCATTTATAAATATGTACTTTTTCATGAATCATGGATCTATAATTTCTTCCTTTTGGTACTGGTATGCTTTATGTTAAGATAAATTAACAAAATTTATTTCCTTTTCCTATACTCAGACTTACTGTACTTATATTTTGAATTGTCTATCTCTATTTTGGCTCTTATTCTTTAACTACTATCCATATTCTGTTGACTTACAAATTATTATCTCTAGACTGATCTCTATTCTGAATCCTGAACTTTCATGTCTAATTGTCTCTTTAACCTCTCCTGTAGGAAGTTTAATAAACATCTTTAAACTTGTGTCTAAAATAGAGCTCTTGATTTCACCTGCAAAGTTTGATCTTCTTGTAGTTTTTCTCATCTTAGTAAGTAGTACTGCTAATCATACTAATCACTAAGTTACTCAAGACAAATCTTTAGGATCTATCCTGCTGATCTTCCCCTTTGTTTTACCATGATCCCATCAGCAAGCTTATGGATTGTTGCTTAAAGTATCTTTTAAACCATTTGCTTTCGTCCATTTTCACTGATACTCTTATTCTTAGTGACTCATCTACACTCGCTTGGACTTCTATAGTAGCCTTCTAACTGGTCTTCAAGGTTCCACTTTTGCCCTCCTATAATCTCCTCCCTACACAACAGCCGAAGTTATCTTTCAAAAACAGATAAGTTCACATCTCTTCTAGGTTCAAAAGTTTTGAATGTCTTCTCATTGGTATTTAGGATAAAATCTGAATTCTTTACTCTGGTGTAATGACACTTATATGTATCTTAGTCCATTTCTGTTGCTGTAACATAATATCACAGACTGGGTAATTTATAAAGAAAAGAAGTTTATTTAGCTTATGGTTCTGGAGGCTGAAAAGTCCAAGGCATGGCAGCAGCTTCTGGCAAGGACTTTTGTACTGTGTCATATCATGGCAGAAATGTGGAAGGGCAAGTAAGCACATGCAAAAGAGGCCACAAGTGTGAGGTGCGCTCACTCTTACGATAACAGCATTAACCCCCTCTTAAAGGCTCCACTTCTTAATATTGCTACAATGGCAATGTTTCCAACACATGAACTTTTGGGGGTACACATTTAAACTATAGCAATCGGTACCTGCCTGTTTCCTTAATTTCATCTGGTGCTACTCTCTCCCACTCATTTATTGCAAGTACATGATCCTTCTTATATTCCATAGACAATTGAAACTCTTTCTTGCCTTAGAGAATTCACATTACTGTTCTCTGTGCTAGAATATTTCTTTTGGCTTTTCATACTGCTATCTTCTTCTCATCTTGCAGGTCTCAGTTTAAAGTTACTTCCTCAGAGATACCTTCCCTGGTGACCTTATGTAAAATTGTCCCTTTTCCATTTTTATCTATCATGTCTCCTTTATTTCTTTTAGGGTTTTATAACAATCTGCCTTGTTTATTTACTTATTGTTAAGACATTGTTTGTATCTTGAATTTTGGCTCCAGGGATGTGGGCTCTTTGGTTTTTTTCACTATAATTAACAATATTCTCAGTGCTAGGTGCTGAGGTGCTAGGTGCTATCATTATTCTCATTGAATAACGATAGTTCAGGAGATGTAATTTAAAAGCCAGAATAAACTTATAGCATTTTGACAATTAGGAAAAGTGAATAAATAATTACATTGGGAACCTTGATCTTAAATGAATTATGTCACGTTAAAAAGAAATTATAGCTTTCTACAATGCGTAAAGTGCACAAAATGAAGACTTTATTTTATGTGGCTTTGATGGTTTCCTTCCTTCCTTCATTTTTTAAAAAGCCCAAATTGAGCCTATATATATAGTTGAGTGGCAGATTTAGAACCAGAAACTTTTGGAGCTGGAAAGGGTGAAAAATATGATGTAGTTTATTTTATTGGTTAAGAAACAGAGGTTCAGAAATGAGAAACATTTTCCCCCAAGGCCGTAGATGGTCAATGGAGAGAAAAGTCCAGGAATTATTTTGTCTCTATTACATATTATTTTTATTTTGCCAATAATACTTGTTCATTAAAAACACAGAAAAATTTAAAATTAAATTAATATTATTTAAAATTCTATGTTTTAGAAATAATTAATGTTTTGTGATATGTTTTTTAGAAATTGCTTCTATGCATATTCAGTAATATAAATAAGCCAGTAGGAATTCCAGGAATTGCTCCTAGATATATTCACTAATATAAAGAAACCAATTCAACCCTACATGTTCATTTGTCTCTCTCTTGTCATTTTAAATAAACATGTCTTTTTTCCTCATTTAATAGTATTATAATATTCTTTTTTCTGCCATTAAGTATAGCACCAAATCCAGGGATGATATTACAAATATTTAATGATTACTACTTCAAAGCCACCAAACAATCAGAAAGAACAGACTGTGGCCTGGGGGTTTCCTGCTGTAGGAGGCATCAGTCCTTTAATTGCTAGATCAAAAGGTGGGACCGTGGTCTTCCTAGGGGAGGAGCTGGGAGAATATCCAGGACTGGGTAGGAGGTGGAGACCAAGGCAATACCTTGTTGACAAATGCTACAGAAATATTTCAATATTTAATAACTAATTTATATTTTTTTGAAAGGCAACCCAAATATCAACTCTATTATCATTTTTAGTTATTGTATTTTATTCCATGGTGCAATAGAGACTTTTAACATCCAAATTGTCCCACCTAAATCCCTGGAACTTGTGAATATGAGGAGATATCAATCCCATGATTGTATTCTGGTATATGGCACAGTTGGCTCTAAGATGGAGAGGATATTGTGTGGGCCTAATCTAATCACGAGTCCGGAAAAGCAGAGAACTTTTTCTGGCTGGTTGCAGAAGAGGAAGTCAGAGAGCTTTTAAACCTGAGCAAGACTCTATTATGTAGCACTGTTGCTTCTAAGATAGAAGGGACTATGTGAAGGAATGTGGTGGCCTCAAGTTGGTGAGGGTGGACCCTGGCTAACAGGCAGCAATGAAACGGCGACCTCAGTAACTGCAAGGAACTGAATTCTTCCAAGAACCTGAATGAACTTGGAAGCTGATTCTTCCCCACACTTGTCAAATAAGAACTCAGCTTGGCAGATACCTTCATTTTTGCCCTGGGAGACCTAAGCAGAAAACCTAGTCAAGCCTCCTTGGTCTTTTGACCTACAGAACTGTGAGATAATAAGTGGGTATTGTATTAAGCCACTAAATTTGTAGTAATTTGTTACAGCAACAATAGAAAACAAATGCACTTGCTAGGAAGGTACTATAGCTGATTTGACCAGTTATTTTATATTGGGTATTTAGGTGGAATCTAAGTTTTATCTCTTTGCTTTATTTGTTCTTATGCTAGCACAAGAAAGAAACTTCAATAAACAGCTTTTTACCTTCAGTATTTCTCATTTGTCTCTTTATTTCCTAAGATAAATTCTTAGAAATGAAATAGCAGAGTTAAAGTGTTTTTAAAGGCTTTTGGTGCATATTGTCAAATTGTTCTCTGATTTTTTTTTTTTAGTTTACATGGCTACCTCTTTTTTTAAACCCACTTTTTTTTTTTTTTTTGAGACAGAGTCTCGCTCTGTCGCCAGGCTGGGCTGCAGTGGCGCAATCTCAGCTCACTGCAAGCTCCGCCTCCCAGGTTCAAGTGAGTCTCCGGCCTCAGACTCCCTAGTAGCTGGTACTACAGGCACCCACCACCACGCCCAGCTAATCTTTGTATTTTTAGTAGAGATGGGGTTTCACTATGTTGGCCAGGATGGTCTCGATCTCTTGACTTCGTGATCCACCCACCTCGGTCTCCCAAAGTGCTGGGATTACAGGCGTGAGCTACCGCGCCCAGCTAAACCCACCATTTTAACACCAGTTATTCTTTGTAACTTTTGATAAAATGATAGGTAAAAGATTAGTGTTACAATGCTGTTTTAATGGGCATTTCTCTGAAGACTAGGGCCTGTACAACATGTTTAAATGTTTAGGGATTGTAGGCAATGATAAACTTTTTGTTCTGTAAGGCCATATTTACTCAGGCTGGTAAATTATAGATTGTTCAAGCAAATAACTAGTAAAAGGTTTTTTTGTTTTTGTTTTCTTTTTTTTAAAGTATTGAGCCAGGCACAGTGGCTTATGCATGTAATCCCAGTACTTTGGGAGGCTGAGGCAGGAGGATCGCTTAAGGCTAGGAGTTCAAGACCAGCCTAGGCAATCTAGTGAAACCCCATCACTACCAAAAAAAAAAAAAAAAAAAAAAAAAGAATTAGCTGAGCATGGTGCTGGTAGTCCCAGTTACTCAGGAGGAGGCTGATGCAGGAGGATCCCTTGAGCCCAGGAGTTCAAGGCTGCAGTGAGCTATGATCATGCCACTGCACTCAGCCTGGAAGACAGAGCAAGATTCTGTCTCAAAAAAAAAAATTGAGATAATTTGTATATACTCAAAATTTTGGAGAGAATTTCTTAAATCAATTGCAATATCATAAAATGTATAGCTATAATTCTACAAAGAAGTGTTATTTGATGTAGGACTTGAGAAGTTGTATACCAAAGCAAGATATTTGGAAGTACAAAGCAACTTTTAGTGAAGTACTAATTAAATCTACATTATTTGTGTCTTTTTTTCTTTAATGTTCAGTCAATTCAGATAATTTTTAAAAATCTCATAATCATTACATGGTCACATTACTGTCTAGGGTATACTTATCTATAGGGTGTGTGTATGGGAGGCAGAGAGAAGATAAATATCAATAGTAACAATGGTAATATAATACATTTCATTAAAAAATCTGGGTAAAGTAATATTGGAAAGAAGACATTAAAGCCTTTTGCTTTAATAGAAGCTATGTTCATTACTTTTTCTAAAGACTTCCTATATTTCACCTTTAAATGTGGATCTTGAAAGTTAACCAAATATGTCTTCTGTATTTTGACATATACCATCAACCCTATGTAGAAATGTATATCACTACCCTGGGAGAGGAAAGGAAGGCCCCCTAGAAGGGAAGAACTGGGGCACGGAAGAAAAATACAAGGGCCTTAACAATTAGATCAAAATATATTGTCCAGGATTTTTTTAGTGTTATATAGTGTGGGAGCACAAACATACTTTTTTTTTTTTTTTTTTAAGAGGCGGGGGTATCACTCTGTCACCCAGGTTGGAGTGAGTGGTATGATCACAGCTCACTGCAGCCTCAAACTCCTGGGCTCAAGCGATCCTTCTGTCTCAACCTCCCGAGTAGCTAAGACTATGGGCATGCACAAGTATACATGTGCTAATTTTTATTTTTAGTAGAGGCGAAGTCTCCCTATGTTGCCCAGGCTAGCTTTGAATTCCTGGGCTCAAGCGATCCTCCCTCCTCGGTCTCCCAAAATGTTGGGATTACAGGCATGAGCCACTGCACCTGGCCCATGTTTGTTGCCTATAACCTGAGATGCACCCTCCGCCCCGCCCCCGGCCGCCACCACTACCATCTTCAGGAATCTTATTACATACAGTATGAAAACGAGAAAAGGAATGATGCCTTAGCAATTTTTCAAAGGAGAAGCTAAAAGCTAAAGTAATTATAGTATATTATAGAATGTTGTATTTTAAGCACTGTCATTTTGATAAAAATGGAATCAGGGACCATTGTAAATGCTTACATGTTCTCAGTGAGTGGTCCTGGCTACATTATTTATGGGAGGATCTTTTACAGATAAGAACTAGCATTTGATGCTATTGTGATTTGCATCTATCATCCAGAAAACCTTGATTTTGTTTTCAGATTTGTTTTCAGTTTCACAAATAAAAATGAATCAAATTGAAATTTAAGGAGGAAGCTCCTAAGAAACCTTTTTGATTAAATCTATCAGAAGGGATAGCACTGTGGCCATTTAGCATTTGATTGTAAATTCCAGTTTCTGTTGACCTTGCTGACAGGTTTATGTTTGATATATCTAATTTTCTGAAGTGTTTTCAAAGATGTGGGCATTTTGATTACAAATATTCTCACAAAACTTTCCAGACATCTTTTTAAGGAACCTGAAAACTAATTTAAGAAGACACTACAGCAAAAAGCAGTTCTTATAGAGGAAAAAAGAAGTATTTGTTATTTGAATGTGAACTTCGAAGCTAAAATTGTTCTTATAAAAGGAAATAAAGTTTTCTCATGGTTAAACTAGTTTTTAGAGTGAGATGAGATGGGGCATTTGTAATGTAATGGTTATGGTTAAAGAAACATTATATAACAAAGTAAGAGCCTGGTGCGGTGGCTCACGGCTGTAATCCCAGCACTTTGGGAGGCCAAAGTGGACAGATCAACTGAGGTGAGGAGTTTGAGATCAGCCTGGCCAATATGGTAAAACCCCATTTCTACTAAAAATACAAAAATTAGCTGGGCTTGGTGGCATATGCCTGTAATCCCTGCAACTCAGGAGCCTGAGGCATGAGAATCGCTTGAACCTAGGTGTTAGAGGTTGCAGTGAGCCGAGATCCCACCATTGCACTCCAGCCTAGGGGACAGAGTGAGACTCAAAAAACAAACAAACTAAACAAAAACAAAAACAAAAACAAAAAATCAAAGTAGGAGAATCTTTAGTATTTAATATTTTTTATTGTTAAAATATACATATATTCATGTATGTGGGAAAAATTTAAACAATACAGATGTATATAAAATAAAAAGTGAAATTGTCCCCAACCCTATTCCCTAGAGATAATCACAGTTCATTTGGGGTTTAGATTACTCAAGATGTCTTTCTATACACATATAAACATATACATAACCACAAGCATGCACAACTACATTATACACATACAATATGATCAAGCTGAATCTACACTATAGCCATTCGCTTTTTGTTTTATTTTTTAGAAGTCAACTTTATTGAGTTATAATTTACATAGTAAAATTCATCCTCTTATATGTACAGTTCAATTAGCTTTGACAAATGTATGAAGATACACAATCATAACCATAATTCAGATATAGAATATTTCCTTATCCCCCAAATTTCCTCATATTGTTTTATAGTCAATCTTTTTTCCTCCAACCCCAGCTCTTTGCAGCCACTAGATCTAATTTCTGTTCCATAGTTTTGCCTTTTTCAGAATGTTATATAAATAGAAATTCTGTGATTGGCTTCTTCTACTTGGCATAATGCTTTTGAGGTTCATCTTGTTACATTTATCAGCAGTTGCTTCTATTACATTGTTGAATTTTATTTCATTCTACACATGTACCACAATTTGTTTATCCATTCACCAGTTGATGGACATTTGGGCTATTTCTGGTTTTGACTATTATGAATAAAACTACTATAAATATTTATATACAGGTGTTTGTGTGGATGTATGATTTTATTTTTCTTTGGTAAATAATTATGAGTGGGATTCCTCTATCATATTGTGTGTATTTAAGTTTATATGGAACTGCTAAACAGTTTCTAAAGCAGCTGTACAATTTTTCATTCCCATCAGTGATTTTGAGAGTTCCAGTTGCTCCAAGTCCTTATCAGCCCTTGGTACTGTCAGATTTTTAACATTTTAGCCATTCTAGTAGGTGTGTAATAATATCTCTCTCTTTTTTTTTTTTTAGATGGAATCTCGCTCTGTCACTGGCTGGAGTGCAGTGGTGCAATCTCAGCTCACTGCAACCTCTGCCTCCTGGATTCAAGTGATTCTCCTGCCTCAGCCTCCAGAGTAGCTGGGATTACAGGTATGCACCACCACACTCAGCTAATTTTTGTATTTTTTAGTAGAGACGGGGTTTTACCATGTTGGCCAGGATGGTCTTCATCTCTTGACCTGGTGATCCGCCTGCCTCAGCCTCACAAAGTGCTGGGATCACATTTCTCTAATGTGCTGATCACATCATCTCTAATGATGCTGAGGATCTTTTCATGTGCTTATTTGCCATATGTGGATCTTCTTTGGTGAAATGCCTGTTCAAATATTTTGCCTATTTCTTAGTTTGCATTATTTGTCTTATTATTGAGCTGTAAAAGCTCTTCACATATTTTCAATACAAGTACTTTACCAGATAAGTATTTTGCAAATATTTTCTACCAGTCTGGGACTTGTCTTTTTATTTTAACATTTTCAGAAGAGCAGGCATTTTTACTTTTGATGAAGTATACTATATCAATTTTTATTTTATGGTTTGTGCATTTTTGTCTTCTAAGAAATCTTTGCCTAACTAAAGGTCACAACAATTTTCTTCTATGTTTTCTTTTAGAAGTTTTATAGTTTTAGCTCTTACATTTAGGTCCATGACTATAACTTGATTTTATCTTGACAATATACCATAGGCATCATTTCATGTCAGTAGAGTAAACTTTACTTCACATTTTTAATGATCACATATTATATTGTTGTATGGATGCACCATAATTTATTTAGTCATTCCCAAGTTAATGAATGTTTAAGATGGTTCCAACTTCACAATATTACAGATGATCTGAGATAAGCATCCTTATAAGTGAATATTTATGCACTTGTCTGAATAGTTTTGAAGAAACTATTTCTAGAATAGAAATGTTAGCTGATAGAACATTCATTTTTTTACATTTTCATAAGTACTGCCAAATACTTTGACTTCACAAATTTTTTTTTATCAGTTTTTATTCCTATTAATAGCATATGAGAATGTGTCTTAGTTCATTTTGTGTTGCTGTAACAGACTACCACAGGCTGGGTAGTTTATAATGAACAAAAATGTATTGGCTCACAGTTCTGGAGGCTGGAAAGTGCAAAATTAAGGGGCTAGTATCTGATAAAAGCCTTGAGGTGTCATCTCATGGCAGAAGGGCAAAGAGAGAGTGAGAAAGAGCAAGAGATTGAACCTGCAGCCTCAAGCCCTTTTATAATCAGCATTAATCCATTCATGAGAATGAAGCTCTCATGACCTAAACACCTCCATTAGGCCTCATCTCTCAAGCCTGTTGCCTTGGGGATTAAGTTTCCAACACGTGAACTTTGGGGAACATATTCAAGCCACAGTGGAGTGTCCTTCATCCTAAACCCTAGCCACACTGGATATTTTCAATCTTTTAAATTTTTGTTAATTTGATTGGTGGAAAATGATATCTTATTGGTTAGGTTAGAGTTGCTGTATTATCATATACAGTACTTTTATATTTAGCTTTTGAGGAGCTTATGTACTGTTTTCCATTGCGTTTATACCATTTTAGATTCTCACCAGCAATGCACAAGTGCTCCATCTTGGCTATCTTTTATTGTGTGTATTAATCATTGGTATTTTTCTTCTCTGGATTGCCAATTTGTATCCTTTGTCCTTTTGCATACCAAGTTGTCTTTCCTTTCTGTTTTTCCTTCTCTTCATCTTTATTAATTTATTTTAAAGAAAGTATCTGTATTTTATGGGCATTGGGGTTTTTTGTTGCAATTTATTTTGCTCTGTCATTGATCTTCTAACTTAAATGACTTTTTCACTGTATGGATCTTTTCAATGTACTCTAGTATGTTGTAGAGTTTGTCTATTCTGCACCTGACCTTGATTTTTTGCTTAGGAAGGTGTTCCCCAACCCGATATTAGAAAAACATTTCCCAGTGTGGAATTCTGATGTATCTATAGTTCAGTTTGATTTGATGATGTGAAATAGTGAACACATTATGGATTTTGTTTCTGTAGAGATAACCAATGTTCTCAGGACATTCCTTATAGAGTCTATCCTTCCCTCATTGTTTTGAAAAGCCACCTTTATCATATACTAACTTTTTATATGTAATTTCTGAATGCTCTTTTCTGTTTCATTTATCTATTTGTCCCTGGCCAGCATCATTTTTAAAAAATGATTCTTCCTAGCAAAACAGGACATTTCTGGGAAAAAAGAACTTGGTGGTGATCACTGTAAAAGGTGCATTCTCAGATACCATCCTTAACAACCTTATTTCTGTCTCAATATTTTGTAAGTCTAAAAGCAGATATCTGCAGTTGTTTTAAAGAGAGAAACCTACTTTAATTTTAATTCTAGGGCAAAAGCCATGGAAATCTGTGGGCACTACAAAAGATTGTTCAGGAATCAGAGATACTGTGGAAATTGGTTTTACTGATTAAATAAACAATACAAGAAAACACTTTTTCACCCATATATCTTTTCAATTATTTTTTGATATTTGCATTGACTCATGTTCATTACACTGATACACTGAATAATTTCCTTGGGCAGAGTGCTAAAATTTCAATATCATGTGGAAAGCAGAGTGATTCTACACACTGCAGGGTGAGTCTCTACTCTTCAGTCATGGAACATTCAAAGGAACCTAACATTTTTTAAAAATAATTTCAACTTTTATTTAGATTCAGGGAGTATATGTGCAGGTTTGTTACGTGGGTATATTGCGTGATGCTGAGGTTTCAGGTACAATTGATCCTGTCACTCAAATGGTGAACATAGTATCCAATAGGTAGTTTTCAACACTTGCCCCCTCCCTCCCTTCTCTAGTAGTTGCCAGTGTCTACTGTTCCCATCTTTATGTCCATATGTACCCAATATTTAGCTCCCACTTATAAGTGAAATCATGTGGTATTTGGTTTTCTGTTCCTGTTATTAATTCACTTAGGATAATGGCCTCAAATTGCATTTATGTTACTGCAAAGAATATGGTTTCATTCTTTTTTATGGCTGCATAGTATTTCATGGTGTATATGTACCATATTTTCTCTATCAACCCCAATGTTGATGGGCTCCTAGGTTGATTCCATGTGTTTGCTATTGTGAATAGCGCTGTGATGAACATCTAAGTGCATATGTATTTTTTGTAGAATAATTTATTTTCGTTTGGATATATACCCAGTGATGAGATTGCTGGGTAAAATGATAGCTCTTTTTTTAAGTTCTTTGAGAAATCTCCAAGCTGCTTTCCACAGTGGCTGAACTAATTTACATTCCCACCAACAGTGTATAAGCATTCCCTTTTCTCCATGGCCTTGCCAGCATCTGTTTTTTGACTTTTTAATGATAGCCGTTTGACTGGAGTGAATACAATCTCATCGTGGTTTTGATTTGCATTTCTCTGATGATTAGTGATGTGAAGCATTTTTTCATGTTTATTAGATGCTTTATGTTTTCATTTGAAAAGTGTCTGTTCATGTCTTTTGGCCATTTTTTAATGGGGTTACTTGGCTTTTTTGCTTGTTATATTAAGTCCCTTATAGATTCTGGGTATTTGACCTTTGTCAGATGCACAGTTTGTGAATATTTTCTTCCATTCTGCAGGTTGTCTATTTACTCTGTTAATAGTTTCTTTTGTTGTGCAGAAGCTTTTTAGTTTAATTAAATCTCACTTATCCATTTTTGGTTTTGTTGCAATTGCTTTTGAGGACTTGGTCATAAATTCTTTCCCAAGGCCAATGTCCAGAGCGGTGTTTCCTAAGTTTTCTTCTAGGATTCTTATAGTTTGAGGTTTTACATTTAAATCTTTAATCCAACTTGAGTTACTTTTTGTATATGGTAAAAGGCAGGGAGTCCAGTTTCATTCTTTTGCATATGGCCAGACAGTTGTCTCAGCCCACTGAGTAGGACGTCCTTTCCCCACTGCTTATTATTGTCGACTTTGTCAAAGATCAGTTGGCTGTATGTGTGGCTGGGTTCTCTATTCTGTTCCATTAGTCTATGTGTCTGTTTTTACCAGTACCATGCCGTTTTGGCTGCTATGGCCTTATAATATAGTTTGAAGTTGGGTAATATTATGCCTCTGGCTTTGTTCTTTTTGCTTAGGATTGCTTTGGCTATTTGGACTCTTCTTTTGAGAAACCAGATTTAAACTGTATACTAACCAAGATTAAATGGGAATAAAAGGCTTTATTGTTGGTAATGTACTTAATTCATAAATTCCCTTAGATCTTCAGATCTCCTGAAATTATACATGTAACCATCTCAGCTGTGTTCTTTCATTTGCAAGACACATTAGGTAAGGCTTGTAAGATTGAAGGACTTAGTTAAACTTTTTAAGTTGACATGGATAAGTTTTATTATGTGCTATCAGCTAAAAGTATCATAAAATATACTGTTACACAGGTAAAGAAAACTGTTTCAAACAAGACTTATCAGTATGGTAGGCTTAATTGCTTATACTCCTTTTATCTATGTTGAGAAGTTTCCCTAGAGTTTTAGCAAATATTTTCCTACATGAATTCAGCATGAAAGATTTTCTTAAGCTTGTAATTATTTTCTCATTAGAAAATATTTTCTTATTTTGGTTTCATGGTATCACTATTTCTTGTGGAATAGTGGATAAGAGGAAATCATTTATTTCATGGATGATTGCTGATATTTCTAAGAATTGGAA
The DNA here is from genome assembly GCF_000001405.40 of Homo sapiens. Taxonomy (NCBI): domain Eukaryota; kingdom Metazoa; phylum Chordata; class Mammalia; order Primates; family Hominidae; genus Homo; species Homo sapiens. Next base: position 146,706,961 of record NC_000004.12, read on the forward strand.
TATATTTTATTTTCATGGATTTAGATGTTTTGGATTAAATTTATAGTAACACACTGAAATGCAAAATCCAATGAAAAGAGTCATAGTCCGTTTTATTATAACTCTATATTATCTGTAACATGCTCCTATTACAAGTATTGAAGTCTAAGGTGACATGATGGATTTCTTCTTGCTTTGATGTTAAGTGAAAAGCTGCTTTAAGTTTCATTTTTTTGATCACCTGGAAACCTGAAATAAAATAAATTATAAATTTAACTTTTATACTGGGCTAGAAAGCAAAGAACATTTGTTTTGAAAAATAATTTGTTTTCTGTAATTTTCAGATGTGGCTTCAAAATTAAAAATACTTAACCTTATGTGACATTTGAAAATAAATCTGTGATTTTTTTTAAAGCAGTGTTTCACTATTAAGGTTATCAAGTGCTGGATGAAGCTCCTCTTTTTGTGTTTGGAGAATGAGATTATGCTTAGTATATTGCGCAAAGTGGGTACTTAATAGAAACTTTTTACTTGATTTATCATACCTACTGAGTTCTTCCAAACGTTCTGAGTTTTGAGATACAGCTTCCACTGTGGATCCTCTAAACTCTTCTAAAAAAAAAATACACAAAGTTAATAGATTATCATGAACACAGTTTATAGTTATTTTGATCTTGAACCTGGGAATCCCTTTTCAGGGATATCTGTCCTTATCACCTATAAGATAAGGGTGTATGTATCACCAGGGCAGATTGTATTGTACAAAGATGGCCACAACAATCTCTCCCACTCCACATGTTCCTGTACAGCACGATCTTGTCAATCCCCCATGAAGAAGTAGAATCCAGTTTTCTTCTTGAAATTGAGCTACCCTTAAGATTCTTTTGTGATCAGCTGAATATGGAGGAAGTAACAAAAATGAGTTCTGGGGCTAGGTCCATAAAGGCTATGCAGCCTCTACCTGGTTATCTTAGGATACTTTTTTTGGAGGAAGCAAGTCACCATATAAGTCCTCATACCCTGAGACTGCCATGCTGGAATGGCCACGTATAGATGTTCTAGCAGACAGTCCCAGCTGAGTCTAGCCTTCCAGCCATCTTGGCCAAGTCTCCAGCCTGTGAGTGAAGCTGCCTTTGACCCTTCAAACCAGCCCATCTGTCAGCTGAATACTACTTAGTGACTTCAATTAACGTCCAGACGAGCCCTGCCTGAATTCCTAATCCACAGAATTCTTGTGATATAATAAAATGGCTACTGAAAAGGCCACCTTTTGTTGGGTAAGATGACTTTTAAAAATAATACTCAAAAGGAAAATTAATTTAGGGAGCAATATAAAGTACCCAAATAATGAAGTCAAATATGGGAAGTTTATATATATATATATATATATATATATATATATATATATATATATATACACATGTATGTGTGTGTATATATATAAATACATATATAAACATATATATATAAAAACTTCCCACATTGACTTCATTATTATGATATTGTGATAATGAAATCAAATATGGGAAGTTTATATATGTAGATATATGTGTATATATGACTTCATTTATCATATATTATATGTATATCTATATACATAGAGAGAGCCATGTTAATTTGTTACTTAACTTTAACTTTCATATCTGGCCTTTTACTTTTGATTTCAATTAACTGGGATTAATCTAATAAGGTACCGTTTATTCCTGTTTATGACAGGCCCCAGTTTTCAGGTCCCTTCATTCTATTTTTTATTACCTTTCCTGTTCTGTCCCCATCTCCTACCCACTGAAATTCCTGAAAGAGTTCCACTTTGCCTTTTGGAATATTTGATTCATTATTTTAGCAAAATGTCCTATATCCTTACCCTATTTTCTGAAATTCCTTTTACTTTCTTGCTCTAACAGAAATTTGTCTCTTCTCTCAAGATACTATCAGCCCAGAAACCCATTTTTGTTATTGATTTTCTCGGTCTTCTCACTACTGCACCTGAAGATGGGTTGGTGTCCTCTCCTCCTTGTTCTTTCAGGACCCTTGCCCTTCCTCTTTCCCTTTCTAACACTCATGTCATTAGATTATACAGTCAACCATTTGTCACTATTGTGATCTATCTACAAACGGAATCATTCTCAGTTGATGTTATCATTGCCTCATTGTCACTGTACTACTACTTTCTTAATTTAGTAATTTCAATGTAAAGGTAGAAGATTATTCCACCTTAAGTCTCAATTCCTTGACCTCCTGTTCTTTTACATCTTGTCCTTTACATTACCACAGCCATTAATTCTCCTGGTCATACTTAGACCTTGTCATTATCAGTAACTATGAGCCCCCTCTAGCTCATTTTCCTGCATTTAACTGTTTGGCTGCCTCCTTTTGTATTTCCAGATCACTCCCTCTGGTATCCTGACCCCAGCAATTCTTCTACTTCATTGGAACCTCCAATTCTACCACCTTTTCATTGTTTTTCCTCATTTTTCTGTCTCTTCTTCCTTCCTTATATAATTTAAATTCCATGGTTATCTACTTCCTTGCATAAAGTCTAAATTTCTCTTCTTTTCACTTTGTTTGCTTACTTGGCAAAAGTATAGCCCTAGTTAAATCTAGTTATCTGCCTACTCCTCTCCTGCACTGTATAGTTCAATATGGCTGGAGAAAATACAACTGGCCTGAGATGCCTCGTCTTAAATTCATGGCCACAAACATTAAGTAGACCCTTACACTTCCAGGCCATTCTATGAGACATTCCTAGTCCACTCATTCTTCCACTCCCCTAGATGACTAAATCTTCTATTTTTCTCAAACCTCCCAACCTCCACTTTTCTCAGCTGATGATTTATTTTCTGGCTTCATAGAGGAAATAAATGACAATAGGGAAAATTGTCCACAAGCTTTGTGGCAAGAGTTACTCACCTACTGCTTCTGTTCTGTATACTCTGTCTTCCCTTCTGTTAGTACCAATGAACTGCCTAAGGCCTATCCCTCTACTTCTTCACTAGACCTCATGCCCTCTTGTCTAGACAAGACAGGGTTTCAGTCCTTCCTTCTGCCTCCCACTCATCAGTGCTCTTCCTCTCTATTAGATCTTCCCTATCAGTAGAGAACTATTTAGTTAAAGCCATGTGACTAAGTTCTCAGCAATGAAATGAGCAAAGTAATATACAGTCAAGTGTCACTTAACGACAAGAATACCTTCTAAGAAATGAGTCATTAGGTGATGTTGTTGTACAAACATCACAGAGTGTACTTACACAAATCTAGATGGCACAGCCTACCACATAGCTAGGCTATTATATACTATAGCGTATTACTTCTGGGCTATGAACCTGTTCGGCACATTACTATAGTGAATATTGTAGGCATCTGTAACACTATAATGAATATTTACTATAGCTAAACATAGTAAAGGTAATGCATTGCACCACAGTGTTATGATGGCTAAAATGTCACTAGTACATAGGAATCTTTCAGCTCCATTATAAACTTTTAGTATCACCATTGTGTATGGCATATATTGTTGACAGAAATGTCCTTACGCGGTGCATGACTGGATACTTCTTCTGGGTCTGAGTGTTAGACATTGGGTACTCACTCGCCACAGGACTGTTGGCTCTTGGTTCCATCACTGCAAAAACACTCATTTGGATTATAACCTAGGTTTTGCACTATGGGTCTGACTTAAGGTGTGATTTGAGATGTTTGATCTGTAGGACTTCAAGGGAGCTGGAAGACTGGGAACAGTACCACTCTAGTAAGGGAGACTAGAAGCAACAGCATGTTGAAGTGTGATATTTGCTTATACGATCTACATTTCAGTAGAAATTGGCACTTCTTTGTTGCTAATAGTAAAGACTCTGAAATGGTAGATTCAAGTGGGCAACAAAAAGATCTCATTTATACCACCACTTAGCCTATACGTTACAAAAGCAATAGAATAAGCCAGTAAATGCTAAATTGCTATAAATCCACCATCGCATCCCTTTTTTGAAAACAATGGAATATAATATTTATATTATACAGTATTCTATGTAAACAAGATTTTAAAAATGTTATCTGTAGAGAAGGATGAATTGAAATGGAGAAGACATTACCTGGTAGTTTGGGGACTGGAAAGGTAAATGAATTTTTATAATTTTGGCATGCTAAACATTTGTAGTGGCCTTACTCTAAAAAAGGGTAAATAACTCATTCATAAAGGTTGTGTCAGAGTTTATAGACTAGACCCCTGGTAATGGATTCAACCTTTCTTCAACAAACCAAAAGTATTGTTGTATGCTCACATGAATATACAGTAGTCATTACCTTAAATTTAAAACTCACTATAAGCAGCAAACACAGAGAGCATGATATGAAGGCTGTATTGTATCAGTGTGGTCTGCAGAGAATTTCTTCATATGGTTTTTGCCTTGTTGAAATATATGTTGCAGTTCAAAGCTAAAGGGATTACTTTTGAATAGTCATCACAGAGGTTGATTACATTCGTATATCATATTTAGCTGGACCCTGCAGGCTATTATTCCATTAGCTACGCCGGTCCTGCCATTGTCAAAAAGTTGATCACCTAATGTTAAAAGACTGTGCTTTCTGTTGACCTTATCATAATGACTCAAAAGCTTTTGTTAAAAAATAAAACTCAGATTATGTTTTATGAAACTGATTAAGAATAAATACTGCGTATAAACTATGCTCCTATCTTATAGGTGATTGTAACATTATGCTATTATTAACGATGAGATGTTTTGTTTTTGTATTTCAGCAGATTTTATTGATAGTCATAGATTCAATTTTAGTAGAAACAGTACTTCTCTCTCACTGATAGTAAAGAGTCTCAGAAACTGATTTCTGAAAAAGGAACAGAAGTCTCCCTTCCCCACCATGTAAATCATATAAAATTACTCTGGAAGTAAGCCAGTATATCAATGTTAATATAATGGCACATCTACAATGGCCTGCTTATAATATGATTTTACAAGGCCACTGTACTGAAGAGAACGAAGTTCTGTTTGGGGGAAATGTGTATATGAACTGAAAACTTGTCAATCACACTTGATAATGAGAAAATCCCTTCCAATAAATAAATAAATAAATAAATACATAAATAAATAGAATATTTAACTGTTTATTCTTAATATGATGGTTGTATAGGTTCACTCATTTAATTACAATGAGAATATCTGATTCAAGGCTATGAATCTGGTTTTTATAAACCCAGAATCCCATTACCAATAAAAGGCTTATTTAGATAAGCTTGACTTTTAAATTATTTTATTATGAATTAGCCACAAATAAGGAATGAAATGAGAGCTCATCTTTGAAAAAGATATTGACAGTTATGACTTTATTATTTGAAGTAACATATAAATTTTTTCATTAAAATCACATTACGAAAGCTGTCCTTTGGGAAAAAAGATGATTTTGACGCTATCTCAGTTGAACAGCTAAGTCCTTGAGCTGTGTTCCCAGGAGTGATGATGGATTGACATAGACTCATGTGTGCTCTTTGGCATGGTCTACCTTGTAACTGATGGTTTGTAAAACGGCTGGTCAGGGATGCAGGCTGTGATCCTGGAACACAGCCAGACACTAATTTTGGCCTCATTAGCACTGTTCTCTTAATCAATTGAACTTTTCAGCAGAGGTTTCCTAATATTTCTTGTACTTGCTTGCCTTTAGCTACCCACTTGATACTCACAATAGATGAGTGGGTATCAGTCAGGAAGAAACAGATGGCACATGCAACTGGGATTTTGAAGAGACTTTAATGAAGGGACTATTAAGAGATGAGGGCAGGGCTAAGGAGCTAATAAGGGATATTGAGGCACCTAGGGACTTGCAAAAGAGGGTGCCATGCCATTATCATCTCTGGGTCTAAATTCAGGGTAAAGAGAGAGGATGGTGCCACTGGACTTTGGGTGAGGGCAGAGATTTAGAAAAGGGACTGCCTTTTCTAAATCTAGAAGTAGCAGTTGTAGAGTGTCACAGTTGTCAGAAAGGAGCTGAAGAAGTGAGGGACAGAGGAATAGTATTCTAACTCTCCACCTTCCTAACCTCTCATCTGCTGGTGACTCCCTTTGGCTAAATACATACGATGAAGCCAGAAAGCAAGTCAGCCTGTGTGATGCAGTCTGAAGTCAGTCTCCTGGGACACAGAGCAGAGAAGGTGGGAGAATTGATCGTGTGTGTGTGTGTGTGTGTGTGTGTGTGTAAGAGGTGGGGGAGGGGAAACAAGTAGCATATAATAACCATAAAATGCAAATGTTTTCCTTTAGCAAACATTTAGTCATGTGAAGTGTGGTTTGAGCGTCAACATATTTAATGTTGGCATATAATTGGGTGTTTCTTTATTCGTTTTCCTCCTCCTCCTCCTCCTCCTTGTTCTATAATATTGGTTTGTCATTCATGCATTCATGGCTTTCTCATCTTACAGTTTTGTAAAAAATTTATGAATCAAAGCCTGAGATTATAGAGTTAATCTCACTCTATCAAAAATATGTGATTTGGGGGGTAATATTTTTCTACATTTTGTTGTTAACAAAACAAAAAGTTAATCTTTCTTATCTGTGTTTTGAAGTAGAAATCATGATGTGGTAATTCTATATCTGATGAGTAAAATAATCAAGATGGAAACTTTTAAGGCAGGAGACACTTTCAAGTTTGGATAGACTCTCTTAAGTGTCAAAAACTGACGTGTTCTTTCATATTACAGGATCTGGTATATATCAATTCCCTTGCCAAGGGCTTTTATTAATATTCAAGCAATTAAAATTTATGCAAAGATCAGAAGTATATTCCAATTCAAAAGTATAGGGTTTTTTTTAACCTTACACACCATTATTCTGAATAAATGGAATGCAACTAGGCCTGAATGAAGCATTGAAGATACCATATTGACATAGAATGATACTGAATTTCTTTTTCTGGGCATCTAAACTTTTAATGAGAATATCTGATTCAGGTCTATTAATCTGTCCAGACACTAAATACTTTCTTAAGATAAATAGTGTGTTAATGTCTTCATACAGTTCTTTTTATTTCTCTGATTGTTGCTACATTATAAATCCCGCAATTTTTTTCTATTCAAGACAGTGTAACAGAAATCAGATTGACTCTTTTCCTAAAACACTCCTCCCTACCCAAAAAATCCTGAACAAAATATATGAAACAATGATTTTGAAGACACTGGACATCAGACAACAAAAGCCAGTGATTTCTGAAAGACAAGAAATATGTTTGAATACAAAACATGCAAAAAGGCACAATGTGGAGAAAAAGCAATCAAAACTGGCCCAGAACAGACATAGTTATTAGAATTAGGAACAAAAACAAAGTTACTCTAACTGTATTTTAGATATTTAAAATGTTAAGTAGAGACATGGAAAATAAAATAAAACATTAATAAACTTGAAGACAGAGTAGTAGAAACCTCAAAATGAAGAAAGAAAGAGAGTCAAAAAGATGAACATATTATCAGTAAACCATAAGACAGCTTTAAGCAGCCTAATAGACATTTACTGGCATTATAAAAAGGAGATTGAGAAAGAATTGAAACATAGTTCAAGAAATTGGGCAGAAAATTTTCTAAAATTGCTGAAGACTATAAACCCATAGATCCAAGAAGCTCAACAGACCCCAAGCTTAAGAAACTTAAAGTACGAAAAGAAAAAGAAAAAAAAAAACCTATAAAATGTACAATGACATACCCACTGAAAATATCTTTTAAAAATGAAGGCAAAAATAAAGGCTTTTCAGACAGACAAAAGCTGAAGCAATTCATTAGCAGCATATTTGCACTACAAGTCCTCAAGGCAGAAGAAAAATGATACCACATGGCAATCTGGATCTATGTAAACAAATGAAGAGCATCAGAGGTAAGTACAATGCATGACAACGTTGCACAAAGGTGAGAAGGGGAGAAATGGAAGGATGTAATTGTAAACTTCTTCTTTTATTGAGACAGGGTCTCGCTTGCTGCAGCCTTGACCTTACAGGCTCAAGCAATCCTCCTGCCTCCTCAGCCTCCCAAGTAGCTGGGACTACAGGCGTATGCCACCATGTCTGGCTAATTAAAAAAAAAAAATTCTTGTAGAGATGGGATCTTGTTTCATTGCCTACTCTGCTCTTGAACTCCTGGCCTCAAGCAATCCTTCTGTCTTGGTGTCCCAAAGTGTTGGGATGACAGGCATGAGCTAACATGCCTGGCCTATAAGATTCTTATACTATGTTTTACTGTTGGTGGGAATGTAAATTAGTACAGCCATTATGGAGGTTTCTCAAAAAACTATAAAACTAGAACTATCATGCAATCCAGCAATCCCACTGCTGGGTATTTATAAAAAGGAAATAAAATAAATACATTAAAGGGATACCTGCACGTCCATGTGTATTGCAGCACTATCTACAATAGGTAAGATATGGAATCAACCTAAGTGTCCGTTAACAGACAAAAGGATGAAGAAAATGTAGTGTATATACCCAATAGAATACTATTCAGCTACAAAACAGAATGCAATCCTGTCATTTGCCACCACAGAAATGAGCCTGGTGAACATTATGTTCAGTGAAATAAGGCAAGCACAGAAAGATAAATACTGCATGTTCTCACTGACATGTAGAAGCTAAAATAATTCCAGCTCTTGGAAGTAGAGAATAGGATAGTGGGTATTAGAGGCTGGGAAGGGTCGGGGGATGGGAGAAGGTGGGAGATGTTGGTTAATGGATACAAAATTACAGCTAAATAGGAGGAATGAAGTCTGGTGTTCTGTAGAATTGCAGGGTGGATATGGTTAACTATAATTTATTGACTATTTTCCAAAAGCTAGAAGACCGAATTTTGAATGTTCACAACACAAAGAAATGATAAATGTTTGAGGTGATGGCTATGCTAATTACCCTGATTTGATCATTACACATTGTAAACACGTATCAAAATATCATCCTGTATTCCATAAATATCTACAATTATAATGTGTCAACTAAAAATAAAAGGGAAAAAATTCTTACACTATGTGTTAAATGATCTAATGTCACTTGAAGGTAGGTTGTGAAAAGTTAAAGATATACACTGATCATTATTTTTGTTTTTACATTTTAGTTTACACTTTTCATTTAAATATTCTGGATAGAAAAAAAATAAGATTTGAAAAATCAACATCTCTCGAATCTGAAAATAAGAAAGCCTGTCTCTAATTTAAACATTAATTTGAAAACTTATCCTTCTCATATATTCCCCTGATCTGAGGCTTGAAGATAAGCTAATGAATTCAAAGAAATGACCATTTCATTATCACTCAGAAAGTTTAATTTTGTTGACCAAATTATGTGCAGTGTAATACATATAATATGAAACTAAATGCTGATAGGTAGGTTTGAATTTTCTTTTTCTGGTTACTTCAGAGTAACAGTTTGGAAAATATACAAGCTCTGTATTCATGTTCTTTTCATATTCTCTGTACTTTAGAACAGAGAATTATATGAGATAATTTTTTGTAATGCTTTATTGAGGTATGATTGACATAATAAAAGTTGTACATATTTAATTTATAAAACTTGATGGGTTTGGAGCTAAGTATATGTCTGTGAAACCATTCAAAATCTATGCTGTAAACACATCCATCATCCAGGGGATGATATTTTTAATGAATAATCCAGAGATGTGAAAATGAATGTTTTCGTAAAAATTGAGTTTTCTAATGTATGTTGAGATTTCCAAAGAAGAGATACTGTAGATATACAGTATCCAGTCCAAATATAGTATTATAAGATGAGTAAATATATATATCTGGTCAGCAGCAAAGTAGTTCCTAGAAATAACATCTCTGAAAAACCCAAACAATTCCCTCACCAAAATTAAAAATCAAAACCTTGTACATCCCAGCTAAGATATTCTTCCTCTTAAATTTTCATAAGAATGAACTGGTCTATTTAAAACAATGACAGTGAGAAATACATTTTGAAAGAAGTCACCAGTTTCCAGGTGACCTATATGTCTGCTACTCAAAGTGTGGTCTCCAAACCAGGAGCATTAACATTTCCTGGAGCTTGTTAGAAATGCAGAAATGTAGGCCGCACTTCAGACCTAGTAACACAGAATCTGCCTTTTAACAGGATCCCAAGGTAATTCATTCGCCCATTAAAGTTTGACAATCGTTGCTTTATGGATTTATATTTAACTATGTAGAGTAGGAGTAAAATATTAATAGCATGTTGGAAAAAGGAGTTGTAGCTGCTTGGCTGTTGCTCAGTTGCAACATTTAGATAATAAGTAAATATAAATTTTTTCCCATGGATTGAGAACATATTTTGTAATAGGGAATATGGTCAGCACTTGTATGGTTATTATTATTAGTAGTAGTAGTATTTTGAGATGGAGTCTCACTCTGTCGCCTAGGCTGAAGTACAGCGGCACAATCTCGGTTCACTGCAATCTCTGCCTCCCAGTTCAAGCGATTCTTCTGTCTCAGCCTCCCAGGTAGCTGGGATTATAGGGGCCCACTATCATGCCCGGCTAATTTTTGTATTTTTAGTAGACATGGGGTTTCACCATGTTGGCCAGGCTGGTCTTGAACTCCTGACCTCAGGTGATCCGCCCACCTCAGCCTCCCAAAGTGCTGGGATTACGAGTGTGAGCCATTGCGCCCAGCTGGCACTTTATTATTTAGCTTTAATTTTTAATTGTACATTGACAAATTATAATTATATATATTTATGGGGTACAAAGTGATGTTATGATCTATGAATACAATGTGAAATGGTTAAATCAAGCTAGTTTGTGTGTCCAGCACTTCAAATGCTTATCATTTTTTTATGGTGAGAGCATTTGAGAATTACCGTCTTAGAGATTCTGAAATGTACAATACATTATTACTGACTATATTTACCATGATGTGCAATATATCTTAAAGAAAAAACCTTATTCCTCCTGTCTAATTGAGGCTTTGTACTTTTTTACCATTATCTTCCCATTTCCCTCACCACTGATAACCATCCTTCTGCTCTCTGCTTCTTTGAGTTAGATTATTTTAGATTCCAATATAAGTGAGAACATTTTATATGTGTCTTTCTATGCCTGGCTTATTTCATTTAGTATACTATTCTCCAATTCCATCTATGATATTGCAAATGACAGGATTTATCATTTTTTAAGGCTGAATAATACTTCATTATATATATATCACATTTTCTTTATCCATTCATTGGTTTATGGACACTTCCATGACTTGGCTATTAGGAATAGTGCTGCAATGAACATGGGACTGCAGACATCTGACATGCTGATTTCAAATATTTGGGTAAATACCCAGAAGTAGGATTGCTGTATCATATGGTAATTTTATTTTTAGTTTTTGAGAAAACTCCATACAGATTTCTGTAATGGTTGTACTAATTTATAGTCCCACCAATAGTGCACAAGGGTTCCCTTTTCTCCACCTCCTTGCCAACATTCACCTTTCATCTTTTTGGTAACAGCCGTTCTAACAGGTGTGGTTTGATATCTCATTGTGACTTTAGTTTACTAGTGATTAATGATGTTCAGCAATGTTTCCATATGTCTGTTCGCCACTTATGTCTTTGTTTTTGAGAGAGATGTCTATTCAGGTCCCTAGCCTATTTTAAAATTAGACCATTTGCTTTCTTTCTGTAGAGTTGTTTGAGTTTTTTATATGTTGGTTATTAATCCCTTATCAGATGTATGGCTTGCAAACATCTCCTTCCAATGCATAGGTTTTCTCTTCACTCTGTTGTTTTCTTTTTTTGTGCAGAAACTTTTAATTTTGATGTAATCCCATTTGTCTGTTTTTGCTTTTGTTGCTACACTTTTGGGGTCAAATCTAAAAAGTTATTGCCTAGACCAACGACACATAGTTTTCCCCTTATGTTTTCTTCTAGTGGCATTAACAGTGTCAGGTCTTATGTTTAAGTCTTCAATTCATTTTGAATTGATTTTGCGTATGATGTGCGTTAAGGTTCAAATTTCATTCTGCATACGGATATCCAGTTTTCTCAGCATCATTTATTAAAGAGACTGTCCTTTTTCTATTGTGTATTCTTGGCACCTTTCTTGAAAATCAATTGACCATACACACATGTGTGGGTTGATTTATGGGTTCTCTATTCTGTTCTATTGGTCAATAACTCTATTTTTTGCCAGTATCACACTGTTTTAATTATTATCAGTTTGTAGTATATTTTGAAGTCAGGTAGTGTGATGCCTCCAGATTTGTTCTTTTTGCTCATCATTGCCTTGGCTATTGGGGTGTGTGTGTGTGTGTGTGTGTGTGTGTGTGTGTGTGTCTGTGTGGTTCCATATAAATTTTAGGATTGTCTTTTCTATTTATGAAAAATGACGTTAAATCTCTCAACTACCCTATGCTTTAGGTATTATTATTCATTTTGTACAGATAAGGAAACAAAAGGTTGGAGAGATTAACTTGCTGAATCTCACACAGCTGATAACTATTTCATTGGAGATTCAAATCCAGGTTAATTTGGATCTTAAATCCATCCTCATAGCTTCTGTGCTCATTCTCACTTCAATGAATTCAAAAGGAAGGTAAGTCTTAAGAAAACCTCTTAGGCAAGTGTATAGCGTTAGGCTTGGAAAGACTGATTTATTTGACTTTGTGGCAAGAATTACTGCAGCAAACCTATTTAGTTCTTAATAGTTGTTTGTCTATTTACTTTCTTGTCTTTTAGAGACCATTCCTAATGCAGCAGTTAAGAAAAAAGTCACATACTCCAGGGATCTTCCTGAAAACCACTAATCTGACATGTAGGCTATGACAACTGAGATTGGCCTAGTGAGAAATCAAATCTAGGGTTTCCATCATGTAAGTTGTTGTCTTTATTTCATTATACTTTGATTCAACCCCTAATGGATTCAGCTTCATAAAGTCAGAAAAAGAAAAAAAAAGCAATTTATTCATGTTTTCATTGGAGCTCACTGCAGTCATGAAATTTCTCTAAAAATGCAAATCATTTGGTGCCACGTAAGTGAAACTTGGTAGCTAAAGTGCTTAGAGGAAAATGCTTTCCCAGGGCTAATGTTTTCATGCCCAGTGATTGAATAAATCGATCCATTTATTACAACATCTTCACTTAAGATTTTGTCCCTAGATGAATGTGTCTAAGAGTACTAGAAGACTTTTCTTTATCACTGAGAAAATTGATTACACTTGTTAATTTGGCTTTTAATCCTAGATATATAAAAATAAATACCATAAACATGTGTAGAAGAAATCAATATAGATCTGTTCAATATCAGATTGATCAAAAAAGGATTTAGTAAGACTCTAAGATGTAAAATACTAATGTACAAACTAAGCCCTTACTTATGTAATACGACTTTAGACGAGCTCAGTATAAACCTAAAAGAAACTATTCCTGAAAACAGAAATGGTATACTTTTCTTGCATTAAAGAAAAACCCCCAGAAGGCCTACCTATCCAAGGTATTTAATGTGAACATTTGTTTTTAAAAGATTTCTTGTCTTTGGTCCAGCCACTGTTGTTAATTCATGGGGCATCATATCACAGAATTTTTATGTTACGTAAAGCAAAAATTACACTTAACAAATGTAAGGTTAAGTCATAAAAAATAGATAAAACAACACTTCTAAAAGCCAAGATATGACATGGAAAGGCTATCAGTCATTCTTTTCAGAGAAAGTGAGGACAATGAGAAATAAAAATAATATTCAAAGACTCCTGAAATGCCACTTAGACTGGCTCTGGCCCATTATGTCATGTGTTTTGTAGAACTCAATAGCAAACCAAGTAGACACTCTTTTGACTAAGCATATTTTTTATTCTGCTTGTATAATAATGAATAAGACAGAGATTCACACTACTCCACTCTCAGAATGATGCAAGTTTAAAACTGCTTTTCTGGTAGTAATATGGTTTATGTTGAATATACACAGTGTCAGTCACAAATGATAATCTCTATTCATTTGTCACACACTCAACAGATATTCATTGAGAACCCAAGTGAAAAACACACATTTGTGGGATAGGTGCTTGGGTGCAGTTTGTAATTGATTTCAAATTAGATAGATTCAGAGGTACATGGCTGAGGAGGGGCATGGGAAGTTTAATCTGCAATTATGGCATAACCCTCTGAATTAGTGCATGACCCTCAGAGAAGAAATGAGGTTTTTATGTACAATTTCTTAAAACAATTAATTTAGTAGGGGACACAGAGTTTCAAAACAAATACTGACTTTAAAGGAATAAAGTTAAATGCATTTAAATGCTTGTCCCAATAAAAATAGTCTGCTGGGTTTCCATGGTAGGACTCAGGTTCCTTAACAGCTTAATCGGTGGGTCAAATATGAAAAGTCACAGAAAAGCAGAGCATCTCTGTGTTAGAGCATGTTTTCTCAACACTCAAAGTGCACACGATACAAATGTGTATACATTTTGACTGATAAGTCGAAGTCATTTCTGGAGAAATTTTTATGGTTAGAATTTTAGTACATAATCACCATTTCCTTGTAATCTTCAGATTATAAACTTTTCTCTTTTGAAAACTAATATATTTGTCCCTGTATCTGTAGCACCTTGCATGATGTCTTAGAGCTAGTATATACATAGTGTTTTCTGAGTGAACAGTCTGCAGCTTATGATTTACTTTAAAAATATGACACAATAAAATGTTAGTTGGCACATAGAAGGTGACCGTTAGATGTCTACTGAAAGACAGACAGAGTGAGTTAACGCATCTATTCTTAAAAGTTTATATGACAGTACAAAAGACATATAGTAAAGACAAAGCTGTGGGTTTGAAACGCCAGATTAAAAAAATTCAACAGCAAGATCTATGGACAACTCTTTAATAAGTACATAAAAATTAGTTATGTAAGGAAGTCCTACCCAGAGCAATCAGGCAAGAGAAAGAAGTAGAAAGTATCCAAATAGTATAATAAGTCATAAAACGATCTCTCTTTGTTGATGATAGGATTCTATACCTAGAAAACCCTAAAGACTCTGCCAAAAGGCTCCTGGAACTGATAAACAACTTCAGTAAAGTTTCAGGATACAAAATCAATGTAAAAAAATCAGTAGCATTTCTATACAACAATAACGTTCAAGCTGAGAGTCAAATCAAGAACAGAGTCCCATTCACAATAGACACACACACACACACACACAATTACCTAGGAATACATCTAACCAAGGAGCTGAATGATCTCTACAAGGAGAACTGCAAAATACTGCTCAAAGAAACCATAGATGACACAAACCAATGGAAAAACATTCCATGTTCATGGATTGGAAGAATAAATATTGTTGAAATGGCCATAATTTCCAAATCAACCTGCAGATTCAATGCTGTTCCTATCAAGCTACCAACATCATTTTTCACAAACGGATAAAAAACAATTCTAAAAATCATACAGAACCAAAAAAGAGCCCAAATAGCCAAAGCAATCCTAAGCAAAAAGAATAAAGCCAGAGGTCCCACACTACACTACCCAACTTCAAACTATACCATAAGGCCACAGTAAACAAAACAGCATGGTACTGGTACAAAAACAGACACATAGACCAATGGAACAGAATGGAGAACCTGAAAATAAAGCTGCACACCTACGGCCACCTGATTTTTGACAAAGTCAACAAAAATAAGCAATGGAAAAAAGACTCCTTATTCAATAAATGGTGCTAGAATAGCTGGCTAGCCATATGCAGAAGAAAAAAAAATGGACCCCTACCTTTTACCATATTCAAAAAGTAACTCAAGATGGATTAAAGGTTTATTTTATTTTATTTTTATTTTTTTGAGACAGGGTCTCACTCTGTTTCCAGATTGGAGTGCAGTGGCACAATCTTGGCTCACTGCAGCCTCTGCTTCCTGGGTTCAAGCAATTCTCCTTCCTCAGCCACCTCAGTAGCTGGGATTACAGGTATGCACCGCCATACCCTGCTAATTTTTGTATTTTTAGTAGAGACAAGGTTTTGCCATGTTGCCCAGGCTGGTCTCAAACTCCTGAGCTCAAGCGATCCACCCGCCTCAGCCTCCCAAAGTGCTGGGATTACAGGCATGAGCCACGGCACCTGGCCTGAATTAAAGATTTAAATGCAGGCAGATCACCTGAGGTCAGGGGTTCAAGACCAGCCTGGCTAACATGGTGAAACCCCGTTTCTACTAAAAGTACAAAAAATTAGCCAGGTGTGGTGGCACGTGCCTATAATCCCAGCTACTCGGGAGGCTGAAGCAGGAGAATCACTTGAACTGGGAGGCGGAGGTTGCACTGAGCCAAGATCACACCATTGCACTCCAGCTTGGGCAACAAGAGCAAAACTCCGTCAAAAAAAAAAAAATTAAATGTAAGACCTCAAACAATAAGAATCCTAGAAGAAAACAGGAAACACCATTCTGGACATGGGCCTTGGGAAATAATTTATGACTCAGTCCTCAAAACAATTGCAGCAGAAACAAAATTTGACAAGTGGGACCTAATTAAACTAAAGAGCTTCTGTACAGCAAAATAAACTATCAACAGAGTAAACAATCTACAAATGGGAGAAAATATTCACAAACTATGCATCTGACAAATATTTAATACCCAGAATCTATAAGGAACTTAATTAAATGAGCAAAAGACAAAAACTCCATTAAAAAGTGGGCAAATGACATGAACAGACACTTCTCAAAAGAAATCATACAAAGAGCCAACAAACGTATGAGAAAGTGCTCCACATAACTAATCATCAGAGAAATGCAAATCAAAACCAGAATGAGATACCATCTCACACCAGTCAGAATGGCTATTATTCAGAAGTGAAACAGCAGATGCTTGTGAGCCTGTGGAGAAAAGGGAATGCTTATGCACTGTTGGTGGGAATGTAAATTAGTTCAGCCACTGTGGAAAGCAGTTTGGAGATTCCTCAGAGAACTGAAAACAGAACTACCAGTCAACTGAGAAATCCCATTACTGGGTATATATCTAAAAGAATATAAATTGTTGTACCAAAAGACATGCTCTCACATGTTTATTGCAGCTTTGTTCAGAATACCAAAGACATGGAGCCAACCTAGTTTCCCATCAATGGTGGACCGAATAAAGAAAAGGCACACATATACACCATGGAATACTATGCAGTCACAAAAAGAGTGAAATCATGTCCTTTGCAGCAACATGGATGCAGCTGGAGGCCATTATCCTAAGTGAATTAATGCAGGAACAGAAAACCAAATACTGCATGTTCTCACTTACAAGTAGGAGTTAAACATTGGGTACTCATAGACATAAAGATGGCAAAAATAGACACTGGGGGCTACTAAACGGGGAGGCAGAGAAGGAGGCAAGGATTGAAAATCTAGCTGTTGGGTGCTATGCTCGCAATTTGGGTGATGGGATCTATTTATTGCATACCTCAGCATCACAGAATATGTCCAAGTAACAAACCTGCATGTGTACCCCCCAAATCTAAAATAAAAGTTGAAATTATAAAAAAAGATAATTTTTAAGAACTGATTTTCCTCTTGAATATATTATTTGCTCCTTTTACAAGGAAAAGTCTAAACTTTTAGTCACAGTTTATAAAATGCTTTAGAGAAGAAATGAGATTTTTATGTTCAACTTCTTTTTTTTTTATTTTTTTATTTTTTGAGACAGAGTCTCACTCTGTCATGGCACAAGTTGGCTCACTGCAACCTCTGCCTCCTGAGTTCAAGCAATACTCCTGCCTCAGCTTCCCGAGTAGCTGGGATTACAGGTGCCCACCACCACGCCTGGCTAATTTTTGTATTTTTAGTAGAGACGGGGTTTCACCACGTTCGCCAGGCTGGTCTTGAGCTCCTGACCTCAGGTGATCCGCCTGCCTCGGCCTCCCAAAGTGCTGGGATTACACACCATCATGCCTGGCCATCAGCTTCTTAAAATAATTTAAAATAATTATTTAAGTTCAAAGAAATACATGCTTGTTTTTCCTTCCTTTCTTAATGGAGGAAGACTTCAGCTATACGACTTATCTTAATTTTTATGGATTCTGTGGTTTTTACGCAGTTTACAGGTATTGAGTCACCTTTCCCCATTGCAGTCAGTGTAACTGGAGTATATATGGGCATAGAGGGGAGAAGAGAGAATGAATACTAGCTTTGGAAGATTGTTTATCCTTTCTACTCAAATAATCTGCCTCCTTCAAATTTAACTTCTTTGTTTCGATTGCACTGTGGTAGGGACAAAAAAGTACTGTATCTTAAAACCAAACATATTTTTCCTGGAAAGGCATTATATAAACTATACTTCAGTGAAAGAGATGCTACTAAAAGATATGACAGTACTTATTCAGATGATAAAAATTACTGGAAAGGCCAGACTGGTAGATCACACCTGTAATCCCAGCACTTTGGGAGGCTGAGGCGGGAGGATTGCCTGGGCTCAAGAATTCTGAGCCAGGCTGGGCAACATAGTGAGACTTTGTCTCCACAAAAAATTTTAAAAAATTAGCCAAATGTGGTGATGCATGCCTATATTCCCAGCTACTTGGGAGGCTGAGGTGGGAAGATTGCTTGAGCCTGGGGAGGTCAAAGCTGCAGTGAGCAGGGATCTCACCACTGCACTCCAGCCTGGGTGACAGAGTGATACCTTGTTTCAAAAAAACAGTTACTGGAAAAAAGGCTACTTTTATGGCTAATTCCACGTAACTAAATTAGGTTGAAGAAAACTTTATATTGTCTTATCACCAAAAAGCCTATTTTATATCTATCTGTCCATTATATCTGTCTGCCTGTCTATCCATCTTTCATCAAGGTGTTTGCCTGCATCATTCTTGCCATCTTCTGATCTAAGAAACTGAGAATAAAAAAACCAAATAGCCTATATAGTTTAAAGTGTTGATTTGCTCCAATATTGTAGAGCATTTCATTCCACATATTCGGAAAGCCAAGTAAATTACATATCAACTTGAATAGAGTCCCTTACACCTATACACCTATTCTATATTTTTAGAGTCAGGGTCTCACTCTGTTGCCCAGGTTGGAGTGCAATGGTGTAATTATAGTCCACTGCAGCCTGCAACTCCTGGACTCAAGTGATCCTGTCACCTCAGTCTCCCAAATAATTAGGACTATTGATGTGTACTACCAAACTCAGCTAATTTTTTATTTTAATTTTAGAGACAGCGGTATTGCTATATTGCCCAGGCTGGTCTCAAACTCCTGTCCTCAAGTGATCCTCCTGCCTTGGCCTCCCAAAATGTTTGGGATTACAGGTGTAAGCCATCATGCCAGGTCTAAACCATGTATAAAAAAATTTCAGCTGGGCACTTTGGGAGCCTGAGGCAAGTGGATCACTTGAGGCCAGGAGTTTCAGACCAGCCTGGACAAATGGTGAAATCCTGTCTTTACCAAAAATTCAAAAAGTAGGTGGGTGTGGTGGTGCACGCCTGTAATCCCCGCTACTCAGAAGGCTGAGGCAGGAGAATTGCTTGAACCCGGGAGGCGGAGGTTGCAGTGAGCCGAAATTGCACCACTGCACTCCAGCCTAATACAGTGAGACTCTGTCTCAAAAAGAAAAAAAATATTTGACTCAGTACCTACCTTCACATCTCCTACTCAGTTATGTCTTACTCAGATTGGCCTGTTTTCTTTTTCAAGTATTGTCATAAAAGTACTCTTTTCTTTTTGACACCTGTTATCTTGCTCAAGGTTTTGTGATATTTTTCATGAAGATGGTATATAGACAGCATATTTGGAACAATGTTAAGGGGAATCTACTGCTTTATGCATATTACTGATGACTTTATGAAGCCACCTTTTCTAAATTATAAAATATAAACTAAGTTACTCACATAAGGGTTTGAACTTGGAAGAGTAACTAAATAGAACAGTTCCTTTGCATTGACATTATTACAGAACTTTATTAACTTTTGTGAAAGAGTAAAGAAAATAATAGGCCCTAAGAATTCTGTAATTATTCTCTGTGGATCACATTCCTTACTTTAAAAATTAAAAAATTTTTGCATAGATGATTCTTGCACGTGGTACATTTTTAAAAAAGGGTAGACAGTGAAAAATCTGTTTGAAATCCTTGATCCCACTTACTTACTTCCTTTCCTCTAGAGGCAACCACTGTTACTGTTTCTTACTCTTTCAGATACGTTCCATGCACTTATAAAAAGATAAAATGATATATATTTATATAAAATATATAATATAAATTTGTGTTTTATATTTATATGAATGTCACCATACTATGCACACATTTCTGTACTTTTTAAGAAGCAATATATATTAGATATCATTCTCTCTCTCTTTTTACATATTTTATTTTTTAGAGCAGTTTCGGTTTACAGCAAAACTGAGCAGAAAGTACAGAGTTCCCATATACCATGCACAGTCTCTCCCACTTTGACATCTGGCACGAGAGTGGTGCATTTCTTATAATGGATGAACCTACCTTGACAAATCGTTATCACCCAAAGTCCGTAATTTACATTAGGGTTCACTTTTGGTGTTACACATTCTTTGGGTTTTGAAAAATATATAATGACATGTACTCACCATTACAGAATCATAAAATAGTTTCACTGCTCTAAAAATCCTCTGTGCTTTGCCAATTAATCTTTCCCTCCCTGAAACCACCGATTTTTGAAAATCTTTTCCATAGTGTTGCCTTTTTCTAGAATGTCCTAGAGTTGAAATCATATAATATGTAGCCTTTTCAGACTGGCTTCTTTCACTTAGTAATATGCATTTAAGATTCCTCCATATCTTTTCATAGGTT
Organism: Homo sapiens; assembly: GCF_000001405.40. Classification (NCBI taxonomy): domain Eukaryota; kingdom Metazoa; phylum Chordata; class Mammalia; order Primates; family Hominidae; genus Homo; species Homo sapiens. The sequence goes on from NC_000004.12 coordinate 146,727,668, forward strand.
GATAATTCATTTCTTTTTGGTGCTGAATAATATTCCATTGTCGGGATATACCACTGTTTATTAAAATAAATTCAGCTACCGAAGAACATTTGGTTGCTTCCAAGTTTTGGCAATTATTAATAAAGCTGCTATAAAATTAGTGTGCAGGTGTTTATGTAGACATGTTTTTAACTCAGCTGAATAAATACGAAGGAGCATAATTATTGGATCATATGGCAAGAGTACATTTAGTTTTATAAGAAACTGCCAAGCTTGTCTTCTCATTATCTTGATAATTCTCTTTTAGTACATACGGAGTTGCTTCATTCATTGCTAACTGGAATAAGAATCCACATAGGGCCAGGTGCGATGGCTCATGCCTGTAATCCCAGCATTTTGGGAGGCCAAGGTGGGTGGGTCACCTGAGGTTAGGCATTCAAGATCAGCCTGGCCAACATGGCAAAACCCTGTCTCTACTAAAAATACAAAAATTAGCCGGGCGAGGTGGTGGGCACCTATAATCCCAGCTACTCAGGAGGCTGAGGCAGGAGAATCACCTGAACATGGAGGCAAAGGTTGCAGTGAGCCTAGATGGTGCCACTGCACTCCAGTCTGGGCAACAGAGTGAGAGCCCATCTCAAAAAAAAGAAAAAAAAAAAAAGATTCCACGCAGCAATGTACCATAATCTAACCAGTCACTCAGTGTTCTGTTGAACATCTAAGTTGTTTGCAATCTTTTGTAATACTGAAAATCAACTCCTACACATATATAAGGCTTTTAAAATTTGCTTGCCCTTCAGCCTGGACTGCTTCCCCCAAGATAATCATATGGTACACTCCTTCCTTTACTCTCCTGAAATATCACCTTGCCTGAAAGGTCTTCCCCATCCATTCTATCTAAAATAAAATTGCCCCATTTATACAGGGACAGGGAATGATGGAATGGGGCCAATTTATTTATTTATTTATTTTAATATAACATTTTACTTTTACTACTACTACTCTCTCTCTCTCTATATATATACACATATATGATTATATATAAAATACTGGGTACTAAAATGTATGTGTGTATGTGTATATATGTGTGTATAACTGTCCAGAGGATATATGTACATATATATACACATATATATGTGTATATATACGTATATATACACATATATATGTGTATATATACATATATATACACATATATATGTATATATATACACATATATATGTGTGTGTATATATATATGTGTGTATGTATATATATATGTACGTATCTGTCTAGATGCCCTCTAGTGAATCATCTCTCTGAAGGAAGGGACTTTGTTTTGTTTTCTGCTGTATCCCCAGTGCCTCCCTCAGCCAATGCCAGGCACATAGGGATATATTATAAATAGTTGTTGAATGAATGAATGTGTTGGTACATCTATTGTATAAACTTTGAATTATTGGGCCAAAGTTTTGTTCATTCTACATTTTGATATTGCCAAACTACTCTCCTTGGAGGCCGTATCTCTTCTTTTCACTAATAATATGTGGGAGATCTTGTGCCATCTTATACTAACTTATAAATTGTATTATCAAACATTTGCTGATCTGATAGCTGAAAAAGTGCTTCCTACATTTTTCATTTACGTTTCTCCTAACATGAGTAAAGTTCAGCATTTTTCACATTAAAGTTGACTTTTCATTTAACTCTCTTTTCCTTTTCCTTTTTAAAACTGGATTGTTCTTTTGTTTATTGATCTATGAAGGAGATAAACTCTTTGTGACATTTGAAGACTTTTTTCCGAGTTCATTTTTATCTTTTAAACTTGTTTATCATATATTTTGTCATGCAGAGTTTTTTATGAAGGCATGTTGTCATTTTCTTCATCTTTGATTGTAGAGCTTGGATGTCTGCTCTGTGAAATCAGATGTCTAATGGGTTCAAAAAGGTTTGCTTTGTTATAAAGATGGTGTATTAGTCTGTTTTCCTACTGCTATAAAGAACTGCCTGAGACTGGGTAATTTATTTTAAAAAAAGATGTTTAATTAACTGACAGTTCTACAGGGTTGGGGAGGCCTCAGGAAACTTACAATCATGGCAGAAGTAGAAGCAGGCATGTCTTATATGGCGGCAGGCAAGAGAGTGCTAGTGTGAAGGAGGAACTGTCAAACACTTATAAAACCATCAGATCTTATGAGAACTCACTATCATGAGAACAGCTTGGGGGAAACTGCCCCCAAGATCAAATCCCCTCCCACCATGACCCTCCCTCGATACGTGGGGATTATGGGGATTACCATTAGAGATGAGATTTGGGTGGGGACACAAAGCCAAACCATATTAGGTGGGATTGACACTCTTTCATGGATTCTACAAGCAGAAGCTAGAATAGTATTATTCTTTACATACTAACTTTGTACTCACACATCTTACCAAGTTATCTTATTTTTATAAGGGTTTTCATTGGATTTTCCTTGGTTTTTCAGCTGAGCATTTATATCTATGTAAATAAGTATACATTCTCCTCATATTTTTCCATATCTTGTATAGTATCTTCTTTCTTTCTCTATAATAATGTTAAATCCTGGGATACTACACAGCCATAAAAAAGAAGGAAATCATGTCATTTGCAGCAACGTGGAGGCAGCTGGAGGGCATTACCCTAAGTGATTAACTTGGGTGAATTAGAGTATGATTTTGGCCACTCTAAGTCTGAGGTGTCTATTAACTATTCGAGTGGAGATATCAGATAGGAATTATGTACACAAGTGAGGAATTCAAGAGAAAGCTTTAGGCTGGATAGATAATTTTGAGAATTATTAGTGCATAGATAATATTTAAGGTCATGAAATTGGATATAATAATTAGAGAATGAATGCAAATAGCAAAAAGAAGAAATTAAAGATTGAGCCATGGGTCACTTTAACAGTTAAGGTTCAAGCAAATGAAGTGGAACCAGCAGGGGATGTTGGGAAGAAGCAGCTAGTGAGGAAGAAGGAGCCAGTATGGTATCCTGTAAGCCATGTGAAGGAAGAATTTATATGACGAAGGAGTTATCAACTTTGTTCATTGTTGCTGATGGGTCAAATAAGATGAAGAGGACTGAGAAATGACTATTGTGTTTGGCGATGCGAAAGCCATTGATGAATTTGAGAACAGCAATTTCAGTTGAAGGTGGGACTGGAAACCTGATCTGAGTGGATTCAGGAAAGAATAGGAAGGGAGGAATTAGACAAACAACAAATGTGGATGATTCTTTTAAAGAGTGTTGCTATGAAGTGGAGGAGAGAAATAGAATAGTAATTGGTAGAGATTGTGAGGGTGAAAACTATTCTTTAAAGACAGGAGAAACCATAGCATTTTTCTATGCTGATGAGAATGATCTACAGATCATTTGATGCAGAGCAGAGAATTGTTGGAGGTAATGGCTTTGAGTAAATGAGAATGGATGACATATAGTACACTGGTAGAGAAACTGGCCTATGCTGGGAGCATGACAGTTAATCCTTAGTAAAAGGAGAGAATATATATTGAGCAGAGATGTAGGTAGGTGGGTAGATATCATAGTGATACCTTATGGTCATTATCTTTTGAGTGTTTCTTGGTGAAATAGGAAGCAGGGTCATTAGTTGAGAGCAAATATAGGGAGGAGGTATTGGAGGGTTGAATAAAGAAGACAAAATATGAAATTGTTGGCTGGGAGAGAGGGAGAGAGAACGAACCAGGGAAATACAGTGATTGGAATTAGCATTAAGGGCCCACTTGAGGTTAGTGATCACAACTTCAAAATGAGAACAGCTAGCACTGCATAGCTGTATGTTTTTCTTCAGAAACATTCAATTGTAAGAGTGCAAACAGACAGCAGAGAGAGAGTTGTATTTAGCTAGTGTTATGGTTTCACTAGGCAAGTATGAGGAAGAAAGAGGGACAAAGAACGGACCACAGAGTTTAAGCTGCTAAAAAAAAGTAGTGTTTCTATGTGGCAATTTCTTTCTGGCATTTCTCAGGAAAACGTATGTTTTTCAAAGTCTGGGTCCCAGAGAAAATGATAAGTTGACAAATTGGGAAAATTGGTAAAATATTAAAATTATCCTCTGAGGATTAGAGATTATCAACATAAAGATGTTACTTTTGAAGGAATCCATTTGTGCCAAATTGAAAGCAAGAGCAGGAAATGCTGACACTTGGGAATCAAAGTTAAGGTTGGCATTCCTGGAACCATAATGAGAGCATGTCAGAGAGAAATAGCCATGGTCCAGCCAGTTAGCGTTGCTTGTAGCTGCTGCCACATTGTATGTGTTTGTAGCAATGTCATCTGCTAATGGCAAGTCATTCTTGCCAATACTTGTTAATCAGCTTACATGAGTAGTATACTTCATATGACTCCTATGAGTGATGTTTCCAGAAGTAACAAGTTTTGGAAACAAAATAAATCCTTTTGTTTGTATTTTTGATATGTAATTCTGAGTAGTGCTGTTAAACTGCTAGGAGATGGGAATGTTATGGTATTCAAAACACCATCCAATAATATTTGCTGGCATTTTCTACTATTTGAAAATAGGTGATGGGTCACTGTTCTTTGTAAATTTTACTAAGCTTAGTATTTTTTCAGATATCTATAGTTGTGGGCTTATAGACTTTAAAAATATATAATAATATGTAAAGAGTATGAAGACTATTGGAAGTATTTTAAGAATGACTCATGATTTGGGGAATTTTTGATAATTCATAGGATTCCTTTTCTTGTTCCCAAAGATTAATCTGCTGGGAATTTATGAACACTAGACAGAAATATGGGCATAAGGAAAATGAAAAGCTAGTAGGATCAACTGATGACACATGTTGGTAGGAGCCATTTATTATACAAAGTGAACTGAAAGAACCTGTAAGAATGGGATGCTTAAAATTGGCTTTGTGGAGGGCAGCGAAGTAGTTTGAAAAGTTTTGGGTTTAACTGGTTTAACTACGGGAATGAGTAGGTAAGATATGGTGGAAGACAAGACCATTGAAGGAGAAGAGGTCAAGGAAGTGAGAGAAGAAAATATTGGAAGGATCATCATGTAGATATTGAAATGACCAAAAGTTAGCAGGTGTGGAGATGGAGTGACAAAGAACTAGGAGCTAAAAGCTTCAAGGAATGAATAAGGAAGACAGTGAGGCAGATAACTGCAAGCCAAAAGAGGAAGAGGAATACAGCCTTATTACCTGAGATTTATTGGTAGGATTTTAGCCAGCAAGAAGTGGCAATAAAGTCAAGACCACCTGTCATAACTTTAGGCCCAAAGGTGTCAAAGGACATGGGAGAGAAAAGAGTCATCACTTGAGAGTACTGTAGAGGAAACGGCATCCTTGGGGGACAACCAGGCTTCAATTAGCACAAGGCAGCCAAAGGAATAGTGGGAGAAAGGTGGTGGATTTTGCCTTGCCTGGCCTGAGTTTCTGAGGGGTTCACAGGCAGGATCTCAGTAGTTGGGGAGATTTGGGAGATGAGGTCACAAAAAAGGATATGTGGAGAACCTTATGCATATGGGAGTCTTGGGAGACAGAATTTTTTCTTTACTGCTGTAAATAGTGACTATAGATATCTTGAAATTACTCCTGATAGTCACAGGCAGAGGGTGTAAAGTTGGGAGTGATGAGCCTAGATTTGGAACCTTCTTATTTAGTATAGACATTACATGCTAAAGAATTTAGCATAATATTTTGATTAATTTTTGAACATCTAGATAAAATACATAAATGTTTGATATACTTCTGTAAGTATATGATATATATATATCACAATTTAAAAAATTAATGAGCTTGTATGAAATAATGGCAGTCACTAACCTAATATCGAACTTGTTTCCCTTGAAAATATAATATGGTAACACTTTATGGACTTTAAGAAGCATATTTTAAAATCTTATTAGACCTGTTACTTAGAAATAATTCTACATACTTATCCTACTTTATGTTAGTGTGTTGTCTGGCTATAGAAATAGGTGACTTATTATTTAAAATCAACTGGCTTTCATCTTAAGGATGACAAATGCCTACTCAAAATGTCTCTTTGAGTGGCTTTCTCAACATCTTAAATAAGAGCTTGGGGAAATGGAAGTATTATGTTAATGATTTTCAGATAAATATTGAAATAAGCAAGGCTGTTATTAGTGTGTGAACAAAACATCTTTTCAGTGTAACCTAGACATCTACTTTTGTCTGAGAGATTATGGGGGTCTCTTTCACTGCATCAGTGGGGTAATTTTTTAAAAAATCAGATATTAATATTCATGAGACTGTCTAACTTAATTTGTAGCCAGAATAGCATCAATGATTTGAAATGTTTCCTCAACTTTTAAAAGAGAAAATGATAAAGTAAGCCTTTCTTTCTAATAAATGGAAACATTGGATAACTAAAGAAGAAATGTTAGACAACTGGCCAAAGGAGAGCTACAAAACTTTTAAATCCTAGTGTCTCTCTACATCAAATGACTGGTCAGTTTTTTCAAAACATTTTCTATTATTTTATTTCTATAATATGATTGATTGCAAACCAAAAGAGGTAGGAGGGTATAGTCTCATTACCTGAGATTTATAGGTAGAATTTCAGCCAGCAAGAAGTGGCAATAAGGTCACTCTATTACTGACTTTATGTATAATTATAAATTGGGGGAGCTTCTGGGTAGTGGAACACGTGGAGTTTCCTGGAGGATGGTGCACCCAGGGAGGGTATGAAAGCTCTGCACCCCTTCCCCTATACTTCACCCTATGCATCTCTTCATCTGTAACATTTGCAATGTCCTTATAATAAAACCGGTAAACATTAAGTGTTTCCCTGAGTTCTGTGAGCCACTCCAACAAATTAACTAAACCTAAAGAGGGAGTCAGGGGAACCCCAACTTGAAACTGGTCTGTCAGAAGTTCCAGGACTTGCGACAGGTGTCTGGGGGTGTGGGAGACAGTCTTGGGGACTGAACCCTCAACCTGGGGAATTTGATGCTATCTCCAGGTAGATAGTTTTGGAGTTGAATTGGGGGACATCCAGCTGGTGTCTGCTGCTTGGTGTATGGGGAAAAAAACCAATACATTTGGTCACAGAAGACTTCTATGTTGATGATTGCTGTGGTGTGAAAGTAGAGGAAAAACACGGTTTGAGAGAGTTTTTCCTGAAACAATTGGTGGCAGTGATGGGATCTGCTAGACTGGCCCAGGCTCAGGAAAACATATGGTTTGGGAAGAGAAAGGATAAAAGGGTGGGGGTTGAGGAATATTTGATTCCTCGGTGGCCACGTGGTCACCCATGGTATGAAGCCACAGCTGTGTTGAGATCAGTCACTAAAGGTAAAAGTTATCATTGAAATTTAGAGATGGATCTAACTTCCAGGGAGTTGGTTCACTGGATGCATAAGGAAATGCAAACTAATAAGAAAAAAGCAAAATATTCAATCCATTGGTTATTGTTATCTGCAATTACTACAATGAAATTAAAAGAGAATGCTGGGTTGGACCTTAATGCTAGACCGAGTTTAAATTTTAGTCTGAGCTCAGGCCCCTGGACTCAAAGCCACCCCCCTAAAGGCAAAATGATGCAGGGACAACAGAAAATACCGCTGAGACCTGTGGTTGGTTACCAAGAATGTAGTCAACGTGGGGGAAGGGAGAAACCAAGGAACTCTTCAAACCAGAGGGTACAGTATGAAGGAAGTGTTCTATTTTGTCGATGGGCATCATCAGGTTTTTGAGGAACCTTTACTAAAATGGATTATGAGAGTGACTAACTTAGGGACAGTATCTTTGGTTTTAAATACTGCAGAGTGGACGAACACATTGATGGAGGACCCACGGCTCGCTACTGAACAATCATAAATGGGTATACATGGTCAAAACACACAGGAGGTTATTCTTGAGGGAATAGCCAGCCTGGTAGCTTGGATAAAAGCCAGTGTAAGTCTTTTTACCCTAAGAAGGGGGACTGTTCAACTCCACCTATAAATGCCAAGTGGCACACCCTAGATGAGACAGCTGATATACTTTCTATGTAAGCCATGGGCGACTGGCTTTATCATGACAGGGATATTCACCACTGAATGTGCCTGTTACCCAGGTCATGGTAAATGTTGTGGTTAAGAGGGCCCTTTCTACATGGGCACCCAATGTGATGTTACTCTTGTAAAACTGAACAACAGTTCGAGAAGCCTTATCAAATTTGCTGTCTCAGCTTCCCTTCATGGGTCTTACAGAAGCTGATAAAAACATAAGATTAATTAACAAGACAATAGGGAAAGGCAGAAAATCAAAGGATTCATCCCAGCAAGGTAGAAATATTTAGATGGTTATTAAGAAATAAAATGGAAACTGGTGGGGTTAAAACAAAAGTCTTAATACAATACTATCGAAGATTGGGTGGACCAAAGGGAGTCCCTGCCGGTCATCCAACATTAAAGGACCTCAAACCAGTTTGCTATGTTTCCTCCAGTTTGGAGAAATGTGAAGGTTGGAGGGCAGAGATTACAATGAGAAATTTGATCTGAAATTGCCTGGAACGATAGTCAAGCAGATTAATCAAGATAAAGATTGAGGAAAGGGCCAGAGTTCTTTGGCTCAACCTTTGGCTGGGGACCCAAAGCCTTTTGCACAGGAGTGGGTAAAATGGTCTCGGTGAGAGTGGAGAAGAGAAGTTCCTGGAACTAGGACAACAAAAAAATAAGGGCTGATAGGATTATGAAAGTTGGTATACTTGAATACACTTCATGTGAAGTGGTTGCCTGTCCTTTACCTGACTGTATCATGGGAATGGACATCGTATCTGATTGGGAAATGTTATCTTTACTTACTAACATAAAACAGAAGGCATGTAAATCTGCCTTTCAAGCAACAGTAATTGGACATGCTAGACAGAAACCAGTAAGATGGCCCAAGCCCACACAGTACAGAGTAGAAGCCAGAGTGCTGGCAGGGACAAATTCTCCATCTGATAGCCCTTTATGCCTATGTGCCTCCCAGCAACGACTACTGAGACTCTGAACTAGAGAATTTCCACTTGATGGACATTTAACCTGTTATGGGACATTAAGTAAAGCTACCCTGATGACTGAAGGACATAAAATGATCCTGAAACCTGAAATACTCATGATGTCTTCAGTGATGTCTGAGCAATGCTGTCATGGGTATGGCAGTGCTCAGAAGTGTTCCATAATAAAATGAAAATGGTTTATGCAGGATCTTGGTACCTAGGGAATGAAAGGAGGAGATGGTCACAAGCAGGGAGCCTCTGGGCTCCCTGGGACTGACTCTGAAACTCTGTGAGGTGCTGCTGGATTCTATTGACACTTAGTGCACTATGAACAGCTCTCAACTGACAAGAGGAACTACTTGGTTTACAGATGGCAGTTCCAAGGTAAATGGACAACATCTTGTTTGAAAAGCTGCCACTTTGATCAAAGAAGGTAAAAACAGATCATCTTGGTGGGCTGAATTCCGTGCTGTTTTCCTAACAGTTTTGGAAGAATTGAACAGTGATAGAAGCTCCTATGTTTGGGTTTTTACTGGGCAGTGACCAATGGCCTGGCCATTAGCTCAGGCAAGAGGGCAATGGAAACCTGCCCTTTTAAAGAAATGCCTATGTGGTGCATGGCCCTATGGAGATTGGGGGATGCATTAAAGTAGAACAAGTCAATATTCATTAGAAGAACTCCCTTCCAGGCTTGGAAAGTGACTGAAATCAACAAGCAGATATTCCTGTGTGTTTCCCTGAGGTGGTCACTTGAGTCCATGAAATGAATGGATATGGGGGCACTGCAGCAGTGCAAACACAGCATCAATCTAAACATGTTCCTTTTGCACCCTCTCAGGTGTATAATGACAGTAAGAACTGTTCTGATTCCCAGCGAGAGAGATAGAGACTGCTGATGACTACGGGGCAGATTATCTGGTCGGAAGGCCCTGAACGCATCTGGCAAGTGAGGCTGATGCTAGTAGCCCTGGGGGGGGGGGGGCTACAAACGGGTCTTGACAGGAATAGCCACTGACTTTGGAGTGGGCTTTGCTTACCCAGTGGAAGACACAAATGCTCAGGGTGCCATTGAAAAAACCCCAGAAGATATTGCATGGGTTTGGATGGCCATCGTTTCTTCAGACCAAGGAACAAACAAACTGTTCAGCCCATAATGTACAACAATGGGCAGAGATATAGTTTTTCTTTCTTTTCCAAATCATCTAAAAAATCTTTTTTTTCCCTCCCCCCTGATGCAGTGGTCCTAAGACCAGGGCTGTGATGACAAGTGCTGGAAGCAGGGATGATTTCTAAGCCAGAAACTGTCCCTATGTTTTTAAACTTTGTCAGCGTTCCTAAGGACTGGATGGGGCTGGATTGTGTCTTCACCCCACCTGGCAAAATTGGGGTTAAGAATAAATACAACTATATTGCCTGGTGGCAAAAACAGCTCACTAGTTCAGAACCTAGGTAACTCTACCGTCTATGAATGGAAATGGACTGAGCGGGAGGCACTATCGGTCTAGTATTGCTCCCAGCGATCTGGACCAGCATGGCGGCAGAATCTAATGTTCCTTTTAAAAATGAAAAAGTAGGGGTAAAAATAAATAACAAATGGAGAAAAGGAGAAATAATAGCTGATGGTGAAGAAATGGATAAATGGGTTATAAATGGAGAGAAATCCAATATTACATTAACAACTTTAAGGAGCCTCAGAGCAAGAGAGGCCATTGTCTTTAACTCAGTTATCCCAGGTATCTGAAGGGGGGAAGCTGTGTATTTGCCAAGACCACTCCTGCTTTTGGAGGCTGACAAGATTAAAAGGAAGCCTACAAACCTGAGTGGCCTCAGCCTGAGAGACATCCATATAGTATGATGGACTGGACTAATTATTAAAGATTGCATATTTTTTTTTTGCTCGAAGGGATCTGTGGTTGAAAACCAGAGGTGTCCTGTGGTCTTATGATATATGTTGTTTCTCATCCACAGTTCCCGGTTCATAACTCCCATAGCCCTGTTACAGTCTTTTGTCATAATGTTGGAGTGTTAGGTCTCAGGGGTAGGCTTCAGGAAACAGAATCTCTCTTCTGCCCTCCTTTCACCTGCCCCGCAGCGAGACTCTAATCTTACCCAGCCTTTGTGATTGCGCATCTTAAGACCCTCCCCAGAGAGTGTCCTACCTTATACTCTGGGGGAAGGAACGCTGACGTCATGAAGCTTCCATAAAGACCCAAGAGGGCAAGGTTGGGGAGCTTCTGGATAGCTGAACAAGTGGTGGTTCCTGGTGGGTGGCACCCAGGGAGGGTATGGATGCTCTGCAGCCCTTACCCCGTGCCTTACCCTGTGCATCTCTTCACCTGTACCTTTGTAATAGCCTTTATAATAAACTGGTAAATGTAAAAAAAAATTATTTTTGGAGCACAATTTTGGCAAAATATTTTTGTTTTAAAATTTGTTTAGAAAATATAAACTTTCACTTTTTCAGAATTAAAGGAAATAGCTATGAATTTCCAATAATATTTAAAGTCTATTACATTGGAGAGATAACTAGATTATATAAACTGTCTATTATAGGATGAAGACTATGACAAAAATTGCAAAAAGGTGGACGTGTTTTGGTATTCAACAAAAATAGTAGCATGAATTGAATGCTATAGGAGATGATTTTCTGCCTTTACTGAGGAAAGAAAAAATAAAATTTAAAGTGCTCTTTAAGGCCTTGTTCAAATACCCCCTTCACCCTGACGTCATTCCTTATGCTTCCAACTGTACGTGATCTTTCTCTCTTTTGGAACTCCTCTAACACTTTCTCTTTTCTGTAGTCCATATTATGTTCTATTGTATATTCTGGTTATTTGTATGCATGATTTTCTTACAAATTATGATTGTAAAAATCCTTGAACTTAAGATTCAAAGTTGTATTCCCCATTCTGTCACCCAATTTACATCCTAGCACAGGGCTTTTCATAGAGTAAATGTTTAGTAAATATTTATTGAATGATTTTCAGCACTGTCTAGAAAAAGACAACTGCAGTTTGGATATTCGGAGTGGAGAGTAATTGGTTCTAACATTTCATTAAAAAGATCTGTGTAGGCTGTCTTTTATATTCATATATTCATACTTTTCCCTACAATCTCCACTTTTGACCAATAAATGTAGTGCCCTTCTGTATCTTATTCCCTATTGTATAGATGGCGGTAATAGGTAGTTGTGGTGGGGACTGCTAGTTAACCACCAGATTTGTCTTCTCTCTGTTTGGGTACATTGCTAGGCTACATCTCTCAGCCATCCTTTGCAGGTAGGTGTGGCTGGGACTAAATTCCCTCCAAAGAAATATGAATAGAAGTGTGCCTCTTACAGGCTGAGTCCTAGGAAAAGTCTCCTAAGGACTTTATCTTTCAGCTGGTTGGATGCAAACAGTAATGAGTCAGAGGAGATGGTGGAGGCACTGGATGGAAGGACCTGGGGGGTCTCTGAATGATTATGAGAAGCAGAGGCTCCACATGCTGACTGGGGACCTCTCTAGCCTATTAAATAAATAAGAAGCAAACCTCCGTTGCATGGAGCCATCGTATTTTTGTATCTTTTTGTTACTACAATCTAGCCTACCCTAAATGACACAGCAGGGAAAGTAATGGTGGCTGCAAACTACATTTCACCGGCTTAGGAGAAACACGTCCTTGTGTGTAGCAGCTAGAATCGCTAGCATGGCCATGCTTTTATTGTAGCTCAAGGGTAACAAAGAGGATGTTGAAGGAACCCAAGGAATGGATCTATTAGCATGGAAAATAGATAACAGGGAATGGGTTGAAAATAATCTTTTTTTTAAAATTTATTTATTATTATTATACTTTAAGTTTTAGGGTACATGTGCACAATGTGCAGGTTAGTTACATATGTATACATGTATGTTGTGTATGTTTTGCCCACCACTCTCCTAGCACCTAGCTCAGGCAGAAACAGTATTCAGTGAACAACTGGGTATTTGGATAAGTAAATGTGATAGACACAAATCTTTATTTTTATTGAGAAGGGTATTCAAAGTACCAGACTTAAAGTTCATTAAGGAAAATCTAAATTAGATATAAAATCATCCTAAATATTTTTAAAATAATTTTTTTAAAATTTTTTAGAGATAGAGTCTCACTCAAGCCACTTCACTGCACCTAGCTGAGTGCAGTGTGGTGGCTTGATCATAGCTCATAGCAGCCTTGAACTTCTGGGCTCAAGTGATCCTCCCGCCTCAGCCTCCCAAGCAGCTGAAACTACAGGCACATGCACCACCATGACTGGCTAATTTTTAAAAAATATTTTAGAGACAAGGTTTCATGTGCTGGTTCAAACTCCTGGGCTCAAACAACCCTCCTAAGTCAGCCTCCCTAGGCGCTGGAATAACAGGCACGAGCCACCGACCATGGTGGAACAATCTTATGCCTTAATGATTTCAGAGTTGAAGGCTGAATTGATCTTTCTGGCCTGGAAAAGTCACCCAGTAGTGTGAACCTTACTTTGCCTTAGAAATAGAAGAATCTTTGTTTTGACATTTTGAGAAGAAGGCCATTTTAGTGCAAACACATGATACGTAAGTAATATTTTAGATCCAGGGTGTGAAATTTTTAGATGACTATACGCAAGTATTTTTATGCTGGAATAAAAACTGAAGAACTTTATTGAAGAAATAGCCACTGGCTTTGGAGTGGGCTTTGCTTACCCAGTGGAAGACACAAATGCTCAAAGAGCCATTAAAAAACCCCAGAAGATATTGCATGGGTTTGGATGGTCATCATTTCTTCAGACCAAGGGACGAACTGTTCAGCCCATAATGTCCAACAATGGGCAGAGATATATTTTTTCTTTCTTTTCCAAATTATCTTAAAAAATTGTTCTTTTTTTTTTTTTTGCTTACTTTATTTGTCTCTTTTCTCCAATCCATCGAACATTGCCCTAATTCAGGTCATCATCTCTTCCCTAGATTATTGCAATAACTCTTAACTGGTCTCTTTGCTTCTGGTCTCTCTTATCTCCAGTTCCTCCTCTACATTGCCACAGAGTTACATTTGCACATTCCCAAGAATCTCTGGCCATATTCCTAACATGTTCTAGCTGCCTGTACAACTGCAATACCTAAAACACTCTATGTTTTCTCATGAGCCTTTGCCCTTTCTGGATTATCCTTTCTTTCCAGCTACTGGGTGAATTCCTACTCTACTCCCGTCACAACTTGAAAGCATTTCCATGGGAAGCTTCTCCTAAGTTAGGTGCTTCGCCTTAGCTCTTCATAGCACTGCATACCTTGATTTTAGAACTTATCAGATTCTACTAGCCCTTCAGCCAAGGAACTTTATCACAATGGGAGTTAGCACTGTGGGAAATTAATGGGTTCACATGCATTATCTCATTTAACTTATTATCCCCATATTACAGAAGCATATGCAGAAGCCCACAGGGTCTAAATGGCACAGCTGGTAAATGGTGAGGCCATGATTTGAACCTAGATCATGTGACCCCAGAGTTGGCACTTTGCATCACTATTACATTTGCTGAATGAACCCTGCCTCCATGGAGTCTTCTTTCCTCACTTCCTTCTTTCTTTCTCAGTTGCTCAAGGGTATAACTGGACATGAGGCTCTTGGATGGTCACAGTCTGACTTCCAGCTTATGAGCAGGTGCACACTTCGTGACACTAGACTCTGCTGCAAGCCAACCACAAGCATTTCTCTGTGGCACTTTTGGAGTAGCAAAAGAACTGTATTGCAGGGGGCTAACAAAGAACTCTAGAGGGACAGGTGAGAATTCTTCTCATTCTCTCTGTGAAGGAAGACTCCCTGCATCTTCTAGAGCTGAGATGGTATAGCTAACAGTTTGTCCAGTAAATACGTCTAATAATTAAAAGTAAAAGAAATACTTCAAAACATTGAAAAAAATTTGTATTCACATCAGTGTAAACTAATCTTCCTTCACCTCTCCCTCACCCACTTCCTTCCTTCCCTCCCTTCCTTCCCTCCCTTCCTTCCCTCCCTTCCTTCCTTCGTTTCCTTCCTTCTTTCCTTCCTTCCTTCTTTACTTCAATTCCTTCTTTCCTCTTCTACTCCTCCCCCTCCCCCCTTCCCCTTCCCTCCCCTCCCTTCTGCTCTCTTCCCCTCCCTTTCCCTCCCCTCCCCTCCCCTCTCCTTTCCTTTCTTTTCCTCCTCTTTCTTCCTCCTTTAAACCAAAATAGTTGATCTCAGTATTAGAATGAAGTAAAGATTAGATTAGATCAGGCTATGTATATAAAACATTTAAAATAATATAATCTGCTTTTCAGAAGAGATTTCAATGGAAATATAAAACAAACTAAGGCAACAGAAAACGCAATGGAAAGAAAAATCCTCAGATAGGACTTTTTAAAGCAAAAGCATCAGCTAACTTGTTGCCTGACATTACAAAAGAAATCAGTCCTTAGGCTCTGGCCCTTTACTCTCCATCAGCGTTAGTCAAAGACCTCTTGTCCTGCCAGGAAGGGCCAGGAAAAGACTTTAAATTTCATGTAGAAAACATTCTCGGTGACACACTTTTTTTAAAAAGAAAATATGCAAGAAACCTTGAAAAATATTTTATAATTGGCCTTGGGAGGGTGGGTGAATGCAATACATAATTAATTTCATGAAGACAGATTTCGTTTGAATATGTATTTTGAGTGTTCTAACTTGGGAAATTTCTATGTCTTCACTTCCAGATAACTGAAAATAAGTGCCTGGTTGTGCTCTACCCAAGGTACAGTCACTCTGTTTTCAAGCTCAAAACAGATACTGATTTTCATTTCAAACTCTAATGCCAAAATTAGCAATGTCAGGTTGAATTAGAGGTGGATGGTTTAGAGAGTTCAGAAGTGAACAAGCAGCACAGCCAGACTGCTCTTTTTTTTCTTTTATGTTTTAAAGACGACAAAGCATGGAATGTAAGACACTCTGGTTTTATGGCACTCCCAGAAATATTTAGTCCAACTTCACTCATATGTCTTTAGCACAGTGGTGTCCTTCAAGTGCCAAATTCAAGGCTGAAAGCATTTAGTTTGAAGATTATTACAGATTGCTTTGATTTCCTTCTGCTGATAATTTTGCTTCTTATTTCGCTTTAGAAGATACAAAATTTGTATGGCACTTTAAATTGACAGAGAATTTCATCTACATTGTCCCATCAAGAGGGTATTGCACAGTTACTGAATTGCTCCATGAGCAATGTGTGAACCCTTTACATCTGGGGTTGACCTCAGGAAGATATTTACAAATTGGAGCTAGTGGGATCTTCCCTCACAAATTCCTTCTAATTAATAGAGCAATTGATCAAAGGAATGTATAGAACCCCATAATGGGAATATTTGAAGCATTCATTCAATCCAAGGAGCAAATGCCAGCAAACCTACATGACCAGATATGATTCATTGGTAAAGAAGAGGATTAAGGCCAGAATGATGTGGAGATGGGAAGGAGGGAAAGGAAAGAGTATTGATATCCTCTGAAATACTCCTATATCTGTACAGATAATATTCCAGTGTATCTGGTTTTTATTCATTTTTACTCCAAATGAAGAAGGCTTTTGTTAGATGTTTCCCATGTGGAAATGTGTGCTTAGGATGCGTACGTGTAAGAGAGAGAGAGAGGGAGAGAGATGCCAGGCACAGTGGCTCATGACTGTAATCCCAGCAGTTTGGGAGGCTGAGGAGGGAGGATCACTCGAGGCCAGGAGTTCCAGATCAGCCTGGGCAACACAGTGAGACCCCCATCTCTTAAAAGAGAGAGAGAGAGAGGAGGAGGATGAGGAAAGAAGGAGTGGGGTGGGAGGCAGAGAAGAAAGATATAGAATGAATAGGTAACCAGTAGCAGAGATAGAAGCTACAGGCTCCTCAAATATGGATCTTCCAGGATAAAAAGAGATTCATTTAGTAAATGCCTGCAATTTTCCAAGCCGTCTTCTTCTATACATTCTAGTTCTATGAAGGGGGTAGCACCATAATTAAATTACTCCATCAGCACAGTGTGGAGTGACAGAAATCTCTCTGCTGAGCAGGATGGGTGGCAGCCTCTCTGTGGGCCCACAGGTGTTGTATATGCCTCTCTCACCAACTATCAAAGTATGTTGTCAGCTGCTTCCTTGTCTGTGTATGAGATCTCTGAGGGCAGAGATTACATTTATATTTTCATTTTATATTTCTAGGCCCTAGAAATGTCTGGCTTACAGTTTCTATTCAAGTCATGTTTGATGAATGAATAGCTAGTGTGTTATGTAGCTTCCCCAACAAGACGTGTGAGTTGTATTAAAGGTAGGGAGAGGGAATCATTCCCTCACCTTCCAATATCTTAGGAATAAAAATCTGCAAATTTATGGAGAAAATGGAGAAGAATCCCTGTCATTCATCATCAATAGTCCACTTAACCAAGATTCAAAGAACAAATAATTCTGAACATCAACACCCAGATGCCTGGTATGGGCATTAGACTACCACCAGTTTCTATCGAGCACATGCCATGTTCACAGTTGGGGATATTGGACAAAGAGTCTAAGAAAGACAGTGGCAGATTTGAGAGGGCTCCAGAAGTTGGTGGACTGATGAGTAAAGTAGGAGTCGAGCAAGAGCCTAGAGGAAAAGGGCACAGGGCCTTTGGCTCAGACAATTGAAACTCTGGCAAAGTGAGAGAAAGTAGAAGAGATTTATTGGCAAGAACCAGAGCCTTCTGGAACTAGAAGGGGAAAATGAAATGCTGGCAGGTAGATAGAGAACCACTAGTCATGGAGCTGAGGCTGGCACATGATTCTGAGCCTTGAGAGAGATAGCTTCAGATTGATTAGCCATGGCAGTGTTCTCTGTTGGTTCTCTGCAGGGTGCAGCAAATAAAGTTTGGCTGAGCAAAAGAGAGAGGAATAAAGAATGCAGTTTCCTTCCTGTTTTAGGCATTAAATGAAATTGAGCTAAAGTCTGAACAATGGTTAGACTTGTTTAGCTATATAGCCAAGCTTAATACTCAATAGGTGGACGGTTGCTTAAACTACAGCTGATAGTCACAATATTTGTGACTTTAGAAACCTCAGTTCTTCTGATACACACTAATGTGCTCTTCTGACCACCCCACATTGACTCTTACGCTGTTTTCAATAATTTATATAATAGCATAGTCAATTGTCAATAGTGTGGAATACATAAAGGCTACCCAATATTTTTAATAGTATTACATAAGGTTTATTATTCAAGTGTTAAGCTAAAATTGGTGATAGGCTAATTTGTTTTTCCTTTTGCTTTTAGTACTGGCCTCTAGTGCCAACACTGAAAGAATGGGCACTGTTATCTCACAATGTATTTCTCTTTTTGTCTGAAGAATGCCACAACCACAACAGGAAAACCTATTTGCAAAGAGATACTTTGCTTTCTATATTGCAATTGGGAGGCACAGCTAGTTTACTCTGTCTAAACTCCCAGTTCAGCGATTGATGTTGAGAAAGAAGCTCAGTCTCCTAGAGTGAGTGGAGTTTATAGACTAGCCTTCAGCTTGTAGATTCTCTGTACCAGCCCTAGGGGAGGATAGATTTTATGAATAAAATATTTGTGAACAGCAGTAGTCACAGCATTATTACAAACTTAAAAAAAAAGATATCAAAGGGCATGGTTACATGAAGTGAGCAACAAGTCAGCACTTGCTTCTCTGAACTGTCTAGGGCTACAACACTGTGTAGGACTCGTTAGTATGCTCAACAAAGAATAGACAGTTGCATTAAGAATTAGAAATGTTAAAAATATCACAAATTCCAAATATACTTAGTACTGATTTTCCAACCAGGTCAACATTATGATGTTAGGTATTTGTATTTGTGAAGAAATTATGCAGTTTGATAGTTTGATGGTGAACCCTAAATTCAGGAAATTAAAATAGTCATAATTTTCTGTTTAGTTTAATCCTGTGGCATATATGCAAACATAAAAAATTTTGGTTTACAAGTATTTTCCAGATAACTTCAGTTTAGACAAAAATAGTATTTTCAAGCAATTTTTATTGTGTGTGTGAGGAATTTGTCTGTCCCCTCCCCTGTCCCACCAGATGAAAGAGAGTGTGTTTAGAGAAATGTTGTAGGGAACAGTTCCTCACTTCTCCAGTTTTTTAGGTTGGTCTAGTTTCTGCCCCATACAAGCATGAATGAGATATAAATTTAGGGTTCTGGGAGAGTGATGTCAGTGAAAGTGATGTCAGTAAAATGGCTGACTAGAAACCTGTAGTGCTCTTCCCTCCCTCCTCCACCCCCTAAAAAGAATAAACAGTTACATTTGACCAAAATAATTAAAAGAGAGTGCTGGAGTACAGCAAAGCAGCAGCAGAAATCCTGTAGAACACAGAAACCTAAGGTGGCCACACTGAGAAGGGAAGGAAACATGTCACCTCTGCCACCCCGTCCCCCAGATGTAATCAACTTAGAACCAGTAGAAACTTCTCCCTATGGAAGAAAGGTAGGATAGAGGACCCCAGCATCCCCTATCACCACCGTGGACACTTGCAGTTTTTACTACTAGAGACTCATGCAGTCCTCAAGGGCTCTGAGCCTAGCTGAGAGAGCTCTTCAGAATCTGCACACTGAGCTACCCCTAGAGAAGGAGCTCATGATGTGTCCTGCTGTGTCCCCCACCTGGGTCACACTGCTACTGCTCTGTACCATCTTGATACTGGAGCCACTGCTAGAGTGTGTGTCCTACTCCAGGGGTGAGTAGCCATTACGTCCTTCCATCCCTGAGGCTCAGCCACCACTGCACCACAGGAACCTGGTAGCATGCCATCCTCAATCAGAGCTTCTGCTATGCCCTGCCTCTTAGGGCTAAGCTATCGCAGAACTGCTCCATTCATATCCATTGCAGTCACTGGTGCACCCTCCACATAGGGTAAAGTTGCCCCACCCCTGGGAACATGGAGACTTTCACTACTGGAGCAGTCATTCCCCTGGCTCCAGAGCAAATGTGGTGTCCCACCCACTGGCAGCTTCAGGTCTTCTGCACGCTGGAGCAGTTGTGCCCCCAATCCTATAGCTGACGCAGCACCCTGGGGACCTCAGGCCTCCAAAACACCAGAGCAGTTGCATCTCCCAGCACAACATCTGATGTGGTGCCCTACCCCTAGGGATCCAGAGGCTCCATTGACTCACATAGCTGTGCTTTCTAGAGCCAAGAATATGTGTTGCCTCACATCCCAGGAAATAGAAGCTTGACTTAGTGGTGCCACTCCAGTCATCAGGCCAAATGGCCCCAGCACCCCACCTACCTGGAACTTGACTAGCTCCCCATAGTCTGAGCTGCTGAGGCACCTTGCCTCTCTGGGGAGTGGAGTCATTGCTGTGCTGTTCCCCACCCGCTGGAGCCCAAGTCACAGTGGCATCTTGCCATTCCTGGGTCCTTGCTGCTTCTGCATCTGCCTCACAGAGCCTAGGCTACTGCCACGTCCCACCATTCCAGGGTCCAGATTCCTCACTGTTTGGTTCCTCATCTTCTGAAGCTCGAGCTGCCAGAGTGCCCTGTTGCTTCCAGACTCCAAATGGCAGCTGTGCCTTGCTCTGTGGGGCCTGTGCCTCCAGAGCATCCCTTCTTCCCTGGAGATACACCAGTGCTGTGAACTGGCCCCAGAATCAGAACCACAGCTAACATCCCATCCCAGGGCCTGAGCTTCTAGGGTATGCCTTAGAACAAGACCCTGGCTTAATGTGAGAACTACATCCACTCATGTCTTGGAGAGTGAGCCTGCATCTCAAGTTCCAGATGCTACAGTAGTTTCACAAGACCCTGAGCCCAGGAACCTGGCTCCACTGCCACTCCAAACACCTGTACCCTGGAACCCAGCACCACTGTGACTGCCTGTGAACCATGTCAGAAACAATACCAAGAGCAATCCCCTCAGGTAAGACTCTCCACTGTGACAATAACAAGAGGATCCCTAAAGTCCTTGCCCTAACAACCTATGCAGCCACCACCACTGCCACAAACTCCTGCAGTCTCAACCAATGAGGCACCTGCAGTCCTCACTAACATTGAGTGCAACTGAAGAAGCTACATGGAGACTACATCACGGTGCCCACATGGAACAAGAGTCATCACACCCTGCCCAACTGGCATTGTCTCAGGCCAATCTGCAGGTAAAAGTCTTTCCCTACAAAAGCTATTCTGTGAAATTTAGAAGAGGTGACCAAATGTGCAGACATCAATGCAGGGACACAAGACAGATGAAACAATAAAGGAACATGGCATCACCAAAAAACACAATAATTCTCTAGTAACTGACCCCCCCGCAAAATAGAAATCTATGAATTACCTGAAAGAGAATCCACAATAATGATCTTAAGCAAACAGTAAGATACAATAGAGAGATGAGCTAATGAAATCAAAAAAATAATTTATTATCTGAATGTGAAATTCAACAGAGATATACATTGGCTGGATGTGGTGGCTCATGCCTGTAATCCCAGTGTTTTGGGAGGCCAAGGCAGGAGGATTGCTTTTAGCCAGAAATTCAAGACCAGTACTGACAACATAGTGAGACCCCATTTCTACCAAAAAAAAAAAAAAAGGCCAGGTCTGGTGGTGCATGTTTGTAGTCCTCATGAGGCTGAGGTAGGAGGATCGCCTGAGCCCATGAGTTGAAGGCTACTGTGAGCTGTGATCTCACTGCTGTGCTCCAGCCTGGGTGACAGAGTAAGACCCTGTCTCAAAACAAACTAAAAAGATATAAAAAGAACAAAACAAATTTGGAGCTGAAGAATTAAATCAACAAAGTAAAAAATATAATAAAGAGATTCAACAGCAGGCTAGATCAAGGAGAAGAAAGAATCTGTAAAGTTGAAGATAGGTCTTCTGAAATGACCTCCATCAGAGGAAAAGAAAAGAAAAAAGAATAAAAGAGTGAAGATAGCCTATGGGACTTATGGCATAGTATTAAATTTACTTATTTTATTTATTTATTTTTGAATTATGGGACTTCCAGAGAAGAGGAGACAGAGAAAGGGAAAACAAGCATACTTAATCAAATAATGGGTTGGTAAAACTCCCCAAGTCCT
Organism: Homo sapiens; assembly: GCF_000001405.40. Lineage (NCBI taxonomy): Eukaryota > Metazoa > Chordata > Mammalia > Primates > Hominidae > Homo > Homo sapiens. The sequence goes on from NC_000004.12 coordinate 146,749,658, forward strand.
GGGAGAGATAAGGACATCCAGATTGATGAAACTAAAAATGTTCTCAAGTAGATTCAACGCAAAGGGGTCAGCTTCAAGGCACATTATAATCAAACTGACAAAAGTCACAGAGAGAGAATTTTAAAAGCAGCAAGAGAAAAACATCAAGTCATATATGAGGGAATCCTCAATAGACTATCAGCAGATTTTTCAGCAGAAACCTTGCAGGCCAGGAGAGAATGGGATGATATATTCAAACTGCTGAAAGAAAAAAACTGCCAGCCAAGAATACTGTACCACTTATGAAGCAAAACGAAGGAGAAATAAAGTCTTTTTCAGATAAACAAAAACTGAGGGAATTTATTGCCACTATACCTGCTTTTTTTTTGAGATGGAGTCTCACTCTGTCGCCCTACATTGGAGTACAGTGGTGCGATCTCGGCTCACTGCAAGCTCTGCCTCCTGGGTTCACGCCATTCTCCTGCCTCAGCCTCCTGAGTAGCTGGGACTACAGGCGCCTGCCACCAGGCTTGGCTAATTTTTTGTATTTTTAGCAGAGACGGGGTTTCGCGGTGTTAGCCAAGATGGTCTCAATCTCCCAACCTTGTGATCCGCCCGCCTCGGCCTCCCAAAGTGCTGGGATTACAGGCATGAGCCACTGCGCCCGGCCCTATACCTGCCTTTTAAGAAACATTTAAGAAAGTTCATGCCGAAAGGAAAATATAATAATTACTATCATTAATACATTTAAAAACAGAAAATGTACTAGTAGAGGTAAATGCATAGTCAAATCTAGAATACTCCTATACTGTAATGGTGGTATGTTAATCACATATACATCTCTAGTATGAAGGTTAAAAATAAAAATGACCAAAAATAACTAAAGCTACAATATATTGTTAAGAAATGTACAATATAAAATGATGTAAATTGTGACATCAAAAACATAACTTGTTGAGGAAGGAGGGTATAAGTCTAGAGGTTTTGTATGCAACAGAGGTTAAATTATTATCGGCTTAGAATAGCAGATTATAAGATTTTTAAATGTAAGTTTCATGGTGATCGCAAAACAAAAAACTATAGCAGATATACAAACAATAAAGGAACTTAAGCTTAGCAATACAGAAAACTATCAAATCACAAAGGTAGACAACAGGAGAGGATGAAAGGAACAAAGGACTTATAAAACAATCTGAAAACAACAAAATGGCAGTGATAAGTCTTTACCTATATCGATAATAACTTTGAATGTAAATGGATTAAATTATCCAATCAAAAGATACAGAGTGGCTAAATGAATTAAAAACAACACCTAAATATTCTCTTCCTACAAAAGCCCTGTTTAAGCTTAAAGACACATGTAGGCTGAATGTGATGAAAGATGACACCCCACATAAATGGTAACCAAAAAAGAGCAGGAGTGACTACACTTATATTGGATAAGATAGACTTCAAGTCAAAAACTGTCACAAGATACAAAGATGGTCACTATTTATTGATAAAGGTGTCAATTCATCAAGAGGACATAATCATTGTAAATATATATGCACCCAACATTGGAGCACCTTAATACATAAAGCAAATATCGATGAACACAAAGAGAAAAATAGATAGCAGTACAATAATAGTAGCAGATTTCAATACCCCACTTTAAATGGATAAATCAATAAGACATAAAATTAATCCATAAATACTGGTACTTGAATTGCACTTTTGACTAAATGGACTTACAAACATATACAGAACTTTCCACCAAACAGCAGAAAATACACATTTTTCACTAGTGGACATAAAACGTTCTTCAGGACAGACCATACGTTAGGCCACAAAACAAGTTAACAAATTTTAGAAGACTAAAGTCACATTAGACCACAGTGGTATGAAAATAAAAATCAATAACACAAGGTATCTTGGAAAATTCACAAATTGTGGAAATTAAACAACATCCTCCTGAGCAACCAACGGATCAAAGAGAAAATCTAAAGGGTAATTAAAAATACGCCAAAAACAGACAAATGAAAATGGAAACACAGGATACCAAAACGTATAGGATACACCAAAAACCGTTCTAAGAGAGACATTTGTAGCAATAAACACTTACATTAAAAAAGATGAAAGAGCTCACATAAATAGTTTAACATTATACCTCCAGGAACTAGAAAAAGAAGAACTAAACAGAAGGAAGGAAATCATAAAAATCAGAACAGAAATAAATCAAATACAAAATAGAAAAATCATAAAATGAATCAATGAAACTAAGACCTGTTTTTTTGAGAAAATAAACAAAATTGACAAACTCTCAGCTAGTCTAAGAAAAAGGAGAGAAGATGCAAATAAAAAATGGAAGTCAAGAAATTATAAAACTGGCACAAGACAGGGATGCCCTCTCTCACCACTGCTATTCAACATAGTGTTGGAAGTACTGGCCAGGGCAATCAGGCAGGAGAAGGGAATAACGGGCATTCAATTAGGAAAAGAGGAAGTCAAATTGTCCCTGTTTGCAGATGACATGATTGTATATCTAGAAAACCCCATTGTCTCAGCCCAAAATCTCCCTAAGCTGATAAGCAACTTCAGCAAAGTCTCAGGATACAAAATCAATGTACAAAAATCACAAGCATTCTTATACGCCAATAACAGACAAACAGAGAGCCAAATCATGAGTGAACTCCCATTCACAATTGCTTCAAACAGAATAAAATAACAAGGGATGTGAAGGACCTCTTCAAGGAGAACTACAAACCACTGCTCAATGAAATAAAAGAGGATACAAACAAATGGAAGAACATTCCATGCTTATGGGTAGGAAGAATCAATATAGTGAAAATGGCCATACTGCCCCAGGTAATTTATAGATTCAGTGCCATCCCCATCAAGCTACCAATGCCTTTCTTCACAGAATTGGAAAAAACTACTTTAAAGTTCATATGGAACCAAAAAAGAGCCCACATTGCCAAGTCAATCCTAAGCCAAAAGAACAAAGCTGGAGGCATCACGCTACCTGACTTCAAACTATACTACAAGGCTACAGTAACCAAAACAGCATGGTACTGGTACCAAAACAGAGATATAGACCAGTGGAACAGAACAGAGCTCTCAGAAATAATGCCACATATCTACAACTATCTGATCTTTGACAAACCTGACCAAAACAAGCAATGGGAAAAGGATTCCCTATTTAATAAATGGTGATGGGAAAACTGGCTAGCCATACGTAGAAAGCCAAAACTGGATCCCTTCCTTATACCTTATACAAAAATTAATTCAAGATGGATTAAAGACTTACATGTCAGGCCTAAACCATAAAAACCCTAGAAGAAAACCTAGGCAATACCATTCAGGACATAGGCATGGGCAAGGACTTCATGTCTAAAAAACCAAAAGCAATGGCAACAAAAGCCAAAATTGACAAATGGGATCTAATTAAACTAAAGAGCTTCTGTACAGCAAAAGAAACCACCATCAGAGTGAACAGGCAACCTACAGAATGGGAGAAAATTTTTGCAACCTACTCATCTGTCAAAGGGCTAATATCCAGAATCTACAATGAACTCAAACAAATTTACAAGAAAAAAACAAACAACCCCATCAAAAAGTGGGCAAAGGATATGAACAGATACTTCTCAAAAGAAGACATTTATGCAGCCAAAAAACACATGAAAAAATGCTCATCATCACTGGCCATCAGAGAAATGCAAATCAAAACCACAATGAGATACCATCTCACACCAGTTAGAATGACGATCATTAAAACGTCAGGAAACAACAGGTGCTGGAGAAGATGTGGAGAAATAGGAACACTTTTACACTGTTGGTGGGACTGTAAACTAGTTCAACCATTGTGGAATTCGGTGTGGCGATTCCTCAGGGATCTAGAACTAGAAATACCATTTGACCCAGCCATCCTATTGCTGGATATATATACCCAAAGGATTATAAATCATGCTGCTATAAAGACACATGCACACATATGTTTATTGTGGCATTATTCACAATAGCAAAGACTTGGAACCAACCCAAATGTCCAACAATGATAGACTGGATTAAGAAAATGTGGCACATATACACCATGGAATACTATGCAGCCATAAGAAATGATGAGTTCATGTCCTTTGTAGGGACATGGATGAAGCTGGAAACCATCATTCTCAGCAAACTATTGCAAGGACAAAAAATCAGACACTGCATGTTTTCACTCATAGGTGGGAATTGAACAATAAGAAAACATGGACACAGGAAGGGGAACATCACACGCCAGGGACTGTTGTGGGGTGGGGGAAGGGGGGAGGGATAGCATTAGGAGATATACCTAATGCTAAATGACGAGTTAATGGGTGCAGCACACCATCATGGCACATGCATACACATGTAACAAACCTGCATGTTGTGCATATGTACCCTAAAACTTAAAGTATAATAATACAAAAAAATAAAATAAAATAAAAATAAAAAATATTTTGGTAAATCTGTTTGTTAAATAAACTACCATCATTTTATATATTTAAAAAAAAAGAAATTATAACAGATGCCTCAGAAATAAAAAGGATCATAAGAGATTACTTCAAACAATTATATGTCAATACATTGGATAACCTAGATTAAAAGGATAAATTGCTAGAAAAATAAAGCCTACCAAGATTGAGTCAGGAAGAACTAGAAAGCCTGAACAGAGATTTGGATATCTTTTAAACAAATAAAAGCCCAGATAGCATACCAGATAAATTCTCGCAAACATACAAAGAAGAATTATACCAATACTTCTTAAGCTCTTCTGAACATATTTTAAGAAGATAGCATTCCTTTAATACCTAAGCCAAAGAAGAGCTCACAAGAAAAGAAAGCTACAGGCCAATTTTTCTGATGAATGTTGATGCAAAAATCCTCAATCAAATATCAGCAAACCAATTTTAACAACACATCAAAAAATGGTATCTCCTGACCAAGTGGGATTTATCCCTGGCATATAAGGCTGGTTTAACATATGCAAATCAATCAATATGATACATCACATTAACAGAATGAAAGATTAAAACCACAAGATTATCTCAATTGACATGGAAAAAGCATTTGACAAAGTTTAACATCCTTTCTTGATAAAAACTGTCAACTGTTTGTGTATAGAAGGAAAGTAGCTCAACATAATAAAGGCCATTCATTAAAATCCCACAACTAACATAATAATGAAGATGAACTAAGATCTAGTATCAGGCAAGATGCCCATTGTTACCACTTCTATTTAACATAGTATTGGAAGTAGTAGCAAGATTAATCAGAAAAGAAAAAGAAATATAAGATACCCAAATCAGAAAGAAAGAATAAAAATGATCTCTGTTTGCAGATGACATGATCCTGTATGTGAAAAACCCACAAAAGAATGGTTTGAACCAATAAATAGAATCAGTAAAATTGCAGGATAAAAAATCAACATACAATATCATAGGATTTCTATACACAAATAGCCACCTTATTGAAAATAAATTTTTAAAAGTCCCATTAATAATAGCATAAAAAAACATAGGAATAAATTTAACCAAGGAAGTGAAAAGTCTCTATATTGAAAACTATACAACACTGATAAAAGAAGTTGAAGAAGACACAAATGGGAAGACACCTGTCCTCATAGATCAGAAGAATTAATATTGTTAAAATGTCCATACTATCTAAGCAATATAAAGTTTTAATGCAATCCTTATCAAAATTCCAATGACATTCTTCACTGAAATAGGAAAAACAATCTTAAAATTTGTGTGGAAGCACAAAATATTCTGAATAGCCAAAACAATTCTGAGAAAGAAAAACAAAATTGGAAGCATCACACTTTCTCGTTTAAAGGAAATGGGGAGATGTAAATCAGACGATAAAAGTAGCAGACATGTAGGATGAACAAATTAGAGATCTAATGTACCACATAGGGACGATAGGTAATAAGATTGTATTGTATATGGGATTCATGCTAAATGAGATTTTAGCTGCTCTTGCCACAAAATCAAGAAGTAATAGGTAAGTATGTGACATGACAGATTTGTTAATTGGCTTCATGATAGTAACTTTTTTTAACTATATATATATATATCCCACAATATTATGTTATATACCTTAGATATACCCAATAAAATTTGTTTTTAAAATACTCTTTAAAAAATTAGGGTTCTGTATCACAAATCCAAAGGTTGCACAAAGTATGACCCAAAACCAAGTCTACCCTATTCCAAAACTAGTTTATTTTTGGAAGCTGCAACCCCAAAAGACTTTTGATCTTAAACATGTATCTCAACCTATTATAGGTTACTAAAATTCAACTTTTAGGTTTAAACAGAATCAGACAATGTGATTTTGTTTAAGAAATTCTGTAGTCAGGCTGGGTGCGGTGGCTCAAGCCTGTAATCCCAGCAATTCGGGAGGCCGAGGCAGGTGGATCATGAGGTCAGGAGATCGAGACCATACTGGCTAACATAATGAAACCCCGTTTCTACTAAAAATACAAAAAATTAGCCAGGCGTAGTGGCAGGTGCCTGTAGTCCCAGCTACTTGGGAGGCTGAGGAGGAAAATGGTGTGAACTCGGGAGGCAGAGCTTGCAGTGAGCAGATTGTACCACTGCACTCCAGTCTGGGTGACAGAGCAAGACTCTGTCTCAAAAAAAAAAAAAAAAAAATCTGTAGTCAGATTCAAATGTCTACTTGTTTTATTATGCTCATGATTTAGAAATCCTATCAAGTAGGCATTACATCCATGAAGTTCAAAATGATACTATGAATGACATTAGCAAAAACAGAATAAAATTAGACATCTGGAATCTAACATAATTTTGTATAAGAAATATTTTGTGAAGACTGTTTAAAGTTTCACTGTCTGTTTAGGGTGATGGTAAGAGTAAAGGCATAGTTCTCTAATGGCATTAAGACAAGTTGCCTCCATATGGACAAGTAGATTTTCAATACAAACTAACCCAGGGAAGTTTTCCTTGATTATTCCCCCAAATATGTTTTCCAAGCTTTTAGAACTCTCTTCTTCCTCAGGAATATCGATTATTCTTAGGTTTGGTCATTTAACATAATCCCAGACTTCTTGGAGTCTTTGTTCATGTATTTTTTTATTCTTTTTTTTTTGTCTTTGTTGGGTTGGGCTAATTCAAATATCTTGTCTTCCAGCTCTGACTTTCTTTCTTCTACTTGTTCCATTCTACTGCTGAGACTTTCCAGAGCATTTCACATTTCTAAAAGTGTGTCCAAAGTTTCCTAAATTTTTTATTGTTTTATCTGTAAGCTACCTATTTCCATGAATATTTCTCCTTTCACTTCTTGTATTATTTTTTGGATTTCCTTGCATTGGGCTTTGCCTTTCTCTGGTCCCCCAGTGATTAGCCTAATAACTAACCTCCTGAATTCTTTTTCAGGTAAATCAGGGATTTCTTCTTGGTTTGGATCCATTGCTGGTGAACTGGTGCAATTTTGGGGGGTGTTGAAGAGCCTTGTTTTGTCATATTATCAGGGTTGTTTTTCTGGTTTCTTCTCATTTGAGTAGGATCTGTCAGAGGGAAGGTCTAGGGCTGAAGGCTGTTGTTCGGATTTTTTTTTTTGTCCCAGGGGGTGTTCCCTTGATGTAGTACTCTCCCCCTTTTCCTACGGATGTGGCTTCCTGTGAGCCGAACTGCAGTGATTATTGTCTCTCTTCTGGGTCTAGCCACCTAGTGAGTCTCCCTGGCTCCAGGCTGGTACTGGGGATAGTCTGCACAGAGTACTGTGATGTGAAATATCTATGCGTCTCTCAGCCGTGGATACCAGTGCCTGTTGCTAGAGATCTAGACATCCAAATACAAGAAGCACAAAGAACACCTGGGAAATTCATGGCAAAAGAATCTTTGCCTAGGCACACTGTCATCAGGTTATCCAAAGTTAAGATGAGGAGAAGAATCTTAAGAGCTGTGAGACAGAAGCACCAGGTAATCTATAAAGGAAAACCTATCAGATTAACAGCAGATTTCTCAGCAGAAACCCTAAAAGCTAGAAGGGATTGGGGCACTATCTTCAGCCTCCTTAAACAAAACAATTACCAGCCAAGAATTTTGTATCCAGCGAAACTAAGCATCATATATGAAGGAAAGATACAGTCTTTTTCAGACAAACAAATGCTGAGAGAATTCATCATTACCAAGCTGCCACTACAAGCTAAAAAGAGCTCTAAATCTTGAAACAAATCCTGGAAACACATCAAAATAAAACCTCTTTAAAGCATAAATCACACAAGACCTCTAAAACAAAAATACAGGTTAAAAAGCGAAAACCAAAACCAAAAAAAAACAAAAACAAAATACACAGGCAACAAAGAGCACAATGAATGCAACAGTACCTCACATCTCAATATTAACATTGACTGTAAATGGCTTAAATGCTGCACTTAAAAGGTATAGAACCACAGAATGGATAAGAACTCACAAACCAACTATTTGCTGCCTTCAGGAGACTTACCTAGAACATATGGACTCACATAAACTTAAAGGGGTGGAAAAAGGCATTTCATGCAAATGGACACCAAAAGCAAGCAGGAGTAGCTATTCTGATATCAGACAAAACATACTTTAAAGCAACAGCAGTTAAAAGAGATGAAGAGGGACATTATATAATGATAAAAGGCCTTGTCCAACAGGAATATATCACAATTCTAAACATATATGCACCTAACACTGGAGCTCCCAAAATTATAAAACAATTACTAATAGACCTAAGAAATGAGATAGACAGCAACACAATAATAGCAGGGGACTTCAATACTCCACTGACAGCACTAGACAAGTCATCAAGACAGAAATTTAACAAAGAAGCAATGGATTTAAACCATACCTTGGTATAAATGGACTTAACAGATATATACAGAACGTTTCATCCAACAACCACAGAATACACATTCTATCCAACAGCGCATGGAACTTTCTCCAAGATAGACCATAAGATAGGCCATAAAACAAGCCTCAATTAATTTAAGAAAATTGAAATTATATCAAGCACTCTCTCAGACCACAGTGGAATAAAACTGGAAATCAACTCCAAAAGGAGTCTTCAAAACCATGCAAATACATGGAAGTTAAATAATCTGCTCCCAAATAAGCATTGGGTCAAAAATGAAATGAAGATGGAAATTAAAAAATTCTTCGAACTTAATGACAATAATGACACAACCTATCAAGACCTCTGGGATACAGCAAAGGCAGTGCTAAGAGGAAAGTTCATAGCCCTAAACACCTACATCAAAAAGACTGAAAGAGCACGAACTGACACTATAAGGTCACAACTCAAGGAACTAGAGAAACAAGAACAAACCAAACCCACACCCAAGAGAAGAAAGGAAATAACCAAGATCAGAGCAGAACTAAATGAAATTGAAATAAAAAAATACAAAACATAAAGGAAACAAAGAGCTGGTTCTTTTAAAAGATAAGATTGGTAGACCATTGGCAAGATTAACCAAGGAGAGAGAAAATCCATATAATCTCACTAAGAAATGAAGCAGGAGATATTACAACTGACACCACTGAAATACAAAAGATCATTCAAGGCTACTATGAACACCTTTACACACATAAACTAGAAAACCTAGAAGACATGAATAAATTCCTGGAAAAATACAACCCTCCTAGCTTAAATCAGGAAGAATTAGATACCCTAAACAGACCAATAACAAGCAGTGAGATTGAAATGGTAATTACAAAATTAGCAAGAAACATTCAAAGAAGAATTGGTACCAATACTTCTGACACTATTTCACAAGATAGAGAAAGAAGGAACCCTCCCTAATTCATTCTATGAAGCCAGCATAACCCTAATACCAAAACCAGGAAAGGACATAACCAAAAAAGAAAACTACAGACTGATATCCTTGACGAATATAGATACTAAAATCCTTAACAAAATATTTGCTAACTGAATCCAACAACATATCATAAAGATAATCCACCATGATCAAGTGGGTTTCATACCAAGGATGCAGGGATGGTTTAACATACACAAGTCAATAAATGTGATACACCACACAAACAGAATTAAAAACAAAAATCACATGATCATTTCAATAGATGCAGAAAAAGCATTCAACAAAATCCAGCATCGCTTTATGATTAAAACTCTCAGCAAAATTGGCATACAAGGGACATACCTTAATGTAGTAAAAGCCATCTATGACAAACCCATAGCCAACATAACACTGAATGAGGAAAAGTTGAAAACATTCCCTCTGAGAACAGGAACAAGAAAAGGATGCCCACTCTCACCACTCCTCTTCCACATAGTACTGGAAGTCCTAGCCAGAACAATCAGACAAGAGAAGGAAATAAAGGGCATTCAAATCAGTAAAGAGGAAGTCAAACTGTCACTGTTTGCTGACAATATGATTGTTTACCTTTAATACCCTACGGACTCCCCCAGAAAGCTCTTTGAACTGATAAAAAGAATTCAGCAAAGTTTCTGGATACAAGATTAATGTACACAAATCAGTAGCTCTTCTATACACCAACAATAACCAAGAAGAGATTCAAATTGAGAACTCACCCCCTTTTACAACAGCTGCAAAAAATTTAAAATACTTAGCAATATACCTAACCAAGGAGTTGAAAGACCTCTATGAGGAAAACTACAAAACACTGCTGAAAGAAATCATAGATGATACAAACAAACGGAAACACATCCCATGCTCATGGACGGGTAGAATCAATATTGTGAAAATGACCATAATGCCAAAAGCAATCTACAAATTCAATGCAATCCCCATGAAAAGACCACCATCATTCTTCACAAAATTAGAAAAAAAATTCTAAAATTCACATGGTACCAAAAAAGAGCCCACATAGCCAAACCAAGAGTAAGCAAAAAGTACAAATCTAGAGGCATCACACTACCTGATTTCAAACTATACTGTAAGGCCATAGTCACTAAAACAGCATGGTACTGGTACAGAAATAGGCATATAGACCAATGGAACAGAATAGAGAACCCAGAAATGAACCCAAATACTTCGAGCCAACTGATCTTTGACAAAGCAAACAAAAACATAAAGTGGGGAAAGGACACCCTTTTCAACAAATGGTGCTGGGATCATTGGCTAGCTACATATATATACATATATATGTGTATATATATATATATGATGGAATACTATATATATATGATGGAATACTATATATATATGATGGAATACTATATATATATATGATGGAATACTATATATATATGATGGAATACTATATATATATATATATGATGGAATACTACACAGCCATAAAAAGGAATGAATTAACAGCATCTACAGTGACCTGGATGAGATTGGAGACTATTATTCTATTATTCTAAGTGAAGTAACTCAGGAATGGAAAATCAAACATTGTTTATATGTTCTCACTGATATGTGGGAGCTAAGCTATGAGGATGCAAAGGCATAAGAATGATACAATGGACTTTGGGGACTTTGGGGGAAGAGTGGGAGTTGGGGCAAGGGATAGAAGACTACAAATATGGTGCAGTGTTAGGTGCATCAAAATCTCATAAGTCACCACTAAAGAACTTACTCATGTAACCAAATACCACCTGAACCCCAATAATAACTAATGGAAAAAAATACAAACTAACCATCTTCTACATCATTCAATCACAAATATAATCTTAGGTGATAGGCAGCTACGTAGGTCTTTTTATCTTTTTTTACAGTTTAGGAAGTAACCCTGAATTCCACAAATTAGAGTGGGTCAATTAAAGAACACAAGGGCATAAAGATTATGAAGAAGATTCTCTTGTGTCACAAATTATGCATGAAAACAATTCTTTCTCTCTTACTCTTTAGTAATTGGTAATTTTTCTAGAACAAATATATTCAAGTAAGCTTCCAATGCACACTTTGTACACTGCATGCATAATCAATGTTGAAATCAGAGCTAAGTGTGGGTGAATAATATTTTTTGAGTTAGGGGGTCAAAGCTGCCTTGTATTCCACTGGGTTAGATTTGGAGGTTGCAGGAGATTTTAGTTGAGTAGTTTCCCTAAACAGAGTAGTTTTTTTTTTTTTTTTTGTAGACTTGTCTCTTTGCTCCCTTTTACTTACTCTTTTTTAGTATGGTGTAGTATACATAATTTAAATAACCAGGGAATGTCTCTGGGCTCAAAACCACCTGCTGGCTTATATTAGCTAATTAATGATGATTTATCTGAGTTACTAATTTGAGTGGAGCTGAATGCCCTTAGGAATTTGAGAAACGTTGTAAGAATTCTGATTAAAATTATGCCTTTGTGACGGACATTCTTCTTAAAAGGCGTTTATAAAAATGTTGCCTGTTAGCAGATTTAAAAAAACAAAAACAAAAACAAAAACCTGCCAAATAAATGACCTTGTGTTTTTTTTCTGGGCTCAAATCATGTCTTATGGCAGTCTGCTTGCTCTTGTTATTCAATTTTATCTCTGCTAGGCTTCCTTTCATTTCGTCTCTTATTAAGGTTTATTTGCCTAGTTTTATAGGGCTTTGACTGCTTGAAAAATAGAACTGATCTTGAATCCACAGAGCTCCATCATTTTCACAAAAACTAATACAGTGGATTCATTTCAGCCAAACTTGTGTGTCAGGCTGGCCTGATTCCCAGGGCCTGAATATGTGAATTTAATGGTGGTACAACGTCTGAGGTTGGAATATAATAGAAAGCTCTCAGCAGTATATCTATTGGATCAGTGTAATTTCTTTTTTTTTTTTTTTTCCTGTGAGTCTCAATGTCTCTTAAGGCAATGTAGTCTGTGTAAAAGCTGGCTGGCTATCTCTTACTGAGATCCCACTGCTGTTACAGTCAACAAAGAATCATCTCCTTGGATAACGTATATAGTAGGCAACAGTTAAATACACAATTAGGGTTCACTGAAACAGTAATTCTATTAACTGGTATGTTCTATTTCTATTTCAAGAAAAGGTGCCATAATTAACACAGGATCACTGCTTTGAAACATCTGGATTTAGAAATTGTTTATCTAGCCTAGTCATCTGCCCTTTTTCTCCTCCTTCTAAAAACATGATTCAAGTAATCATAAAATGCATTTTGATTTCTCAGTGACCTCAGACTCATAGTTTGCCTGGCTTGTCTACTACTAAGGGATATAACCGAAGTATAATTTTCCACTTTTTTGGATTCCTGGTATATTTTCCAGAACATGGAAAATATTTTTTTATTTATTTCAAAAAAAGTAAACAAAATATATAAGCAATATATGCCCATAATTTACAATGTGACAACCCAAACAAAGCTTTGTTATTTCAACTTTGAGCTGCAATTGTTTAGCTAACATTATTTCTGGATTTAGGGCTTATAGTCAATTCCCTAGGGCGGAAGTTTTCATAGCAGTCAATTCCTTTGCATTTTTAATAGTTCTGCCCACCTGTTTGGTTATTCTAAAGTACTTTGGAATTTTAGATACCCAGAACTTCTCTCACCTCTCTTTATTTTAATTGTGCAGCTTTCAGTTTCTTAGGCCTTACAAGGCTCTTTAGCCACACTGAATTCAACCAGTTCCCTGTTGCTTGTACTATGCTTCTGATGTTTCCTTTTTTTTCCTTCCCCAAAATATGACTGCATTAAGTAAATATAAAGTTAAGGAAGAGATAAGTCTTTTCATTAACTTTATGTTCAACAGTTATATATTCTTGGAGTTTTGAATGAAGAATTTTCCTGATTCCCACAGACTTTCCCATTCTCTCCTATTTCTGACTTTTTTAACTACAAGGAATTTTGTTGATGATAATCCAGTTCCATGTCAGCCCACTGCATGGTGGTTATAGATCTCAGGCCTCCCAGCTCTACCAGAATGTAGTGTAGGGTAGGGTAGAATGTAACATTCATCCATATTCAAATGACTGGAAGTTTAAGTATTGTGAGACTGGAAAGGGTTTTTTAAGGGTGATGAGCAATTGAATTTAGGTTAGTGCTCTTAAGGCAACACGATGAGCAGGTGTACTTATCTAATAATGTTCAGATAGATTTAGTTAAATATCACATTTTCAGAAAAAGATATTCTTTCAGTGAATAACAGAGGCAGGGGAGAGAGCATAGTAGGATGACAGAAGTAAAAGTGATATCAGTTTCTTTATCTTGGTTACCATCTAAAGTGAGTTCTGAAAGTGGAAGTCATATACCGTGACTTCCAAACTTGCTACACTTACAGACTTCACCAGAAAGCCTCTTCTTTTCAATCTGTATCTTATTCCTTTTTCAGGTATGGTGCATTAATATTTATAGGCTGACTCCACACAAGTTCTAAACTTTGGTCTAGAAAAAAATAACACACAAAATAACAGGTTTGATGGCTTAAGGCAGAGGGGGGGACAATGACTGCACCTACCTCACTCAATTCTCACATTTAAATCCCCCTGCTATGGCAATGCAACATAGTAATGTTTCAAGTGCACAACATGGAGGATATACCCCAAAAGCATCTCTTAAACCACTTTTTGAAAGTTTAACATATGGATTTGAAATTCTTGGTGATTTCTAACATTCAGAACAAGTTTTGCATTCAGTATTCAATCACCCTGTGATCCGTTCCATTTCAAGAGTGGTATAGGGGAGAAAATAGATTCCAATTCATAGCTACTGTATTGTGCAAGATTCTTATTAAAAACAGCATATTCCTGTAGCCCAGAGGGCTGACAGCTTTTTCCAAAGCAAAACCGCTGCTCTAAGCTAACCTCAAGGGGCTACTCGAGAGAGATGCAGCCTTAACCCCTCTCATTGTGGCGGTGGGGAGGAGGAGAGAGGAGGGCAGATAGTATCATATCCTACCACAACTCCAAACCTTTATCACCTCAATAAGTAATGTTTCTTAAGGCATTACTGACATTCAGTTCCCTGGTTAATTGGTTTATAAGTACTTCAATAAAAATAATTATTTTAAAAAGAAAAAAAACCTTAAAATAGAATCAGTTTAGGAGCGTACCCATACATAGGCTCAGTTATGTAAGAATTTTTCCTATTTTAAAAAAATCATGTTCGAACATAGGTATCATTTGCTTCTATTTCATCGCTTGTACTTGACGTTTTACCTGCAGATGATCAAACTATAATAAAGGGATCACTGCCAGACTTAGGCTTTAACAATGTTGAGTAAAGCAATGCTTGGAGACGTGGTGCTGAGGAACAGAAATGTACTGAATAAATTCAGTTCAAACAGGATGATCATGTCCTGAGGTACCACTAACGTTGGTGTTTTTTCTTATTGCCTACTGATAGTGACAGCAACTGCGAAGAGAGTTTGTCTCTTTCTTTTTCTTTTCCATGATGATCATCAGTTTGCTGATTTCATGATCTCACGTTTCATGTACAGCCTTGTTAACTTTAAGTTTAGCCATAAGCATTATTGGTGTATTTTTCTATGCATTACCAAAAAAGTCTTCATTAATGTTATGTCAGACCTCAATGTATTAACTTACCATTTTATAGATTTTAAAAATGCAATTAAAAGTTTGGAAGAATTTTAGGGCTTATTTTAAAATTGTTGGTCTTTTATAACTTAAAGGCATGTACATGCAGATATGTTAAAAATGTAATTCTCTGCTATTTAAAAAATTTAGAACATTAAATCCTCAATATAAAAAAGAGAGGTGTGTTATTAAGACAAAGTCACATGAAAGAGATAACAATTTTCATGGAAAGTAATTCTTTATAAAGTGAAATTATTATTTAAATGCTCGGTCATTTCTTTAAAAGAGACCAAAAACCATAAGGTAACATTTAGGCAAAATGCATTTGACTAACCGGGTTTTAATTTCTCGAACTCCTGATCTCAAATAATCCACCTGCCTTGGCCTCCCAAAGTGCTGGGATTACAGGCACGAGCCAACGCGCTCAGCCCCACGATTTAATTTCTAATGGGCTAAGTTTGGAACTAAAACCCTAATTTTTATCTTACCTACAAAAATGAGAATATCGTCTGTAATTTCTTCCTGAAAGCATCTCTGCATACTAAGTACGTGATCCTTCAGTGATAACAAGGTATTTCTTGTTTCTACTTAAGCAATAACACTCCCACTTGATTTGGGTTGTAATGTGGCCCCAAACGGAGTGAATGGATTAGACAAGCAGCCTTCATAAGACAGACAGACCTGGGCATTTGCCCAATTTTACCATTTTAAATGATGATGATACTCTATGACTGATTTTTTTTTAAAGGAACTTGGTCTGGGAGTGCAAATTCAAAGGATATAAATCAACTGTCAATAACATTGACAGAAATGTTTTTAAAGCTTCAACTCTCTAGAGGGGACTGTTGTTCGGAATATATGGCCTCTGCCATAAACACATATGCAGGTCAGGTAGCTGGATTCTCAAGGAGAGCAAAACACTAAAGGTAAGTTAGGGGCTTCAGAAATGAAGTAAATCTGGGAAGCAGAGAGGTCTTGAGTCAAAGTATTATTTACTCGGATTCACAGTGTCTTAGTTCAACTGTGCTCAGCTAAAGAAAACAATCAGACTAAGCCAATATATTCTAGTGTATGAATGGCCATGACCATTGTATGGGTGTTTGCATTTAAAACTGTTAACTTAAAGAAGTACCTAATTATGGAACCCCAAGCAGAGGAGCAACGTGTATGTTAGCAAATAGTTTTGGCACATGAGAGAAGATGCTTCTGAACAGGAGATCATTATGTGTAAACATGGTCTTTGTGTTGGCAAGTACCACAGAACAAATTCTTCTTTTCATTTGTTATGATTTTCATAGCTGTTTCTTCTTCTCTACTTCTACACCAATTGGTACTCTCAAATATAACTTTTATAGTTCTTTCTGACATTCTTAAAGCATTGATGGGTGAAAGCAGCTTTATTGTCTTGCAGGGATAGGTAGGGTTAAATATTTCTAAATAATTATTTAAATAATGTATTTCTTGCATATGGACAACCTGTCTGATAAAAAAATTAAAAAATGAATTAGTATTTTTTAGAAGTGGGTTTGTGATAAAGCTATTAGTCTCATTATTGCTAAATTACATTGCAGTGATTTTCAAAACTGGGTTAAATGACATTATGTATAGATGTACTTTAGTGTTAGGTTTTATAAGATCTTTGGCAAAGTATGAAGCTACAAGATTCAGTAAATTGTTAAATAATTTTTTCTCAATCAACTTACAACCCAAAAAGAAAATGCAGCCCCTAGGTAGGTTAGAAGGGCTTGTAACAGGGATTGTGAATTGGGAAGAAGTAGTTAGGTAGTGGGCAATTGATATTATTAGAGATAGACATTTAGAAGTTGTCCAGTCCTTAAATTAATTGTTTAAGATAAAAAAAAGATAATTGACAAATTCCAATTGGAATTCTTTTAGAATAATTCATGAAATCATCCTGTAGACAAAACATTTATTCATCATTTAGCTATTGCTTTAGCAACTTGGTATTATAGATTCCACTGGAGCTTCCCTAGGTTTCCTTCGTAACACATGTCACTTCTAGCATTTGACATGAGAAAAGAATGTTCTTTTATGATCTTAGTGCAAAGATTTCATCCTATTTATGATACTTTAAATCATTCCCCTTGTAGTTAATCATATCTGATAGCTAGAATCAGAGAGCCCTGGTTTTAGTCCTGGTTCTACCATCTTCTGCCTGGTTCACTGGGGTCAAATTGCTTAACCTCTCCAAGCTTTCATTTTCTCAACCGTAAAATGCAGCCATTTTTTAATGATGTTTTTGACAACTGCTCTGGGTCTCTCACTGTTCTGTTCTAATTGTCAATGCCTTAGATCTTTCCCTACCTTTCTTCTCCCCCAAATGAAAACTTATTGTTTTGTCCCATTGCTTCAGGGCCTTGTTAATGTGTTAGCTAACTAATAATTCCCCTCCCAGATAACAAAATGCCTTAATTTAGTGGAAGCGCACATTTCTTCTAAATGATAATAACTTATATTTGTATAAAGATCTATAGGTTGCTGTTTGGCATATATGTACTCTGTTAATTCACATAACATACCTGAAGTAGGATATTATTGTCTATATTTAGTGGATAAGTAAACTAACACTAACAAGAGCTCAAGTAAGTTTCTCAAGGATACATGCATAATTTGCGAGTCAAGCTCTAGGTCAGCTACATCTATGTGCAGTATTTGTTCTACTTCACAGTTGTAATCAATAAAATGCTCAGCTCATATTGTAAAATAGGGGAATTTCAGACCTGAATAATGTCTGCTATTGCAAAAATAAAAATGGAGAGGTCCCCCTTGTCACTCATAACTTTGTGTGTTGAAAACCATCTATTTAACATACCTGGGCTTCAGCTTCCTTACCTTTAAAATTCAAGGGTTGGATAAGGTGATCTTCTAGGTCCATTTTCATTTTAATATTCCATGATTCTATGAACATATATATTATAGCTGCAATTCCTACACCAATTTTCATTTTCTTTCCAGTTTATATCAATAGTTGTGCAGGGAATTTATTTGTCAGGAAGTAAAATAGCATTTCAAAATGTGTTATGATATGTAATTTTTTTAGAGGAAAGAAGAGAAAGTAAAGAAAATTGAGTATTAAGTTTGAAGATTCAAATAGGAGAGTGTAGCCATCATTTTCTCTTGACCAAGTAACAATTTCTGTGAGGTTGTCCTGTGTACTGACAAGTGCTTAGTTTTAGGAGGGATGTCCATAGAGCAGTCGATGAGGAAGGGGACCCTGCTTAGCTATCCCCATCAGCTAAATTAACTCCAACCATCAGTAGGTAACAAATGTGGAAATAAGATCATCAACATACTCATGGATTACATTTTGAAAAGTCAGAAGCAAAACAGTATTAAGCTGTGTAGTCAAAACCGAAGTTGCTCAAGTTAAATATAATTCTCTCTTTATTACTATAAACTGTCTGAGAAAATCTGGCTCAAATTTATAAGACAGTCTAAAAGCAAAATTAAAGAAAAAGATGACAATTTTGAAGAGATTTTTTCCCCTCCATTAACACAACTAGGCTGGCTGAGCTGTGAAACTGTGATGGAAATATTAGAGCTGTTGTGCCTGAAAAAAAATGCAGTGATCATTTCATTCTTCCTGTCTTTTAATGCTCCAGGGTTTTGGAGACGAATAGGAGCAATAAGTTCACTTTGCAGAATTAATGCAGTAATTCTTTATCATAAGAGCAGAGCATTACCTCAATCTGATTTTGCTACAAAATGGTTCAAAGTCTATTTTTAATGATGGCCCTAATTTGTTAACACCTTTTAAATTATTAATCCCCTTTATATTCAAGTAGTTATTGCATGTCATAACAATGTATCTATGCAGGGAAATTTAATAGTATTTTCTAGATGTCAAGAAAAGGCTTGTTCTGCAAAATGCTATTAAAACTGATAATGAGCTAAATATTTGCCATAGCAAACACTGAAATTACTATATCAATCAGCATTGGGCTCTCTTATTCAATAAACAGAAATTAACCTATTAACTATGCCTAACTTTCAGCGACAAAATGGTTGCTTTCAAGCATTTCTCCCCACTTCAAATCTTTCTTTCCTTAAAAACTACATATTGCCCTATAATCTCAGAATTTTGAATAAAATTCTTAGTATCGGTGTTTGTGGTTGAAATTTTGAACACATAAGACATTAAAATGTCAATCTTTTGCTGTAGTGATTGCGAATATTTTTGACTTTCCTTTTAGACAAACACTGACTTATCAGCAATAAAAATACTATATCTGATAAAAATCTAATATTCAAGCTTAATATTTTCCTGATTTCTAGAATTTTTTTAAAAAATGGTTTCTCTCTTACTTTATCAATTATGGGATTTGACTAAGTATAACTACAAAAAATATGCTAGTGAAAGGTAGTATAAGGATCTACCATTGGTTAATTCTAGCTTTTAGATACTAAAATAGGGATTAAGCATATATTTTTTATGCCTACCCAGAAGAAAGATGTAGATGCAAAAGCACTTTACACACCATTAAAAACAAAAGAAAGTCAGTCCCCACTTCTGCTGTAAGTTAAGCAATACTGAACAGATGTGTTGTCTGTCTTCACTTGGTGATATATTCTCCATCCAATAATCATTTTAGTTATACTTTGGGCCGAGAATCAGTGTTGCACAACAGTGACCCTGAATTGGGTTTAGTTCTGATGCTTTTCTGTTATTTCTTATGCAAGTTTAAGGAACTTGAACAGCTTCAGTTGCTTTCACTGTTTCTAAATTTCTAAAAAAATGATACTGCACAATAGATGATAACTGTAGTTAAGCACAATAAAAATAATGCTAAGCAATGGTGCTTTAAACTTCTCAAAGCTTTTTGTGTCTGTTTGTTACAACTCCCCTTAAGTAGGCAGGCTAAACATCATCTTTATTAAATAGATTAAAAGGCAGACCTAGAGAAGCCGATGATTTGCTCAAGCAAGTGGGGGCACTGGGAAAAGAATCTGGACTTCATGGTTTTCAGGCTTATAATTCCAGCGGTTCTCAACACTAGTTGTTCCTTAGGCTCACTTGGGGAACTTTAGAAAAAAAAAATTTCTGAATGACACTCAATTAATGCCTATTTAAATCCAAATCCCTGGTGTGAGGTCTCTGCATCAGTAGCTTTAAAAAAACTAACAGTGGAGTCTGAAGTGCAGCCAGAGTAGAGAACTCTGGGCATTTTGTAAAATGCAGAGGATGATCTAGTAGATCTGAGTGGGTCTGAGCTTCTGCATTTCTCAAAAAAAGCCTTCTGGGTAATGTCCACACTGCCAGGAACCACACTTAGTAGTAGGGTCATTTATCCTCCTTCACATCAGTTTTCTACTGCCACCTTGATGGGAAAACGTTTTCACTTTTTTTTTTTAACTCTTTCATATTTGAGAAACTGGAGGCAAATATTCCTCGAATTGGCCTGTAATGTCTTTGACTTAAATAAATTACAAATTGCTTAACAAAAATACACTCAACTGAATTCTGGTCTTTAGGAAGTTCAAAATTAAGCATAATTGCATAAGAGATAACATTCTCCCAATTCAGATAACTCAAGAGTCAGTGACCAAGTAGGGCAAAGATAGTGTGGTTCAAAGCATGGATTCTGCAATCAAACAAACCTGGGTTCAGATTCCAGCTATGTTACTTACCAATGTGTCCCCTAATATCTCTAAGCTTCAGTTTTCTAATGTGTAAAATGGAAGCAATAATATCTGTTTGGTTTAGTCTTTCTCTCGATATGTCCCAAGCCAACTTGATGTCAGGCAGTATTCAGAGGAAAGCAGGGTAGCCTAGGTCCCTGCTGCCAAGAAGCTTACCAATAACTAACTTATAATACATTTGTAAGAATAAATGAGAAACTGCATGAAAATTGCTTAGCATAGGGCCTAACATGCAAGGGCTCAATAAATGTTAGTCATTATTTTCTATTAGTTCTAAAGTTTTAGCTGTTATTATGTCCAATTAGCACATACTGTTTTGATATGTTAATACTCAATAAGAACAGAAGCCATTGATTAAATATACACATCATAATTTTTGATACAGTGTAAGACCTCACAGGCACATTATATGAATATGCCCAGAAGCAGAGAGCTAAGCCTTCATTATTAAGAAACATGTGGACTTTAGTTGTCAGTTTTATGGTTAGGTTTTAGTCAAAGACTATATGTTGCTCAGATGTTTCTTTGTTTTAACTTTTATTTTAGATTCAGGGGTACATGTGCAGGTTTGTTATATAGGCAAATTGTGTGTCATGGGGCTTTAGTGTACAGATTATTTTGTCACCCAGGTAATAAGCATAGTATCTGATAGGTAGTTTTTCAATCCTGTCCCTCCTACCACCCTCTGCCCTCCAGTAGGCCGAGTGTCTGCTGTTTCCTTCTTTGTGTTCCTGTGTACTCAATGTTTAGCTCCCACTTGTTGGCGAGAACATGCAGTATTTGGTTTTCTGTTTCTGTCTTAGTTCACTTAGGATAATGGCCTCCAGCTCTATCCATATTGCTGCAAAGGACATGATCTCATTCCTTTTCATGGTTGTGTAGTATTTCATGGTGTATACATAACACATTTTCTTTATCTAGTCTACCATTTGATAGGCATTTAGGTTGATTCTATGTCTTTGCTGTTGTGAATAGTGCTATGATGAACATATGTATGCATGTGTCTTTACGTAGAACAATTTATATTCCTTTGGGTATACACCGAGTAACAGGGTTTTTGGGTTGAATGGTAGTTCTGTTTTAAATTCTTTGCCCTGCCTTCCGCAATGGCTGAACTAATTTGCATTCCCACCAGCAGTGGGATATAAGCATTCCCTTTTCTCCACAACCTTACCAGCATCTGTTATTTTTTGACTTTTTAATAATAGCCATTCTGACTGGTGTGAGATGGTATCTCATTGTGATTTTAATTTACATTTCTCTAATGATTAGTGATGGTGAGCATCTTCTTATATGCTTGTTGGCTGCGTGTATGTCTTTTGAAAAGTGTCTGTTCATGTCCTTTGCTCACTTTTTAATGGGGTTGTTTGTTTTCTGCTTGTTATTTGTTTAAGTTCCTTATAGATTCTGGATATTAGACCTTTGTTGGATGTGTAGTTTGCAAATATATTCTCCCATTCTGTAGGTTGTCTGTTTACTATGTCGATAGTTTCTTTTGCTGTGCAGAAGCTCTTTAGTTTAATTAGGTTCCATTTGTCAATTTTTATTTTTGTTGCAATTGCTTTTGGCATCTCTGTCATAAAATCTTTGCCAGGTCCTATGTCCAGAATGGTATTTCCTAGGTTATCTTGCAGAGTTTTTACAGTTTTAGATTTTACCTTGAGTTGATTTTTTGTATATGATGTAAGAAAGGGGTCCAGTTTCAATCTCCTCCATATGGCTACCCAGTTATCCCAGAACCATTTAGTGAACAGGGAATTCTGTCCACATTGCTTGTTTTTGTCAAAGATCAGATGATTGCAGGTGCGCAGCCTTATTTCTGGGCTCTCTATTTTGTTCCATTAGTCTATGTGCCTGTTTTTGTACCAGTACCATGTGATTTTGGTTACTATAACCTTGTAGTATAGTTTGAAGTCAGGTAATGTGATGTCTCCAGCTTTGTTCTTCTTGCTTAGGATTGTCTTGGCTGTTTAGACTCTTTTTTGTTCTCTATTAATTTTTAAATAGTTGGTTTTTTTGGTTCTGTGAAGAATGTTGTTGGCAGTTTGACAGGAATAGCATTGAATCTGTAAGTTGCTTTGGGTAATATGACCATTGTAACAATATTGATTCTTTCTATCTATGAGCATGGAATATCTTTTCATTTGTGTTATCTCTGATATCTTTGAGCAGTGTTTTGTAATTTTCATAGTAGTGATCTTTCACCTCTCTGGCTAGCTGTATTTGTGTATTTTATTCTTTTTGTGGCTATTATGAATGAGACTGCTTTATTGATTTGACTCTCAACTTGGACTTTGTGGGAGTATAGAAATGCTACTGATTTTTGTTCATTGATTTTTGTATCCTGAAACTTTGCTGAAGTTGTTTATCACATCAAGGAGCTTTTGGGCAGAGACTATGGGTTTTCCAGGTATAGTATCATCTAGTCTGCAAACAGAGAGTTTGCCTTTCTCTTTTTCTATTTGGATGAATTTTATTTCTTTCTCTTGCCCTATTGCTCTGGCTGGGGCTTCCAGTACTATGTCAAATAGGAATGTTGAGAGTAGGCATCCTTGTCTTGTTCTGGTTCTCAAAACCAATGCTTCCAGCTTGTGACCATTCAGTATGATGTTGGCTGTGTGTTTGTCATGGATGCCTCTTATTATTTTCAGGTATGTTCCTTCAATGCCCAGTTTGTTGAGGGTTTTAACTTGAAGAGATATTCAGTTTTATTGAAAACATTTTCTGCATCCATTGAGATGATCATGAGATTTTTGTTTTTAGTTCTGTTTATGTGATGAATCACATATATTCATCTGCATGTGTTGAACCAATCTTGCATACCAGAGCTTACAGACTACTTGATCATAGGCTCTAATCTACTTGATCATAGATTAGTTTGGTGATATACTGCTGGGTTTGGTTTGCTGGTATTTTGTTGTGGATTTTTACATTTATGTTCTTCAAGGATATTGGCCTGAAGTTTTCTCTTTTTTTGTGTATATCTGCCAGGTTATAGTATCAGGATGATGCTGGTCTCATAGAATGAATAAGTGAGGAGTTCCTCCTTCTCAGGGTTTTTTTTTTTAATACTTTCAGTAGGAATGGCACCAGCTCTTCTTTATATATCTGGTAGAATTCAGCTGTGAATCCATCTGGTCCTGGGTTTCTTCTTATTCATAGGCTTTTTATCACTGATTCAGTTTTAGAACCTCTGATTTGTTTGTTCATTGATTCAATTTCTTCCTGGTTCAATATTGGGAAGCTGTATGTTTCCAGGAATTTATCTATTTCTTCTAGGTTTTCTAGTTTGTGTGCATAGAGTTGTTCATGTCTGTAATGGTTACTTGTATATGTGTGGTGTTGGAGGTCATGACTCATTTGTCATTTCTGATTGTGTTCCTTTGGATATTCTTTATTAGTTTAGCTAGCAGTCTATCTGTCTTATTTATTCTTTCAAAAAACCAACTCCTGGATTCATTGATCTTTTGCATGGTTTTTCATGTCTTAATTCCCCTCAGTTCAGCTCTGATTTTAGTTATTTCTTGTTTTCTGCTAGCTTTGGGGTTGGTTTGTTCTTGCTTCTACAGTTCCCTTACATGTGATGTTATGTTGTTAATGAGAGATCTTTCTAATTTTTTGATGTGGGTGTTCAGCCTATAAACTTCCCAGTT
The DNA here is from genome assembly GCF_000001405.40 of Homo sapiens. Classification (NCBI taxonomy): domain Eukaryota; kingdom Metazoa; phylum Chordata; class Mammalia; order Primates; family Hominidae; genus Homo; species Homo sapiens. The sequence continues at coordinate 146,774,385 of NC_000004.12, forward strand.
AATGTTGCTTTAGCTGCATCCCAGAGACTCTGTTACATCTTTGTTCTTGTTATTTTCAAATAATGTCTTGATTTCTGCCTTAATTTCATTGTTTACCCAAAAGTCATTCAGGAGCAGGTTAATTTCCATGTAATTGTATGGCTTGGGGCAATTTTCTTTGTATTGATTTCTATTTTTATTGTGCTGTGATCTGAGAGTGTACTTGGCATGATTTCTGTTTTTTTGAATTTGTGGAGGATTGTTTTATGGCCTGTTGTGCGGTAGATTTTAAAATATGCACCATGTGCAGAGGAGGAGAATGTATATTCTGTTGTTTTGGGTGGACAGTTCTGTAGACGTCTGTTAGGTCCATTTGGTCAAGTGTCGAGTTCAGGCCCTGAATATCTTTGTTAGTTATCAATGATCTGTCTCAATCTGTATCTCAGATCTGTATCAGTGATCTGTCTAATGGTGTCAGTGGGGTGTCAATGTCTCCCAGTATTATTATGTGGTTGTCTAGGTCTCTTTGTAGTTCTTTAAGAACTTGCTTTATAAATCTAGGTGCTCTTGTGTTTGGTACATATGTATTTAGGATAGTTAGGTCTTCTTGTTGAATGGAACCCTTTACTATTATATAATGCCCTTGTCTTTTTTGATCATTGTTGGTTAGAAGTCTGTTTGTCTTCTAACAATTAGAATAGCAATCCCTACTTTTTTGTTTTCCATTGCTCAGTAGCTTTTCTCCATCCATTTACTTACTTTGAGCCTATAGGTGTCATTGCATGTGAGATGGATCTCTTAAAGACAACCTACCATTGTGTCTTGCTTCTTTATCCAACTTGCCACTCTGTTCCTTTTACCTGAGAAATTTATCCTGTTTATATTCAAGATTAACATTGATATGTGTGAATTTGATCCTGTGATCATTTTGTTGGCCGGTTATTATGCAGACTTGATTGTGTGATTGCTTTATAGTGCCAATAGTCTATGTATTAAGTGTGTTTTTGTGGTGGCTGGTAACAATCTTTTCTTTCCATATTTAGCACTCCCTTAAGGACCTCTTGTAAGGCAGGTCTAGTGGTAATGAATTCCCTTGGCATTTGCTTGTCTGAAAGTATCTTATTTCTCCTTTGCTTATGAAGCTTAGTTTGGCTGGATATGAAATTCTTGGTTGAAATTTCTTTTTTTTTTTTTTTAAGAATGCTGAATATAGGCCCCTAATCTCTTCTGACTTGTAGCATTTCTGCTGAAAGGTCTGCTGTTAGCCCAATGGGGTTCTCTTTGTAGATGATCTGCCCCTTCTCTCTGTCTGCCCTTTACATTTTTTCTTTCATTTTGACCTTGGAAAATCTGATGTTTATGTGTCTTAGGGATGGTTGTCTTGTATAATATCTTGCAGGGGTTCTCTGCATTTCCTGAATTTGAATGTTGGCCTCTCTGGCGAGGTTGGGAAATTTTCATGGATGAAATCCTAAAATATGTTTTACAGGTTGCTTGCTTTCTCGCCCTCTCTTTTGGGATGCCAATAAATCATAGATTTGGTCTCTTTACATAATCCCATATTTCTCAAATGGTCTCTTTCCATAATCCCATATTACCCTTTGAGAAATTCATTTTTCATGCATCTTTATTGTTTTTTCTTTATTTTTGTCTAAGTTATTTTGAAGAACCAGTCTTCGAGCTCTGAGCTTCTTTCCTCAGCTTGATCAATTCTGCTTTTTAATATTTGCAATTGTATTCTGAAATTTTTAAAGTGAATTCTTCAGCTCTATCAGATAAGTTTGTTTCTTTCTTAAAATGGCCATTTCATCTTTTATTTTCTGTATTGTTTCATTGTAGTCCTTAGATTCCTTGGATTGGGTTTCAACTTTCTCCTAGATGTCGATGATCTTCACTCCTATCCATATTCTGAATTCTATTTCTGTCATTTCAACCTTTTCAGCCTGGAACCATTGCTGGGGAACTAGTGGTAAGAAGACACTCTGGCTTTTTGAGTTGCCAGAGTTCTTGCTCTGGTTCTGTCTCATCTGTGTGGGCTGATGTTCCTTCAATCTTTGAAGCTGCTGTCCTTTGGATGTTTTTTTTTTTTTCTTTTATCTTCTTTGATGCATTTGGGTGTTTGATTTTGGTTTCAGTTGGGTTCAATTGACTGGGTTTGCTTCTGGAGGATTTTAGAGGGCCAAGGTTTAGCTCAGCCCTCCTGTTCTGCATGCTCCAACTATGGAGGGCCAGTACTGGACCCCCAACTTTGTTCTCTGGCCCCTGGAGGTTAGGAATCTGCTGCCAAGGTGCTCCTGGTCCGCTGGCCACAGCAGTCTGGTGGGCAGTATTAGCAAAAGCACTTCATTGGGGCAGTGGGATCTGTGCCTGCTCAAGTATGCTAGCACAGCAGGGTGCATACACATTGGCTGGAGTGGAGTACCGATGGAAGCAGGGTTGCACTCTTCTGTGTGCTCATTGTGGCAGTGGGGCACAGGCCGGGGCGAGTTGCCAGTGTTTGTGCTCACATTTGTGCTAGCAGCAGTGGGAGTGGGGTGCTGGATGGTGTGGGGCTGCCTGCCTCCATGTTTGTACTGGTGACGGAATTGGAACAGAGAGGCAGGGCCACTGGTATCAGTGCATGCGTTCACACTGGCGGTGGTGGTGGCGGTGGTGCAGGGAGGGGTGGGGTTACCAGTGTCTTTGCCATGTTCACACCAGCAATGGAAGTTCGGATGAGTGCTCTTGCACACAGGGGTGGGGACAGGTAGTTGTGTTCACATCACAGCAGTAGTGCAGTCGGGTATCCTATCTCCTGCAGTCATGGCTCTCTGAGGCGGAAGATATTAGGTTCGCGCACAAGTAATGGGAAAAACCGCAATTGCTTTTGCACCAACCTAATACTTTTGTGATAACAGAATGTCTGCCTTCCTTTTTACAGAAGAGAAAATCAAAGCACAAAGAGTTGTATTGCCTTTGCCAACTCATCTGCCAGATGCCAGAGCCAGGACTAGACCCCAACTGGTTTTTTATATATTACGTTGACTTTTTTTTTTTAAGCTAGGAGAGAGGAGTTTTTATCATTTTTATTTGTGTGTTCTGGACACATTTATTAGACAAAAATGTCTATGTTCTAATAACTAAGATGGCATTTTAGAAGCATAGAAGAAATTCCCACATAATCTTACTATTTCCTTCATATTACTTTTTCTCTATGCTGTTTACAATTCATGTACCTATACTTTGCCAGTCCTTTCTTCTCCAGCTGCAGTGTTCTAAGCCTCTAAATTTTCTTTTGTCTTACTAGATTCTTAGCACTATAACTTAAGTATATGGTGCCTTTGAAATTTCATGCCGACTCTGGCATGACTAAAATTATATCAAGATTTGTAACAGAATGCTTGTGGGGTTTCTCTACTTTAGAGTCCTTGAGTTATCAAATTGGTAGAAAAGCCAATAGGATTTGCTCACTAACTGGATATGGTGTGTGAGAAAGGAGAAATGAAGATGTCTCCCAGGGTTTTGCCTTGAGAAACTAGAAGAATGGATTTACCATTGAACTGAGAGAAGATTGCTCAATGAGCAAGCCTAGGGGTAACAGGATGGGTGGATTGGGGTGAAAAAATTGGAGTGAAAATCAGGAGCTCACATTGGGTTTCAGATGGCTACTGAATATCTCAATGGAGATGTCAAGTGTTGGCCACAATGAACTGTAGTTCATGGATTATCTTCGTGGACGTGTTAAGTTTGGGAGTCATTAGTTATAGTGTTTTATCTTTGTGCTCTATTTTATTTATGTTCTTTATTTCCTCTTTTACTTTCTCTGTCTATCCTGTTATTGTAACTTCTTAATTTATATATTTAGTTTGTTAATTCATATACTTTATTTATTTTTCTTAATATAACTATTTAAGGTTATAAATTCCCCTTTAAGAGTTGCTTTAGCTCTATTTCGTTAATTTTGAAATTTTAATATTTTCAGAGTTATTTAGTACTAAGAATTATCTAACTTCACTTTTGATTTTTTTGAAGAGCCTATTTACTTGCTTTTTTTGAAAAAAAATTTTAAACAAATTTTTGTTGAAATTAACATAATCACACTGTGCATAGAGAACATGGTCTGTATGATATCAATCCTATAGATTCTGTCAAGGATCGTTTCATGGGTGTCAATTTTTTAAAATGTTTCATATGTGCTTGAAAATAATATGTGTTTTCCTATTGTTAGAAATAGTTTCAGCTGTATTAAGTACATCATATTTTCAAATTTGATTGTTCAAATGTGAGTACACATTTCTACATCAAGAAATAGACTGCATATTTACTTTCTAGAAATGATGAGCAACAAAGAGCAACTTTGTGAAAGCAGTTTTGAAATCCTGTTGTGAAAATCAAATACCATGCGTTCTCACTTATAAGCAGGAGTGAAACAACAGGTATACATGGACATACAGAGGAGAATAGACCCTGGACTCCAAAAGGAAGAAGGCAGTGAGGGGAGAGAGGGTTGAAAAATTACCTATTGGGTTCATTGTTCACTATTCAGATGATGGGTACACTACACTAAAAGCGCAGACTTTACTGCTACCCAATATATCCATGTAACACAACTGCACTTGTACTCCTAAATAAGCAAAAAAAAAAAAAAAAAAAAAAAAAAAGAAAAGAAAAGAAAAAGAAATGCTGTTGTAAGACTTACGGGCTAGACAACAACAGCTTTGAACAATAAGAAGAGGAACTTAAATCTGAAGTATACTTGGTCCCAATGTAGCCTGCTTAGAATTCCCTTAAAAATAATTTATAGCTATAAGAATAAATGTCATATTCCAGAATTATTGTATGAAGACTTTAAAAAATATTTTATAATAGTTATTTATTGACATCCTCAATTAATACATCCTGGTTACAACTACACATGTATACATATTGAAGAGCAACTTCCACTCCCATTTCTTTTATAATTTGATTCCTTCCAATTAATTTTCAAACTTTTCCAAATGATGTATAATGTTACCAATGTCTAGGTATAGCATAAGTGCATAAAAAATAGGAGCAATATATTTTTAAAGTAATTTTCTATAGCTTAGAAAAAGCATTCAAGTAATATTATAAATTGAATTCAACTGAGATATGTGGCACATTCTTAAATCAGATCCATTGGTAAAATTAATTGGAATCTATTGGTAATTTTAACATCTATCTCATTAATTAAGTAAATAAATATTTTGAGTAAAAGAGTAGATGATATAATTCTCTATGTTAATTTTCATCATGATAGGCTACTATGGTCTGAGGTTTTAGAGCAGGTTAGAATTATATCAGATTAGGCTCTATCTGGCTGAGTCTGGGCACCACAGCACTTATCCCACAGTCTTTGGCTCTCAACTCCTGGTGAAACTGCCAAGGGCTCATTTTACTTCCTTTACATTGGTTCTGAATCTCACTTAATGGAAGACTAACCTGGAAGCTAGTCAAAATAAGGTTGAATTTATAGGTTTTCATATAGCTTGGACCCACCAGCTATTTCCACTGCTTTTAGAACCTCCTATTAACTAGTTAGCTGAAACCAGAAAGTGAATCTTAAATTCAACACTACATTCAAATAAACTTTTTGTTTTGGCTAACTTGTTATATTTCACCTCCACCCAATCTTAGTAATGACATTTACAGCTACTTGAGAGTCTAGATCTGCAGAGATTCTCAAAAATAGGAATGTCTTATAATTTGAAAGATTTTAAAAATATTTTTACCTTTCTTTGAAATGTCAAGGATAGTAAACACTACTTGCTTCCCCCAAATTAAGCTAAGTGGAGTACTTCTTTTCAAAGTACTTTTTGGGTAACATGTATGGGTAGAGACCACAATGCTCCAGTCATCTCAGAAGCGTAAAGGATTGAGCATTTTAATGGGTATAGGATCGTCAAATGAGTCATTTTCTGAATGAGTCTTCCTAACTTGGGGTGTGTGTGTGTGTGTGTGTGTGTGTGTGTGTGTGTGTGTGTGTGTAGATGTCAAAAGAATTTTCACTCTCTCCATTGTAAATGTTCTTATTTTTTAAAATGCCTAAATTATATCAAAATCACAAAAATACAAAGAGGCATATTCCAGGGCACTATCTTTTGAGGCCATCAATTTCCAAGTCTCTTCCAGGGATCATGTGTCCTGTTTGGGCAAATGAGATAAGACATTCAGGATTCTGGTATGTATATAGTGGAGAATATCTGCAGGAATTCTTCTCTATGATTAAGTGTTCTTCCTTGGGCTAGTTTCAGCTTCTCATATCTCTAGATTTGCCTTATCTCCAGTTCATCTCTTAAATTGCTGAAGAAATATATATTAAAGTACACACACACACACATATATATAATATAACTGTACCAGTTTTTTTCACACTTAATTCTTTCAACAGTCCTGTAAACTTAGAATGATTTTTGAATGTAACAAATTATAAAATGGAGAATCAGAGAGTAAATGATGGCTGGATTGGTATTACAATCCACATCTCTGTGTCTCACTATAGATAGCTTCTCTTGTTTCCTTCCCAGGGAATTGGAACTTGTGGACCTGCATGAGTCTCACAAATATAAAAATATCCTGACAGTCTTGAACTTGAAGATTAAAATGGTTAGATAAATTTCAGTTTGCTAGTTAGATGAGCATGCATAACATAAAGTACACAAGAAAGGCAATTGTATTATACTTCATCACTCCTTTTTCCATTTCAAATCATTGTAATGGAAAAGAAAATGGCACCAGACATGCTTTGTTATAAAAATACATCCTCCCCTTTTTGAAATAAGTATATATTCAGAAATACACCTGTCAGTATAGTGTCTGGAACAAAAAGGAAACACAATAAAATCTATAATGATACATGAGTAGAATAATCGCTGGATTGAATAATCCAGTAGTATATGGCTTGACATATTTCCCAATCAAAAGATATATACTTGATATAAATATTTAGATTGCATCATATTGAAATGAGTTAACTGTCATATTAACCTCTAGAGAAGGGATTAAGAGACTCGAGCTCTCAATGGAAGATTTCTTTCTTTTAAGGCTCCTGAAACTGAGATTTTGAAATCACGATGAAAATATAGCCCAACCCCAATATCTCCAAACAAATAATGGGCAAAATCACATATAATTTTATAGTGTAAGATTAAAACCTTGAAATATACATGACAAATCAGTAGGCTGTAAGATCTGCTCAGCACAGTGTAAAGAAATGTATTATGAAATATTTACTCAACAAAAGCAAGCATTATATAAAACCAACTCACTATATGTTGAGGTCAGTAGAACTTCATTACAAGTAAGGCTCACTAACATACTATTCCAATACTGCCTTATCTCAAATTATTAATATTTACCTCTAGTATAGGACTACCAGAAAATGAAATTTTATCACAGTAGTGCTTTGAAGTGTTTTCACTTTGGTATCTTGGGAAAATGAATTCCACCTAGCTGTGCACATGGAGTGCCTCTCTACAAAAGTATTTTTATGCGTGCATGGAGTATGAAAGAAATCAGTGGTAGAGTAAACTAGATAGGGATTCTGATAGCCAAGAGAAAACCTTGACTTTTAATTTTTAATGAATAAAAATCTAAAATGACAATCATTAGCAAATTTCACGGCCAATTTCTATCAAATAGGAAATTGAAGCAAATAAATGAAAAAAAAAGAATACCAGCTATAAAACATGCTATTTAGCCAATGAAAACATGGCATTTTTTGAGTCTAGAGGTGCAACAACCTATTACAAATTCTATCTTTATTTTTATTTTGAGAAATCGATTTCTGGCATTCTGATTTAATACACACAGAAGACACTTAAACTTCTACTCATTGTAGTACATTTTTTCACTCTTTTTCTCAGTAATTTTATCTTGTCTTCTACTAGTCCCTTCTCTGATAACTTTGTGCAGAAAGTAGCTACTTTAAAAATAAGTTATTTAGTGTATTATTTAATATATATTAAATATCTGTTGGCCATTTATATAAAAATATTATTATTTGAAATCAATGGATTATTGAAATGTATTAATTATCAAGAGAAGAATAAAAGGAAATTGAATAGCAAGATAAAATGATTGTTAATTACATTCCTGTAAAGTTACTTAAGGAATGAAATGTTTATCTTGTAGCAAGTTTTCTGGCATTACTCTGTTGGAGAAACTTACAGAGAAATAAGTTAGGGCATACCACATTCAATGCAATACTTAGCTCATTGTTTTTGTTTAGTAAGAAGTAGATGATAGTGACTGATGAAGACTGATGAAGAAAATGTTTTTCACATATCAATGTAATCTATTCCATGATGTAAAATGCTGTCTATTATAGTGTGTTGTTGCTTTAAAAACTACCCTATAATACAAGGAGATATATACAGGAGTAGAAAATGATCTGTCCAAACAATTTATTCTGTAATTATTACTTTACTATTGACTATTATTTAGAATAGAAAATAAAAGCCCAAAGGCAAGGAATATTATTTTATTTAAGTTAACCAAAGTTTTAATCATCAAATAAGCGTCAGAAAATAAACAGATAACTAGAAAAGACCTTGTAAATCCAGAAACCCATGTGGTCCCCTCAAGAGTTCTGTCATAGGAGAGGAAGCAGTTCAGCATCAAAAGCAGTTGAAGTATAACTCAAATTCTTCACTTGCATTTTTCAGATATAAAAATTCAACATACCACATCATAATCTCCAAATTTTCTTTTTAACTTATTTGTTTATTTATTTACTTATTTAAATTCACAAATAATAATTGTATATATTTATGGTGTACAACATGATGTTTTGATATACGCATACATTGTGGAATGGCTAAGTCAAGCTAGTTAACATATTTGTTACTTCACATCCTATTTTCTTTATTATCAAATTCCTTTTCACTCTCCACAACCCCCAACAGTACTCACAAACCTCCTTTCTCATGTGTCTCTTGTTTAGCTTCCTAGTCTCTGTCCCCATACACCCTCTTCTTCATTTTTTTTTTTTATGAATGAAAACTTAGCCTCTATGTAAATCAACTTAGCCTCTCTCTCAGCCAATGAAAATACTTTTACTTTGGGGGTTAGGAGGAGGAAAATGGAGCATATGTGGGGATGAAGGGAGCCTGTAAACACTCACATGTGAACACATTTTGATTCATCATAGGGAAATGTTTTATTATAAAATATAAATCTAGAATAATCTGCGATGCCTTAACATAAGTTCAGTAACATCTTTTCCTGACAGAAGCAGCCATATAAAATGTGCATTCATAGAAGAAGTAATGTTTCAACAGTTCATCATATTTTTGGTATTTCTCAACTGAGAAAGGAGCTAAGTCTCAGGTGAAGGTAGACTACTGACTAAAATTTCTAAAGTGTGAAGAGGTAGCCTCTTATTTTTTACATTATAGGAGCATCTCAGAAATTTGTCTTCTATATTTATGTTAAACAGTACCATTTTTTAAGGATAGACTGACTAATTTAACAAATGTTATGTTAATTATTCTTTGAAGATAAAGAGAGAACTATGGGATCCACAGATTAATGAAGATTTAAGAGACAAATTAACCAGGACTCTACTCTCAAATGGTATGTCTAACTGGAAACCTAAGACTCATTTCTATCTCTAACCTTTCTAAAGACTTGTGAAATCGATTCTTGTGAATTAACTCAGTAGCTTGAACTAGTTTTCTTAACTGAGAAAGGAGCTAAGTCTCAGGTATAGTATAGTATATACATATATATACTATATTTACTATGTTTATAAAATATATACCATATTTACTATACCATAAACTATATAATAGGAGGATACTACACTTACTGTATAAAAGGACATAAATATAGTGTATAATATAGTATCCCTTTTTTAACATTTTTTGAGAAGACAAGTGGTAAGCCTTTTAGATAATTTAAACTTACTCCAATAAGTGACAAAAATTTAAAAAAAATTAAAAATAGTAAAATTGTTGGACACAACACAGTAAAATGGGAAGAGTGTCATATGTGGTTTATGAAGACATGTCTTCAAATTCTGACCCTGTCACCTACTCCTTGTGGCCTTTGGTAGGTGCTATGGTGTGAATGTTTGTGTCCCCTTAAAATTCCTATGTTGAAATCCCAACCCCACAAGGTGATGATATTAGGAGGTGGGGCCTTTGGGAGGTGATTAGATTATGTGTGCAGAGCCCTCATAAATGGGATTAGTGCCTTTATAAAAAAGACCCAAGAGGGCTCATTTGCACCTTTGACCATGTGAGGACACAGCAAGCAGTTGGTGCCTTTGAGCCAAAAAGCAGGCCTCAGCATATATTGAATCTGCCTCAATCTTGGACTTGCCAGCCTCCAGAACTGTGAGAAATAAATTTCTGCTGTTTATAAGTTACCCAATTAATAGCATTTTGTTATAACATCCTGGATGGACTAAGACAATAGTACACTTCACCTTCTGTGAAATTAAGTTTCTTTATCTGAAAAAATGGAGGATAAACCAGAAATCTGAGGATCTGTTTCATCATTAAGGTCTACCAAATGATATTTCTTTAAAATTTCCCTGCATTCTTAAACAGACTAAAATGAACATAATTTAATCTTTTCTTGGTGGCTGGAGATCATCAATAGAAAAATTAATTATGTGATATAGTAAGAGGCTATTGAGTTTGTAAGATCCTTTTGTTCCTACGCAAAATGACCCCAGACTGCTGCATTGCTGCATGTTTGTTTGATAGGTTTTGTGTAAGAGTGTGTGTGTCTCTGTGTGTGTGTGTGTACACACTTGAGCCTTTTAAAAATATATTTTCAGCTATTGTTTATTAATGTAATCACTGTCTGTTTATAACTTGCTGCCTTTTTTTTTTTTTTTGAGACGGAGTTTCGCTCTTGTTGCCCAGGCTGGAGTGCAATGGCATGATCCCAGATCACCATAATCTCTGCCTCCCAAGTTCAAGCGATTCTTCTGCCTCAGCCTCTAATTTTTAATACACTTATTGAGGGATAAATATATCCTTCTATTAAGGAGGTTGCCACTGCCTCAAATGGCAGCAACAAAAATGTTTGGCTTGTTGAAGTCATCAAAGTTTGACTGATGAATAAGTGAAATATTTCTGCACTAGTCAATGGAGAATCAAAATAAATCTCTTGTGCTGTAATTGTTAATACATTTTCTTCTGCTCTATCCTCTGAGGAGATGGAGGACAGCTTTTAAAGACTTATCTCCTTAATGACACCTATTTGAAGACAGTTATTGGGTCCTTAGAGAACCTTCTTTTCCCCCAGTCTAAAAAATCTCAACCTTTACTCATGTGACTCATTTTCCAAATGATTAAACTTTTTCGTTGTAATTCTGCAAATCCCTTTTCATTCTTTTACATGTTTCTTGAGCTGTCTGGTTTCAAAACCAAAACTGTGGTCTAATAATAAAAGATGACATTTCTATTAACATTTCTGTTATTATTTCTTAAAATGATGTTAACAGTTTTGATATTATCTGCATTTTACTTATGATTAAACTGAAATAAGAGAGTTTGAACAGTTAACTAAAGGTCACTAAATTAGTGATAAGGAAACTATATTCTTTGTACTAGAATTGGGTTATTAAAGAATATATATATATATGTATATCTACAGTATATATGTGTACACACACACACACACACACACACACTCACACACCTACAACTGAAATAGTAAACTTGGTTGGTTTGGGATACCAGAAGAATATTCCTGTGAATTACCTAAGAGGCTTGATACTAGTAGTGTAAATGCTTGCTGATAAATAAAACTTATGAGTGGAGTTGTTTTCTGAAATCAAGCCACAATTTTAAAACAAGAAGTCTCTCCCTCTTCGTCTTTCTCTTCCTCCAGGGCACCATCTTTAGAGGTCGCCTTACCTTGCAGATGGCTGTAAGGTATAATGCACAAGTGACCGTTTGTTCTCTAAAAGACTGGCACTGCCAGGCAACACTTTGGGTAATAATTACGCCTGTGTTTGAAATATGTGCTTTAAAATAACACGGTTGAATCAACTTGTAAAATTTAATCCACTCTACTCACTCTTACTAAAAGATAATTTGGATGTCACATCACTTGTTTTATGCACACGGATGAAATCATAGCACCATGCTCTTCCCTTTGTGACCAGAATGATTTCCAGATATTCTCCCCTGCTGCAGGTTCTACTCTAAACCTCAAGGCAGTCTCATAGAACAGCCTTCTGTACAGTGAATTTAAACTTTAGGCTCCGAAATCGTAATTGGTTCCACAACTCTTTCCTAGTTATTTTTACATAGTTTGGGGGTAATATTTTGTTTTTCTTTCTATTCCCTACTCAGAAAGCTGACTAATATTGTGATAAATGTCCCAGAAATAGTGCCTAAGAATGCAAAGAAGTGACCACATAACATTTAGAAAATCTGTATAAATTTTAGAAGCTAATATTTAGGCCCAGAAAAAAAATCTAACCTTTATAAAAGTCACTGAACTAAGGCTGGGCATGGTGGCTCATGGCTGTAATCCCAGTGCTTTGGGAGGCCAAGGCAGGAGGATTGCTTGAGGCTAGGTGTTTGAGACCAGGCTAGGTAACATAGTAAAAACCCCACCTCTACCAAAAAAAAAGAGAAAAAAAATTAGCTGGGTGTGGTGGTATGCACCTGCAGTCTTAGCTACTTGGGAGGCTGGGGCAGGAGGGTTGCTTGAGCCCGGGAGTAAATTTAAAGTCACAGAACTGAAACAAATCAAAATAACATTTTAGATATATATTATTTTCATGTAAATGTTATTTGGGATAAAATCTGCTTTTGAGAGCTAAAGAACTACCTAGTAAGGATGAAAAATTGTTCAAAATAATATGAAGGTGATGGTACATGAATAGCATCATATTGCATGAGGATACATTTCCAGTAGTTTATTTGGGTTGTTAAGAGAAATTATCATAGGTGGGACAAATGAAAGAATTCTACTTAAACATCATGCTCAATAGGTAATGCAACATAATTTGATATGTACCTATTATATTTTCCATGTTTCTTCTTAAAAATTGTATGCGTGTGTGTTTGCATCTGTGTGTGTGTGGAAATGGTAGTAGTTGTAGCAAAAGCAAAATACTTGAGTTGTTCCCTCCAAAGTGGGAAAATTGATTTACATAGTTGTTTGCTATTAAGACTCAAATAAGTCTAGCGTGCTTAGGTTTTCTCCTGTGTTTGCCAGTTTTTGACAGCTGCCAGTTAACAGATGTGATCACTTTATCTAAGCATCGCTAGCCTAGTATCTTCAGAAAATCTTCTGTGAAAGCTGCAGCTTCACCGTCCCAAGTCAATTCCTGCAATCTTAAACTTGCAGCGTATTCATTTGTGGGCACTGAGGCAGCCAGTGGGAGGGTATTGATTGGAGTATAATGTCATGTGTAGCAGGAGAGAAAGATGAAAAGTGTTTTCTGCTTAATGGGTTGGTATTAAGTAGGTGGGAATGGCTTCTAATTAGCCAACAATTGCTGTGTTTCCCAGTTTCCCTCCTTCCCCTCCTCCTGTCGGTCACCAGCTGCCAATCTGCCCCCTTTTTTTTTTATTTGGAGTTCATTGCTCACTGCAGTGAAAGCCTTTGTTTAAGAAAGAGGGCTCCCAGGGTCTCAGCTGCCTGGGTACAGCATGCTGCCTACGATGAGTAGCAACTGTCAGTTTATTTTATCTCAACCTTTTCATCATGCTGCTGAAACTGATCGACTGAAACCACCTGAGAGACCTGAGGATTCAGTACCTACAAGTCATTAGCTAGGACTGCACAGCCTTTCACCACATAGCAAGTCAACTGAACACTTCCTGGAATGCAGTCCAGTTTAACCCCATGCTTTCCCAGGAACACATAAGAATTCTGTCCCTTTTTTGTTTTTGAAGCTGAATTGATGAGAGATGATTTCTTTGACATACAGTCATATGTCAGAATATTTTGCTTTGGCTAAGGGATGGGGAGAATGCCCCTGTGACAGGCTTTGCTATAGGGATATCACTAATGTGGGGCACATTATTCCATCCATAGTAAAAGTGAAGGTGACGTTGGAAAACATTTTACAAAATGACTTTATAACATCAGGTCTTAAGCCCCATTTTTCACAAACATCAAATGTGCCAGATTGGAGCCTGATCTTACATGCATGTGATTCGTAATATAGCTACTGTCTAGGGTTTCCTGTGTTTCGTTTTAAAACCAACTAAAGAAAAACTTCCCACACCATTTAATAATAGTTCGAAAATGCTTTTTAGAAAGACCATTTAACCTGTAGTATCTAGAATGCATCTAAATAGAATGACATGCTGAGAAAATTCCACCTGTGCCACAGTGGAGCATAATATTTAGTGAAAATCAATGACATACAAAGGTATGGAAAAATGATGCTGTCATATACCACTTAGAATTGTAAAGTTGTCAATATGTGGCATTTAGTCACATTTCAACCATCGAAGGTAGGTTTCTTGGGGAAGTAAAACTTAAGAAACTTTTGGAAGGGGAAAGGAAAGCAGAGGAAAGTAGATTATTTTGGATAAATTATGTGAAGTGACAAGTATTGATAGAGTTGGGATCAGAGAGGAAAAGAGTTTGAGGAACTTTTGAACTGATTTTTAAATAGATATCTAAAGGAGGTGATGGGGATAGATGCACTGAATAAAAGCACTGATTTGAAGTGCTTTCCATATTCCATCTGTGAATTTATAATAATGTTCTGCAGTACTAATACTACTAAGAAATGTTATCCTTTAAAAATACACTTTGTTGAGGTATGATTGACATGTAGTGAGCCGTACATATTTAATGTATACAACTGGATGAGTTTAGGGATAAGGAAATGTTATCTTAAGACTCACTAACTGGGTTTACATATATTAGTGAACTATCACGTATTCATGAAGAAAAGCTAACCTTGCATTACCACCTTAAAATACTGAAAAATTCAAGAAACTTAAGGACAGCTCCTGCATATAAGAATCTCCTGGTGAGCTTGTTAAAAGCAGATTCTTAAGCCCCTTCATTAGAGATTCTGATTCTATAATTCTAAGATAGGACCCTAGAGAGATCCATTTTTAACAACCCAACACCACCTACCCCTCATCATTTCGATGCAAGTGGTCCTTGAGTTGCACCTTGAGAAACTGCCTAAGGCTTATTGTGAAGTTTAATTTTCCACAGGGTATCTTAAAATACTTGTTCATATTAGAAATGCAACAGAATATCTTGTCACCACTGAACATTTTTAACTTCAATGTCATTTTTTCCTCTTAAAAACCTTCTACTTATAATTTCTTTGAAATAATTGAAATATGAAATAGACTAAGCTAGACTACAATAGAAAAGTATCGGAGTACTTCACACATAGTAAGTTCTGTTTTGTCAAACTCTTTATTCAATTATGTATTCTATGTCACAAGGTAAAATATATTTTTTACTGTAGATTTTAATTAAAAAAAAAAGCCCACTGCTTTACAAGCTATTCTTCACACAGCAGCCAAGGTGATCTTTCTTTTTGGAAAGTTAGAGTTCTCTTCTCAGACCTCAGTGATAACTCAGTAACAACTGGAATAAAATCTAAAGTAATCACCACGGCTTACAAGGCCTAAATTAACTGGCTTCCCCTCAAACTTCAATTCTTACTTCTCTCCCTCTCACTTAATTTGTTCCAGCCATATTGGTTTCTATCCAGGTAAAACAAGCCTTGCTTTATCTGGATATCTTCTCCCCACCCTCCTACATATACATGCCTTGATTCCTTATTTCAATTAGGCTTCTCTTCAGACTCCTCAAAACCTTCTATTTAAAACAGCCCTCACCAAATCCAAACCCAATCACTTTCTTTTTTTTTTTTTCTTTTTTTTTGAGACGGAGTCTCACTCTGTCGCCCAGGCTGGAGTGCAGTGGCGCGATCTCGGCTCTCTGCAAGCTCTGCCTCCCAGGTTCACGCCATTCTCCTGCCTCAGCCTCCTAAGTAGCTGGGACTACAGGCGCCCGCCACCATGCCTGGCTAAATTTTGTATTTTTAGTAGAGACAGGGTTTCACCATGTTGGCCAGGATTGTCTTGATCTCCTGACCTTGTGATCTGCCCACCTCAGCTTCCCAAAGTGCTGAGATTACAGGCGTGAGCCACTGCACCCGGCCACTAAACCCAATCACTTTCTATTTTCATACCTGCTTTATTTTTTTTTTTGTAGCACTTACCACTATTTCTAGAGATTGCCCACCAGCATCTAAATCTCCATTCCTATGCTTAAGTAATTTTCTACTTTATACATGTAGGTGGAAAGTCAAGACTTGCTCTCACTGTAGGTGTTGAAAAGCCAGATACTCACCTCCAGCTTCAGGAAGTGAGTATCCTTCCTGACCATGTGAGTCATGTGTGCTGTGCACACTAAACTTTGCATCAGAAGCTGGGACTTGCTAAGCAAGACTGTGCAGAATCCCACTCAGCAAGGAATGGCACCAGGCAGGGTTCTGTATTGTAAAGCTTCCTTAATAGTTCTCATGACAAGAAATTCACCCACCAACATGTATGTACTGGTAAACAAATTTTCTGGACATTTTTTGTTGTTACATAGCTTTAGTATATGCAAACCTGAAAAATTTGCAGCCCATAGTTTTATTCCTAGAACAGGGCAGCTACTTCTTTTGTATCCCTGTTACCAAGTTTGTGTCAATATTTATGTGGCCCAAAGTCCATGTAAGTATGATTATGACTATCATAAGTAGAGTGGTTGAATTATATTCTCGACTGAGTTGAGAATTCTCAATTTGTGAATATAGATTGTTCCATTTATAAGTATTTCAAATTTCCTTTAATTTTGTTACAAACATGCACTGTTTCATTGTGCTTTTCTTTATTGCACTATGCAGATGTTGCATTTTTTACACATTGAAGGTGTATGGTAACCTTGCTTTAAGCAAGTCTATCAACACAATTTTTCCAATAGCATGTACTCACTTAGTTCCTCTGTGTCACATTTTGGTAATTCAGTATTTCAAACTTACTATTAATATTATTATCATTACATCTGTTATGGTGATCTGAGATCAGTGATCTTTGATGTTATTATTGTAATTGTTTTGGGATGCCATGTATTGCATCCATAAAAGACAATGAATTTAACTGATAAATGTTGTGTGTGTTCTGACTGCTCCACTGACCAGCCATTCCCCTGTCTCTCCCCCTCCTTGGGCCTCCCTATTCCCTGAGACACAACAATATTGAAAAAGGGCCAACTAATAACCCTACACTGGCCTCTAAGTGTTCATGTGAAAGGAGGCATTGCATAACTCTCACTTTAAATCAAAAGGTAGAAATGATTACTATGCTTAGTGAGGAAGGCATGTTGAAAGCTGAGATAGGTAAACGCTAGGCCTCTTGTGCCAAACAGTTAGCCAAGTTGTGAATACAAGAGAAAAGAAAGTTCTTGAAAGAAATTAAAATGCTACTCCAGTGAACACATGAAAAGGAAGCAAAACAGCTGTATTGCTGATATGGAGAAACTTTTAGTGGTGTGGATAAAATATTAAATAAGCCACAACATTCTCTTAAGCCAAAACCAGTATCCAGAGCAAGCCCCAAACTCTCTAATTCTGTGAAGGCTGAGAGAGGTAAGGAAGCTTCAGAAGAAAAGTTTGAAGCTAGCAGAAATTGGTTAAGAGAAGAAGTCATCTCCATAACATAAAAGGGCAAGGTGAAACAACAAATGCTAATGGAGAAGCTGCAGCAAGTTATCCAGAAGATCTAGCTAAGATAATTGGTGAAGGTGGCTACACTAAACGACGTATTTTCAATGCAGATGAAACAGCCTTTCATTGGAAGAAGATGCTATCTAGGGCTTCCATAGCTAGAGAGGAGAAGTCAATGCCTGGCCTTAAAGGACAGGCTAACTCTTATTAGTAGCTACTGCAGCTGGTGACTTTGACGTTGAAGCCCATGCTCATTTACCATTCTGAAAATCAGGGTCCTTAAGAATTATGCTAAATCTACCACACCTGTGCTCTATAAATGGAACAACAAAGACTGGATAACATCAAGTCTGTTGTAGCATGGTTTACTTAATATGTTAAGCCCACCATTGAGACCTACTGCTTAGAAAAAAGATTCTTCTCAAAGTATTACTGCTCATTGATAATGCATCTAGGCACCCAAGATTGCTCTGATAGAAATGTATACAGAGATTATAGGCACCCAAGATTGCTCTGATAGAAATGTATACAGAGATTAATGTTGTTTTTATGCCTGCTAATAAAATATCCATCTGTTACCCATGGATCAATAAGAAGTTTTGACTTCGAAGTCTTATTATTTAAGAAATACTTTGTACAGCTTTAATATTATTTAATATTTAAGAAATATTTTGTAAGGCTTTAGCTTCCATAGGTAGTTGATTCTTCTGATGGATCTGGTAAAAGTAAATGGAAAATCTTCTATAAAGGATTCATCATTCTAGATGCCATTAAGAACATTTATGATCTATGGGAGGTGGTCAAAATATATCAATAGTTATGGGAATTTGGAAGAAGTTGATTGCAGCGCTCATGGATGACTTTGAGAGGTTTGAGATTTCAGTGGGGAAATTCACTGCAGTTGTGGTGGAAATAGCAAGAGAACTAGAATTAGAAGTGGAGCCTGAATATCTGAGTGAATTGGTGCAATCCCATAATCAAACTTGAATAAATGAGGAGTTGCTTCTTATGGATAAGCAAATAAAGTGGTTTCTTGAGATGGAATCTACTACTGGTGAAGATACTGTGAACATTGTTGAAATGACAACAAAGAATATTACATAAATTTAGTTGATAAAACAGTGGTAGAGTTTGAGAGGTTTGACTCCAATTTTAAGAGAAGTTCTACAGTGGGTAAAATGCTATCAAACAGCATTGCATACTACAGAGAAATCTTTTGTGAAAGGAAGAGTCAATCAATGTGACAAACTGCATTATTGTCCTATTTTAAGAAATTACCAGAGCCACCCAAATCTTCAGCAACCACCACCCTGATCAATCAACAGCCATTAACATCAAGGGAAGACTCTCCACCAGCAAAATGATTATGACTTGCCGTAGGCTCAGATGACAATTAGCATTTTGTTTTTAGTAATAAAGTATTCTTAATAAAGGTATGTACATTTTTTTTTAGAAAAATGCTATTGCACACCTAACAGACTAAAGTGCAGTGTAAGCATAACTTTTATATGTACTAAGAAACCAAATAATTTGTGTGACTCGCTTTATTGCAATGATCTGGAACTGAACCCACAATATCTCCAAGGTATGCCTCTATTTGGCTTGATATTTTTCTCTTTTCCTTCAAATTGATGTGCAAAAGAGAGTCTAGGAGAGGCCCTGAAGAAAAGCAATAGGTTGGTTTTCATCTACTTATCTTTTATAAATCATATTTGTACTGAGAACTCTATCCAGTAGAAAGCTGAAGTTTTTTAAAAAAGAAAAATTCCTATGTTAGATATGGTAAGTGACAGCATTATGCATGATTACCTATGCAATTACACTTGCACATGCTTGAAAATTTTTAGCCAGGAATGCTTAATAACATTTGCATGGTTAAATGAGACAGCAGAAACAACTGGAAGGGCCTCAGGGCATGGTCATCTATTTAAGCATCCACTTGGATTTTCAACATAATTAGTCATATAATTGTGTGCCCAAACTTAGTAGATTCATGTAAGTAATGATAAATTATTAAAAAGCTGTGCTTGTAATGTTTTGCTTCTTATTTCCTGCCAATCAAATTACTAAAAAAATACTATATTCACAATTCATCATACAAATCTTCAAAAGTGATTACAATTTAAAGCCCTGGATAAAGGTGAGTGGACGAATGAAGTCATTCACATGAGAGGTAGTTAATGTAGCTATTTGGCCATCTATATTTTTAGGGAATATTCCTGTGATCAAATTATAATAGCCTGCTCATCCATGCCTACTAAGATTTTAATGAAAAAATATTGTTTCTTTTGCTCACATTGTATTCAACACAATTAGTTTTTTCATATTATGATAGAAGGAAATTAGTAGCTAAAGGATGAATGTGATAGCTTCCTCTTGCATAGTTTATTTCCCCTTTTCCATAATCCTGTTAGCTGGTGATGGTAAAAACTTGGGCCAAATAAATCTGTACGGTACAGTATAAATATTAATCTCAAAGTTTTAAGATGGTTATTTTGACCAAATTTTCCCAAGTTTTCTCACCCTTTCTTTTCCTATTGATCTTGAAGCTTCATTTCATTTCATTTTTCCCCACTGATACGTTAGTATTAGAATTAAAAATATGTGGAAACTGGAAAACTGTTTCCCTCCTTAGGAGCTTACTATCTCATAAGCAAGGCTAGAAGCCCTTTGAAGGGTTGCACTAAACTTCTTTTGGTAATAATGCAAAATATACTTGATTAGCTGCCGATATCATGAAATACACAGCCTTTTTTTAAAAAAATTTAATTTTAAGTTCCAGGGTACACGTGCAGGATGTGCAGGTGTGTTACATAGGTAAATGGAAATGCACAGTCTTAATTCAGAGAAATCAGACTTATCTCACTAAAGTTTGAAATTAACTCAGCTTTTTCTCCTTTTAGGTATCTGATTTCATATTAGAGGTTAATAAATGCAATCCCTCAAAGAAATAGCACTTAAGTGAACTAACTTTAGTTTTTCCTATTGGTTTGACAAAGTCCAACTTTGTTTACCTTAAGAGCATGGTAAAAGAATGCCTATTTTCTCAGGCTTTTTGACTGAAGTTTAGAATGAAATGAAAGGAAGAGAAAACGTGAGTATAATGTAGTGTGAAAAGATTTGGGTATGGTGAATATTGGTTAGTCCTTTTAATATTTATTTCATTGCCACAGTAGTTCAGAGGAGTAAGAAAGTAAATGTGTGCAGGTACATTCATAGTGATTCAAAAATTCATTCCAGGAAGATGAAAACACTGGTCAGGATGGACTGGCATTAAAATGAAGACATATGCTACTACTTCTTGTCATTAGTGTCTTGCCCAGCATTTCCTATACTGGGCCCACTGACCCATCACCAGGAGGCAGACATCATTCCAGACATCATCCACCAGAAGTGAAATATGTATCCAGGGATAAGGCATTGGAAATAATTTGTAAAGCGATATTTGTCATGAAAAGCATTTATTTTTGTATTAATTATGCTAAATAATCTAGATCACAGAATATTTATCCTCATCTGGGAGTTAAAAAGGCAGGGAAGACAGAGTAAAACAACATTAAGAAAAGTAAATTATGGGACCATGAATATATTTTTTCTAAAAAACCCTGAATCAGGAAAAGTTTAAAAGAATCAGAAGCCAACAACACATGTGCCTTTAATGTGTTCATGTTTTAAATACAGTCATATTGCTTCTTTTTTCAGAAGAAATCTTATGGACCAAGAACCACTAGAATTGTCCTAAGAAAGCCTTACCAAAAAAGGATTAAATACACATAGGAGAGGATCATTTTGCTTCCAAATTCTAGCAATGGTAGAAAGCATCTAGCTGAACTGGTATAATATTTGGAATCCGTGGCCACAGGCCAAATGACATAGCTAGAGGCAGAGGTAAGACCCTTGCTGAGAATGAGACAAATATAAATGGGGTGACAGCTGAGTTCTCCAACTCTTCCTTTCTACTGATTCACTCTCGTTTTGCTATGGTTTAACTGAAAACTTTTCATAAGCTCCTCAAACTAGCAATTAAAGACAAAGTTGAAATAAAATCAGATTAGAGAAACCCAGCTACATTTTTCTTACAAGTGATGATGAGTTCAGTGTAGATTGGAAAGTTAAAACTGGTAACACCACCAGCTACCAAGAACTGTGAGCAGAATCTAAAAGAAGTGTTGAAAACCATATCAGGGAGAATGATGTTTTAAAAACCCATAATAATTTCATTAGTTTTTAGGATTATCTTAAATTCAATTAGAGTAAAATAAAACTTAAAAGCATAAGAATTTTCTCAGAAAGCTAGGAATCATAGATTTAAAGAACAAAAAAAGGAATTCAGAGAGATCATGTAGTCTAATCACCTCTGTTGCACCCCAATTTTCAAATGAGAAACTTACACAAGGTGAGAATTTTTGTCCATAGGGACACTGAATAAAATACTTAGTATATTTAGTAATTATCCATTTAATGTCTTCTAAAACACACATCATAATAATAATGTCAACATCAACACCAATAACATGACTACTGAAAAAAAATTTTAGATTTTTTGGGTGGGAGGCATTTTTTAGGATATAATCCATTAGAGATGTATGGTCAAATTTCTCTGTTTTAAAGCCATCTGGAATTTTTCCTTCCTGTGTGATTATATCACCAACTGGATACATATTTAGGGTCATTGGCTTTATCTGTTTATTTATTTTTAGATTTTTAGAAGTTACTTTTGCTTTTTCAAAAATTTCTTTTGTTGGGGCTCCTTGTAGAAATGGTAGATTCCAGGTCTGGATGCAAAGATGTATGCCATGAGTCTGAAACAATTTCTCATAGCAAATAGAAAGCCATCAGAATCCACAAAGCTGACATTAGAAGGCCCCTTTGTGCAGTAGGCTGTGATGATCTGGGGCCCCAAAATACCCAGTATCAAAATATATCACCCACCCTTAGCCAGGTAAAGTTTGTGTAATCTAAGAAAAAAAAAGGTCAAAATTAAAAACAAATCCCTTTTAGAGGAACCCAACAACTAGGCAATGAGATATGGATGCTAAAACAGTGAGTTCCCAAAGAAGAGACTGATGAGCACTGACAACATTCAGTTCAAATATTGAGCTATGGTGGACCCCAGGCTGGCAGTTGTCTGCCTGGTGGAAACTGAAGGTGCCTCTACAAAATCAGATTTCTCCATTTAATTTACATTTACTTTCACATTTGTTATAAACCCTACAATGCGTTATTATTTGTTTGCATTAACCAATTATTTTTAAAGCAAATTTAAAAAGAAAAATTATTTTTACTGACATATTTCTAATTTTCATGTTCTTCATTTCTTTGCACAGATGCAGATTTCAAAATGAATCCCTTTTCCTTCAGTGTGTAGGACTGTAACATTTCTTGTACTGATGTTTAGTGATTAATTCTCTCAGCTTTTATATGGTTGGCAAAAGCTTTATTTTGCCTATGGTTTTGAAAGATATTTTCACTGAGTATACAATTCTAGGTTTGATGCTTATTTTTTTTTATTTCAGTACTTTAAATATCTTCTTCTGAACTGTATTTTTTACAAAGATCTTTCTGGTTTTTTTTGTTTGTCCTGTCTCTGTATGTAGTGTCCTTCCTCTCCCACCTCACCCTGGCTGCTTTAACATATTTCTTTTTATCACTGATTTCAAGCACTGACTATGGTATGCCTCCATTTAGTTTCTTCATGTTTCTTTTGCTTACAGTTTACTGGGCTTCTTAAATTCCAGTTTGTGGTTTTTCTTAAATCAAATTTGTAAAACAACTGGCCACTGATTACTTTGTTTTATATATATATATATATATATATATATATTCGTTCTCTCTTCTTTTCCCTCTCCTTTGGGGCCTCCAATTCAATCATATATTAGGCTTCTTGAAGTTGACCCACAGTTCTCTGACATTCTCTGTTCAATTTTTTTTTCAGTATTTTTTCACAGTATTTCATTGTGAATAGTTTCTATTGCTATGTCTTCAAGTTCACTAACCTTTTCCTTTGCATTGTGTAATCTGCTGCTAATCCCATTCAATTTATTTTTCATCTTGGACATTTTATTCCATGACTCTTTAAGTTCCTACTACCTACTTGAACATATGGACTATAGGATATAGGAGTGGCATCAGATTTAGGAGGGAAGAGGTAGCCACAAAGTAAAGTATATGAAGAGGAATAATCATGAGGAGAAAAGCAGGAATATTCAGAAATCAGGAGCCCCAGGAACAGCGGGGGATAGGGTAGGGTTGAGGAAATGCTAAGGGGAAGTAAGACACAGGATTGGATACAGGAGGATGAATTAAAGTCTTCAGATAAAATAGTTCACTAAGATTAGCAGCCTCAAGAGTGCCAACCAGGGAAAAGTAAAACTTTTATTATAAATTCTAGCAGAAGGATCAAATACACTTGGTCTTCCTATAGTTGTTTAATATATAATAAAAATAATGATAATAATAAGTTTCCTTTTGTGGAAACTCACAGAAGCCGATGTTTGTGGGGAGAAAAACAACAAATAAAATGCTCATGAACATCTAGATTGTACTCTTAAAGACTACAAAATACTGGCCGGGCTAGGCATGGTGGCTCATGCCTGTAATCCCAGCACTTTGGGAGGCCGAGGCAGGTGGATCACGAGGTCAGATTGAGACCATCCTGGGTAACACAGTGAAACCCCGTCTCTACTAAAAATAGAAAAAATTAGCCAGGTATTGGGGCGGGCACCTGTAGTCCCAGCTACTCGGGAGGCTGAGGCAGGAGAATGGCATGAACCTGGGAGACGGAGCTTGTAATGAGCCGAGATTGCACCGCTGCACTCTAGCCTGGGTGACAGAGCCAGACTCCGTCTCAAAAAAAAAAAAAAAAAAAAAAAAAAAGACTACAAAATACCATATTTAGTGAGAAAGATGCTCTTACTGAGAAATCATGGTCAGTTCCAGAGGAATCTTGTCGACATATATTTTGAACCTCAGGTAACAGGTTAAGGACACAAAATGAAATCTTTTGCTGAAAGTCACAAAGCTAATTAGTGCTCAATATGATGTTAGAGCTCAGATCACTGGACTCTTGACTAGTAGCCTCTCTGAATGACACCAAGCTGCCAGTAGGTGAGCTTTGATTCAGTCATATTTTTCACCAGATTCTTCTTTTTCTTTGTGTTGGTTATGAAAACATTATTAAAGACAGAGAGTTCCTCTGTGATTATAAGATGGATGAAACCTACTTGCTTGCTGACTTTTTGGCTAATTCCATGACCTCCTCCTCATTATTAAAGTTAATAACCAACAGAAGTAGCTGATTGTAATAAAAGCTGAGGATCACTAGTGAGTGTGATTTTTTTTCATTTTTTTTAAAGGGTTGAGTTCATGAATGAAAAATACAAGCAAGGAACAGGTTACAAAAACATGACTCAATATTAAGCCCAGGGACCCACATTAAGCCAACATAAACCAAGGGCTGTGAGACAAAGTCATGGTTTTGATCATTCTCTTTTAAGAATACTAAATGATGCATAAAACTACGATGATATCGTTGCCAGTCAAGGAAACCTTTACATGCCATTTTGTAGAAAACAGTGTCTTTAAGTACTGACTGCCAGCAGTTTAATCTACTATATTTCTATAGTCAGGATTTGCATCTTATTTCTCTGATGTCATTTACATTTGGCTACAATAAGAAAGTACATGAAAACCATGTTACTGATATAATTATTATCAGTGAAGTGGTTAACAATATTGGTATTTAAATGGCTATAATTACATTTCTAGGTTGACACTGCTATTAAGTTGAATATGGAAAGCTTTTGCTTCTGTGTTGCTGTTCCACATGTGGGTCTGAGATCTCCAAAAGGCCAGATGAATGAGCCTTTCATTTAAAAAAATTCTTCTTGATTGTAGAGATAATAGCTCTAGTAAGGAAAGTAAACTATATTCTGGAGAAATCAGCAGAAATTCATGGGCTCTTAAGCCTTCTGGAGCCAAACAATTTCAGTTGATTTAGGATGAACAATTTTATTGAACTGCAATCAATTTGAATTTCTTCTAAATCCCTAAGTTTGGGAGGATAATCTATTCTTATTTTAATATTGGAAAGAAAGAATAAGCACTCAGGTCTAACCATATCTAAGAGTCTTAGAATAGAATGAAGGTGCCTACATTTGCTGTGTTCCCTCTGAAAGGTATAAAGATGAGAGATGATTGCTGGTGAGTCACTGTTCTATTTCATCTAGAGACCTGAATGCTCTCACTGCTCTATTCCCTTAGGGGGTCATGTTCCTCTGCTTAAAAGAATATTGCCTGCTCTCTGAGCTAATGATTTGTTTGGAGGATGGAAGTCTCAGAGGTGAAGATAACTGCACAGCTTTTAAAATGTATCTTTCAGATCTTTGATCTGTTTTTTTTCTGAATACATGGGACTCTTCAATGGCAAGATTAAAGATGCCTTTTCTTAGAAGAAAGGCAAAAGTTGAAAACTTAAAAGCTGCTCAGATTTCCAAATAATATTTTTGTATTTTTTCATTTTGTTGACATCATGTTGGGTGAGTGTCATCCTTCATTCATGTGATAATTGGATGGTAATCAAAATACAGTGTTGGATCACAGGTTTTCCAAGAAGGGGGGATACTACACATTTTGTTTAAAAAGTCGTTAATGCAAACTAGTTTATGATTAGGGCATACATACTCATTTTGAATTCTATTTGATTCAACAAATATTTACTTGGTACCTAGTAGATGCCAAACATCGTGTCTTCTTTTGTAGGGAATACCAAGAACAAGGGCCTGTTTTCAAGAGACTTTTACCCTTAATCAGGCAGTTAAGGCGATTACAGAAATGGCCGTGGTAGGATGCAGAATATGCCAAATGAAAAGCGAGTGGAGAGAAATGAATGACATTCAATGTGGGACAGAGAAGAGACCACATTTAAATAAGAGGGCATCATGGAGGGTTTCAGCATTTGAGAATGACCTAGCAAAACGGGCAAGATTTTCCTGGATGGGGCTAGAACTGAAAGTAGGTGATAATAAACCATGTGGTATGCTGAGGGCAGGGGGAGTGGCAGAGGACAGGGGAGGGAAGTGGTCAGAAAAGATTGAGAAGCTTGTATTTAATGAACAGGCAGTGGGGAGCCGAGGAAGATTTTTTAAGCAGAGCAGAGATGGTGTTAAGAGTTGTGGTTCAAGAAGTATTTTTGAAGCATTTTAAAGCAGAATTTCACGTCTTTTGAACTAAAAAATATGTTTATGTAAACAAACCTGTTTGATAATATCCTACAGATTTTATTTTCCAAATAGAAGGGCTACCCCTGAAAATGTTAAACCATGCCAGTAGTATGAGAATTAATTTCTCACTTGTACTTGGACCCAAAAGGTTATTATTTTTCAGTTTTATAATATTGTGGCTCATCCATGCATATATTTCTAATGTAGGTGAAATAAATCAGCAAAGGAGTGTTTTATTTTATAGCATTCTGAACAACTTAATCTGCCCCCCTCTACCATACAAATAGCTGTTTTTAATATCTGAATAATATTTTGATATGCTTTTGTTCTGCTCCTAAGTCCTGTTGGAAAAAAAAATGACCTTACAAAAACATGGAAATAAAACATAAAAAGTATAGAAAAATAAATAGTTTTACAGAATAAAGAAAAACAAAAGAGCAAGGTGCAGTGGCTCACGCCTGTAATCCCAGCAGTTTGGGAGGCCAAGATGGGTAGATCATGCGATCAGGAGATCAAGACCATCCTGGCTAAGACTGTGAAACCCCATCTCTACTAAAAATACAAAAAAAATTAGCCGGGCGTCATGGTTGGGTGCCTGTGGTCCCAGCTCCTCAGGAGGCTGAAGCAGGAGAATGGTGTGAACCCGGGAGGCAGAGCTTGCAGTGAGCCGAGATCATGCCACTGCACTCCAGCCTGGACAACAGAGCGAGACTCTGTCTCAAAAAAAAAAAAAAAAAAAAAAAAAAAAAAAGAGACTTTTTTAAAGCGAAAATCAGGATGGCCTCGAATAGACATAGATCTGATCAGAAGATACTGTTTTCAGGAGTATTTTTTTTTTCATAATTACCATTGTGATGATTGGAGTTTATCCAAAATAAATCTGAAAATGTGAGAAGCTTTACTCATCTTCTACTAAACCTTCATCAGAATAAGTAATCTAATATAGGTCATGTTTCCTCTGCATTGTTTTCTGCCATTCTGGGCAGAAAATATGCGAACCTGAAGGATACATAACTCAAAACTACAGACCTCTCAAATACGTGATGACAAGACAGCATGCTGAAGTAAGCACAATATGACCTGAAAGCAGTCAGTTAATAATGGACTGTAAATATTTTGGGGGTGTTTGAACACACTGAAATTCAAGAAGCTGCCAATTTTTTGAAGACTTCATCTTGTTTTCTCTTACTATGGATGTATTTGGAAGAAGATCTTTCCTCTTTTTTATAACTAGAGGACGGTGGGTAGTTAAGTAGTATTCTACTGACCTAAAAAAGTCAACAAAACTTATTTGTGCTTAATTTGCTATTATTTACAATTTATTCTATGGAGGAAATAAATAAATATCAAAATAGATTGTTGTTTCATCTAAATGACCACAGGGGAAAACAAAGAGTTCAAATCAAATAGAAGATACTTCACATTACAAAAGGTTTGCCTTATGATTCCATTTGAGTTATGCCAAAATATTTTACTTTAAAAAGTTTGATTTGCACACAAATAAAAGAACTCTAAAGGCTGTCATAGGCAGTATTGTTTTTTATTTTATATTGTTTTGGTTTTTAAAATATCCCATTCTAAAGTTCTTAACTGGGAACTAGAGCCAAACCTAGTTGGCACATAATACTGACCCCTGCATCCCTTCTAGTTGTTTGGTTTTAATTTACTATTTTGAATAGAATTCTTCAATTCTATTGAATAAGAAAAAGCATGTGGCAAAAAAGTAGAATTGAGAAAGATTACTACCAACTATTTTCTAAATTAATATTCCAACTCAAACTGATAAAAATACTTATCAGTAAAGTAAGCGCATAAAACAAATTAGCATTCATCTACAGTCACTCTTTTCAGTAAGGTATAACATGGCGCATGCTAAAAAAGCATAAGCTTATTTCACATTCCTTATGCCTCATCAGTACCTATTGTTGACTAAGATAACTGGTGAAAAAAAAAACAGCATGAGAATGGTGATTTATCAGGTACACCACATTATTACCACTATTTTATGCTTCTCTTAAACATCAAAGGTATAATTTAGCACAAAAGTATATCCAACCTTCATGTAGTAATGGATCCATAAAATTGAAATTACCAATCAAATTAAAATCACCGACATTTGAGTGAAACTTTCCAATGAAAGTAAATTAATCATTGAGAATGATATGAAAACTAAAGTGTTCTAAAAACCAATGCCTTACCAGTAACTGGATCAGGTTCAATGTTACCTCTGCTCTCCTTCCATGACAGCAGGTAGTTGAGGCTGGTGAGATCTGCAGACTCTA
This sequence comes from Homo sapiens, assembly GCF_000001405.40. Classification (NCBI taxonomy): domain Eukaryota; kingdom Metazoa; phylum Chordata; class Mammalia; order Primates; family Hominidae; genus Homo; species Homo sapiens. The sequence goes on from NC_000004.12 coordinate 146,803,541, forward strand.
TATAGTTGTTCACTGTAAGCATCATCTGATGAGCTTTTGCTATTCCATAGTGAACTTTTGTCTCATCCATCAGAGGCATGCTCATTAGCTCTACTGTTGTGTCAAAAGCTTGCTGAAAGCATTCAGAAGCTTTGTTGTAGTATCCCTAAAAAGGTAAGAGAAATAATTTTCTTTCTTACTTTTAATGTCACCATTTCACATATTTTCTGACCTTACCCTGGCATGTCCCACACTGACCTTTCGACAGTTACAGCAGTTCATCTTCAAGAAGAAACAGATGGCAAGCAGGCTATTAGGATAAGTTTCTTTTAAAGACCTGTGATTACTCACCATTCAATATCTTGAAATTAACTTAGTAGGAAAGTTGTATCTATTAGACTAAGCTATATAAGACTTAAGTTCTGCAATGTCTGGCAAGATGACTGAATAGGAACAGCTCTGGTCTGCAGCATCCAGTGAGCTCAACACAGAAGGCAGGTGATTTCTGCATTTCCAACTGAGGTAACCGGCTCATCTCTTTGGGAAGTGTTAGACAGTGGGTGCAGCCCATGGAGGGCAAGCTGAAGCAGGGTGGGGCATTGCTTCACCTGGGAAGTGCAAGGGGTTGAGGAATTCCCTCATCTAGCCAAGGGAAGCTGTGAGGGACTGTGCTGTGAGGAATGGTGCTCTGTGGCCCAGGTATTATGCTTTTCCCATGGTCTTCGCAACCCACAGACCAGGAGATTCCCTCTGGTGCCTATGGGTTTTGAGCACAAAACAGGGCGGCTGTTTGGGTAGACACTGAGCTAGCTGCAGGAGTTTTTTTTTCACACTCCAGTGTTGCCTGGAATGCAAGCAAGACAGAACCATTCACTCCCCTGGAAAGGAGGCTGAAGCCAGGGAGCCAAGTGATCTAGCTCAGCGAATCCCACCTGCAGGGAGCCAAGCAAACTAAGATCCACTGGTTTGAAATTCTCACTGCCAGCATAGCAGTCTGAAGTCAACCTGGGATGCTCGAAGTTGGTGGGGGGAGGGGGGCCCACCATTATGGAGGCTTGAGTAGGCAGTTTTCCCCTCACAGTGTAAAGAAAGCCTCTGGGAAGTTCCAACTGGGTGGAGCACACCACAGCTCCCCAAAGACCCTGTAGCCAGACCGCCTCTCTAGATTACGCCTCTCTGGGCAGGGCATCTCTGAAAGAAAGGCAGCAGCCCCAGTCAGGGGCTTATAGATAAAACTCCCATCTCCCTGGGACACAGCACCTCGGGGAAGGGAGGCTGTGGGCGCAGCTTCAGCAGACTTAAATTTTCCTGCCTGCCGGCCCTGAAGAGAGCAGTGGATCTGCCAGCACAGTGCTCAAGCTCTGCTAAGGGACAGACTGCCTCCTCAAGTGGGTCCCTGACCCCCATGCCTCCTGACTGAGAGACATCTCCCAGCAGGGGTCGACAGACACCTCATACAGGAGAGCTCTAGCTGGCATCTGGAGGGTGCCCCTCTGGGACGAAGCTTCCAGAGGAAGGAACAGGCAGCAATCTTTGCTGTTCTGCAGCCCCGCTGGTGATACCCAGGCAAACAGGGTCTGGAGTGCACCTCCAGCAAACTCCAGCAGCCCTGCAGGAGAGGGGCCTGACTGTTAGAAGGAAAACTAACAAACATAAAGGAATAGCATCAACATCAACAAAAAGGATGTGCACCCAGAAATGCCATCCGAAGATTACCAACATCAAAGACCAAAGGTAGATAAATCCACAAAGATGAGGAAAAAACCACACAAAAAGGCTGAAAATTCCAAAAACCAGAACACCTCTTCTCTTCCAAAGGATCATAACTCCTCACCAAAAAGGGAACAAAACTGGATGGAAAATGAGGTTGACAAACTGACAGAAGTAGGTTTCAGAAGGTGGGTAATAAAAAATCCCTCCGAGCTAGAGGACCATGTTCTAACCCAATTCAAGGAAGCTAAGAACCTTGACAAAAGGTTAGATGAATTCCTATCTAAAATAACCAGTTTAGAAAAGAACATAAATTACCTGATGGAACTGAAAAACACAGCACAAGAACTTCGTGAAGCATACAAAAGTATCAATAGCTGAATCGATCAAGCAGAAGAAAGGATATCAGGGATTGAAGATCAACTTAATGAAATAAAGTGTGAAGACAAGATTAGAGAAAAAAGAAGAAAAGGAATAAATAAAGCCTCCAAGAAATATGGGACTATGTGAAAGGACCAAATCTACATTTGATTGGTGTACCTGAAAGTGATGGGCAGAATGGATCCAAGTTAGAAAACACCCTTCAGGATACTATATGGGAGCACCTCCCCAACCTAGCAAGACAGGCCAACATTCAAATTCAGGAAATACAGAGAACACCACAAAACTCTTCGAGAAGAGCAACTCTGAGACACATTATCGTCAGATTCACCGAGGTTAAAATGAAGGAAACAATGTTAAGGGCAGCCAGAGAGAAAGGTCGGGTTACCCACAAAGGGAAGCCCATCAGACTAACAGCGGATCTCTCTGGAGAAACCCTACAAGCCAGAAGAGAGTGGGGGCCAATATTCAACACTCTTAAGGAAAAGAATTTTCAACTCAGAATTTCATATCCAGCCAAACTAAGCTTCATAAGCTAAGGAGAAATGAAATCCTTTACAGACAAGCAAATGCTGAGAGATTTTGTCACCAACAGGCCTGCCCTACAAGAGCTCCTGAAGGAAACACTAAATATGGAAAGGAAAAACCAGTACTAGCTACTGCAAAAACACCGAATTGTAAAGACCATCAACACTATGAAGAAACTGCATCAACTGATGGGCAAAATAACCAGCTAGCATCGTAATGACAGGATCAAATTCACACATGACAATATTAACCTTAAATGTAAATGGGCTAAATGCCCCAATTAATAAACACAGACTGGCAAATTTGATAAAGACTGAAGACCCATCGGTGTGCTTTATTCAGGAGACCCATCTCATGTGCAAAGGCACATATAGACTTAAAATAAAGGGATGAAGGAATATTTACCAGGTAAATGAAAAGCAAAATAAAAGCAGAGGTTGCAATCCTAGTCTCTGATAAAACAGACTTTAAACCAACAAAGATAAAAAAAAAAAGACAAAGAAGGGCACTACATAATGGTAAAGGGATCAATGAAGCAAGAAGAGCTAACTAGCCTAAATACATATGCACCCCATACAGGAGCACCCAGATGAATAAGGCAAGTTCTTAGAGACCTACAAAGAGACTTAGACTCCCACATAATAATAGTGGGAGAATTTAACACCCCACTGTCAATATTAGACGGATCAACGAGACAGAAAATTAACAAAGATATTCAGGACTTGAACTCAGCTGTGGACCAAGCAGACCTAATAGACATCTACAGGACTCTCCACCCCAAATCAACAGAATATACATTCTTCTCAGCACCACATCGCACTTATTCTAAAATTGACCACATAATTGGAAGTAAAACACTCCCTAGAAAATACAAAAGAATAGAAATCATAACAAACAGTGTCTCAGACCACAGTGCAATCAAATTAGAACTCAGGATTAAGAAACTCACTCAAAACTGCACAACTACATGGAAACTGAACAACATGCTCTTGAGTGACTACTGGGTAAATAACAAAATTAAGGCAGAAATAAATAAGTTCTTTGAAACCAATGAGAACAAAGACACAATGTATCAGAATCTCTGGGACACAGCTAAAGCAGTGTGTAGAGAGAAATTTATAGCACTAAATGCCCACATTGAAAAAGCAGGAAAGATCTAAAATCGACACCCTAACATCACAATTAAAAGAACTAGAGAAGCAAGAGCAAATAAATTCAAAAGCTAGCAGAAGGCAAGAAATAAATAAGATCAGAGAAGAACTGAAGGAGACAGAGACACAAAAAACCCTTCAAAAAATCAATGAATCCAGGAGCTGGTTTTTTGAAAAGATTAACAAAACAGATAGAATGCTAGCCAGAATAATCAAGAAGAAAAGAGAGAAGAATCAAATAGATGCAACAAAAAATGATAAAGGGGATATCACTACTGATCTCACAGAAATACAAACTACCATCAGAGAATACTATAAATACCTCTATGCAAATAACTAGAAAATATAGAAGAAATGGATAAATTCCTGGACACATATACCCTCCCAAGACTATACCAGGAAGAAGTCAAATCCCTGAATAGACCAATAACAAGTTCTGAAATTGAGGCAGTAATTAATAGCCCACCAACCAAAAAAAGCCCAGGACCAGACAGATCCACAGCCAAATTCTATCAGAGGTACAAAGAGGAGCTGGTACCATTCCTTCTGAAACTATTCCAAACAACAGAAAAAGAGGGACTTCTCCCTAATTCATCTTATGAGGCCGGCATCATCCTGATAACAAAACCTGGTAGAGACACAACAAAAAAAGAAAATTTCAGGCCAATATCCCTGATGAACATTGATGCAAAAATCCTCAATAAAATACGGGCAAACCAAATCCAGCATCACATTAAAAAGCTTATTCATCATGACCAAATTGGCTTCATTCCTGGGATGCAAAGCTGGTTCAACATACGCAAATCAATAAACGTAATCTCTCACATAAACAGAACCAATGACAAAAACCACATGATTATCACAATAGATGCAGAAAAGGCCTTCGATAAAATTAAACATGCCTTCATGCTAAAAACTCTTGATAAACTAGATATTGATGGAATGTACCTCAAAATAATAAGAGCTATTTATGACAAACCCACAGCCAATATCATACTTAATGGGCACAAGCTGGAAGCATTCCCTTTGAAAACCGGCACAAGAGAAGGATGTCCTCTCTCACCACTCCTATTCAACATAGTATTGGAAGTTCTGGCCAGGGCAATCAGGCAAGAGGAATAAATAAAGAGTATTTGAATAGGAAGAGAGGAAGTCAAATTGTCTCTGTTTGCAGATGACATGATTATATATTTAGAAAACCCCATCATCTCAGCCCAAAATCTCCTTAAGCTGAGAAGCAACTTCAGCAAAGTCTCAGGATACAAAATCAATGTGCAAAACTCACAAGCATTCCTATACACCAATAACAGACAGAGAGCCAAATCATGAGTGAACTCCCATTCACAATTGCTACAAAGAGAATAAAATACCTAGAAATACAACTTACAGGGATGTGAAGGACCTCTTCAAGGAGAACTGCAAACCACTGCTCAAGGAAATAAGAGAGAACACAAACAAATGGAAAAACATTCCATGCTCATGGATAGGAAGAATCAGTATCGTGAAAATAGCCATACTGCCCAAAGTAATTTACAGATCCAATGCTATCCCCATGAAGCTACCATTGACTTTCTTCACAGATTTAGAAAAAATTACTTTAAATTTCATATGGAACTAAAAAAAGAGCCTGTATAGCCAAGACAATCCTAAGCAAAAAGAACAAAGCTGGAGGCATCATGCTACCTGACTTCAAACTATACTACAAGGCTACAGTAACCAAAACAGCATGGTACTGGTACCAAAACAGAGATATAGATCAATGGAAAAGAACAGAGTCTTCAGAAATAATGCCACACATCTACAACCAACTGATCTTTGACAAACCTGACAAAAACAAGCAATGGGGAAAGGATTCCCTATTTAATAAATGGTGCTGGGAAAACTGGCTAGCCATATGCAAAAAACTGAAACTGGGTCCCTTCCTTACACCTTATACAAAAATTAACTCAAGATGGATTAAAAACTTAAACGTAAGACCTAAAACCATAAAAACCCCAGAAGAAAACCTAGGCAATACCATTCAGGACATAGGCATGGGCAAAGACTTCATGACTAAAGCACCAAAAGCAATGGCAACAAAAGCCAAAATTGACAAATGGGATCTAATTAAACTAAAGAGCTTCTGCACAGTAAAATAAACTATCATCAGAGTGAACAGACAACCTACAGAATGGGAGAAAATTTTTGCAATCTAGCCAACTGACAAAGGGCTAAAATCCAGAATCGACAAAGGGCTAAAATCCAGAATCTACAAAGAACTTCAACAAATTTACAAGAAAAAAAACAAACAACTCCATCAAAAAGTGGGCAAAGGATATGAACAGACACTTCTTATAAGAAGACATTTATGCGGCCACCAAACATATGAAAAAAAAGCTCATCATTACTGGCCATTAGAGAAATGCAAATCAAAACCACAATGAGATACCATCTCATGCCAGTTAGAATGGTGATCATTAAAAACTCAGGAAACAACAGATGCCGGAGAGAATGTGGAGAAATAGAAACGTTTTTATCCGTTGGTGGGCGTGTAAATTAGTCCAACCATTGCAGAAGACAGGGTGGCAATTTCTCAAGAATCTAGAACCAGAAATACCATTTGACCCAGCAATCCCATTACTGGGTATATTCCCCAAGGATTATAAATCATTCTACCATAAAGACACATGGACACATATGTTTATTGCAGCACTGTTCACAATAGCAAAGACTTGGAACCAACCTAAATGCCCATCAATGATAGACTGGATAAAGAAAATGTGGGACATATACACCATGGAATACTATGCAGCTATAAAAAAGGATGAGTTCATGTCCTTTTTATGGACATGGATGAAGCTAGACACTATCATTCTCAGCAAACACAGGAACAGAAAAAACAAACACCGCATGTTCTCACTCATAAGTGGGAGTTGAACAGCGAGAAGACATGGACACAGGGAAGGGAACATCACATACCTGTTGGGGACTGGGGGACTAGGGGAGGGATAGCATTAGAAGAAATACCTAATATAGATGACAGGTTGATGGGTGCAGCAAACCACCATGGCACGTGTATACCTATGTAACAAACCTGTATGTTCTGCACATTTATCCCAGAACTTAAAGTATATATAAAAAAAGTCTTATGTTCTTATCAATAAAAGGTGGTCAAATATTGGCAGTTTCATATGGTTCAACCTAATACATGGTAGTAAAAAGAAATTTGGGAATGAGTGAACCAATTCACATTGATTTGGATGGAATTTTACTATTCGTAGAGTTGGATTTAGCTAATGAAATATTTTTTACATACCTTCTTTTTTTTTTTTTTTTTTTTTGAGGTGGACTCTCACTCTGTTGCCCAGGTTGGAGTGCAGTGGCATGATTTCAGCTCACGCAACCTCTGTCTCCCAGGTTCAAGCGATTCTCCTGCCTCAGCCTCCCGAGTAGCTGGGATTACAGGCATATGCCACCACGCTCAGTTAATTTTTTATATGTTTGGTAGAGACAGGGTTTTATCATGTTGGTCAGGCTGGTTTCAAACTCCTGACCTCAAGTGATCCACCCGCCTCCGCTTCCCAAAGTGCTGGGATTACTATGTTTTGTTTTCAGTCACAGCAAAAGGTCATTTCAGCCAAGTCATTTAGTTAATGGATGGTGAAAATAAATGTATCTATCCTCTAATTCGTTTACTGCTCTTATTTTCCCATGTTCATATGCCATTCTTCTTAACTGAGAATATTGAAGTATCCAAAATTTCTGAAAAATATGATCGTGATGTCACTAGCACCAATCAAATGATCATTTAAATATCTCTTCAAGAAGTCCTTTGCAACAGCTCGAGCTGCAAAAATTCAGGGTTTTGTTGTTGTTGTTGTTTGTTAGTCAGTGTCACCTCTATTAAAAGCTATCCTCCACAAATAAATACTGTTTACATGGCTCTTATGAAGCATGGGGGCCAATGCTAAATACTTCGTATATATTATGTCATTAACTTTCACATGTCACCCTATGAGGAAAATATTATTCTTATTTTACAGATAATCATATTGAGCCTCAGAGAAAAGAGCATCTTCTGCCACCCCCAAATCTTCTAAAAATCCTCATGAAAATCTCTTTCTAAGAGGAGGATATTATCTAGGATTGATCTACATTTGTAAAGGCTCTAGGAGACAAAATTTCCTTTCTTCACTGACTTCTAACCCTTTAGGCTCCACCATCTCCTCCCTTCCACTCATCTCTCTCCTCCTCACCCCACCAAACACACAAAAACCAAAAACATGCATGTGCACTCTTTTGAACAGAAACCCTTACATGGGAGAAAGTTTTGCCGTATGAGTTGTTGTCAGTTTCTAATATTTTATGAAGGAAATGAACATAAAAACAACACAGGAACAGCTTTATACCATTACAGCAAGTAGAGGTAAAACACATCTTCAACTCTGCATACCTCTGTATAATCATGAAGCTCCAAGATCGGTCAAACTGACTGAATAAAGAAATTTCTGGCAAGGTGAGGAGGAGGAGAAATAGAACTTCTGTGATCATTTTGTTAGAAACAGGAAGAGCACATATAACACTATCTTATATGCCCACACAGACAGTTTAGGAGAACTGTTTATTCAAATGATTCATTTCAACCAACTTTGTTAATTGAAACAGAGTCTCTCCATATTACATCAAAAATAACTTTTGTTTGCTGAGGTGAACAATTCTTTCTCTTTCTTCAAGGCATAAAACATAAAATTTATATAAGAAAAAAAGTTAATTAGAAAAAATAAAACTGTATCAAAGATATTTGTATGCCAATGAAGTAAACTATAATTGAGAAACATACAAATATTACAAATATTGAAGATGATGAAAATAAATGTCACTAAAATTATAGATTTTCCTGGTAGATATAAAAGACATAGGACAAAATATATGAAAATATATAATTAGGCCAAACATAACCATTTTTTTAGAAACAAAAGTATAAATATCTAATTGATATTCTAATTATATTTCTGAGATTTCAATTATTTATTGTTTTAGGTGAGAGTCTTAATTAGGAAAATTAGAGACCACAAATAAGTGGACATAGATATGAATTTCCAGTTATTTTTATATGTTATTAAGTTAAAATTAACTCATTCATTCATTTGGCAACCACGCTGAGCCAGGCCAAATGCCAGGCCATGCAGAAGGAGCAGTAAATGGAGTTTCCACTCAAGTTTTTGAGGTTACTGTTAAGTGTAAGTAGTGATATGCCTAAAATTTTGATTAGATCTTATTTATAAGTGCCTTTTTACTCTTAAAATGGGAGCTTTATAATTAGCTAATTATTATTCCCTCAAATTGTACTTAGTATTCCATCTGTAGATGCACACAACTGACATTAAATAGATATAAACCTACCAGTTTTTCTAGTTTCTCTATTTTAAAACACTACTAAAGAAATAAAAAATTAATTATTTTAAGATGCAAACATTTGTATACGTACCATTTTAGAATGAGATTTTGCTAATGTATATTGTACTTGTGGATGTTTAATTCTTAGAGTTTACTGTCTAAATCTCTTCTCCAAAGGTTAAATACAACTTTCTACAGTTTATTTCTGTTATCAGATAATCCCTATTCTATTATAAAATTCAGAAGATTCTAGTAATTAGTCTTGGTAATCTCAAATATGAGTTTGACAATATGCATCCTAAATGAATCTTACGGGAAGAGAACAACTTCGTTTAATGTTATTAATATTCCTGATAAGCATTCAGTGGACAATTCCAGGACAGGATCTTGATGACATCATAGACCTTGGAACAACGCTCGAATTATTACATTATAACATAGAATTTTCATGCATTATTTTGATTTTTAGTGTCTAAAATGTCACTCTATTCAATGAGCAAGCTCAAAATAAATGAGCATTTTCTCAGTACTAAGGATAAATCATTTCCTACCCATTTTCCCTATAATTTTAGCGTTGGAACCACCATTCTTTTTAACTATGTCATTAGTCTATGATTTTATTAAGGAATGAGAAATCTTATAAACCTAGTTATTTCCTCTGAAACATTCTCATTTGACCACTTTACACTAGTTATATATTTTCAATTAACAGTCCATCAAAAGACCCGGAGGGTAGGATGAGTGGTCCATTTTCTATGATTACATAGTAAAAGGTAAATAACTAGGATACAGGATATTTTTAAGATGTGCTAATTCTAATTATAATTACTATAATAATTACAGAAAAGGTAACTCCAATATTTTTCCAATTATTATAATTTTGGTCTTATAATATTTTTATTTCTTGAAAATTGTTAAGAATACAATTACAATACCTTGCAGGAGTAATATGAAGCCAGAAAATATTGGGTTTGCTTTTAAAGTTTCAGGACAAGTTTTCAAAATGCTAAAATATTATACAAAAATGAAATAGAGGCTGGGCATGGTGGTTCATGCCTGTAGGTAGCCAGCACTTTGGGAGGCCGAGGAGGGAGGATCACTTGAGGGCAGGAGTTCGAGACGAACCTGGCCAACATGGTGAAACCCCGTCTCTATGAAAAATACAAAAATTAGCTGGGTGGGGTGGCATGTGCCTGTAATCCCAGCTACTTGGGAGGCTGAGGCAGGAGAATCACGTGAACCCGGGAGGCAGAGGTTGCAGTGAGCTGACACCACACCACTGCACTCCAGTTTGGGCAACAAGAGTGAAACTCTGTCTCAAAACAACAACAACAACGACAAAATGAAATAGAAGTCTGAACTTTCACAAGTGAGAGAATACTACTCTTAAGTGGTATGAAACTGGTTACAAATTTATTTATTGGTCCAAGGAACTGACATGTTTTTGATCACCTATTCTGTGCCAGGTTTTTTTCTAGACACTAGAATAATAAACGAGGCAGATATAGTTTCCGCTCTCATTAAACTTACATTTTGGCCAAATTAAACAACAATAATAAGAAAATAACATGAACAAGAAAACTATGAGATAAATGCTACATGGATAATTCAAATACAGTAATTTTAAAGAGTGACCCAGGTGGGGCAGCTCATGCCTGTAATCCGCAGCACTCTGGGAGGCTGAAGCAGGAGAATCCTTTGAGTCCAGGAGTTCAAGACCAGCCTGAGCAACACGACAAAACCCTGCTTCTATTTAAAAAAAAGTTGGGGGGTGGTGGGGGGACGGGCACGGTGGCTCATACGTATAATCCCAGCACTTTGGGAGGCCGAAGTGGGCGGATCATGAGGTCAAGAGATCAAGACCATCATGGCCAACATGGTGAAACCCTGTATCTACTAAAAATACAAAAATTAGCTGGGCGTGGTGGCGCACGCCTGTAGTCCCAGCTACTCAGGAGGCTGAGGCAGGAGAATTACTTGAACCCGGGAGGCGGAGGTTGCAGCGAGCCGAAATTGTGCCACTGCACTCCAGCCTGGCAATAGAGCGAGACTCCATCTCAAAAAAAAAAAAAAAAAAAAAAAAAAGGGGAGGGGGGCGACTTGATGGCCATTCTTTCGTTGCTAAGGGGAAGGCCCCACTGAAGAGGTGGCATTGAACAGAGATCTGAGTGACAAGAAGCCAGCAATGTGAAGTTCAGAGCATTTCATGTAGAGCATTCCAGCCAAGGCAAATGTTCTAAGGCAGGAACTAGCTTAACATGCTTAAAGAACTCCAAGAATGTCAATTCGCTATGGTGGAGTGGATAAAAAGGAGTAGGAAGCAATGAGGTCAGAGATAGGGGTGGGGCTATCTCATATTTTAGGACAGGGTAGGGATTTATGTTTATGTTCTCAGAAGAATGAGAAGTAATGGAAGCATTTTAAGCAGAGAAATCGCATTTTACATTTTAAAATAATTACTTTGGCCTCTTTCTGCTTATGCGGGGGTGGGAGGGAAGAGAGTGCATGCAGGAAGCTGAGTTTAGGGCTTACTGCAGTGTCTACATGAGACAATATAGTGTCATAAACTGATGTGACAGTTGCAGAGATAGAGGGAAAAGGGTGGATTCGAGATATATATTTGGTAACATAAAGGTCAGAGTTTGCTTTTGGATTGAATATGGAGCCGGGGGAGAGGAGAATTGAAGGATTTTCAGATTTTTGCCTTAAGTGACTGGGTGGATGGATAATGTTACTATTTATTAAGGTGGAGAAGAGTAGAAAGGAGTGGGTTCCATTTGAAATATGTTAGAAATCTGGGTGGAGGTGCTAAAGAAGCAATTGCCTTTGCAAAGTTTGGAGTCCCAGGAGAAATCAGGATTGGAGATACAAATCTGGAAGTCACTGGCATATGGATAGTATTTAAAAGCCATGGGCCTGGATGGGGCAGATAAGAGGAGCTCATAGATTAAAAAGAGAAGATTGCCTGGAAAATGCCTAAATAATATTCTAAAGCAGTTGAGATTTAAGTTGTTAGAAGAAAAAATTTAGAGAAAAAAACAATAAGTTCAGTTTTTAGTACATTATAGTTGAAGATATCTAAGTGAAGACATCAAGTAGGTGGTGGGGTATGCATTTGGAATTGAGGGGAGAGATCTGAGCTTTTAAAAGGATTGTTCCTCAAAACAGAAGGGCAAAAAACACAACTTTTTAGCCTACCTCCAAACAACACCCAAACCCAGCCCTTCTGTACAACATGAACATTGCTAACCAATATTTTCCTAATAACAGAAAGCACAAGGAAAATAAACTTTTCTGAGGGGCAATATTTTTATACTTGCATTTTCTTAATGTTTTTGCCAAGAGTTTATATCTCAGCAATGTGTATTTAATTCTCCGATTTTTGATTCTTGGAGAAGAGTTTAGTGTCTGAAGTTAAGGTATAAGAAATAATATCCAAAAGCTGTGTCAACTTCCAGAAGTTAAATTTCATCAGTTCATCCCTATTCTAACAAAAAATTTGGAGGATTCTGGGTATTTGCACTATCTTCAAATATATATGCCTTCAAATATACAAGTTGATTCATACACCATATCATACTGCATATATTCATATACTATATCTTTTCTTCTATGCTATAGGAGATGCTCCCTCATTAGACTGTGAGCCTCACAAGGGTTTAGGTCTTGTCTGTTTTCACCACTGTATCCTAAAAAGTAAGCAAAAGCAAATAAAAAATCAAGGAGAGAGGAGTCAATAAAGGCAAAGAAATGGGCAGGGAACCAGAGGGTAGCAGAGGAAGCACACGACATGCAAAACCTGAGCACAGCTAGAGCAACAGGCAGGGGAGGACTCGAAAAAAGAGGGGAAACAACGTGGTGGAGATGGGGGAGAGGGATAGGATGACCCAGGGGTCAGAGAGCAAGGAGGAGGGACGAGAAGGAAGGATGCAGGACAGGAGGGAGCAAGATGGGTAAGGGAGGCAGGGAGAAGAAGGGCCAGAAGAAAAGGGGACTTTTTAGATTTCAAGTAATAGGAGAGAGGGGAGGCAAATGAGCCCAGGGGAGCAAGAGAGGGGATGTAAGACAAAAAGGAAATGAGACACCTTGTTTGAAAGCACTTACTCTATATCAGGAACTAAAGAAATATTAGTTTCACTCATTCAAATTAATTTCAAACTCGATTTCCTTAAAAAAAATCCTAAATCCTTCTGAAATAAAGTCAATTTTATGGCAAACAACAGAATACTGTAGTGGTTAGGAGAATGGGTTTGAATACCATTGCCACCCAGAATTATCTGAGGGTCTGGCAAAGGGGAATTGTTTGATACCACTAAGGGTGTAGAGAAAAACAGAAGTTTATAAAGATAGTACCTCAAGACAGGGATGCCCTCTCTCACCACTCCTATTCAACATAGCGTTGGAAGTTCTGGCCAGGGCAATTAGGCAGGAGAAGGAAATAAAGGGTATTCAATTAGGAAAAGAGGAAGTCAAATTGTCTCTGTTTGCAGACGACATGATTGTATACCTAGAAAACCCCATTGTCTCAGCCCAAAATCTCCTTAAGCTGATAAGCAACTTCAGCAAAGTCTCAGGGTACAAAATCAATGTGCAAAAATCACAAGCATTCTTATACACGAATAACAGACAAACAGAGAGCCAAATCATGAATGAACTCCCATTCACAATTGCTTCAAAGAGAATAAAATACTTAGAAATCCAACTTACAAGGGATGTGAAGGACCTCTTCAAGGAGAATTACAAACCACTGCTCAATGAAATAAAAGAGGATACAAACAAATGGAAGAACATTCCATGCTCATGGATAGGAAGAATCAATATTGTGAAAATGGCCATACTGCCCAAGGTAATTTATAGATTCAATGCCATCCCCATCAAGCTACCAATGACTTTCTTCACAGAATTGGAAAAAACTACTTTAAAGTTCATATGGAATCAAAACAGAGCCCGCATCACCAAGTCAATCCTAAGCCAAAAGAACAAAGCTGGAGGCATCATGCTACCTGACTTCAAACTATACTACAAGGCTACAGTAACCAAAACAGCATGGTACTTGTACCAAAACAGAGATATAGATCAATGGAACAGAACAGAGCCCTCAGAAATAACGCCATGTATCTACAAGTATCTGATCTTTGACAAAACTGAGAAAAACAAGCAATGGGGAAAGGATTCCCTATTTAATACATGATGCTGGGAAAACTGGCTAGCCATATGTAGAAAGCTGAAACTGGATCCCTTCCTTACACCTTACACAAAAATTAATTCAAGATGGATTAAAGACTTAAACGTTAGACCTAAAACCATAAAAACCCTAGAAGAAAACCTAGGCATTACCATTCAGGACATAGGCATGGGCAAGGACTTCATGTCTAAAACACCGAAAGCAATGGCAACAAAAGCCAAAATTGACAAATGGGATCTAATTAAACTAAAGAACTTCTGCACAGAAAAAGAAACTACCATCAGAGTGAACAGGCAACCTACAAAATGGGAGAAAATTTTCACAATCTACTCATCTGACAAAGGGCTAATATCCAGAATCTACAATGAACTCAAACAAATTTACAAGAAAAAAACAAATAACCCCATCAAAAAGTGGGCAAAGGATATGAACAGACACTTCTCAAAAGAAGACATTTATGCAGCCAAAATACACATGAGAAAATGCTCATCATCACTGGCCATCAGACAAATGCAAATCAAAACCACAATGAGATACCATCTCACACCAGTTAGAATGGTGATCATTAAAAAGTCAGGAAACAACAGGTGCTGGAGAAGATGTGGAGAAATAGGAACACTTTTACACTGTTGGTGGGACTGTAAACTAGTTCAACCATTGTGGAAGTCAGTGTGGCAATTCCCCAGGGATCTAGAACTAGAAATACCATTTGACCCAGATATCTCATTACTGGGTATATACCCAAAGGACTATAAATCATGCTGCTGTAAAGACACATGCACTCGTATGTTTATTGCAGCAGTATTCACAATAGCAAAGACTTGGAACCAACCCAAATGTCCAACAATGATAGACTGGATTAAGAAAATGTGGCACATATACACCATGGAATACTATGCAGCCATAAAAAATGAAGAGTTCATGTCCTTTGTAGGGACATGGATGAAATTGGAAATCATCATTCTCAGTAAACTATCGCAAGGACAAAAAACCAAACACCGCATGTTCTCACTCATAGATGGGAATTGAACAATGAGAACACATGGACACAGGAAGGGGAACATCACACTCTGGGGACTGTTGTGGGGTGGGGGATGGGGGAGGGATAGCATTAGGAGAGATACCTAATGCTAAATGACGAGTTACCTAATGCTAAATGACGAGTTAATGGGTGCAGCACACCAGCATGGCACACGTATACATATGTAACTAACCTGCACATTGTGCACATGTACCCTAAAACTTAAAGTATAACAATAATAAAAATAAATAAATAAATAAATAATAAAAAAATAAAAAAATAAAAAAAAGATAGTACTTCTCCAGCTGTAAAGCACATACGTTAACTTAATATGCACAATAACTTTATGAGGTGAGAAAACCGAGGCACCTAGAAATTTAAGTAACTGGCCCAAGGTCACAGATCTTACAAGTGAAAGAGCTGGGTTTTTAACTCAAGCAGTGTGGTTTTGGAATTAGTGATTTTATTCACTACATACACAGACTCTGAAAGAGATTAACAGAAAGTGTATAAACATAATTTGAGAACATAATTACCCTAAAAATGATGGATCTTATTCATGATCAAAACAGCAATTATAACTAGAGAAACAAGGCTCTTTCACACTATTTCTAAAGGAGAATCGGTAATAAAAAGATAAAATCAGGAGAAAATACGACAAAAGTCCATTGTGACCAGTACATTCTACTAATAACAGCTTCTTGAATTGGATAATTTTATTTTGGACTTTTTTGTTCTTCTTCCTGTTTTCTCTTTCATGTAATGAATCTGTTGCTAAAATCCACTCTAAATTTTCTGCAGAATTATTTTTAGGATTGTCGTTTCTTCTTCTAAGGAAACTAGCAGGGTGCCACAGCTGGATTAATAAAGAATTTGGAGCGAGAGAGATGAATGTCAGTGGAAGCAGATAATAGCCAACAGTTATAATCAATTTCCTTTGAATTAAATATTTTAATTGCTCCTCAAATCCTGTGTCACTTAGAATCCTCACTGGATGTGAATCTATGAATCAGGGTTAGCAGCTCATAAGGACTGTCCCCGCATGGCCCTAAGATATTGGAAAAGGAGAAGGAGGAGGAGGCATTTCTCCTACTAGTCCTTGCCATGGACATTAACTACACCCTGCAGTCCAGGGCCATTCTGCATAATATATTGTGGGAAGACAAGGATGACATGAGAAGATACTTTTAAAATGGGAAATTTCTCCCTAAACACCGCAAATTTCTCTATAAACAAGAAACACATAGACTCACTTTTTCATTGTAGATGTCCCCAAGCATTGTACTTGCTCTCACCAAATCTAGGCTTTGAAAATTGTTTCTTGCAATTTTCACAAATTTTTTCAAGTATTTAATTGCTTCTGTCATCTCTCCTTGGCTAGAATGAATGAAATAGGAAGTCAATGGAGTATCATCTCACTTAATGTCACAGTAAAGAGGAAGTATCTTGTGTCTTTGCTGTAGAAAATGCAAGATGGTTATCAGGATAATAAGATTTAATGTGTAAATACCAAATTAAAATATATGGCTTGTTTTTCTTGGAGCACACATTGAGTTAAAACTTAAACTTTTAAATCCTCATGCATTGCTAACAGAAATGTAAAATGGTACATCTTCTGGGGAAAACAGCTTGGAAGTTCCTCAAAAACTTTAACATAGAGTTACCATATGACCCAGAAATTTTACTCCAAAATATATACCCAAGTGAAGCAAAAATATGTCAACACAAAAAGTCATATACATGAAAGTTCATAGCAGCATTATTCATAATAGCCAAGGCATGAAAACAATTGAAATGTATATCAACTGATGAATGGGTAAACAAAATGTGTTGTATACCTACAATGAAATATTATTCAGTCTTAAAAAAGAATGAGGTAGGCTGGGCACGGTGGCTCATGCCTGTAATCCCAGCACTTTGGGAGGCCCAGGTGGGCGGATCACGAGGTCAGGAGATTGAGACCATCCTGGCTAACATGGTGAAACCCCATCTCTACTAAAAATATAAAAAATTAGCCAGGCATGGTGGTGGGCACCTGTAGTCCCAGCTACTCAGGAGGCTGAGGCAGGAGAATGGCATGAACCTGGGAGGCGGAGCTTGCAGTGAGCTGAGATCACAGCCTGGGCAACAGAGCAAGACTCCTGTCTCAGAAAGAAAAAAAAAAAAGAATGAGGTAGTGATACATGTTGCAACATGGATGAAACTTGAAAATATGCTAAGTGAAAGAAGCCAGACAACAAAAGATCACACACCATATAAGCCCATTTATACGACATGTCCAGAATGGCAAATCCATGAGATGGAAAGTAGGCTAGTGGTCGCTAGAGGCTGAGGAAAGTGGAGGATTGAGAAATGACAAATAATGGGTACAAGGTTTCCTTTTAGGGTGATTGAAATTAGATAGCGGCCATGGTTGCTCAACCCCATGAGTACACTAAAAACCACTGAATTGTAGACTTTAAATTTTTAAAGTGAGGACTCTTTTAAATTGAAGGCTTTTAAAGTCTACAATTGTTAAAGTCATAATTGTATAGCATAAGAATTATGTCTCACTAAAGCTGTTTTTAAAAAAAAACTTTTAAAAGTTTATAAAAGGCGAATACTAGCTTACTCTTGAAAGCTTTCATTGGTAGTGAAAGCTCAGGTGTCACTAAAGTCACATATACAAGTGTTACATATCCTCACAAAATGTTCAGGAAGACATATAATTTCTAGCAGAGAATTTGGCATATAGTAAGCATTAATACATTTTTCAATGAAGTAATGTTGAAAATTTGAGAAGGGAGACACATATGCTGCACACATGAAAGCTAAGCATCCAGGTAAACTGTGAGAACCTTAAGGCATATAGATGTTTGGAGTCTATGATTGTAAACTCCTGACCCTTGGATATTCCAGTAACATCAAGAAACTTTGGGAGCCTAGCAAATGTCCCAAAATTTGCTAGTTGCTGGGGAATAAGGTTCCTGTGCTTGAAGAGTTTCACTGTCAATTTGGAGAAATAAGTGTATAAATTCATACATGGGATCAATTGTGACAGGTACTGACTTGTATACAGTGCTTTGAAACCTGGAGTACATTCACTCACCTATCCTCGTAAGAACATGTCTAGTGTTTTTTTTTTTTTTTTTTTTTCTGGGTTTTCTAAGTGTGACTCCAAATTCTTTTAGCTATTTCTAAAGACCGAACCCACCTCTCAACTGGGGCTATTTAAAAGAACATGTTGCAAGTTCAGAAAGTATTTTCTTTTAAAAAAAAAAAAAAGGGATACATGTGTAGAACACACAGGTTTGTTACATAGATCTACCTGGGCCATGGTGGTTTGCTGCACCTATTGATCCATCCTCTAAGTTCCCTCCCCTCAATCCCCACCTTTCAACAGGCCCTGGTGTGTGTTGTTCTCCTTTCTGTGTCCTTGTGTTCTTAGTGTTCAACTCCCACTTGTGTGAGTGAGAACATGTGGTGTTTGGTTTTCTGTTCCTGTGTTAACTTGCTGAGGATGGTGGTTTCCAGCTTCATCCGTGTCCCCACAAAGCACATGATCTCATTCTTTCAATGGCTGCATAGTATTCCATGGTGTATATGTACCACATTTTCTTTATCCAGTCTATCATTGATGGGCATTTGGGTTAGTTCCATGTCTTTGCTATTGTAAATAGTGCTGCAATAAACATATGTGTGCATGTGTCTTTATAGTAGAATGATGTAGGTTTACTGAATCATTTTCTGGATCCTTTGGGTATATATCCAGTAATGGGATTGCTGGGTCAAATGATATTGCTGCTTCTAGATCTTTGAGGAATCACCATACTGTCTTCCACATTGGTTGAACTAATTTAACTTCCACCAACAGTGTATAAGTGTTCCTATTTCTCCACAGCCTCACCAGAATCTATTGTTTCCTGACTTTTTAATAGTTGTCATTCTGACTGGCGTGAGATGGTATCTCATTGCGGTTTTGATTTGCATTTCTCTGAAGATCAGTGATGTTGAGCTTTTTTTCATGTTTGTTGGCTGCATAAATGTCTTCTTTTGAGAAGTGTCTGTTCATATCCTTTTTCCACTGTTTGATGGGGTTGTTTGTTTTTTTCTTGTAAATATATTTAAGTTCCTTGAAAATTCTGGATATTAGACCTTTGTCAAATGGGTGGATTGCAAAAGTGTTCTCCCATTCTGTAGGTTGCCTGTTCACTCTGATGATAGTTTCTTTTGCTATGCAGAAGCTCTTTAGTTTAATTAGATCCCATTTGTGAATTTTTGTTTTTGTTGCAATTGCTTTTGGTGTTTTTGCCATGACGTCATTGCCTGTGCCTATGTCCTGAATGGTATTGTCTAGGTTTACTTCTAGGGTTTTTATGGTTTGGGGTTTTACATTTAAGTCTTTAATTCATCTTGAGTTAGTTTTTGTATAAGGTGTAAGGAAGGGGTCAAGTTTCAGTTTTCTGCATATGGCTAGCCAGTTTTCCCAGCACCATTTACTGAATAGGAGATCCTTTCCCCATTGATTGTTTTTGTCAGGCTTCTTGAAGATCAGATGATTGTAGATGTGTGGTGTTATTTCCGAGGTCTCTGTTCTGATCCACTGGTCTATATGTCTGTTTTGGTATGAGTACCATGCTGTTTTGGTTGTAGCCTTGTAGTATAGTTTGAAGTCAGGTAGCATGATGCCTCCAGCTTTGTTCTTTTTGCTTAAGATTGTCCTGGCTATATGGGGTCTTCTTTGATTCCACATGAAATTTAAAATAGTTTTCTCTAATTCTGTGAAGAATGTCAATGGTAGTTTGATGGGAATAGCATTGAATCTATAAATTACTTTGAGCAGTATGGCCATTTTCATGATACTGATTCTTCCTATCCATGGGGATGGAATGTTTCTCCATTTGTTTGTTTTCTCTCTTATTTCCTTCAGTAGTGGTTTGTAGTGCTCCTTGAAGAGGTCCTTCACATCTCTTGTTAGCTGCATTCCTAGGTATTTTATTCTCTTTGTAGCAATTGTAAATGGGAGTTCATTCATGATTTGGCTCTCTGCTTGCCTACTGTTGGTGTAAAGGAATACTTGTGATTTTCACACATTGATTTTGTATCCTGAGACTTTGTTGAAGTTGCTTCTCAGCTTCAGGAGATTTTGAGCTGAGACAATGGGATTTTCTAAATATACAATCATGTCATCTGCAAACAGAGACAATTTCACTTCCTCTCTTCCTCTTTGAATACCCTTTATTTCTTTCTCTTGCCTGATTGCCCTGGCCAGAACATCCAATACTATGTTGAATAGAAGTGGTGAAAGAAGGTATCCTTGTCTTGTGCCAGTTTTCAAAGGAAATGCTTTCAGCTTTTACCCATTCAATATGATATTGGCTGTGGGTTTGTCATAAATAGTTCTTATTATTTTGAGAGATGTTCCATCAATACCCAGTTTATTGAGAGTTTTTAACATGAAGGGGTGTTGTATTTTATCGAAGGCCTTTTCTGCATCTATTGAGGTAATCCTGTTGTTTTTGTCATTGGCTCTGTTCATGTGATGGGTTACATTTATTGATTTGCTTATGTTGAGCCAGCTTTGCATCCCAGGGATGAAGCTGACTTGATCATGGTGGGTAAGTTTTTAATGTGCTGCTGGAATCAGTCTGCCAGTATTTTATTGAGAATTTTCACATTGATGTTCATCGGGGATATTGGCCTGAAATTTTCTTTTTTTTTGTGGTGTCTTTTCCTGATTTTGGTATCAGGATGATGCTGGCTTCATAAAATGAGTTAGAGGAAATTCCTTCCTTTAAATTGTTTGGAATAGTTCCAGAAGGAATAGCATCAGTTCCTCTTCATATATCTGGCAGAATTCACCTGTGAATTTGTCTGATCCTGGGCTTTTTTGGTTGTTAGGCTATTAATTACTGCCGCAATTTCAGAGCTTGTTATTGGTCTATTCAGGGATCCAACTTCTTCCTGGTTTAGTCTTGGTAAGGTGTATGCATCCAGGAATTTATCCATTTCTTCTAGATTTTCTAGTTTATTTGTGTATAGTTGTTTACCATATTCTCTGTTAGTAGTTTGTATTTCTGTGGGGTCAGTGGTGATATCCCCTTTATCATTTTTTATTGTGTCTATTTGATTCTTCTCTCTCTTCTTCTATATTAGTCTTGCTAGCAGTTTATCTATTTTATTAATTTTTTCATAAAACCAGCTCCTGGATTCATTGATTTTTTGGAGGGTTTTTCATGTTTCTATCTCCCTCAATTCTTCTGTGATGTTAGTTATTTCTTGTCTTCTGCTAGCTTTTGGATTAGTTTGCTCTTGCCTCTCAAACTCTTTTAATTGTGAGGTTAGCATGTTTATTTTAGATCTTTCCCACTTTCTCCTGTGGGCATTTAGTTCTATAAATTGCCCTTTTAACACTGCTTTAGCTGTGTCTTAGAGTTTCTGTTATGTTGTCTCTTTGCTCTCATTGGTTTCAAAGAACTTCTTAATCTCCATCCTAATTTCGTTATTTATCCAGTAGTCATTCAGGAGCAAGGTGTTCAATTTCCATGTAATTTTGCAGTTTTGAGTGAGTTTCTTAATCCTGAATTCTAATTTGATTGCACTGTGATCTGAGAGACTGTTGGTTATGAGTTCAGTTCTTTTGCATTTGCTGAGGAGTGTTTTACTTCCAATTATGTGGTCAATTTTAGAATAAGTGCCATGTGGCACTGAGAAGAATGTATGTTCTGTTGATTTGGGGTAGAGAGTTCTGTAGCTGTCTACTAGGTCCACTTGATCCAGAGCTGAGTTCAAGTCCTGAATATTCTTGTTAATTTTCTGTCTCGTTAATCTGCCTAATACTGACAGTGGGTTGTTAAAGTCTCCCACAATTATTGTGTGGGAGACTAAGTCTCTTTCTAGGTCTCTAAGAACTTGTTTTATGAATCTGGGTGCTCCTGCATTGGGTGCATATATATTTAGAATAATTAGTCCTTCTTGTTGAATTGTTCCCTTTACCATTATGTAATGCTCTTCTTTGTCTTTTTGGATCGTTGTTGGTTTAAAGTCTGCTTTGTCAGAGACTAGGATTGCAACCCCTGCTTTTTTTTTTAAAAAAATTTCCATTTGCTTGGTAAATTTTTCTTCATCCCTTTATTTCAAGCCTGTGTGTGTCTCTGCAGGTAAGATGGGTCTCTTGAATACAGCACACCAATGGGTCTTGACTCCTTATCCAATTTGCCAGTCTGTGTCTTTTAATTGGGGCATTTGGCCCACTTACATTTAAGGTTAGTGTTGTTATGTGTGAATTTGATCCTGTCATCATAATGCTATGTGGTTATTTTGCACACTAGTTAATGCAGTTTCTTCATAGTGTCATTGGTCTTTATATTTTGGTGTGTTTTTGCAGTGGCTGGTACCAGTTTTTCCTTTCCATATTTAGTGCTTCTTTCAGGGAAGCACCAGGAAAGGCCTGGTGGTAACAAAATCCCTCAGCATTTGCTTGTCTGGAAAGGATTTTGTTTCTCATTCACTTATGAAGCTTAGTTTGACTGGATATGAAATTCTGGATTGAAAATTATTTTCCTTAAGAATGTTGAATATTGGCCCCCAATCTCTTCTAGCTTGCAGAGTTTCTGCTGAGATGTCTGCTGTTAGTCTGATGGGCTTCCCTTTGTAGGTGACCTGGCCTTTCTTTCTGGCCACCCTTAACAGTTTTTCCTTCATTTTGACCTTGGAGAATCTGATGATCATGTTTCTTGGGTTTGATCTTCTCATGGAGTATCTTAATGGAATTCTCTGTATTTCCTGAATTTGCATGTTGGCCTATCTTGCTAGGTTGGGAAAATTCTCCTGGATAATATCCTGAAGCGTATTTTCCAGCTTGTTTCCATTCTCCCCCTCTCCTCTGGTACTCCAATCATTTGTAGGCTCGGTCTTTTTATGAAGTCCCATATTTCTTGGAGGCTTTGTTCATTCCTTTTCATTCCTTTTCCTCTATTCTTGTCTGCATGTCTTATTTCAGTAAGGTGGCCTTCAAACTCTGATATGCTTTCTTCTGCTTGGCTGTTGATACTTGTGTATGCTTCATGAAGTTCTCATGCTGTGTTTTTCAGCTCCATCAGGTCGTTTATGTTCCTCTCTAAACTGGTTATTCTAGTTAGGAATTCCTCTAACCTTTTATCGAGGTTCTTAGCTTGTTTGCATTGGGTTAGAACATGCTCCTTTAGCTCATCGTAGTTTTTTATTACCTATCTTCTGTAGCCTACTTCTGCCACTTCATCCATTTGATCCTTCATCCATGTCTGTGCCCACATCCCTTGGCTGGAGGGAGGGGGCTCCCCTTCCCCATGTGGCTCTCAGGTGGGCCACCACACCACACTGCTCTTCCCTCTCTCCGTGGGTCCTGCCTGCCTTCTAGTCAATTTTGATGACAGCATCTGGATAACTTGGTTGCTGGTGAAGGATTCACACACTTATTATGGTTTATTCTGATGGGAGCCCCAGCTTCTTGTAGGCCATCTTGGCCCCGCCCCCACAGTAGCATTTCTATATGCCCCAGAAGGTATTTTCAAAGAAGTTTATTTTAAACAAGTATTGGTAGGATTAGGGTTATCTCCTTGCATAACCTCCCAAGGTTTGGAAAACATTCATTTTCACAGGTAAACAGTGATATGTTTTTAAAAATAAGTTAGATTACTTTAAAGTCAAAATGAGTTATGGTGGAATTTAGAAAGATGTACGTTTGAATCTCAGCTCAGCCTCTTAGATTAATAACTTTGATCATACTAAAGTTATGAAACTGAAGAAAACTTTTGTCTCTTCATTTCAAAAATGGCCACAAGTGGCTGTGGGATTAAAAATTGTGTAAATGTATAGCTTGGCATGTAGTAGGGATTCAATAAATGGCACTAGTGTTATTATTATCTCTCAGTGAAATAAACAACTATCACATTCACAGCTCTCTACTTGACATTGTCTACCACAAGCCAAGAGGCAAATTCAATTTAGCTAAGCAATCCTTCCTGAAAACATTCATCATGTGATGAATTAAACATCCTTGATTTTAATGTATGCTCTGCAAATCAGTCACATAAAGTCCTGGTGTCTATTTTCTAAGGGGCAAAATCAAAGAGCTAACATTTTTTGTTTACTTGAGTATCAGGTACTATCAAATACATTTTTTTTCCTCTTATTGGTAAAAGAGTCTTCTACATATCAGAAATAGGATGAAATTTTATGTTACTGCAGCTGTGAATACTTTTTATAATTCTGTCCTCACTTTTTCATACTAAAATTATGACCGATCTTCCACATATAGGCATAGGTCAATTCTCCAGAAAAATCATGAATTATTGGAGGAAATTTTCAAATGCAGGCATAGAGTAAAATATAATGAGAGGTTCACCGATTATTTTAATTTAAATATTTGTTTTGTGAAACTAAAAGTTATTGAGAGAACTTGAGTATAAAATATTAATAAAGAAAATACATTATTTAGAATTTTGAGTGAACTTATGGATTTCTAGGGCTAAAAATGTTCTATCAAATTGTTAATTTTTTACACTCTTTCCTAGGCTATACTATTCAAGAAAAAATTGATGGGGGAAACATGATGATTTCTCTGAATATCACTTCAAAACCTTAGGGAAAATTATTATTATTAATTATTTAGCTAAGATGGACTCACTGAAGCTTATTTATGTTCATGTTTCTAAAAACCAATATATTTTTGAAGAAAGTACATTTTGAATTAGATTTGGCCTGCTGAGGATTGTTAAATCAAGATATATACAAACAAAGAAACAAGCAAAAAAAACTAAGTTTAGAGTATGAGAAACACAAAATAGTATAAATAAAACTATTGCTGGGTAATTCATGTCATTTTTCTTCCAAAGGAGCAATAGATCTCCAAAACATACAAAATTATCTGGAACTTGCTCTAACAAATAATGCTAGAGAAAAAAGTCTTATTATTGTAAGTCATTTGCTTTACTCAATGAATGTATAGGTCTACAGCCAGCAAACTTGTTAATGTAACATCTGAAATATTAACATTATATGCTGGTTAAAGGTTTTCCAAATTTAAAAGTTAGTGACAGATTTAGAAGCCATTCTTTTTATGGAAGGGGAAAACACCAAATATTTTCTTACAGAAAGGGTACAGCTTATTTGTATAAGTTAAAGGACAAGGTTAAAATGTTAGATAAATATTAATTCCAGTTTTCTATATGCAGTGCACAGGTGCAACTTGAACAGCATATTATATGGTATAATCATTAAATTCATTCAACCAGACCTTAGAGAGTTAAAAACATATATTCGGAGGAACAGGACTCCTCGGTCCAAAGAATGAGAATGAAACAGTGCAGAATATTTGTGTATCAAGGTGATTCCAGTTTCCAACTGGGAAAACAGGACCGTTAACACCCACGTCCCTTGACAACTGTCCAATTATGTATATCACACTTGGCCTACTGTTTGCAGTAGAAGTAATCAATAAAGGATGTGGTTGAGTGAACATAGATTTTGGTTGAACCAATGCATGAAAACTTAATCATTTACTCAGAGAGAAGAAATCAAATAGAGCAGAGATGAAACAGCCACTAAGGGGTTTGTTGATTGTGCCACCAAGTTTGTGGGCCACAGATGAAAGTAATAAGGCAAATGGGATCAGTGACAGGAGAAAATGCAAAAAGCTGTTCTTAATTTCATGAATTAATAGATATGTTTTGATGTATTTTTTGGTCATTTTTAGGAAACTTCACATCAAAGCCTGGATGTTCCATTTTAAAGAATATATGAAAATTACTAGGGCGTGTCATTTCTCTCAAGCAAGAAAAAATTAATTTTCAGCTATAACAGAAAGGTAATTTTCACACTTGAAACTTTGTACTGATTGATTTAAAGATCTCCATTGTGGAAAGTTTTCTAGGAAATAATTTAACTTGAGTTTGCAAGAAAATTTACAATTGGTATGGAATAAACCCAGAGATGGGTTAGTTGTGACCAATATGTATTAAACATATTTTTGTGAATGTTTTTCTCTGTATTCTTTTAAATAATCTGAGTATTTTGGAAAGTTGTGGCATTTCTGTAAATGAACTACACTTCAGTAAATGAGGCAAAAAGAGAAACGCCATAAGGAAAATATAGGGATTTTCCCTCTCTGTATTTACTCAAACTGTCTGTCTGTATGATAATAATATTTACTTGTAATTTCTCAACTGGCTTTCTCTTTGTTTTATGGACCATAATTCTAGCTTTTATTGTAGTTTCACAAAGCAATTGTTAGTATTTTAGAGCATCAAATCTTTTCTTCACTATTATTCCAAGTAGGGGAAGAATGATATTATAAATGCTTATTTTCTGCTATGCTGCTTAAAGTCTTAACCAATTAATATTATTCAGATCAATGGCAAAAATAACAAAACTTGTTCACTTATTAACACCTTCCCCAATAACTCTAACACCAAGTCTGTATCTATTAATAATATCACCAGGCAGGCAACTCTGTATTACCAAATCCTCAGTCTTGAGGGATTGTGGTGTGTTTTTCAATTGAGGGCTTAGTATAAATTCTTATAACCATTTTAGAAGCTTCCAGCCTTAGATCTTATTCACCATTCATGCACGCTCAGCTGATGGCCTTAGACACACACTTATCCTAGACATGGCTATCCTCTTCCATTTCCTTTAAAGATATAAAATATATTTATAGAGATAGGTCTACCATTAGTGAAACTTGTGCAATTGCACAGGTTAGGAAAAAGAGATTTAGAGGTGATGCTAAGCTTCATATGCAACTTGATTTATTTCTCAGCTGCCACCACCATAATTTCCTCTATTTGGGCTGTAGTCTGTTTCTTGCACGTTGCTACTAACCTGAGAAGGACAATTTTGGGCTATGAAAGGGCTGGTACATGTGTGTGTTTGTGTTTATATGTGTGGGTATGTGCATGTATGTATGTGTGCACATGCATGTTTACTGAAGGATATAAAGCCTTTCAAGCAAAATGTTCTAAAAATGATCACAGAATTTACATCAAAGCATTTATACTATGAGTGGACTTGATTTAATAATGCTTTGCGCTATTCAGGATGCTGTTGTCTATCTTATAGAATTTTAGGTTTGGAAAATCTGCCTGTTAGTAGATCACTTTTTGAATTATTTTGCACAGATATTGAAATAATATGTGGAGGCTTGCACTCCCCTGAGTACTCCTCTATAACCAACAACAATGCTGCAAAATCACAGATTTGGATTGGAAAGCTGGTTGTAGCCTTGGGACACTTTTTCACTATGACCTCAGAATAAGCATCCCCTGCACTGTCTTGTGCATTGTGGCATTGTATAACATTATAAAATTAAGAATCCATGTCTACCATGAAATCACTGGTAGCTTTATTGTACTTTAGTAGATGGGAATTCTTTTTTTAATTAATTAAAAAAAATAGATAGGTTCTCACTATGTGGCCCAGGCTGGTCTCAAACTCTTGCACTCAAGTGATCCTCCCACTTTGGCCTCCCAAAGTGCTGGGATAACAAGTGTGAGCCATTGTGCCTGGCCAGGAATTCCTATAAAAAGAATTAGTTTACTTGGCATAAAAGTAAAATGGAGATAAATCTTCTTGCTCCTTTAAATGTTTGCCCTAAGGCACATTGGCAGGCTGCTGAGAGTGTTGGAACAGAA
Source organism: Homo sapiens (assembly GCF_000001405.40). Taxonomy (NCBI): domain Eukaryota; kingdom Metazoa; phylum Chordata; class Mammalia; order Primates; family Hominidae; genus Homo; species Homo sapiens. Next base: position 146,831,522 of record NC_000004.12, read on the forward strand.
TGGTCCCCAGTCCTACCCAAAACAAATTCAACTTCATGATATATCAAATATAGCTGTATCCCGTCCCACTCCCAAGCTCCAAATAATACTTAAATAGGCAAATTAAAACATCAGATTACCTGGTAGTGCCAAAATTCACCAGATAATTGTTCAACTCTTCACTTAGCCTTGACTGAATCGACCAGGAATTCAAATCCTGGGAAGGAGGCTAAAATATTCCAGATAAGAAGCAAGGCTAAGAGGTGAGAATTATTTGAAGACAGACTCATGTCTCTGGAAGTTTCAAAAATAATTATAAAGACCATCAGTAACCAAAGGGGCATTTCAATATTTGTCCAGTGAAATTGTAAGCGCTTAGTAGATGTTTATAAATAAATTTTCCCCTTGAAGTTTTATCTCTTTATTAATTAATTTATTTATTTTTGCGATGAGGTCTTGCTATGTTGCCCAGGTTGGAATCAAACTCCTGGGCTCCAGGGATCTTTCCATCTCAGCCTCCCAAGTAACTGAGATTACAGACACCCACCACCACACCCAGCTTATCTCTCCAGTTATGCTGGAACACAATGGAAATATCATTTTGTAAAAATTATTTTATAAACATGTTAGGGGACACATTTACATGCTACTACAAAGCAAAGCAAAGAATCCAATCTTTTTTTGCTGATTTTTGGGCAGTGATAACAGCAGAGTCAAGTAATTTCATAATCAAAATGTACAATCAACAGAGTTGATTAGTTCCAAACAGACATAAATTGAATTCTTATCAGTCTCTTCTTTGTATTCAACCACCTGTGTCTTCTGGGTTGTTGTTTGGAAGTAAAAGTTTTGAAAAATAGCTGAGTTGGTCTTCCATGGACTAGTTACCAATGTTTATTTAGAAGGATCACAACACTCACAGGCTGCTTGCCTTATCCATGACTGGCTCTGTCTTTCTTGGGTAAACACCCATACTCTCCTTCTTTTCCTTATTTTTTGAGACAGTTTCGCTCTTGATGCCCTGGCTGGAGTGCAGTCTTGGCTCACTGCAACCGCCACCTCCCAGGTTCAAGTGATTCTCCTGCCTCAGCCTCCCGAGTAGCTGGGATTACAGGAGCCCTCCTCCATGGCCAACTAATTTTGTGTGTGTGTGTGTGTGTGTGGTATTTTTAGTAGAGAGGGGGCTTCACCATGTTGGCCAGGCTGGTCTCAAACTCCTGACCTCAGGTGATCTGCTCACCTCGGCCTCTCAAAGTGCTGGGATTACAGGCGTGAGCCACCGTGCCTGGCCTCTCCTTCTAAATATGTCTGTGTTCCTAAACCATTTATCCAGTGATGACTGCGTTTTATTTATTTTGTAGGATATCTTTAATTTCATTGGTACTGATATTTTAAACTATGATTATTATATTAGTAATGGTACTTATATAATGATTCCAATTTTACCTCACTAGGTACTTTTTAATGTTTCAAATGCCTTTCAAATAACAATTTTACTTTTAAAACACCTCCTTGTATGTGTTTACAACTGAAGTACAAATGGGAAGAAATTAGAACTTAATACAATCTATATTACTACAGTTACTGCAACCAACATTACTATTATTAAAAAGCTCTATCTTGGATATAAGATAACATAGTAAAAACCAAGGCCTTAACTGATAACTTTTCTTATTGTTATTATTTCTTAAGTCATAATGCTACTCTATAACAATCAAATGGAGTAAACAATGATTGCAAGACAATGACTGAAGGGTGAATGATATATCTTCCATGGAAAAACAGGTATCAGAAGTTGTTCATATATCTAAAATTTTCTGTTTTAAATGAAATATTGGGAATATTGGTTTTAACCCCAATTGTTTATCCAGATGTGCTCAAAGGAGAGATGTCTTAATGGAAAAGCATGACTGAAGCATAAATGGAAACTTTCCTCAAAGAAGAGATCTGGAAAGGTTATGGTGAGCCACAGCCACTGAAGCGTACTACATATTTCTGTGCTGTCTGCTTTCTTAACTTGTGAGATGTGACCCGATTTTTTTCTCTTTTATTCAAGGTCATCACTAAACTTACAGAAAACCAAAAAGAAAATAATACGAAGGAGGCACAGACAAAGAAGAGTTTAGATGCATATTTTAAACTACCAAACTGGTTTAAAATAACTTATGATGAAAGGGTCACTTAAGAAGGGCACTGCTTAAAATTTAAGCAGGCAGTAATGGAAAGCGACAGACCTCAAACAATTTAAGCCTTTCACAGTTGAGTGAATTCACAGTGACAGCAAGATGAGAATGTGCTAACTTACCTCTGCAGGACCTTGGCTATGGCTTCATAGCCTCTCCCCAGACTGAGATCATCATCCAGGTCTGTGGAGATTTTACAGTAAGTGTCAAGGACCTATCAGGAAGAGAAATACATATTGAACATATAGCACAGCCAGATACGCTGATGTTTCATTTCATAACAGAAAAAAATAAAATTAATAGTTGGTTTTAATGTCTCTATAAAAAATTTTGTTGATTAAAAATTCATGTTGGTTTGGTTTATTTTTATCTATAGTATAACTTGTTTTGTGGCAATCTCTTTAAGCCATGACAGTGACGCCTTACTTTTGGAAAAAATAATTCTTTTCTTGCATAATTGCCCAAATCTTCCAATTTATATAACTTAGGTGTGAATAAATAATTTAATGGTTTTTACATTATTTTAAAATACGGGATTATTATCTAACGTAATATAAGGCAGATTATAATATTCTACTATGATAGCTTAAATATCACTTTTCTTTCTAAAAATAGCTATTTGAAAAGCATGAATTTAGGTGCCAGGCAATTTCTAAATCTATCATTTTATTAGATGCATAGCTCACCGTTTGTGCATGTATACAGTTTACACTAAAAATATTTCTTACAAATGTATTTCATTACCAACAATCTCTTCAATAATCAAAAGATTACAGCTGCCACAGCCAAACATGTGATCTTAATTTAATTTAACACTGACATCATCTGTATGGTATAATTTTCCCTTTTCCCTCTTTCAATGGCCCGAAGGAGAAAAATACATAAAACAGAATCCCCATTCTTCCTTTTTCCTTCATTATTACTTGACCCAACCTATTACACACATGAGGACACAGGAAATCTCCAAAGACCTCTATGGAAATCCTTTTTGCACATTTTCTAAGAAAGAATTAGCAAAAGTCATTTGACGGCATTTGGAAGACAGAGTCAGTGTGAGGGACGACATAAAAACACCTTGTCTGCTACTGCCTGAATCAGGCAGCCTAGAAGGTTTAAGTCTGAGCGGCAGGGTTGATATTTTATTTGCTTCCTTAGTGTCAATATTTGGGAAATAATTTCAATGAGGCTATTGCGACACTTCAAAAAATTTGAGTTTCATATGGTTTGCAAGTGACTGCTTGACATAATACTGTTGTTAAAACTTATGGCTATATACTGACCCAGGGTTTTAATTCCTGCTAAAAACCACAAAGTTAAAAATTTTGGGGTATTTTGTACTTTAAAAATGTATTTATTCTTAACTAATAAATAAAAACATATCTATCACCTCACCAAATTACCATTTGTTAATGTGGTGAGAATGTTAAAAATGTATTCTTTTAGCAATTTTGAAATATACATTATTATTACCTTTGATTTTCATTTTTAAGTCTCTTTTTTTTATTCTTATACTTTACCTAATGTTAAATGATGAGTTAATGGGTGCAGCACACCAACATTTTTAAGTCTCTTAATAACCCTTGTGTAAACCTGAGAATATTCTTTTCACCATCTTACATAACAAGTAGCACTTAGATCTAATCTGATATGAATTGACGTAGACCTTTCTGAGTTAAAGGGCAGTACCTCTGAATTTTGTGAATTTATAAGAGATCTTTTGGAATCCTAATATCAAAATATTTAGGAAAAGATTTTCTGGTGTCTTTTTAAGGTCCATATAATTTACATGACATTCTAGAAGTTTAAAGTAAAGATTGAATATAATTATATTTTCTGCCAAAATAGTTCATTTGTTTTTTTTCAGCAAATACCACTATTGTGTCTCAGGCACTATGTTAGACCGTAGGATCTTAAGTAGATGAGAATATGCCTGTAACCCTCAAGGCATTTACAGTTCAGTGCTCCAGACTTTGGACTGATACAACTGTGTGAATTAACAATGACTGAAGACAGGTTTCCCCAGGACTTAAGCTGTGCTTATATTGCACCACTCTCTCATGACCCTGATCTCCATGGGCTCTGAAGCACATGGCAACAATCAGAGGTGCCCAGTTTTATCTGTGAGGTGTGACTCTTGAACCCATGGATAGAAGGGTAGGTTCCCAAGAAATTATGGGTAGATACTTCAGTGTTGATGGCTCCTATCCCACACCACTGTGCCATAATTCCTGGGAGCAGAGGGGCAAAAGACAGCTTTGGCCTTGCACTTGATTCCATAGTAGCTTCCCATTGGAGACAGATGCAGCCTGCTGAAATGAACACTAACCTTAGAATAAGAATACTTGGATTCATGTCCTAGCCTTCCATACCCAACACATTTGGGCCAGGAAATCTCTTTAAGTTGAATTTCCTCATAGTAAAAAAGAAAATCTACTTCTGAGAATGGTTGTAATGCTGTGAGATAATATAAAGTGCTATGTAGATATTAGGACAAGAATTATTTGGGAACCTGTTATTTAGCTGCCAGTGAACAGCTCCTGGTAGGAGTGTCCCTCCTCAAAGTAAGGACAACTGATCTTTTTTGTGGTTTGAGAGAGTGTGGGTATTTCCTTAAACAATTTACAGAAAAACAGGAAATATATAGGCAGTAGGACGAGTATAGTTCATTATTGACCAAGTAGGGAAAATGTCAATCACATGAAATTCACATGAGGGTCTTGCAAAGGAGCTGCTCTAAATCAAAGACACACCCTCTGATCCTCAGGAACATGAGCTGCAGTGGGAGAGAGGAGTGCATATAGGTGAAATCATGAAGAGATTACTAGACAAAACCCAGTGCATTGGTGAATTGTGTAGTTCAAACTAAAGAGAGTAGGAGGGTCTTCATTAAAATAAAAAAGCATTAAAATGAGTGGAAAAATAACATGATACTACAAATTCTGTAGAAGATACAGATGTTTTAATTTACAAGAAAAACTCAACCTTATTAAAAAGTGGGCAAAGGAGGTGAACAGACACTTGAAAAGATGACATGCATGTTGCCAACATGCATATGGAAAAAAGCTCAATATCAGTGATCATTAGAGAAATGCAAATCAGAACCACAATGAGATACCATCTCTTATGAGTTGGGATGGCTATTATCAAAGTCAAAAAACAACATATGCTGGCAAAGGTTGTGGAGAAAAGAGAATGCTTATACACTGTTGGTGGGAGTGTAAATTAGTTCAACCATAGTGGAAAACAGTGTGGTGATTCCTCAAAGGGCTAGAAACAGAACTACCATTCAACCCAGCAATCCCATTACTAGGTATATACCCAGAGGAATAAAAATTATTCTACCATAAAGACACATGCATGCAAATGTTCACTGCAGCACTATTCACAATAGCCAAGACATGGAATCAACCTAAATGCACATCAATGCTCACTGGATAAAGAAAATGTGGTACATATACACCATAGAATACTATGCAGCCATAAGAAAGAATGAGATCATGTCCCTTGCAGCAACATGGATGCAGCTTGAGGCCATTATCTTTAGTAAACTAGCACAGAAACAGGAAACCAAATACTGCATGTTCTCACTTATAAGTGGGTGCTAAATGATGGGAACTCATGGATACAAAGAAGGGAACAACAGACACTGGGGACCTGCTTGAGAATGGAGGGTGGGAGGAGGAACAAGACCAGAAAAGATAACTGTTGGGTACTAGGTTTAGTACCCAGGTGATGAAATAATCTGTAAAATAAAGCCCTGTGACACAAGTCTACCTATATAACAATCCTGCACATGTACCGCTGAACTTAAAAGTTTTTTAAAAAGATACAGATGTTTTATACTGTTTTATAGTAGGCAACTTTATCTGCTTAAAGCAGGTAAGGTATAACCTACAAATTAATAAATATTGATCAACTTGAATCACTAGACAAAGAGTGGAACCACTTTTACAAAGAATACTTCAAGTATTATAAGAAAATACAGTGTGGCAATCTGAGGGGTGCACTGCACTTGATTGACTATCCCTGTGGCAGATAATATGTTGGAAACAGAGCCAGGATCAGGATGGTTAAAATCTAGCATCGCAAATCAGAGATAGGCAAACAAAGGATCTCCAGGTACAAATATTTTGATGAATTGAAAATATATATAATATATAAAATATAAGTGAATTTGTCTATTTTTAAAGTTCATGGGAACCAACTTAACCTTTGGCAAAAGACAGAGGAGAACATTAATTTAGCATGTTACTATGTAAGTTTCAATGGACACCAAACTACATGATAACCAAAGTTACCAAAGTTGGCAAAGTCAGTTCATACACCTAATAAGAATTGAGTGCTACATGGCCACTCTATCCAATTGCTCCAATAGTTTCAGTGAGTAATGAAGATGAAGCTTTAAAAACAATTTCCATGACTTCAGAGAAAACAGACTATCTTCTTACCAAAATGAAATAGATGTACTTGGTAAAAACATTTTCAAATAAAATCCAAAGTTCTTAAAATAAAATAATTACTATGGGTCACCTAAAAACAAAACTACTAGAATACTCATCAGAAAAAAATGAGAGTGTACAAAAGAACAATGCTGGGGATATGCTACAGATTCTTTGAAGAAGTGTTGTTGTAAAATGAAATTTAAGGATTATTAATTTATTTTTACTGCAATAGCCTGAGGGAATATCAGATTTAAGTCAAAGATTGTCAACTGTCAAAAAAAAAATAGAATATCTATCTGTCTTAGAGAAAGTAGAAAAATATCCTTGCTTTTTCAGAAGATAGGAATTTAAAATTTATAAGCATAAATTTTGTGCCTGAGCTTTGACATTTTTAAGGAGACACATAGGAAGACATTATTAGGTCTAATAATTTCAAGCACCCAGTTGTCTTTTTTCCTTTCTATGCTTAGGACTACCAGTTAGGAGGGTACCTTGGACAGACAAAAATGAACTGCAGTTGACTCTTGAACAACACAGGTCTGAACTGCATGAGTCTACTTAATGCGAATTTTTTTCAACCAAATGTAGATCGAAAATACAGTATTTGAAGGATTGGGAACCTGCCTGAAGGAACAACTGTATTTGGTATTCATCCTCCTTTCTAACTTCCTCTGTTTTCCTATTTCTCACCCCACTGCAATTCCTCTCTTATATACCTTTATTTTAGAAACTATTAAAACATAAAATTCTACCAGTCTTGGCCCTTATGTTCACTTTAACAAGTGAAATTTTAAATCACTATGAGAACTATCACTTCAGGCCTACCTTTTCCAAATTAGATGGAACTGTCCCCTGACCCCTCTGTCCAGCCAGCCTTTATAAGAAAACACTGTTCCAGTTCATTTGTTTTAAAAAAGTTTAAAGACCACTGTAGAGTCACACAGAGTTGTACGAAATAACACAGAGTGATCCCATATACCCTACACTCCATTTTATCCCAGTGATGACTTTTTTCATAATGATCGCATAATATCACAATCAGGGAAATGACATTGATATATACCCACTGGCCTTATAAGTACTGTGTGCTAACCAAATAAGCGCTAATATTTGATAGTGCAGTAGAGATATTATAGATAATAATTATATATTTCAAAATAGCTAGGAAATCATAGTTAATAATCATTTATTGTATACCTAAAACTAGCTAAAAGATTTGTAATGTTCCCAACACAAAGATAAATGTTTGAGGTGATGTATATCTCAATTACCTTGATTTGAGCATTATACATTTTATACAGGAATCCAAATGTCACGGGTAACCCCCAAATATGTATAGCTATTATATAGCAATAAAAATTTTTAAATTTCACTGGCCTTATTCAGATTTCACCAGTTTTACATGAACTCGTGTGTGTGTGTGTGTGTGTGTGTGTGTGTGTGTGTGTAAGTTTTATGCTATTTTATCACATGAATATATTCATGTAGCCACCACTGCAATCAAGATACAGAAAAATTCCATCATACAAGGATGCCTCATGATACTCTTTCCTAGTTCATTTTTTGTTTGCTCCTTAAAAAAGAAAAATGATAAAGGAAAATCTTTTTTTTTTCTCTTTTCCTTGAGTAAAAGTTCTTCCTTGGGAAAAATTCCGCAATACCTTGGCATCTCTTCTCTACCCCTTTGGTGCACCTCCTTTAACTTGAGCACTTGTATTTCCCTGGCAATTTGCTCAGCTAAGTGATAGAAAAAAAGGAGTTGACTGAATTAATTCATACTTATACATAGGTGTGAATGACTCAAACGTCATTAACTCTGGCAGAGGAAGTTGCAGTTTTAAAAAGAAAATGTTTGTCAGCCCCACATCATTTCTTCTAAACTACATTTTATGCAGTTTAATAAAGTGCAGTAAGATAATTCAGACAGTGTGCGGCAGGAAAATTTGGGGACAAACGTTATAAAATAAAAAGCCAGCTTCCTTGTCTTGAAATCTAACCTTTGATACTATCTCTTAATCTTTTAAGTGGGTACTGGTTTTTATCTTTTTTTTTTTTTTTGGTCTACTGTACCTTTGTGTTTTCTAGAAGCTCTGCAGCTTTTTCACAATGTCCCTTATCACATAAGCGTGGAAGAGATGAAAAAAGGAAGAGGGAAATGTGCAGCAGCAGATGTGATCCCAGTAAAGAGAACTGCAGCTATTTCCATTCCACCTTGTTATCACTTTCTTCATAACGCCCAACCTTCAGAACCAATGTATTATGCAAAGAACTCTTCCAGTATATTCCATTAGATGTGGCTGCTAGATATAAAATTATATTTCTGCTCTTAAAGACCTTACTATGTAAGGAAATAAGACTTACAGACACTGAAATTATATAGTGCTGTAAGTCTGTATAAAGGGCTAAAAATTTAGTCCAAAAACATTAATCCATTACATAAATACTGAGTGTCTTTTATGGGCAAAGCCTTGTTCTAGGTGCTAGGGATACAGCAGCCAATAATACAAAATCCCTGGCCCATTGCAGCCTACGTTGTATTTGGGCAACGGGAAGACAATTTGTAATGAAATAAATAAATAAATGAATTTCAGATAGTTGTAAGAACTACAAAGGAATACAACCAGGAGAAGCTTCATATAAGAACTCTATAATAACTCTATCTTCATGTAAGAACTCTATCTGTATTTTAAAGGAATAATAGAATTGGGGAAGCTGGAGCAAGTCTGGAAATGAGAATAAATGATACAATGAGAAAGAAGAGAAAGCTTTGCTAGGATACATAGATGCAGCAATGTTCAATAGAAAGTGTGCTTTAAAAAGCATTCACAGAATGTTTGTCTAGTAATGTGGACTAAGTTATTGCAGTTTCAACTGATAAATTAAAGAACAAACTTTCAAATGGCAATTTATCTTTCTGATTTCAAAGAAAGTATTTAATTGTTGTGGAGAAGGTAAGGCAGGTCATTCATTTTCATCCCTTTATTCTACATGCACATAACAGTAGTCTTTTGCAGGACTTTAAAAAAATTCACAGTTTTTGTCTTTCTACTTTCTGAGCACCTCAACATGTTTGGTGAAATTTGCCGCATTCAAGATGGTGCAGGTGGCTGCCTCGTTTTCTGTTATTCCAAGTTTTCAAGATTTTATTCAGCGTTGTTCCTGTGCCTAGGGAAAGGAGAGGAAGTATTTTTCTTTCTCCCTCTGGCACAGCACTGTGCATGCACAGCTCAAACTACTATGACCAGATCACACAGGTCAGTGACATGAATTTAAATGGGCCTCTGCTCTCTGGCTGGTGACCTTAACTACCACTATTTCTGTGTGAAAAAAACAAACAAGCAAAAAAAACACCATAGAAGCCATCATATGAAACAAGTTCTAGAATGTAACCTATTTGAGATGGGAGTTTTGCAATTTTGCAAAAACTTCAGTGAACACGAATATTTTTTTTCTTATTTTTTTTCCTCTGTACCTATTCCTTTCTCTGCTTGCCACCCTTCCCATTGTTCTTTCTTCCTGAGTTAACTCAATATTTGAAGCAGTAAGGACTCCTACTCTGAAGACACAGACCGGGCCTTGGAGGAGCCTTGTGAGATAATGAAATCTTTCTCTGGGTGTTCAAATTTTCTCCAAACATCATAGGCTTTTGAGCCTGGAAGGTGTTCTACTGAGCTGACTGATGGTGCCAGGTGACTTAATCTCTCTGGGCCTGTTTCCTCAGGTACAAAATGGAAATGAATGAAGCCTACCTTGAAGGGGTGTTACAAGGTTCCAATAAGATTAGGTATGTAAAAGTACTGTCTAAGGATTTGAACAAAACAACTGCTTAATTTGCCTTAGTGCTTATCTAACCTAGTTGTTCTCAAATGGGGGTTATTTTGCCCCTGCCAGATGGCATTTGGCAATGTCTGCATATGTTTTAGGTTGCTATAATTATTGGGGGGGTGCTACTAGTATCTAGTGAGTCAAGGCCAAGGATGCTGCTAAACATCCTACAACGCACACCATAGCCTTCCCCATAGCAAACCATTATGCAGCTCAAAATGTGCATAGTGTCACTGTTGAGAAACCCTCAGCTGGCCTTTGCTTGAACAATTTTCATGATAGGAAATTATTTCCTAGTGAGGCTAGCCATTCAATCACTGGAGAGTTACCTGAGAAAAAACATTTGTTCAGCCCAGGCAAAATCTGTAACTCTCACCTGCCAGCCAAGGTTGTGCTTTGTGCGACAGCAAAATAAGCCCATTCCTCTTCTTGTGACAGTCCTCCCAATAGTGAAAGGTGGCTGTTTTCCCTCCCCAAACCCCACAGACTTATAGAGAGTCATGCAGGACACTCTGAAATAAATGAGAATGAAACCCCTACAGGTTAGCCATATTTGGATGCTTTGTTTCCAGTTTTGTCTACAAGTCTAAGAGAACCAGAAGAGTTTAAATAAACCCACCTAGATCAAAAATTGTCTATAAAACCATAAAGAGCATCAAACAGATTTCTCTGTTAACAAGAAGTTATGAGTCCTTTGCCCAGGGTACATTTTTTACCCGTTTCTTCCTTCCCCACCATAAAAAGTCAGCATAGCTAATATTGTGTTATACATCCCCTACACAAAATCCAAATTGTGTCATTTTATAACAAAAGTTTAGCACTGTTCTCCATGCAGTGTATTACTTTGAGGAAAAAAGGGCAAAGATACAGATTTATACTTATGCAATGAGAAATACAGAAATAAAAAATCAAGTTTGCCATCTTGAGCTTGAAATCATTGTCAAATCTTATTGGAAATACATTTATTCTGATTTCTGGCAATCTAACCCCCTTTAGCCGTTTCACAGTTGGTGAGCAGAGAGGATGTTTCTGCCTCATTTACAGTGTCTGAACATGATTCAGACAATCAACTGCAACATTAGTCAAAGGAATCAGTGGCTAATGATTTCTGACAAGCACTGCAGTAACAGGCTGAGGACCAGACTGGGCAGCCATAGCATTCAGGGATGTTTTAGAGGAGCCAGCAAATAGGCACTGGTGGAAGATAATACACATGAAGGCAAATAGCAGTGGCCCCACATCACTTAAAGGCTCTTACATACTTTATGAAAAGTATCTGACATGTAATAAAAACACTAATTCTTTTCTACAAATATGTTATCTTGAGTGGACACTGAGGACAATTAGGGATGTCGCTTTGTAAATTATAATACACAAAAGTGGTTACATCTTTTGCATTCCGCTGAAACTACACTCTTAAACTGGGAATAGTCTGGCCTTATAATTATTAATATTGATCATTTGAGTACGTACACTTTCTCCCTGAAATCCATGACTCATCATTCAGAGTATCTCCCATACATTGACTGCTTACGTTGCCCAACACCTGAAGTGGAGGCTGTATGGTCAAGGGCGGGAAGGGCTGAGTATTGCAAGACATGAGCACTAGTTTCTCTTCTGCCATGAGCTCATTGTGTGACTATGGGCAAGTCACTTGGTTACCTTGTGCTTCAGTTTACAAATCTACTAGATGATGGAGATGAATCAAATGGTCTCAAATTCTCCCTTCCAAAAGTATGATTTGGATTTTGGAACTCTACATTGGTATCTTTAATAATCAAACATATGTCCTAATTGTTTTCAATAATTTATCTTTGGCTTCAAAATTCCTGATCAATTTACTTTATCTCTTTAAACTTTCTCTGTAAGAAGCAAAGGGATGAATCATTGTATTTGATTGAAATTTTATTTTCATACTCTCTCCTCATGTGATAAGTCCTGCAGAGTTTTAGGGAACGCTTTTTTAAAATGTCCCTACATTAGAATAAATGGCAGAAAGGAAAGCTCAATTAACAATACTATTTGGTTAATATTAAACAGCAGTTAAATGTAATAATCAGTGCTGTACAAAAATAGCAAATTTTTGTTTTACAGTCAGAAGTTTTTAATAATTTGATGAAAATCAAGATTAGCCTTAAATGTAATAGCCTGGTTAAGAATACCCAATTATCTTTCACATGCTAAGAGTTTACATTGTATTTTCAAAAGCTGTAAAAACATAAATATATCAGAAAATTTCCAAGAATCTTTTTTCATCTAAAACTCTCTCTTTAAACATCCAACAGGCAGATGGCTCTGAAACCTCAAAGTAATGAGACAAAATTTCATATACAGTTAGAAATAAAAGTTTTCCTCAATAGTAAATTGGAACATACAGCTCAAAACTGCCATTTCCTAAATTGGTCATTATAGTTTTGTATTACCTTAACAAGATACATATTGATGAAGAGATTTTATTCTAACTCTCAATCGTTACTGTACTATAAATAAAAAAATGTGGAATATTTATCCTGTACAGTCCAATCACAGTGTGAGTTATATTTACAGCTCCTTGAAAGAAAAATTTCCTAGCTCTTAACCTTCTTTTTTTTGTTTATTTTTATTTTTTATTTTAGAGATGGGGTTTTGTCATGTTGCTTACGCTGGTCTTGAACTCCTGGGCTCATGCAATCCACCCGCCTTGGCCTCTCACAGTGCTGGAATTAGAGGCATGAACCACTGTGCCCAGCCCCCAGCCCTTAACCTTTTGCTAAGGAAATCCATTGGAGATCTTGGGTTATATTTTGCTAGGAAGCCTTGAAGAATGAGTAGCCAATTCATTGGCAGTCCAGCAATCTCTGAGGCAGCCTGATACAAAAATTCTGTGCAATGTAAGATTAAAGCAATTAGTTTAGTGCCATCATGTCCTCTTAGAGAGTTCAGAGCAGCTGAGTCGTTAGTAATGGCAGAGGTAGGAGGGCACTCAGACATAAAGGAACAGCAAGAGACCAACTGACTCGTGTCAGCAGAGTGAATTGATGGACTGCTGCTGCTGTGTAGGGGGAAATAAGAAAACTCAGCCCCTCGTCTTCCAGGGGTCTTCCAGTTCCCAAGAATCTTTTGGTCTGTGTGTGGCCCAACTGTTTGCTTCTCCTGGGAATTCGTAGGATTAGGGTTTCTCTCCTTGCCACAGCAATCTTCACAATCAACTCTTGTACTTGAGGTAATCTGAATGAATCTCTTTCTTGAACCTCAAGAATAAAACAGAGAAGCACTGAGAGATGAAACAGCTGCCTTAGAGTTAAGGCGGTAAATAGGCCTTTTCCTTCCATGTGTATCAGTGAGACACAATGTAGGTTGATTCTTTCAGCCTGTGTCTACTGGCAAGAGAAATAGGCCAGTAGACACAGGTTACATACAATGATTAGTGACATCCTTGTCAGAAAAGATATGAGAGAAAGTAAGTTGCTTGTGTATTTTTTTATTAATAAATTCTCACACTTCACTTGGTTATATTTCTATGAGGATTCAAAGTGAGTGGGACAAATAATTTCATTATACCTATGATAACATAACCAATAATATCAGTTATCAGTTATTTATGGAAACTAAAGATGGTGGTGGCAAACTGAATCAAATAAAGTGCCAGTCAAGTCTAATTTGACCAAACAGGTATTGTCACTTGCTTTGCCAATGCAGAAATGTCAATATCTACAACTAGATTTACGATGTGCAGGACTCTAGGAATCTCACCCCAGCCGTACAGACCTTTCACTAAGGAATGGGCCCAGCTCTCTCTGCCTCCAGGCCCTTGTTAATTGCAGGCCCCGCTGCCTGCATTGTTCTTTCTCATTTTACTCCTACTCTTCCAGTACTTGTACACACAATCACACACACACACACACACACACACCACTTCTTTGTGCTATTCTAGCACTCACCACATTGTGAAACATATCTACTTATTATTTTCTCCTTCTAGTTAGACTGTAAGTGCCCTGGGGACAGGATCCATACCTGTTTTGCTCTCCATTGTGCCTCTAGCTCCTCGTCTTATGTTAACCTTGAATATTGTTGAATGACTATTGTAGAGCCCTTGGGAGGTACTAGTAGTACCTGTAGAAACATTAACATGGCTATAACAAACCATTGTATGTATTGACTTTTGCATTCTACCGCATTCAATAAGAGAAAAAAAAATGACAGTTTATACCTATGGTAAATGAAAAGTGTATGAAAAATTTCAGTTAACAGCCAGTCCTGGAGATATGAAGTATCAGCACAATCTTCATAGAAGAAGACTTACATGAAATTTCAGATTGACACAAGAACCCCCTATCTAAAGGTGCATTTGGTTTGTTTGATCACATTCTCAGACAAATAAAAGTTTCCCCCATTACGAACCCAAGGGGTCATTATGCTAAGTGTGGACCGGTGGGTCAGAGACTGAACCACGTTACAATAGTCCTGGTATTTGGAACGATTCTTCTTATCTGTGGAGGAAATATAAAACATTTTTTCTTCCATTTACTCTAGAGTAATAGGAGACAAATACAGTTTTTATCCTGATAAGTACCAAAATGAGGCAGAGAAGCTGTGAAAAGTCACTAGCATGGTGACAAGTCTCTCAACTTCTCCCCAGTGGCCACCTAACCTTCTTCCTTTTGGCCACCTTGAACGAAATGGTTTCTGGCTCTGCAGAAAAGGATCAGGGGGTGTTTTACATTTGTGGGTGACTATCTAGAAGGTTTTAATAAACACTAATCCTACGAAAATTTCTATATTTCCACATGAACTGATTACCATGAGGAAATCTGTCTCTCCGCTGGCAGCAAAGCCATCATCTATTCATCATACCTCTTACTGGATTTCTTTCTCATTTAAGGCAGGATTCAATAAAATTTCATTGTAGTTTCCTTTTCTCAGAAATCCATGAAAGCCTTGAAAAACATGTTGAGCATATCCTGTCTGTACAATTTGATATCCTTTCCACCTCAGGCCATTATTCTGATAAACTCGGTAAACCCTAATTTAGATCCATGATGTAATGCTTCCATATCAGGCTGTGTGAACATGTTCCTTTAAAATAAAACATGGTAGGAAAGTCTTCCACTGAATGCTTTCGCACAGAAGAAGCTTCGTCTATTACCCTTTCACAGTGATAGAAGAGACAAGATAACAATTTATGAGTCATTTCCATTCTGACAGGAGCGACAATGACTGGAAATGCGATGCCTGCCAAGAGCTTTTATCAAGTAGGTTATAACAACTAGTAATAAGTGTAAATAATAAATGTCTGGGATCTTAGGGGAAGCGGTGGCAATAGGAAATGATTTTTGGTACTTCTGATGGGGTTCTGCTACTCTTGGAATTCCCTGGCTTCCCAGTAGAGTTTTGGCCTGACAATAAACAACAGTTTAGTACTTTATCTAATCCCAGCCAGGAGGTGAGTTCAACAGCAAGCTTTTGCAGATGTTCACATTCAATAATCTATCCATAATTGATGAAACAGGGAGGTCAGATGTAATGGCTGCTACTATTCCAGCAACAAATAAATGGTTATTGACAAAACAAGCCAGTGTGGTGCAGAGTGCTGAGCAGTGACAGGCAGGAGCCGGCACTGAGGCAGAGACAGGGAGGACTATGCGGCTCTTCATCTTGAGAATTCCTCAGCGAGCCATGTGCAGAAGGGCCACACTGACACAGAAGCAGATGGAGGTGACTTGTCAGGGAGAAGGGAGGCTGCTGAAGTACAAAAAAAGATGAAGACATGCCGAGGTGGAGAAAATGCTGAGTGAGCCACGGACAAGGCTGGGGACCAGGGTAAGTACAAATGCATCGAAAGTTCAGAAGTGCCTTTGAATGCTCGCACTGTGATCCAGATGTCTGAGTTGCTTTTATCACGCAGCGTGTCTTCACTCGCATACCTGCTGTCAAACTGTGCAGCCTGGATAACTCCAACACCAAAGTGGATGTATGGGATGCTTTGGTGCCTAAATCCTCCCACTGAGGGAACTTCACAGGTACTGCGTTTAACAGTGTGGACTGTGGATACCTTTTCCTCCCCTATGCATTTTTTTTAAAAGTCCACAAAAATCACTTGTACAACTTTAACAATATTTTCAGATGAACTAAATATACAAAATTGTAAAGCTACAAAGTTTCTCAACACTGGAACTAACCTGAAATAGATGCTGCTTAGAATCAAATGTACTGGAAAGAAACGTGAGTGGAAGGCAAAGTTTTCTTTAATAACAGAAAACACACATTATACTTTCTTCACCTCAGCCTATGCAAAGAGTATAATAAAGCATTAATCGAGTATACTTTTATTGACTGAATAAAATTCAAGATATACTTCCACAAATAAGCAGCTGAAATCCTGTACTTCCATTCCAATGCTAAGAAATAATGTTTTTACACAGTTTACTGTGTAATATTATAAGATGAAGAATGGTAGGATAAAATGGTAGTTATTATTGCTATAGGTAGTCATAAAGAGGCTTGGGACAGAGAAGTTTTAAATATTAATATTCATAAAATCACTTAAATCAATTTAACACTCTTTAGTGGTTTATTTAGAGGTGTGATTTATTTTATTCTTTGCAACCAATGCCTTTGATCAGCTCTGAAATAACATACAAGCTGAAAATAAAATGGCAAAACAAACTGCTGCTAGCATTCTTATAGTAAGCTTTAGGTTTTATAGCAGGAACTGTTATATTTGGTGCTTTTGAATTACTTATCAATACTTAGACATTGAGAATTACAGAGCCCAGGAGGAACAGTAGAGAACATTGCCAGTTGCCCTGCTTCCTTAGCCCTGCCATTCTCCCAGCTGGTTCCACCCATTTGGAAGGAACTTAGACCTGTACCTGTCCCCAGGACTGCTCCTGTTCCTGGTCTGAAAGGGTGGAAAGTTGGCATCACATCAGTTTGCTATGGATCATATAATGTTTTTAACCTTTGTTAAAGTGACTGGACTTTTGTCCTGTCCCTTGAGACCAAGCACACATCCCAAGGTGCATCCCAGCCTGGGGAGCTATATTCCAGTCTTGTTCTTCTTGCTTGAATCTCTATCTTGGTGCCTAGCCTGGTCCCTACTCACTGCGAGTCTGGAGACCTACCCTGCTGCCCTCAGTATGCCTGAGTCAGCAGTCTCACCCTTGAGCCCCAGTCCCTGTGGCTTGGTGCTTGTCACTTGCCAATGGTAGTCACTACCATTTATAGAGCAAAACTACATGTGCAGGGTGTCTTATATCCATAGTGCATTCAATCTTCACAGAACCTCGAAATATATATTAATATTCCCATTGTATATCTGAGAGAAATACAATACAGAGAAGCTGAGTGCCTTGCTCTGGAGTACACAGTGAATTGGTGAAGGAGAAAGGATTTGAACTGGGTTCATTGGACTTTGAAACCCATGTTCTTCAGCACTGTGATAGGCTTGCAGCTAGATCACACTAAGCATGATTGTGCTGACCTTGACCTTCACCTACAGCTCACTGCCTTCTGCCCCAGTTGCCAGAAGCTATCCTCCACTCACATACAGGGACATTCATCGCAGCCCAGTGTCTGATGTTTTAGATGTCAACCTCATGCTTGTCTGGTCACAGTGTTGCCTATTAGCAGCTGCTATTTTTTCATCATGAAGATCAATGATTAGAGGTAATAATAGCCAATATTAACTTAGCATTTTTAGGTCATTCCTTTGCCTGAAATGAACCCCTTTTCACTTAGAAAAAAAAAAAGTCATGCTTGAAAATGACCTCCAAGGTCAGCTATGATCCTACTCCTTATCTCCACTCTTCTCCCCTTTTGCTTTTCTCCAGCCTTACTGGCTCCAGGCCCCCAGGCACACTGCCACCTTAAGGCTTTTGCCCTGGCCATTACCACTGCCTGGGTGTGCTTCCCTCGAGTATCTGCATGGCCCACTCTCTCACAGGCTTCCAGTCTTTTCCCAAAAGTCAGCCTCTCAATGCAGCCTTCTCTGATCACCCATTTATAATTCCCTCCACCCTACCTCTTGCCTTGGAACTCCTGACTCATTATTTTGTTGTACTTTTTCCCATAGTGTTTCTCATTGTCTAATATACTGTTTAATTCACTTGTCAATTATGTTTCATCTTCATTGTTAGTTTTCCCCAATGGGAGGGAAGGTCCACAAGGACAAAGATGTCTGTCTGCATTGTTATTGCTGTACCCAAAGCATCTAAAACAAGGCTTGGCAGTATGTGCTCCAAAACTATGTTCTTAAGACTACATGTGTGAGCTAATTTAATCTTCTTAACACCCCATGCATTGGCATTATTATTATTCTTGTCTCTTTAAAGTTAAGGAGACAAAAGCACATAGAGATGAAGCCACAGGGCCAAGGTCATACAACTGGTAAATGGTCAAGAAAGGACTCACATTTGAGCCATCTGGCTTCAAAGACAGCATACTCATCCAGCCCTCTCTTCCACCCCATTGACAAGTAGCTGCCTGACAATGCCACCATGCAGGCTGGGCTCCAGCTTCTGGATCTTTTTGGTGCAACCTGTCCTATTGTGGATTGACCAAGATTACAACAATGGTGTCTTGCAACAATGCCCATAAGGGAACTGAACAAAGTTTAATGACTTGCCCAAGGCCAAGAGCTTGGTGACAAAAACCACAACCAGAATCCAGGATGTCTGATTCCCAATTTGGTGGTCTTTCTGGTATTTTCAAAACCCATTTTGAAGATCCTAATGATTATCTGGCTAATGCTTTCCCATTCCTATGTAACATATTACAAAAAACAATTAAGAAGTAATTTTGGCTTTGAAACCATGTGACAAATATTCACGTTTAGTTACACAATATTTTCAATGGAAAATGTTTATTTTTTAATATCTATGATATTATAAACTTATAAAATGGAGATATAAACAATCATTCTGCTGTAAGCTAATATAAGCTCATAGGGAAAATGAATATGTTTAATTAAATTTAGGAAAAATGTATCGTTAAATCATTTGCATTACAACAGTAAGGACCAATAAACATACCACTTTTTACTATTCCATTGGAATTTTCATCAATATGCTGTATTAACATATATCATCTTCATTTTACAAAGCAAGGGGTGCTAAGAGATTTGTCTGTGATCTGTTAAGCCAGCTGTGGCAGCATGAATAGCATAATCCTTGCACCAACCCAGCAAATCATACTTTTACTATTCTGTAATTTTCACTAACATTTATTGAGGAAGTAGCATATGCCAGACATAGGTCTAAGTGCTTTCTGTATGTTAACTTATTTAATCCTCACAACCACATTATAACTTAGATGCTAGAGTAATCTTCATGCCACAGGTGAAGAAACTGAAGCACAAGATGGGCCAAATAACTCACTCAAGGCTTCAGGATTAGAAGTGTCAGGAACAGGATTTGCAGTCAGGCACTGTGATTCCAAGGGGCCAACCTCCTAATCACTAGATCAAAATCATATTGTGACAATGGTTGAGATGGCAACAGAGAAAATTAAGATTGATGAAAAGGACCCCATACCCCTCCTCTTCTTTCATTTTATCCAAAATTATAAGCATCTCCCCTACCAGATCTTTCAACTGAAAATCTAGCAATCAGCACTTTCACATGCTCTTTCCCTTGCATTTACTGAGTTGCTAGTAGATAGCAAATTTGCATCTGCAGCAAGAAGAGACTGAGGATTGTAGGTATAATATGCTGATTACACTGCTTTCAGAAAAGAATAATATTACTTTTTCTTTTTACAAGTGCCTTAACTTTAGAGCTGGACATATTTCACTGTCAGAAAAACATCCAGAGTTTTTCTGAATTTCAAGGCAAATTCAGCTAGGAAGTTACATCATAACAAAGGAAGAATCCATGGTATCCCATTATCTATAATAATGGAGGGGAAGAAGGAAATGGAAATAAGAAATGGAAAGTAAGAATTCCTGACATCTTTTTCTCTGGAGAAGCTACAAAGCAGTGGGTCATTTCTAGCCTGATGCCACTTACATCTTTGGTTTTTTGAGACGGAGTCTCACTCTGTCGCCCAGACTGGAGTGCAGTGGCATGATCTCAGCTCACTGCAACCTCCACCTCCTGGGTTCAAGTGATTCTCCTGCCTCAGCCAACCGAGTAGCTGGGACTACAGGGGTAAGCCACCGCACCCAGCCCGCCATTTGCATCTTCTACTTCTGTGTCCTGTTGTGCTTTTCTCCAAACTGTGCTGATTCCCAACTGGTCCAGCAGCAGAGGGGCGATTTCTTTTTTAAGCTTCAAGTGTTATTCAATAATAATTTCCACTGAACAAGAATAACAAAATGTTATTAATGCCAATAAGTAGTTCATTAAGTGGAACAGATGAGAATGTTATTAAACATTTATATGGGAAACTTGTGAAGAGGCTCAACAAGTGAGTTTAAAATCATCTTACTGACAACTCTACCAATTACAACAACATCAGTAGTTAGAGGCGTGGGCTCCTGTCTGGCTCTGCATCTGCTAGCTTTGTGACCACGGGCTGACTAGTTAATGGATGTCTCAGCCTTCTTTTCAAACAGCTTCTGCCCCAGTAGCCCTACTCAGAACAGTTTCACTCCTGCAAGGCTCCTACTCCAGCCTGGCTGCATGCATTTGGCTGCCCTCCCAGGCCTTTACTCTTGCTGCTCCTGCTCCAATGAGGGAACAACAGCTTCCCTGTTGCTTCTCTAGCTCTTGCTCCCTATTGTAAGAATGGCACTGGTATATGTCTCTTTTCCATGTAGATAATGCAGTCTTGCACTACAGGAACAATCTACCTGACCAAAAAGAAACTTCTCAGACCTGTTATTCAACACTGTGCACCAAACTGAAGTTTAAAACATCAACATAATTATTACCATTTTTGATCATAGGGACTTTGGACAAAATTACTCAGGATTTCGGAATCTATACGGCTGTATTTTTCTCCCTGTTTTATTGTTTTTGCTTTATAATTTATATGATTATTTTTTACTTTATGAATTCATTTTTAAATTCTTTTATTACTTGTTAAGCATTTAATAATTTTCTTTAATGTTGTGGGTTGAGATAAGCTGTTGAAATGACTAACCTGCTACAATCAATCCTATACTAAAGATTTTTACCATGAACAACCTATGTAAAACCTATTAAAAACATTAATTAAAACCTTTAAATTTTAATGGAATGGAAAGATATAATAGTTTACTTTTTAAGTAGTTTTTCTTTTATTTTTTATTACAAAATCAATATACGTTAATTGTAGAAAATGTTGAGAATACAGATACCAATCTCCCCCAAAAATAGAAAAATTAAAGTCATTCATTATTCCAGCTTCTACAGATAACCACCAAAAACAGTTTGGTAGTTCTAGCATTTTCATATATTATTTATGCACTACATATATATGTATTTATATATAAGTAGGGTCATAATGTACACTGTTTAATAACCTGATTTTTTTGTTCAACATATCAGTAATACTTTCATTGTTATAAAATGTTTATTCATTTTGTAATTTTTATTGGCTGCATTGTATTTCAGCATAGGATACCCAAAAATGATTTATTCAATTTGATATTACTTTACATTTACTTTTTTTCTGAATTTTTCACCATTCCAAACAGCATTTATAGCATTGTATACAGAGGTTATAGCTAGATCTCGGTATATATTAATGATTTTATGAACAATATTACAGCTCAATATTTTCACACATTACTAATTATTTCCCTTAGGTAAATTCCAAAATGAGCAACTCTTGAGTCAAAAGATGTACAAAATTTAAACCTTAAAACAAAGCTATCATTTACTGAATGCTCACTAAGTGCCAGGCACATTACTTCTTTATCTTATTTAACTGCCGCAGCAACTTTATCATTCCTATTTTTCACATACAGAAAAGGAAGCCTACAAGCTAAGTGACTTGCATTCTGTCAGTGACTTGCACTGACAGAGTGGCCAAGGGCTACTCAGGCCAGCACCTGGGATCTTCTGTTTGACGGCTGGGCTCATGGTAAACTGGAATTCCAGGGAATTTTAGTGTCCCTGGAAGCAACTCTTAACCAATGAATGGTGGGAACTGGTGGATAAATGCACCAGCTCCCTCATCCCTCCCCTGGGATAACTGATTTGTTTCTACACTGTTTCCTAGAGCGTCCCAGCAGGACTGATCCATTTGCCCACAGTAATAACTGGCTTGGCAATACACCTTTTCTTGGCTTCCTTCTTTTGCCTGACTCCCTGGCTGATAGAATCCCTCCCAAATAAGCCACATGTACTCAATTCCACATCTCAAAGTCAGCTTCTGGGAAAACCCGAACCAAGTCGTCAAGGTATTGAGTTCAACGGTGCAAAAGCATTCACCTATTGCTGCCCATGCTTTTGTAAAAACTCAGAGAATGCCTTGTAAGCTTTTATGAAATGTCCAAAAATGTGTATTTGAGCAAGAACTATGTGACACATTTGGGTTGCAATCAAAAATATTTTGTGGCCACGTTATTTCACGTTATTTATTTGAAAACTCTGGCACATAGAATCGAGTTAGCCACACTCCCTAGAGCAGGGCACACTTTTATCATTGGTCTGTGTGTGCCCCCTCAATTGTTCTTAATAAATTTTTCTCCTTCATCCTCCGTCCTCACTCTTACTCCCTTTCCCCTCCATAAGCCCTCTCTAATGTATCCCTAAAGAGTTTTTCTGGGACAGATATTCCCAGGAGTGGGCTGGTATGCCACCAGGAAATCACATACAGAATTTCACTCACACCGTCACTCTTGGAATGATGGCCACACCAGCTTACCCTCCTAACTGCAGTTCTTGTAATCTCACATCCTTGCCAAACTTTCACACTATTTGGCTTTCTAACTTTCTAATGTTTTGCCTCAAAGTCATGCTTTTGTGCAAAAGAATATTAAATTCCTCCCTCGAAATGCTCACAAAAGAAAGCTGTTACACACATCTATATAATCAACCCTTGATTGTTCAGGTGCCAAATGCCATTTTGTGGATTAGTTGGTTTCCTTATCTTCTTTCTCTTTTTCTATTCTCGGCCATCATCTTCATCATTAAAAACAATGAATAAGGGGCCAGGCAAGGTGGATCATGCCTGTAATCCCAGCAGCACTTTGGAAGGTTGAGATGGGTGATTCGCTTGAGGTCAGGAGTTCAAGACCAGCCTGGCCAATATGGTAAAACCCTGTCTCTTAAAACTACAAAAATTAGCTGGGCATGGTGGCTCATGCCTATAATCCCAGCAGCACTTTGGGAGACTGAGGCAGGTGAATCACTTGAGGTCAGGAGTTCAAGACCAGCCTGGCCAACATGGCAAAACCCCATCTCTACTAAAAATACAAAAATCAGCTGGGCATGGTGGTGCACGCCTGTAATCCCAGCTATTCTGGAGGTTGAGGAAGGAGACTAGCTTGAACCCAGGAGGTGGAGGTTGCAGTGGGCAGAGATTTCGCCACTGCACTCCAGCCTGGGCGACAGTGAGAATCCATCTCAAACAAACAAACAAATAAATAAGGGTCAATAGAGGACAGTCGTGGGAAAAAATGGAGGTTTAATCTTAAATTCATTTTATTAGTTATTAATGAAACTTATGTGTTGATTAAGGGAGAAAGTTGAAATTACTGGGTAAAAGAGTTTTTTACAAGTATATGGATTGAATATTAGGAGTATGGTATTAATGCTATTTTTAAATCCTAGCATATGTTATTGTTATTGTGCACCAATTATACTGTATAATTTCTAAATGCAATATTACTGTTACTTGTAGATCCATAATTACTTACACTAAAGACACCTTTGAGAATGTTTTGGATAAGTTTTAATATATTTGATTACATTATTTCTTTCTGAAGTTACCCCTTTCATCTCTTAGAGGAATTATACATAATTTGGCTAAATTTGTAATGATGAAGTATGACCCACACACTTATTCCTGTTTAACACATCTAATCCTATAATCTTCTCTGGGTTCTTCTAGGTGTAATGCCTCTTCTTCTTTCGCAGCCTCTAGATCAACGAGTGCTAACAGCTGTGCGTTGCCTCTAGGTCTGTCACAAAATTAGTCTTGTGATGAACTATGCAGGTTGCTTTATTGCTCCAGCGAACATTTTCATACACTAGGCCTTGAACTTTAAGGAGTATACATACATTATGTTCCATATGTCACTATTTAGTATAGTTGATTAGAGTACTCAATTTTCAGATTTTTGAACTTCATCCTCTTAGGATGCGCTAAATAAAAAATTTTATCCTTTCCTTCATTTTTCTCTCACAATGAGTATCAGAAATTTTTGCACTGTTTCTTAAAATGTGAATACCTAGATACAAAAACTTCAGCTTTGTAAAGAGCTACTGTAGCAGTACTTTTTAAAAAACGAATAAGTAAAATAATCATGAAGTTTTGGCCCAAGTGGTATTCTAGATCTCAAGGGAAACTAAAACCAGCTTTCATGTTAAAAAAAATCAATAAATTTTATTACTAGAAAATTTGTATTTATATTAATTTAGGCCACAAACTTTCTTTCCTGACATAAAACATTTCTTTATTTGTAGGAAAGTTTGTAAATTGTAAATTATTACCAAACAGATTTGTTTCAAAAAATAAATATTTTAATTTTTTTGAGCTTTCTGATTTTCTACAATGCTTTTGTCATTTAAATGACAAATACTGTAATTTATATGACAAATACTATAATCAAGGTAAAAAAAGAAACAGATGCATATTTTCCTAAGCTGTAACATTATTATTTATTAATTAATTAAAATATTATTAATATGTAAAAAAACTAGAGACATTTTAAAAAATTAAAAATGATTTAAAGAGCTACTCCTTATTGATGAGGAAATGAAAAAAAATTCAATTTACTAAGATTCTATTCTGTGATCTTTACTACAGAAACTATGTTAAATTAGTACCATAAAGTTACCTGTTTCAATGTTTCAGGAAGGACACAACTTTAAATATTAAGATAACAATAACAAAATTATTAGTAAAACATTTTAAGTTTTTGTAATTCCCCAAGTATTAAAACATATTTTTATAAACTACCTAAAATGCTGTTTTCCAAGTAAGGCTATTTCCAAGTAACTATTCAAAATAAGATCAGATATGGAATATATTTTTATACTATGCCTTAAGATTATATAATAATTCTGAATAAGACATTTTCTATACAATTTGTAAATAAATACATATTTTAAAATTAGAAAATATTATTTCCTTTTAATGGTTTTAAAAAACCCTTTCTTTTGCACATCAGACACTGAATATTTTGAATATTACTTAGCAAAACTTATGAAATGAAAATAAGGTAGGCGCTGTTTGTGTACTAGTGGAAGAGTGTGTGTGTGTGTGTGTGTGGAGGGTAATGCTAAATAGAAAGAGGTCTGAGCCACAACAGTTGGGGGAAATGGGATCTGTAACAGCTGCTCCTTTTAGATTCCCCAAGAAAGAGACTGCCTGAGGTGGGCCACAGGACAAAAGGATAAAGCAGATGAAAACTCTGATGTAAAGCAGGAAAATGACTGCTGAGACCGCTGAGCCTACACCTTGAATCATCTCAAGCTGAGTGGCGAGCCCTCTTTAGCATGCCTTAGAAGCTGGTGATGAACTACACACGACCAGGAGGCAAACTGGCTGCAAGCAGGCTTGTCTGCATGTTATATATTATGATAACCAGCCATCCTCTGGGAGAAGGGGCCATGATTTCCTCTCTGGCAGCATCTGAGCTCCCCTCAGTTACCCAGACCATTAAACCAAGGATGGAAGGGTAAATTTTAGGTAAGGATTTCTAACTGGTGAGTAAAGACAACTTCTGTTTAATGGGCAATGAGTAGCTCTATGTTTAAAGAAAGAAATAACTCAATTTTTAAAAAATAAATGTCATATTTTTAACTCAAAGAGAAGTTATTAACAAATTAATAATAAAATATTTTTCACAAAATGTTGGTTTATCTTCTTTCCATTATATAAAAATATGTGCCAATACAAAGATAAATTTAGGTACTACGTAATGTACATATCATAAATAGTAAATTACAATTAAGAATAAAGTAAGAATGAAGTAGAGACTTTGAATGCATGCTCAATAAATACTACCTACTACAGTATCATTGCTATCATTATCCAGTTATAGTTACATCAATCTGTAGTGATAATGGTATCTTACAGTTGAGAACTGTTTATAATTTAAAGTGTAAACACACATTTTTAAATTTTGGTCTTCACAAAGACACAGTGAAGCTGCCATTAGTATTGTTATTTCACAAATGAAACTGAGCCTCCAAGAAGTTAAGTGACTAACCTAAGGTCACACAGCTAGTGCATGGCAGACAGGACTGAAATCCATGTCTTCCAGCTCCAAGGCTCACGTGCTCTTTCTGTACCACAGTTACCTCTGATATGAACATTGTACATCCAAACCTACAGCCATTTCACATATTTGGCCACTTATAATTAGAATGCCATTGCTATGTATGACTTGACCTATATTCCATTAAAATGCTCTTTTTCATGTAATATATGTACATCAACTTCTCCTTCCAACACTTTTAACTGTGTAGACTTTACCAATACATTTAACATTTGTTCCTATGCTAACTAGGGGTTTGAGAATACCGTAGGTCTAGAGCAGAAGCCCGACATTGTGATTTCATAGATGTATGATCATCTAGCACTTCGGAAAAAATATTTTATGTATATTAATAGTAACATAATAGTTTTAGTTATCTGCGTGTTAAGCCCCATGCTACAAATTTCAGACATATATTCTTCCTTAACTCTCACAAGGCTGTCCTGAGTTAGAGTAGGATTATCCGCATCTTACAGAAGAGGAAACTAATGTTCAGAAAGGTTAAGTCAGTCACTTGTTCAATGTCACATGGTGAGGTGGTAGCAGATCTGGGATTCCATGCTTGATTAGTTTGATTTTAGAGCCCATCAATTAATGATGTTGTTGTCCTCTCACTCCAAAGAGTTGATAAATGTACTCTCTAAAAAGCATTTTGAGAGTGCCTTATCTGAGAAATGCTAGTACTTACTGCCTTTACTTCATACAAATGTCTAACGATCAAAGATTTGATAGCAGATATGAGCACCTATATGCATTCCAGGAAACTCTAATGTCATGATGTCATATTAAACGGGCCCCAACTGTCATCTACATGCAGCCAGGAGATGATAGGGAAGAGTGAGAATGCAGACATGAAGAAGCCATTGCTCTTGTAGACAAACTGATTCAAACTACAGATAGAATAAATGGGGTATCCATCAGAAGATTCATCCTATTATTATATCCTGCAGACATTCAGAACTCTAGAGCTGAAGTATGGGAAATGACACAGAAAGGACCCAAAGGAACACTGAGTCTCAGACATCCTCTCTCTTGATTCCTCCTTTGCCTTGGTTTCTTTGTTCTCATTTCCTTCCCCTCTTGTTTATTATTTTTTATTTACATTTTTTTCTTCTGACATACACTTTTCAAGAATTTCTTACATATAGTGTAAGAAAATCTAAAAAATGATTAATGCAAGTGTATTTGCTTGCCTTGCCTTTCCCAGACTATGAATTCTGGCATAACCCATTTGACATTCCTTTTTCTCTCAAACCAGCGTTATCCCTACTGGGTTCTATTACGCACATAACAGTTATAATTTTTCAGAGGAATGGGTTGTGCAAAGTAGAGATAAGACTGCTGAAAGAGTCAAGATTTATTGACCTGAAAGAGAAAAGAAGGCAGGAGAGAGAAGAGAGAGGAGTGATAACCACATAGAAGTGGAATACAGGGTGGGAGTTTTGGGTTTAGGGAGTGACATAAAGATATGGGCTTCTGAATATCCTGTGATAGACAAATTTAAAAGTTAGAGAAATAGAAGGAAAGAGGATTTTAAGAAATAATGGTGCTGTGAGTTAAGATCATCTCTTTTACTGTTCTTTAAGGGTAATTAAGTAGAAATTAAAATTACTTTTAGTTTAGAATGCTGGATTTCTTTTCTTTTAATATGTCATCATACAAAGACTGAGCCATGGAGAACTCTGAGATTTATTTGGGTTGCATAATGGTTTCAGCAGTAGACAGAAATGTGTCTTCACTTATTAAAGTGACCAAAGAAGAGATTAGTTTTCGGTTTGTCAGTATTAAATCTGCCAAGGTATTTGCATATCAGCTAGATTATCACTTGATTTAAGAGCCCACTGCTATAAACAATGGGTTGACTTTTAAAAGAGAGGTAAACTATATACAGAAAGCAACTAAATGGAAACAACTGTAAGAACTCTCTCCCCCCAAAACTTTCTGTCAGCTAAACATTACAAAGCAAATAAATCATTGATAGAAATTGTTTCTCATACAGTATGGCTTTATCTTTGCTTACATTTATTGAGTTGAAAAAATGTATTACTTTAGTGAAACACTAAGGATATATTATTTTACACACATGATACATATCTTCCATTGTTAATAAATATATATCAAATAAAAATTTTTGGAATATTTTTTCTGATACAGTAGCTCCTCCTTATATGTGGGGAATATGATCCAAGACCCCCAGTGGATGCCTGAAACTTCAGATAGTATTGAATCCTATATTCACTGTTTCTTCCTATACAGTCATAGGCAGGCAGCATATACAGCATGGATACTCTCAATGAAGGATACTCTCAATGATTCATGTCCCAGATGGGACAGAGTGGAACAGCACGAGATTTCATTGTGCTACGCAGAATGGTGCATAATTGAAAACTTACAAATTTTTATTTCCGAAATTTTTCCATTTAATATTTTCAGACTGCGGTTGACCACCACCAACAAACCGTGGGAAGTAAAACCTCAGATGAGGGAAGACTATTTTGTATTACTTATTTGCATTTTTCTATGTGATGCTACTGGTGAGGCTGGAGATATAGGTCAACCACATCTACAAGTTAACACTAATGTTAGAAGCATTCTAAACTGTTACAAAGATGCTAATGTATGTAAACATAGAGATGGCTACTGCTTTGTATATGGAATAAATAATAGTAATGGGGTGAATCCTGTATTTTAAAAGCAAATGAAATATCAATCTGTTGAATTTTGTTTTCATAGTATCATTTTTAAGTTAAATTATTGCAAAATAATAGAAAGCAAATAATTCTCTGCCTGTTTTAAAGATTGAATAAAGTTGGTGTTCCTAGAATCATTAAGTGAATTGATATATTTAGGGAGAAAGGAAATTCATACATAAAAACGAACGGCTAAGAGAGGCCATTCCTTTTCCTTAAAATAACTTTACGTTGGTATGTGGCTGGTCCAATTTTGCACAAGACCTTAGATGTGATTCTTGGTAAAATATTTTTCTCTTTCAAATCTTAGGACCTTATAATATACCTCTTAAAATTTGGAATTTACCCTACTTAGAACATTTACAGGTCTAATTTGATGATGGCCAAAGGGAATTATGTTTTCCTTCCCCAGCACATGGCATATGCAGGTAGCATTCTCCTCGTTAAATGTCAGGGTCTCTATGACCCCTTGCACAGATTTATTAGTGTAACTATTTTTTCTCTTTACCAAATACTCTTTCCTTACTAGTAGGTGTTTCAGTCCTAAATAAATCTATTATTTGTTTTTAGTTTAGCTGTATTCTATCATTCAGTAAAGAGCCCTTTATCAACAAGGAATGAATCACCAAAGTTTTATTCATATGCTTGTCTGCACATTCTTCTATGACTGTATTAATACTTTACTGATAAATTAAAGCCTTTCCATTAAGATACATTAGCAAAATTTCAAAATCCCTTCTATTTCAGATTAATAGAACTATTATTGATTGGGAATATTCACTTGTGTTTATCCAAGTTTCTTTGAAAAAAAAAAGTAAAAATATTTAGATAGATGAATAACATTATTGGAAGGGAGAAAATTATGAGAGGTAGAAGTTGAATCCAGAGGCAAGACACTGAGAATTTGAAAATATTCCAATTCATCAATTTGAAATACAAGTGAGAAGATAAAATTGTATATAGAATTAATGACAACAATTAAAGATAGACTGAATACGAAAAGGAAAGGAAAACGCTAAACCTAACACGACAAAGCTGTTTCTGAGCCTTCTTACCTCTCTTCACAGCTACACTATGACAGGACCATCAGTAGTGCTTTAAAACAGGTGAAGACAATGTTGGTAACACTATGCAAGGTGGGAAAGTAGAATAAAAGAGGATCTCGAAAGAAAACTTTAAAAAATATATGTTGAATATTTACTTTGTGATTACATAACTGGTTAGATCTCCAATCAGGGAATCGATCCTACATATTTATTTATATTTTATCATTATATATATATATATATACATATACACACAAAATATATTCACTAAATAAGGAGTGCTCTCTCCTGCTATAGATTTCTAATAGAAATATTGTAAGCTAGAAGGAATGCCATCACAGAAGACCCTGCAGATAGGAAGATATGTTGAAATTTGCAAGCAGATAATGGATCACTTATGTAACATCGTTACTTTCATCAGGTCCAGAAAGAAAAAAGTAAAAGGAGATTCAATTGAAAATTTGAAGAATGTCCTTTTAACGCAAAGGAAATAGAAAAAGTGTCTAAGATAGGACACTAAGGAGAGTGAAAAGACATTGCCTTCAAATCTGAAGTCAAAGCAAAGCTCTGTTCAAATGTTGTGCTTGGCTTCTGCAAGTCTACAGTTCTGGGTGTGCTGTGTCCAAGAAGCCAACAATATTCTTCCACAAATATTCTGTCAAAATGTAGGCTCTGAAGAAAGTCCCAGGCTTTTCCCAACTGCAAAGGCTACTGGATGATAGCAGTGAGCCTGAGGGCTGGAATACGCCCTTGCCTAGTTTCCCGAAGCCTCTACTCTGGCTGGAGAATTAAATAACAAGAACCAACTAAACCTGGGCCAGGCGTGGTGGCTCACCACTGTAATCCCAGCATTTTGGGAGGCTGAGGCGGGCAGATCACAAGGTCAGGAGATGGAGACCATTCTGGCTAACACGGTGAAACCCCGTCTGTACTAAAAATACAAAAAATTAGCCGGGCGTGGTGGCATGCGCCTGTAGTCCCAGCTACTCAGGAGGCTGAGTCAGGAGAATGGTGTGAACCTGGGAGGTGGAGCTTGCAGGGAACCGAGATCGTGCCACTACACTCCAGCCTGGGTGACAGAGCCAGACTCCGCCTCAAAAAAAAAAAAAAAAAGAATTAACTAAACCTAATTCCAATCCAGGTACATTTACTGGAAATATCTGCATAGAGTTCTCTCGTTCCAGCCCAAATCCCAGGATTTTGCAGTTTGCAAAAATATGCAGTTTGCATGTCTGTTTCTTTTAGAAATACCTGGTATGAAACCATCTATTCTATGTTCCCCTTGCCTTCCTGGATACTCCTGCTTAAGCTCTTTTGTACCTCCTCCTTCATCCAATTTGGCTCTAGGCCTTTTTCTTTCAACACTATTAACTCTCTCTCTAGGAAATCTCATCCACTCCACAGCTTCAATTTGCTGAAAACATACAAATTTATAGAATGTATTATGTTCTCCAGAGAAACAGAAGCAATAGGATAGATGCAAAATCTCTTTTAATCACCCTATGTAGCCATTTCTTAGGCCTGATGGAACAAACTGTGACAAACTAAATGTCTTAAAATAACAGAAATGCATTTCTCATAGCCTCTCATGTGTATATGAAAAGATTTGTTACTTATTGTAAGGTACTGGCTGCCGTGATTATAGAGGCTGAGAAATCCCACCATCTGCTGTCCATAAACTGCATGCCCAGGAGAGCTGGTGGTGTAGTTTGAAGGCCTGCAAACTGGTGAGTCAGTGATGTAGATTCAGACGGGGTCTGAAGACCTGAGAACCATCAGTGCTGACAGTGGAAGATCGATGTCTCTGCTCAAACAGTCTGGTCAAGTAAATTTGCCCTTCCTCTGCCTTTTTGTTCTATTGAAGTCCCCAATGGATTAAATGATGCCCATCCACATAGGGGAAGGCCATCTGCTTTACTCAATCCACCGATTCAAATGCTAATCTTCTCCAGAAACACCCTCAGAGACACACCCAGAAATGTTTCGCCAGCTATCTGGGCATCCCATGACCCAGCCTAGTTGGCACATAAAATTAACTTTCACATATAATATTTCCACTCTAGACTTCTTTTTAAGCTCCAGACCCTCATATTTAACTGTCTACTTGAACTCTCCTTGAATACCTTTAAAACTCCTCCAATTCTACATATCCAAAATTGAACTCTCCATTTCCCTGCAAGCCTTTCACATTCCCTACCCCCGAAAACAACACCAGCATCCACCCAGTTCCACAGCCAGGAACTCAGGGCCCATCTTCGCACCTCTGTTTCCCTCACCTCCTATACTTAGCCTGTTACCAAGTCCTTTATAACTTTTGAATCTGTCTAATTCCTTCCATCTTCACTATTACTGCTCAAGTCCAGAGACTTAGATTAGAAAAAATAAAAAAATAATAATTATTGAAGGTTTATTATAAACCAGGCAGACAGTCTTTTAAAACTTTACATAAATTATCTCTTATTATCACCCTATGTATTAGTTCTCTAAGGCTGACATAAAAATTACCACAAACTAAATGACTTAAAATAATAGAAATATATTCTCTTCTAGCTTTGAAGGCTACAAGTCTGAAATCAAGGCATCAGCAGGGCTGTGATCTTTTTAAAGGCTGTAGGAGAGGATCCTTCCTTGCCTCTTTTATCTCCTGGCGGTTCCAGGGATTCCTTGACTTGTGACTGTATCACTGCACTCTCTGCCCTTGTCTTCACATGGTCTTTTCCTCTGCACATGTGGCTTCCTGTCTTCTGTTTCAAATCTTCCGCCTTTTTCTTATAAGAATGTTTGTCTTCATATTTAGAGCCCACCTAGATAATCCAGAATGAGCACTTCATCTCAAGATCTTTAACTTAATTACCTCTGCATTCACAGGTTCCAGGGATTAGGAAGTAGATTTTTTTTTTTTTTAAGGGGAGTAACATTTAACTCACTACCCTTTATGAAATAAGTACAGTTATTAGTCTCACTGGATAGATGGGGCAATTGAGACTTAAAGAGTGTAAGGGATTTGCCCAGTGTCACACAGTTAATAGGTTGTAGGGACTTAAGCTTCACATATACTTTCAGAGAAACAATTTCAATACTCTTCTGAAAGGAGTAACAGCTTCAAGTAAAGTAGTTCATCCCTTGGATGTCAAATATTCCTTCTTCAATCTATTCATTACTAGACTATCCTACACCACTAGGAATAGGATACACCAGCATTTCCACCTCTAGGAATCTATTCTATGGATAAATTTGTCACATCTGATGAAACTGTTCACTGCCACATCCTTTACAATAAAAGTTATGTGAAACAACCTTAATGCCCAGCAGTAGAAGATGTTTGAATCCATTATGGCACAGCCACACAATGGGATATCATGTAGACCCCTTAAGATAAGGCTTGTCCAAATTAACACAGGAACAGAAAATCAAATACCACTTGTTCTCACTTACAAGTGGGAGCTAAACCTTGGGTACTCATGGACATAAAGATGAGAACAATAGACGACTAGAGGGAGGAGAGCAATGGCTGAAAAACTATCAGGTACTATGCTCACTATCTGGGTGACAGGATCAATCATACCCCAAACCTCAGCATCACAAAACATACTCAGATAACAAATCTGCACATGTACCCCTGAATCTAAAAGTTGAAATTATAAATAAATAAATACAATGAGACTCGTCTATAGTTAATAATGGTATATTATATACTTGAAGTTTACTGAGACTAGATCTTACGTGTCCTCACACACATACAAAAGAGGTTAATATGGGAGGTGATGGACAGGCCAACTAGTTTGATTGGGGAAATAATTTCCCAATATATAGATATATCAAAACATCACATTGTACATCTTAAATAGATGCAATGTTTATCTGCCAATCATACCTCAATAAAGCTGGAAAAATTAAAATAATAAAACTAGGCATGTCTATGCATTAGTATGGAAGAAATTCACTCAGGGTGCAGAACAGTGCATATAAAATGCAACAATTTTCTAAATAACATAAAGGAAACATATATATGCACTTTATGATATTTGAATATATAGAATATTTTCAGAAAGATAAGCCAGAAACGTGTAACTGTGTTTGTCTCTGAGAAAAGAACTGTGAGACTGAGTACAGGGAAGGAAAGAAAATTTAGTTTTCATTGTGAATTTTATTGTATTGTTTGAATTTATTTTGTGCTTGCATTACTTGAGAGAGAAAGAATATCTATGAGCTAGTTTTCACCTAATTTTCCAATTTGACCTACAACTGAATCTCATCTTCCACCTAAGTCCTTGCTTCCCAACACACTGAGTATGTCCATGTTGAGTGTGTACGCATGTGTGCACACACGTATATTTGCTGTTCTATCATTGTGGACTCTCATGTTTTCTACATGTGTAAATCCTGTCTCTCAAAAACTTTTTTTTTGGTGCAGCCTCCCTGGTCTTCAGTGTTGGAACCAGCCACTCTTCCCTTTGCACTTAAAAAGCCCCTGTTCATCCTACTTTGAATTGTGGTTATGCTTGCAAGTTGTTTACCCTCATTAAATTAACCCCTCAAGAGAAGTGTGCATCTGGTTGTCTCTGTGTTCCCCAAGGTATCAGAAACAAAGTTTTGCTGAATGCTAATCATTAATTAAAAAATATTAAGCATAAGAGTCATCTAGGAAAACCTAAGTTTTCTATGCTATCCAATTGTAAGGGGGCTAGAGGAAAATATCTAGCCCAAATATAGGAATTCTACTTAGCAAAAAATATCTAAAGGAACAAAGAAGATCCCAAAAGCTAAAAATTAATCCAATATTGTGTATCACATTGGATTATTATAAGAGATGTAGGTGAAATGCTTTAAATACATAGTAGAGGTAAGAGAAGAAGAAAAAATGACTTCAGTTATAATTCAGGAAAGATCGCTCTTGACATTTTTATTTGTTTGTTTTTAGCCAAACAAAACCTGGTTGCAAAATAGCCTAACAGTGATTTGATTATACGGCAGGCTACTTCTCAGACTGAGACTAACACCCACCTCCACCTCTGTTGCCTCCCCACTACCTGCACTGAAGATATACATCAATGCAGCTCACTGTATTTGCTTTATAACTGCATTTCTGTGTGTGCAAAATTTCCCAAATCATATTATAAAATGACTGTAATTTCTTTTTTGTTACTTACTTTTTACCATCACTTAAACCTATTTCCTCTTGTCCTTGTTGATATGGGCATATGGAGGGCCATATTACTCTATTTATTTAATTTTCACATATCCCAAAGCACTTCATAGTAATTGATTACATACCACTGTACCTTCAATAAACAATAAAACCGATTTTTAAAATGCTTCTAGCATATTGCTATTCTGCTTTAATCTCAGTAAATAGGCACACCTATGTCAGGCCTAACTCATTTCTATTGGCCTTGTAATAACATATAGGAAAATAAAATAAATATACTAAAATAAAAATTAAAAATGGCAGTGATTAAAAGTTTAGCTTACTGTTAATGCTGTTTCATATTCCTCAGCAGCTAAGTGTGCTAAGCCCAAGTAGTAAGAGGCTTCCGCTTCCATCTTTTTGTCACTTCCTGAAGTGAAGATGTAAAAAAATTACCAAGTATTCAATAAATGATTTATTACAACAAACAGAATCCTTGCTTTTCAAGACAGTAGAAAATTATTTTTAAAAGTATGCAGTTTTATCAATAATCCCCAAAACCTAGCTATATACTGAAAAAAAAAGGCTGATGTAAACACAATTTACCTGGATCATAGATATTAAATTAAGATGCTTTAAGGATATAATTATATACCTCATACATGACATACCTCATACCATTTGGCAAATATATAACTTGCTTATATTTAGTTTATAAAGGGGTTTCCCTTTATAAACACAGCCCAATATTATCATTTTGACATTCATGTATAATTTTTATACTAGTCCAGCATGTAAAGGCTTACAGTCATCTAGCATAGTTGCTGCTACATACATAAAACAACTGATAATGGATAACAACCTTAAATGGTGCACAAACATTCATACTCAATCACATGGACTGACATTCAGCTAAGTTTCTAACTGCAGATAATTCACAAATTAATGAATTTTTATTTTGATTATGTTCTGTTTAAGAGCTACCGCATGTTCTCACTCATAGATGGGAATTGAACAATGAGAACACATGGACACAGGAAGTGGAACATTACACTCTGGGGACTGTTGTGGGGTGTGGGGAGTGGGGAGGGGTAGCATTAGGAGATATACCTAATGTTAAATGACGAGTTAATGGGTGCAGCACACCAGCATGGCACCTGTATACATATGTAACTAACCTGCACATTGTGCACATGTACCCTAAAACTTAAAGTATAATAATAATTAAAAAAAGCTATTGATTAAAGAATAGGTGAGAGTAACTGACAGCTTAATTTCCTGGTACAAAATTCCATGCATATTTGAAATCCAAACACTTTTCTTTACTAATCACTGGTAATGCTTTTCATCATTTTTTCTGCAATAAAGTTAGTCTTTCTAATTCCTGCAATATCTTACTAATTTTATTTCAGAAATTAACCACTTCTTTCCAAAAGCAAAATGCGTAAAGATACAACATGGTTCAACATGACATACCTCATACCATTTGGCAAATATATAACTTGCTTATATTTAGTATATTAAATGTAACATTGGCTTCCAATGTGACTAACTCCTGACTAATGCAAATGCTGAGTGATCTAACCTTAGTTTTTGGTCTTTGGAAAGCAAGTGATACGGTTTTGGTGTTTGTCCTCTCCAAATCTCCTGGTAGAAATGTGATCCCCAATGTTGGAGGTGGTGCCTGTGGAAGGTGTCTGTCATGGGGGCAGATCCCTCATGAATGTCTTGGTGCCATCCTTATGGTAACGAGTGAGCTCTTGCTCTATTAGTCCACATGAGAGCTGATTGCTTTAAAGAGCCTACCATCTCTCTTACTCCTTCTCTCGCCATATGACATGCCTGCTCCCCTTCGCCTTCTGCCATGATTGGAAGCTTCCTGAACCCCTCACCAGAAGGAGATGCTGGCACCATGCTTCTTGTACAGTCTGTGGAGCTTTAAGTAAAAAAAAAAAAAAAAAAAAAACCTCTTTTCTTTATAAATTACCCACCCTCAGATATTCCTTTATAGAAATGCAAAATAGACTAATACAGGAAGTATCCTTAGATTTCTGAGCTCCACATTCCAACCATGAAGGATGTCAGCAGGAACAATATTTCTTGCTGCATTCACTCTCACCACTCACCAAATAACCGCTGCTGAAGCAGCGGCTCTTTGAAGACTTCAAGGAAATAGGATGGCAAATGCCAGTGACAGTATTTTTTTCTTCTCTAGCTATTTCCCTGATTGCAGAGAATTATACCTTCAAGATCTCACTTTAGCAGAGTTGATGATGCCAGTAATCCACTAAGGGGAACTTTAATTCTTAAAATTCAGCTGGGCCCTAACTTTTTCTCTGGTACAGGATTATGGGTTCTGGGGATAAATGTGGGACTAGTGAAGGGAAAAACAGAATAGAAGAACGAGGCTATGACAGGAAGCTACTTATTAGAGAGTTAAAAGTTGGCTGTATGTGGTATGTATTTTCTGTGTCAAGTGGTGTAACTGTGTTAAAGCACTAGCAACTGGCCGGGCTGATATGGCACCATCATCTGCATCTAATTTTATGTGAGTGGAAGCTCAGCAAAGAGGGGAAAGGAAAGAAAACATCTATTGCTACTGATACAGTTTGGAAACACCAAATATTAGTTTTTAAATAGTATTTAAGCATGAGAACTTTTCTTGTACATGAATAGAAACAAAGTTAAGATAAAATGAAAGCAATAACATAACAGAGAAAAATGTCGGTAAGAATAGGATTAAAAACAACCAAAAAGAAAAGGTTAGATCTAAAATCTTGGCACTACTAAAATTGAGTGACACATCAAAACTTATGTTTTAGAGGACAGAGACATAAAGAGAGAGAAAATAAATAATAAAGAATAATTATGTGGTAAGGTGTATGCTGACAAATGTTCCAGAGGGAAAATAGAGCAAGGTAAGGGGAATTGGGAGAGCCAAGTGGGGGTCCAGAGGACAAAGCAGGTTTCAATATTAAGTATGGTCATCAGAGTAGACTCCATTGAAAAGGTGGTATTCACAATACTGTGAAATTAAAAATACATAATGGAATTAAATTTGGGAAACTTGCACGTATGTGGAAATTAAAAATTATCCTAAATAAACAATGGGTCAAAGAAGAACACAAGGTAAACCAAAAAATACTCTGAGATGGATGAAAATGAAAACACAACAAACCAAAATGTATGGGATACAACTAAGGTGTGCATAGAGGGACATTTATAGCTATAAATGTCTATATTTTAAAATAAGAAAGTTCTTTCCACCTTATAAAACTAGAAAAAGAGGATACAACTACACTCAAATCAAACAGAGGGAAGGAAATAGGAAAAACTTGAGTGGAAATGAATAACATAAAGAATAGAAAAACCATAGTGAAAATCAACAAAACAAAAAATGATCCTTTGAAAAAGTCAACAAAATTAACAAATGTTTAGTTAGACCAAACAAAAAAGAAAAAGAAGAAACCCTTAAATTATTAAAATCAAGAATGAAAAAAGGTAAATAACTGTAGGCCTCACAGAAATGAAAAGGATTATAAGAGAATTTTGTGGACAATTACATACTAACAAGTTAGATAAAGTAGATGAAATAGACAAATTCCTGGAAAGATACAAACTACTGAAATTGGCTCAAGAAGAAATAAAAACTCTGAATAAATTCATAACAAGTAAAGTAACTGAATTAGTAATTTAAAAACTTCCCATGAAGAAAAGGCTAGCCAGGCTCAGATGATTTCACTGCTGAATTTTTAAAAAATATTTTAAGAATTAACACCAATCTTTTACAAACTTTTTAAGCAATTAAGAGAAAACACCTCCCAAATCATTCTGCGAGACCAGTATTATTTTGACATCAAACCAAAGACATTACAAGAAAAGAAAACTATAAACTAATGTCCCCTACGAATATAGTCACAAAAATCCTTAACAAAATTACTCACAAAGCCAAATCAGTAACATATAAGAAGGATTATACACCACGATCAAGTGGAATTTAGCCCAGCGATGCAAGGTTGGTTCAACATATGCTAATCAATTAGTATAATATAACATATTAATAGGATAAAAGACAAAAACACATGACCTTCTCAATAGATGTAGGAAAAAAACATTTTGCAAAATCCAACCCCCTTTCATGTTAAAAACCCTCAACAAACTTGGAATAGAAGGGAATTTTTTCAATGTAGTAAAGGGCATCTACAAAAAAACCCTCAGTAAATATCATACTTCTGTTTAAAACTGTTGCACTAGAGGTTCTAGTCAGATAAATTAGGCAAGAAAAGATAAGGCACATAGATAGAAGGGAAGCAGCAAAACTTTAATTGCAGATACCATAGTCTTGTATATAGAGAATCCTAAAGAATCCATAACAAACTGTCAAAGCTAATAAATGAGTTTAACAAGGTTGCAAGCTATAAGATCAATATAGAAAAGTCAGTTTTATTTCTACATACAGGTTATGAACGATCTGAAAATGAAATTAAGAAACAATTCCATTTACAATAGCATCAAAAGAATAAAATATTAAAAATAAATTTAACAAAAGAAGGCAGTACATATACACTGACAACTATAAAAATCATTGAAAAAAATTAAAGAATATTTAAATAAATAGACAGATATCCCATATTCATGGATTGAAAAACTTAGTTTGAAGATGGCAATATTCCCTAAATTGATTGACAGATTCAATGCAATTCCCATCAAAATTCCAGCTCCCCTTTCTGCAGAAATTAACAAGCTGATCCTAAAATTCACATGGAAATGCAAGTGTTGAAAACAACTAAAGCAAACTTGAAAAAGAACAGTATTACAAAGCACATTTCCCAATTTCAAAACTTACTACACAACTAGAGTAATAAAATCTATGTATTCTTGTAGTTGTAAGTTAGACAAGAGAGATCAAGGCAATAGAATTGAGAATCCAGACACAATCTCCACATTTATGGTCAAATGATTTTATGTAGGGTATCATTACAATGTATTGAGAAAAGAATAATGTTTTCAACAAGTAGTACTAGTACAATTGGATATCCACTTTCAAAATATGAAGTCGTACCCTCCTCACACCACATGTGCACACACACACACATGAAAATAGATGATAAGATTAAATATAGTTAAAACTAAAAACTCTTAAAGCATAGGAGTAAATCACTGTGACCTTGCATTGGTCAAAGCCTTCTTATTGATGATATCAGAAGCAAGAACAGCAAAAGAAAAACTAGACGAACTGAACTTTATCAAAATTAAAAACTTGTGCTTCAATGAATACCATCAGGAAGTGAAAATAAAACCCACAGAATAGGAGAAAATATTTTCAAATCGTATATCTGATGAAAGACTTGTATATAAAATATATACAGAATTCTTAAAACTCAATAATAAAAAAATAACCCAATTAAAACTGGGCAAAGAATCTGAATAAAAACGTCTGCCGAGAAGATATACAAATGGCCAAGAAGCACATGAAAAAAAATGCTCAATGTTACGGGCCAACAGGGAAATGCAAATAAAATCTAAAGTGAGATACCACATTACACCTACTAGGATGAGTATAATGAAGAAGATAAAAGTAAGAAGTGCTGCTGAGGAAATGGCTAAACTTAAACCCTCACATAAAACTAGTGGAAATGTTAAATGGTGAAGCCACTTTGGAAAACTGGCAGCTCCTCAATAAGTTGAACACAGTTATCATATAACCCAGCGATGCCACTCCTAAGCATATAATCAAGATCTTTGAAAAGTTGTACACAAATGTTCATTCCAGCATTATTCATAATAGGCAAAAGGTGGAAACAACTCATATGTCCATCATAAATGAATAAAGAAAATGTGGTATAACCATGCCATAGAAGGCGATTTGGCCCTATATGATGGATGAACCTTGAAAACATTATGTTAAGTAAAAGGTGTTGGCTGATGCTACACTTGTGCATTACATCAACGTACCCTAACAAAGGAATTGGCCAACGGTTGGTGTCAGTATCGCTTAAATACCATGTAAACCAATGTGAGGGGCATGCTTTATTCAGGTAATCATCAGCTTGCTCCTTCAGGCTCCCTGATCAAAGTAGGAGACAAGAGTAAAGGGATGCTTTGTCCCAGAATATTTACCCTCTTTAAGAGCTCTGTAAAGTATTGTGTAATCCTTTAACCTATGTACTTTCTTAGATGAAAAATGTGGGGACAAATATTTTTTGGTTTTAAAAGATATTAAAAACTATAACAGTGTAAGAAGTAAGTCTTCTCTTCTCCTGATCTGATCTTTGGTAAGAGAGAGATATTTTTTGAAAGAAGACTGCTTGACAGGCTCTGACTGTTGGAAGAGACCCAAGGAACTTTTCTTTCTTTGTGAACTACCTTAAAACTTAGCAAATGTAAACCTAAAGTAACATATCTTTTCCTAATCAATGCATTCCTTTTCATTGAAATTCCATGTAACTTTCCATGTGACTAAAGTTTGCTGCTGAAATTGATATAAGAGCTAACTCTGTGTTTACCCCTTTGGGGGAAGGTACTAGACCATTTATTCAAAAGCAGTTCATTTAATGAGATACATCTTTCAGGGGGTGATTTCCTGTGAGTATGTTGACTAATATTATTAAAAGAAGTTACAGGGAGACTAAGCTGTTTATTTTTCCTCTTTAGTAAATTAAAATTACACCCAGAAAATCAGTCCTGCTCACTCTTAATAAGCCATCTATTACTTAATAAACCAATCAATTAAATATATCCATAAGCTAATAAACTTTAGTTCAGGAGCATAACTTTTATCTTTTTCTCCTTCCTGAAAAGGCTACTCTAGTAATAATTTACTATATGGTAACAAAATATCTGTGCATTTCACAAATTAAAAGCTTATAAGAATATGCTCCAAATTTTTTCTTTATATTTTATACATACAGAAATGATATAGACTATGAAAGACATGAGCAGCTCTCATAGAAGCATTTTTACTGCTTTAAGTGTGCATATACATCACCTGGGTATCTTGCTAACCTGAGGATCCTGCTGCAGTAGGTCTGGGTTGGGACCTGAGACCCTGGCTGTTATAACATATTGAAGCTGCTGTTCCAAAGGCCACATTTTGAGAGGCAAAAAGGTCTCAAATATGTTACAGTCCTATTTTCCTGTTACTAATAACTAAATATATATCATATTTTCCTTATTACCTGACCATGGGGAATTTACAAACAATGAAAGGTCTCTAAGACTGCAAGGAATATACAACCACATACACACATGCGCATGCACACACACATGCTTAACTTTTGCAGATGATCTTACCTGCTCACTTTAGGTTCTTTGTTTTACAACACTACCCCCAGCGGATTGTAATTTTGGAGATAAAGCTTTCAGGAAACTAATGGATTTCTTGTTGTCAGCACTAAGGCACCTTCGTTTTACAGTGAAATTTGAAAGTAAATTGATGGCATTTGTCTTTGCATTTCATAGGAAATAATCACCCTAACACTTGACGATTTTTACTTCACTCTTGGGAGAAACAGTGTCTACCCATTAAAGAAAGCAATGTGAGAGAGTTCTTTTCCACCCACCTTCTTTGGCTATTTCAGAAGCTTTTATTAGAATTTTGATGGCCTGTTTGTATTCTTTATTTTCTAGCATTTTGTCTGAGAGTAATCTGTAAGTCCTCAGGAGACTCTCACAGGCCAACAAGTTGAGAGAGCGGCCTGTCTCATCCTTCCATATCCGCCCCTGTGTCAATTGATGGAATGCTTCATAATGCTCAGCAGCTTCCAGAAGCTGACCTGGAGAATAAAAGCCATTCATAAGTATAAACCAGAGGACGGAACGTATTTTCAGAAATTTTGCATACGTTTTAGCTTTATTATTCAATGGAGAAACACCGAGGATTATGGTGAAGGATTTCTAAGGCTGAAGATGAATTAAACTGGGAAAGGAGTGATCTCTAATTGGACCTCAGTTTCAGCGTGAATTTTAGATACACACCTGCAAGAGGGATGTACTCTGGCTAGTAGAAATTTACTGGGCTTGCATATGTTTAGAGAGGGTGTAAAAGGCCAGCAATATTTATTAATAGCCATCATATTGGCTAATATTTCTTTAACATTATGTATGCCATGCACTCTGCTGTGTGCTTTATATGCATTTCTCATTTAATCCTCAAAACAATCCAATGGAGTAGGACTGTTCTGATTTCATATTACAGAATAGAAAGCCAAAATTTAGTAAGGTTAAGAATTTTGCTCAAGATGGCAAGTCTGGTGCTATAACATCCAGGAAATCTAACTCTAGAGCTGATACTCTCAACCAATATCCTCTACTGCTTTTCCAACAGATGACAATTTCATCATTCTTTTTTTCTTTTCTTTTCA
Organism: Homo sapiens; assembly: GCF_000001405.40. Lineage (NCBI taxonomy): Eukaryota > Metazoa > Chordata > Mammalia > Primates > Hominidae > Homo > Homo sapiens. The sequence continues at coordinate 146,875,517 of NC_000004.12, forward strand.
CTCTGTCACTCAGGCTGGAGTGCAGTGGTGCAATCACAGCTTACTGCAGCCTTGAACTCCTGAGCTCAAGCGATCCTTCCACCTCAGCCTCCCAATTTCATCATTCTTAAAAAAGAATGCATCTGTTACAAACTTCAAATCCAAACATTATGGCGCCTTAAACTGCTTCTCAAAGTTTGACTGGACTTTCCAATGAGGTTTTTGTATATGCTGTTTAGTTTTGGATAATTAGAATGTAACTAACTGCCTTTTTGGATTTTACCCTATAATAAAATCCAAAATATATCTTCTCCAAGCTAAAATTCCAAATTAGCTGTAAGTAATTTCTTTCCTTAAAATATGAGCAAACATATTTCTGGAAGAATAGTTTGCAGCTCCATACAGTGGATTGTATTTTATTTGTTAATTGCCTCATGGGAATGCTCACAATATCCTGAAATGTAAATACTCTTTTATGGTATTGGAGTTACATAATTGGAATTGATACAAAGAACACTTATATCTAGGCACTCCAACCATAGTGGTTAAGAGTGAGTGTGGGCTCCGAGCAGACAGCCTGTTCCTAGCCCAGCTTTCCCAGTTTTTGTTTAGCCTCAGGCTAATTACTACTCTCTCTGTGCCTTACTTTATTCTTCTGCAAAACAGGATTACTGTGTAACTTTTTGAGGTACTATTGTGAGAAATGAATTCATGCATGTACAATTATATGTTACAGGGTAGGTGCTCAAGAAACACGGCTAATGTTATCAATTGGTACAGTAATAATATCTTCAGAAACTCCAGCAGGCAAATTGAAATATAGCCACTAATTTACCATGTTTATTAAGTATAACTTACTCTTCCCACAAAAACCAAAAATTAGTTGAGTCCCTATAATAATAACATCATGACATATTAAATTAACCTATGCAGGTTATATTAGACTCAATATCTTTCCTCAAATGAATTTCATTGAATAGTGTGGGTTGGAGCTACTTCCATGACTATTGCATATAATTTCTTCCTATTTGTTGCATTGAATTTGTTACCAGAATGAGTATTAAAGAATGCACATAGAAATAAGAATAGTATTCTCAAAGAAAAACAACCAGTGGTGGTGGATAATCAGTAAACGGTCTGTAGAAAAATTCAGTAGACAGGCCAGGCACAGTGGCTCACGCCTATAATCCCAGCACTTTGGGAGGCTGAGGCCTGTGGACCACGAGGTCAGGAGTTCAAGACCAGCCTGGCCAACATGGTGAAGCTCCGTCTCTACTAAAAATACAAAAAAGTAGCCAGCCATGGTGGTGCACACCTGTAGTCCCAGCTACTTAGGAGGCTGAGGCAGGGGAATCGCTTGAACCCAGGAGGTGGAGATTGTGGTGAGCCGAGATCATGCCACTGCACTCCAGCCTGTCAACAGAGCAAGACTCCATCTCAAAAAAAAAAAAAAAAAAAAGCAAAATTTAGTAGACATGGACAGTCTAAGTCCTTGCTGAGCCGTGCAGGAGGACATGTCAGCGAAGATACATACAGAAGGGGCAATGTGTACTGCAGACTTGTTTATAAATTTATATTATGAAACTTCACATGATAGGAGACTGCAGGCCATGAGTAGGATATTATAGAAGCCGATCTTGTTACATAAACAAGTGTTTATAATAAGTAAATATATTAGGAAACATAAAAAAACATTTAGAAAGCATTATCAGTGTTATGTCTGGGAGGTAGGATTATGGGTAACTTATGGTTTATTTTCTGATTTTCTGTTTTCTTTTTCTTGATTTTTTTTCTGTTTGCTTATTAGCATTTCCTAAAGTTTCTATCATCAAAGCATGTTTATTTTGTCATCAGGATATACAATGAAAGTTATTTAAGAAATAATGCTCAGTACCTTTTTCACATTGAGACCAATACTCAAGGTTGAAGTTCATGGCTCTAATCTATCTTTACTTTTAGCTGATATTTTTTCTTACCTTCCAGAAAAACAGGCATAGTTTTTCATCTCTCCCACGTAGCACCTCTTGCCAGAAACACCTTGCTCCAAATACCCATGACCCTCATTTTTTAAAACTAGAATGGAGCATTGACATATCTGTGTGTTATATTTCCTCTGTTAACTATATTTCTGCCTATGAAGTATAGCACTGTAGCCCTGGAAAGATGTATACAAGAGTTCCTTTTCTTTTTTCATCTAGCGTCCATCTATTCATAAAGTACAGACACATATTTCTTTTTGGCCATGTAAGTGGGGAGAAGGGATGTAGAATACTGTGAGAAAAACAGATAGTTCCAGAATAGATATGGATCATAAAGGAAATGAAGTTCTGGGTAACTCAATTAGAATTAGAGGCAAATGAGGTATAATGATGTAAATAGCAAATGAGAACTGATATCCATCTCCAAAATTTGATCTATATGGGGGCAGAAAGGGGAGGTGACAGGAGGGTCAAGTAGGAAAAGGAGAAGTGGAAGAAATCAGGACAAAATGGGAGGTGGGAAGAGTGGAGGGAAGGCTGGGGCTGTGTCTTCGTATTCCTTATCCGCCAGACGTCCTCTGTGTTACCTTACTGAGTCTTGGGTTGCTGTTAGGTGTCCTGGATAAGGCTGTCCAAGCAGGAATGAAGTGAGGATGGTCCTCAGGACACTGGTTTCAGCTGGTGACTACAGAAGGCAACCTTGGGATGGTTAGAAATAACAGTAGCTTTTCGGTTGGATTTGCTTTTTGCTAGAGCTTTCAGGGCTAGTATCAATATACTACTTAGTTCATGGTTATTGGCCAAAGTTCAGCTTTCAGAAGGGTCTATTTGGAGTCTTCCCTGAGGACGGAGCCTGAGATGCTTGGGTAAAAGAGAACAGTGACCTACTCTTTCCTGAAGGCCTATTAGGTGCTAGTCAAAATGCAAGGCTTTTCTCTCCCCTACACATTAACTTAATGAACATTCCAAAAACTGGTGAAGTATATATGATAGTTGCTTTTTCACTAAAGAGGAAACTGAGACTCACAAAGTTTACATGACTCAAATATATGCTCCAGAGTTTTCATAAGTGATGATTAGGATTTAAACCCAAGGTCACCAAAAGCCCACACAACTGGTTCCACCACATCAGATACTAGTCAACAGATCGAGAGCCAGGAAACTTAGGTGGAGTGAGTTAAATTCTCTGGACATGAATCTCTTGTGTTAAAAATAATGATCAAATTTGCATGATTCCTAGTCTCTTCCAGTTCTATAATTCTCTGACTTTGCTCAGGCCATCATAGGTCACCTCTAAGAAAAACACAGATGTGAGCCCCTAATGTGTTTCTGATTGGTCTTTCTGAAGAAACTGTTATATAACCAGCTATATCTGAATTCTCTGCTCTCTTCTAAGCCATGCAGTGACATCTGTGGGGGGCTCTGGAATTCCATGGGTACACTCGACTCAGGCACCTGTGGCCTCATCTCACTATTCATGGTTTCATTTCCCCTTGCTTCACCATTTTCCCACAGATGAGGTCAGTGGGGTCCTGATTAGTAGTATTTTAAATGGAGGTCCCTACTACACAGAAGCAGTTTTCCAGTCCTTCTCATATGTAGGGATTCATTTCTAAAAGTATTTGGTGGCAGTAAATAAGCCAGCAAGAAGATAAGCCAGCAAAGATTTGATCCAAATGACCACAAGCACACAAATGACTTATCTGCAATTTCTAAAGGCTGGCCAGAATTTAAAGCATATATTATGATATAGTAGAATATTTGATTTAAAAATATTAAAAGATATGCCCATGCTATGAAGAGAGCATAATAATTTAAATATGCAAGCATTTCCCTTTAAGCATGATTAACAATGATATGATTTCCATCCAATTTCTATTTCCAACTGTGAATTGGATTTTTAAAATCATCTTATTTTCTGAGTAACGGTTCTGATATTAAGACTAGATATTTATTAAGACATAATGCATACTGCTTTTAACTGAAAATTTTAAATTCAATTTACCTGAGAGAAATATTATAAAAGACCTCAATATGGTGATCACTTTTACTAAGCTAAATATAAATATCAATGTAGATAATGAATCAGATTTTCTAACATGGCTTATAGCATTCCTTTATAACTTCTACAAAGCTTTCATATTTAGTGTACCTTTTGGCACCAAATAAACTTTAACACAGCAGGATCTAGAAATCTCACTTGGTTCTGATGTCAATCTTTTAGAAGGACAAGAACAAGTGTTTAAGTGTCCAAGGACTGTCCTCCTCTGGAATTATCAAGTGTTGACATTATTTTCCATCAAGGAATAGGGACAGCAAAAAGTGGAATAATTTTACCAACGTATCACAAATACAAAGGTTAACAGAAAACAGGACAAAAAAAGAAGGCCTGGGGACTATTCACAGGTATTAAAGTCTTTGTAGGGGAAAGTGAGTTTTATCATGGTGCACCAGGAATCACCCACAAATCTTCATCATCACTGTGAGTAACCAGATCACAGTGGTAACCACAGTAAGGAAGACACACTAACTGCTGAATTAAAGGCCTGCATGCATGGCTCTATACCAAGCAAAAGTCCAGATAGTCCACCAACATTTCATGTGAACCAGGGAAGAAAATAGAGCCAAAATGTTTTGTTGGAGAGGCTGGGGATTGCCCTCCACAAATACCCTTAGTAGTCAATTTATTTCAATAATACGAAGTAGGATCAGAAAACACAGCTTAGGAGAACACTGTGAACAACTGCATCAAACAAGAGTATCCAGGTATGAACAGAAATAGCCTAAGCCTCAGTTTTGTTTTGTTTATCAATTATATGACATCTACATAAACAATGAGGAGTTTGGCATGCATTTATAGTTTTTTACCTAAAGGAACAAGCACTCAAAATAAAACTACTACAAGGGAGTTTTACTTTATCTAAAGCCCACACAAACAAGAAATCTATCCGTTTATTTAAAAATACAAACAAAACCCAAACAATGTTGTAAACTGCAAAATGCTTGGTAGAATGTTAAGACAAACACGATGTAGGGAAAATAAGATTTTATATAGTTGGGTATTATCCAAATTGTTGCTTACCCTCTTCCCTGCACAACATCTTTGCAAGTTTATAGATATTTGTTGTATCACAGCAGATGTCTAGAACAAATATTAAGCAAAGGAGAATGTATATGATCTCTCCCATTTTAGCTTTTTTTTAAAGTAGGAAGATTGACTAGATATTAACACAAATGGGTTTAAATGTGAAGCTGCCATAAAGGCAGGAACATAAATGTAATTCTCCCAGCCGCTATTTTGATGCACATTTTTGATTCTATGAATATTTTATGAAATGGCCCAAACTAAAGCCATATAACATTCCTGTATTACTGATGCTTGCGCCCGTAAGCTACGAACATTAGAGGCATGATTGAGTGCATTAAAATGAACTCATTCAGCAGTGCATTGATTACTTGAAGGGGGAGGGAAACAAAAAAAGAAAAAAAAGGAAAAAAAGAAGTTGCTCCACTTAAGAAAACAGCATACAAATCTAAAGTTTGCAACGCAATAAGGGCAAAAGCAAGTTTAAATAAAATAATATCTCATAAATACAGCATGACTCTGTCCAGATCTGACATTAATTAGACAAGGTGTTAATTATGTCCAAAGATGGCTGCTGGTATTGTTCAGGTAATTTAAAATGTCACAATCTCTAAGACGCATAGACTGGTCTGTTTTAGCTCCATGCATCAGCAATTCTGAAAATAGCTAATTATTTCCTTTTCTATCGACTTGTACATTTGCCAGTAAAAACAATGCTGCAGAAACAATTGCATAAAAATAATTTGACAGATCCATAAGACCTATTTCTTCAGCAGCACTGGTATAAGTCTTAAGCATATTTAGTTCAAAATTGTGCACATTTGCTGAAGACTTTAGGGAAATATTCCACTTTAGTTTAAAACAACAACCTAAAGGAACAATAAAGCTTTACGTGTATTATATTACATTTTAATCTAGAGCTACTGGACATCTTTGGTGTAAATTACTATTCTGTACAACATAGAGATAAAATCTGCTAGAAGCAATATTGAACAGTAGCAAAAAGGGAAAAATGTTATTGCCCCTTTGCAAAAACAAAAGACACTGCTTTCCATTTTGGCTTAACTGCATGAACAATTTATATTATCTTTAGGTTTTTACATTTAATTATGATAATTATAACGGCACTACACATGCTGAAATAGTTAAGGGCTTGCCACACTTCCAACAGAAACTATCACTTTCAAGGGTTTATCTCCTGTCACAAGAGATTTGTTGTGCACTATAACCCACTGCACACCATTGCAAAATGGAACACTGGAAAACAAAGATTTTGTTCTGTAACTCAATAGCATCCCTAATACACTGAGAAGAAAATGTGCCCATAACTTTTGAGTAGCTACTTTTAGATATTTAGATGAAATATAAGATGCTAGTTTAAAAACGGAATCCTCTCTTTGTCATTTGGAGTGCTGATTTCAAATGGACGTTATAGGAATGCTACCCCACACCAGTTAAAGAGTATCGGTCATATTGACCAGACAATGTAAAGAATCCCATGTAGACAGGTTTGGGAGAACCTCACCCAGGGTTTTATTACTGATGATGGAAATAAAAGTTCATTTTTTTAAATCCAGAAAATTTGCCTAGATCTCCAAAATATTCCGGAGGAAGTGTTATTAATTGTTGCTGCTTATGATTTTAGATAGCTGAATTGTGGCCAGTGAGCAAGTCTGACTGCTCTTGGCCAATAAACCTCCCACAGTTGGTTTCAATCTAAGTTTTGTAATTTCTAAAGATAAGCATTAGGCAGCTTTACTCTTAAAAGAGCATAATTGGAGGTATCAAAGTTACTCAAAAAATTTATTGAAAAATGTAACGTGTATAATGTATAAAAAGTAAGGAATTTATATTAGCCATTTTGAAACTTGTATAGTTGGTAGTCGACTATTTTCCTCATATAATAAATTGTTTTACTTTAATGTTCCCACCTTATCTTAAAATACTAACTAAAAAGTGTCGATAGGTATAAACATCTGAGGATAAATAAAGTTAATATTGACATTAGATCAACTATTGAATTATATTTGCACAGGCTTTAATCAATAATGTAATTTTTACTTGAATTATATATTGCTCATGATTTTATATAAAGCACACTCAATTTGATTTCTATATGTTTATGTGAGCAAAGAGAAAGGTGCGGAAGCATCTATGCCGAAGTATCAGTATTGATTATTGAAGATGGTGACGAGGAGAGTGAGGAGAGTTAACTTTCCCCCTCCACTTCTTTGTTTTGATGGATGATTAACGTGTTATTTTGGATATTACGACAAAACCCAAAAAACTGAAAATAAGATATTTAGATGAGTATGGAGGGAGAGAAATAATGTTGGTTGAACTTCTACTATGTGCCAGGCGTGACACTAGCTGCTGCTCTCTCTCTCTCTCTCTGTGTGTGTGCACATGTGTGTATGTGTCTGTCTGTGTATAACCTTACTTCATCACCCTCAGGTGTTAGTATATTTTTGAGATGAGGAAACTGAGCCTCAGGAATTCTCTTGCCTAAATTCACATACTCAGTAGGTGGTGAATCAATGTCCAAAGTCTACTGTGACTTTACTTCTTCAGGGTCACTCCCCTTTTTAGAAAATGGGTCAAGTATTTAACTTCAAAGCCAGAGACCAGGTTTTGGCCATCTGCCCCAGTGATATCATTGGACCATTCACACACTACTTCTGAGCTTCCTTTCCTTAAGAATTCTGAAGTATGGGTAACTATGCCAAGCTCCAGATGTAGTTGCAACGGGTGCGGAAACAATTGTTAGCACCTTGCTCAGTGCCTGGTGCCTCACAGACATCCAATAACTTTTCACGTGGAGTTATATAGTTTCTTTTTGTTTTTTTTTCAAGTTTGCAATTTGTTGTGAATCTGGATGGGCCTTTTATAGGGAATACCCCTGTTAAAGGTTATGGAATAATATCAGTTTTTCAGATTAAATGCCAGTTGAGGCACTAATTGGAAACAGCACACTTCATCCAACTCTAACACAATAAATAATCCTTACACTCCTGGTCAGTTGTACCTCTGAAGAGATATTTTAGGGGCAGTGCCTCTTCCTAGACAGAGGAAATACTGCCTCCTGAACAGTTTATTCAGTGTAGCAAGAACTGTGGGCTCGGTGCAACTATTCAAGATCTCCTTGCAAAGCTTTGAAAAAAGAAAAACCTGCTGCAGAGCAGGCACCTTTGAATGAGGCTTCCTCTCCGTGCTACTCGTTAAGCAGTAAATAATTAAAACACCCTGAAAAAGACAGGTAAAATACAAGCAGCAATGTCAGTATCACAGACATGAAAGAGAAGGGGAAGAAAATGAATTGAAAAAAAAGAAGCAATGAAATAATTCATTTGAAGCTCTAATAAAGTTTCATTTGCAGTCTTGTTTAAAGATATATCAGACTTTAGGGATGTAACCCAATTACATTTTTATTCTAAATTCCATTCAAAGATCTTGGACTTTGATTCTTTAACATAGATCAAACATGGTATAATTTTCTTGTGGCTATCAATACTTAAAAAGGATCTCTTCATTAAATACTATAAGGTCTTATGAACATGTACACATAGTAGATGAAGAATAAACTGACATGCCCCAAAAAGTGACAATTAATTTATGTAGAAATAGGAATGCTAATCCACTTCTTTAAGAAAGTTTCTAACTATCAAATTCACTTTCATTCAACTATAAAGTGACTCAGTTTCTAACACTGGTCTAGTTGGACGCACCTTCGAAAATGTTTACTAGGGTTGGCTTTCTAAATCCATTCTTGGAATTTACTCTGAAAAATGAAGTGTGCATATAGTGGCAGTGGGAAGTAGTTAGCCTCTAAATCACACAGACATTAAAGAGGAGGTGCTTTCAAGAGACCTGCAGTTTGAGTGTTAGTGAAGGGTATATTACAATCATCAATGCTTTACACTTAGGAACTAGTTTGATTGGCTTTATTCCATGTTGTTACTAGGAAGCCTGAATGGAATAATGTGTTTGCTCTTCCAGGGAATCTTTTTGGAAAAATTTCCTCCAGAGGGACTTTTAAGATGCAAATTTGGAAGCAGTTTACAAATGGGGGAAATGAACAAGTAGGATTTATTTTTTGACTATGAAGAGAAAAAATGCTCCCAAGGAACTTGCTTAGTTGTACAAAAGGTGTAACGAGACTGGAAAGTACACTAGGATTTAACACCCAGATAGAGAAACCTACAGAGAGCTTTGGTCATGACTCAGCTGCAGCCATTAGGAGTTCTTGCTGGAGTTTTTTGTTTGTTTGTGTTTTAATTTAATAAGATGTCCTTTATCAGTTTATGCCATTTTCTCTTGCAACACCCTGTACATAAAGGAGGCTTTATTGTTAAAAATTTTTTAATATGATAGTAATTAAAATAGAAAATAAGAGTTATTTAAAACCAAAAATAACCATACTATGCTTGTCAAAATCTATTGACAGCAAACAAAGATGTTATTATCTCATACATGAATACAATACCAGATTAAGAAAGGCAAAAGAAAATTTTCACATTCACTCTATTTAAGGTGACCAGCTCAAGTTTACCCAGGGCTTTCCTGGTTCTAGCAACCAAAAATCATGAGTCTTGAGAACCTCCTCAGTCCCAGGCAAATTAGGGTGACACTACCCTATAACTGACCCAAAATAACAAAAGATTTTGAAAATGTAATGCAATAAAGCAAAAAAAAGGATATTTAGCAAAAATAAAATGCAATATAAGTTTACTTATTTTGAGGGCAAAAATATATTGGCATGAATGAAACAATACAGGAAAAATCTTAAGTATTGCTGACAACACCATTAATCACTCAAAATGTACTTATTTTGGTCAAGTTTCATTCTATTCTGTTATATATCCATGCATAATTTTTACACAGTTGTAAAGAATTGAATACAAATTTTCTACGTATCTAGATTATTTTATTAGAACGACATTCCATATTATTTATTTTCATAATCATATTTTAAAAGGCTGTGCAATATTTTTGGGGGGATATACACTTTAATCATCTGTCTAGTGCTCAGGTATTTAGATTACTTCTTTAAGTAATGTTTTTAACTATCTTAACATTTTTAGAACTGGAATTGATACATAAGGGAGTGTGGCAAATTTTATGATTGCTAGGTTGGCGCAAAAGTAATTGCAGTTCTTCAATTAAAAGTAGTGGTAAAAATTACAATTACTTTTGCACTAACCTAAAACCACTTACCATATTACTTTCCAAAACCATTTAAATGATTCACATCATCATGAGCAGCAATACACATGTGTTACTTTAAGAAATCGTGATTACTTTTTTGTCCCTATTATAAGAAGTGTTAAATGGTTCTTTATAATCATTCAATTTGATTTTTAGGAAGTTGGTTATTTTTCTATGTATTCATTACTTTCCATATTTCATCTTTGGTGAATTTTCTGTATTTTTGCCATTAAATTATAGTTGCCAACATTTTTCTTACCAATTGATGGATACATTAAAAGTTACTAAATCTGTATTATATATAATGCATATAAAGTTAATTTTTCTCTTTTTCCCTACCTCCTGCCCTATATCTGAATACTGATGCTGTCTCCTCTGCTGTAATGTCTGATAATCATCCTTTCTTTCAATTTATTCAGCCACATTCCAACCCATTCTCTTCACCAGTCTGAATGCCTCCTGTATCTTCCTTCTGCTTTTTATTTCCTCTGTTGTAGGTTACGTCACCCACATTTGTTGAACAGCCCAATTCATATGACAAAAAACCTGTTAGAAATCCGTCCAATCCTGTCTCTTCCCACTGACTCAGTTTGCTAATCTGTTTCTCCTCAACTTTGCTCTCCACATCTATTAACCTTCACGGATTTAGTTTTCTTAAAAAACCATCCTTTATAATGCATAATCTGAATAGACTAAAATGGCATCAAGGATTAAGTAATGAGGGAGTTATGTGCTGGACCCACTGATAGAATGGGATACTCATTGAACACGACATGGGAAGCGTGGGCTAGGGTAGGGCTGAGGAGAGAAGGCCTGATAAAGGCAAATGGCCAGAACTGTTGGCAAATGAAAGAGGACATTAAAAAGGAAATTTTTTTAAATTTATAATTTTTCCTGGGTGAGTCCTATATCAGAAGCCTTTTCTTATCATACTTTTAATAAAATAAGACAAGAACAAAAAACTCAGAAGGTTGACTTTGTAAGGTCTCTGCTGAGCAAATCCTTGCATAAGGAGATGGTGTTGGGTAGTGGAAAAAAACAGTGAATCTAAGATCTAAAGACACAGGTTTCCATCCCGGCTCTGACATGTTTTAGTTGTCATTTAATTTTATTCAGCCTTAAAAAAGATGAGAATTTTGCAATATGTGACTTGGATGAACCTTGGGACATAATATTAAATGAAATAAGCCAGTCACAGAAGGACAAATACTTCATGATTCCACTTACTTGAGGTATCTAAAATAGTCAAACTCATAGAAGCAATGAATAGAATGGTAGTTGCCAGGGGCAGGAGGGAGGAGTTGATGGGAAGTTGCTAATCAATGAGTATAAAACTTCAGCTATGCAAGATGAATCAGTTCTACAGACCCTCTGTACAACTTTGTGCCTATAGATAATAATATTTATTGGGAACTTAAAAATCTTTTGAGGATAGATCTCATTAAGTATTCTTACCACAATAACATAAAAAAGAAACAAAATAACCTCTTAGTATCCTAGTTTCTGCTTCCTTAAAATGAGGATGATATGCATGCATGAAAAAAATACTCAGTCTCCATCAATATACTTTCTTATGTGTTACTGCCATTATGTAGCTTGTAGATACATCTGACTTGTTGTAAGTTTGTCTAAATGTTACCGTTAAATCAGTTTGAAAATCATGTGTAGAGATTGTTTGTGTTTATTTGTGTAGAGTATGATAGGGAGAGGGGAAAAGGGCCTGATATGGATATTAGGAGCTCTGGATTCAAGTCTAGCACCGGCTGCTAACCTTATGGCCATGGCAAAATTGTTCAATTACAGTGCTTCAGCTTAATACTTATCTATCAAATTAGGGTTTAGACTAGATTACTTTGAAGATCCAATATGACTCTAAAATTCATTTGTCTAAAAGAATTGAACATAAATTCTCAACCCAGTTTTAAACAATTGAGGACTATTTTACAATTTGCTAAATCCATCTCCACATGTTATTCCATAGACACTAGGTTTTCCTGACCCTTAGTGCCACCCTTACAGCATCTCTTCTTGGACATCAATTTTTAGGGATCATAAGCACTTATGAACAATTAATCACCAGAGAACAATTCTTCCTTCTTCTATTTCCCACCCAAGCTACTGTTCTTCAAAGTGTTACCTCATTTGTATGCAGTGGCCCAGCATCAAAGTGGAACAATAGGGACAAGCAGAAAAGCCTTCATGCTCCCCGAGACAAAGAGAATATGTGCTGAGGAGACACTGCACACACAACAGTGATCTTACCACTTGGAAAGGCAATGGGGAAGTTATTAATGGAGCAAAGCTTCCCCACTCTGTATGTGTTTAATGTTCTGAGGACAAAGATATGAAACTCTTGAACACAAGTGGAGTAGGTGGTTTCGTTTTTTAATCAAAGACACAAGTCCCAAAAAAGAATAGTTTAAAGTTTTGCTAGACTGCTTTGTGGTAGATTTGCATCCTCTACGTAGAACTACAGAGAGAACCTGGAGGACATAAACAATGGAGCAGAGAGATTACCAAGATAAAATGTCAGGAGTTAAAGGGAAGAATGAGATATGATGAAGAGAGACGCTAAAGGAAGGTAAAGAGCAGACCAGGTGGGGAAGCATTGAATGGGTTCGCTAACATGGAGCTTCTCACCCCTGCAGCCCTGGGCTTCCTATGCTGGTCTGCCTGAGGTCATTCACCAGTTTTACATGGGGATTCACTGAAATTGCTGCTTGTAGACCTAACACTGGGTTACAACAGTATAGCTAACTCTTCCTAGCCCTGGAAGTGAAAAGAGAAAGCAGCATTTATACAGGCCCATGTGCCAAGCAGAGCACTAGACACTTTACTTATCACATTTAGTTTCAAAACAATTATCTGAAGGACTAGAATTTTTTTTCTAATAATTAAAGAGAGGTACAAAGAAGTTAATATTAGGCTCCTTCTCTGCTTTTCATAAAGTGACATTTTTCTCCCCCTAATTAGTAAATAATTTGACACACAGTTTTTAATTACTAATCATTCTTTTTTTATGACTGATCTTTCAATAATCATTTAAGCTGCCATAGAAATCAGAGCTGGAGGTGAACTAAGAGCAGACAGCGTCTGCTCCAACTCCCTCATTTTAGAGCTGAGGGAAGCAAGATCTACGATGATTAAATAACTCACCTAGATTTACATAGTTAATTAGCTAATGGCAGTGTCAAAAGAGAGTCTAGGTTTACTACCCAGTCTAACACATTTTTCCACTGCTACACTTGAGTGATGCTCAAATGTCATTTTAAGTAACAAGGCCAAGATATACATTCAACATCTATCAACTCTCCTTAATTTAACCCCCATGTATGAATTTGCAGGTTTCTAATTTATTTTTATTCAATATTTGTGTCCTTTATTTTTAATATCCCTTACTGCCTAAAGACCATTCAATCCATGGTTAATTAACATTCCCCCACCCAAAACATATTGTCTACCTCATTAATAGTGTTGTGATTAGATCCACAATAATTCTTTAATCTTCATGATTATCTTTTACCAGCTGTAAAAACCTAACCCTTTCAATAATTTGTAATTTAATGAGATTTCTAAAATTAGCTAGTTTTAAAAAATAATACTTAAAATAATTTTTAAAATTATAACTAAACAATACATGCACAAAGTAACCAATCCTAACAGTGTGAAAAGGAATAATAAATCTCCCCATAATTTTGCATCATCAATGCCCTTCTCCAGAGGCTGTCCTGGTTAAGATTTTGTGTATTTGATGGGTTTTAAATCCTCTCAATAGCACTTACATCTCTATTAATTTTTAATAAAATGAAAGAGAAAATAAAATACCACACTAAAAACTGATATGTCCTTTGCATTTCTTTTAGTTATTAAGGCTGTTTTTCTAATAAACTGGCAAATGTTATTCCATGACAAATAAGAAATTACAATGAAATTTTGATCAATTTTGATGTGACATCTTTATGTTAAATATGTTTTTACCTTTTTTGGAGAACTGAATATTGTGATAATCAACCTCACTTCAAATGCCAAAAAATAAAGTGATATTTACAATGCAATAAAGAATGAGGTAAAAAGTAAAAACTCTAGAAAAAATTTTTATATGAGATATTAGTTTTTGAAAATCATCTTTTATTATTTTAGATAGTATTCAATTGATCACCATGCACATAATTGTTTTTTATGTGTAGAGCTTAAAATGAAGAAACATTAAATTTCTCATATATATTGAGTCATGCCACTCCACCATTGGTATATTTCTTTTTTTTATTTCTGAAATAACATCTTTGGTTACTTAAGGAAAAACATTGACACCACATTGAATATTATATTAGTTTCCTGGAGCTGTCATAAAAAAGCAGCACAAACTGGGTGGCTTAAACAACAAAAATTTATGGTCTCACAGTTCTGGAGGCTGAAAGTTCAAACTCAAGGCGTCAGGAGGGTTTATTCCTTCTGAGGTCACATTCATAAGTACTGGGGGTTAAGAGCTCAACATCTTTTAAGGGTTTACAATTCAACTCATAATAAACATGGTTGAAAAAGTTCTCTAAACTGAGAAAACAAAAGTACCACCAATGTATAGGGTAGTAGTCCCATCTTACTTGTGGGGCTATAAGAGCTTCCAGCCCTCACATGAGAAGCAGGGCGAGGCATGGGGAGCATGTGGGACTCATGACAGGAGGCTGAGGGCTGGAGGTAGAAAGGCCCACCCCACCCAGCAAAGAGATAACTAGAATCACAGACACGGTTACAAGTGAGGTGCACCTGGGAGCCCGTGCCCATGGTGAACCTGAGGTCAAAGCAGAGAGGAGACAGGGCCAAAGACAAGCCTTGTGTAGGGATAGTCATCAGAGGCTTCACAGCAGGAAGGCTTCATTTGAAAAAATGAAATCTGGCTTCTATGATTGGGCCTAATGCCCAGATGGCTGAATATTCCCCTCACACATAGAGGGCCTGGGCTTTGTGGGGTAGAATCCATCACTGGGAAAGCTGTCACAAGACACTGGGTTTGCTCCAGAAGCCAGAAAGTTCTCTGGTTTATGCACACTTCAGCCTGTTTCTTTTGTTTGTTTGTTTTCTGTTTTTTGTTTTTTGCTTTTTTTTAATGCCAATGGGAGCAGAGTTCAGCTCACATGGTTGAGTTTGGTGGTCTCCTTTAACTAGTGGGGGAGCTATTGGAAGAGACATAATATCAAGGATGAAGTCTGATGTCTGGCAGATGGTGGATTCACAAATATGGAGTACATAGAGGGATACGGAAGGGAAAGTACAAGAGAAGGAAACCAGACTGACAACAGCAATGATGATGAAGGGGCTCAGAAGTTTATTAGTCAAACTTCCAGGTAGATGAGTAGAGCAGAGCCAAAAACTCTACCCTAAACTACTAGTTCACAGTGACTATGCTGATGCCTAGAGGTTTGTCCTGATCAGTTCCGAAATGTGTTGCAAGGATTTTCTTATAGCAATAAACAACCAAAGTTTTTGAATGATTTACTTTTTAAAATATATAATGTTGATTTATCATTATCCACTTAAAAAATGTTAATTACTCTTGTTTGTTTGATTTCCAATGTGCTTTCTAGGTGGGGGAGAAAGGCTATAGAGCTATAGGTAGCACATAACCTTCAGCCTATTTTACTTTGACCGTAGCCAATAATTAGTGATGGTGTTTACTTCTGCTTTGGGGGACAGTGTTTGTCTTAATCTCAGAATTCTCATAGGAATATTATCTAAGTCAATGCAGACAAACATATTTGTTGCTGTGACAGAAAATGTTGAAACCATCACCATCATGTACAACATCAAGGCTCTGACGCTGGGCAGCTGGGAGATAAAACACAGGATATTAGAAGCCCACAGACATTGGGTGGTGACAAGGATTACAGGGACTTTTGATGTTGATATTACTCCTTGGCCTGGGCAGATACTGGTGTGCTTTTAGGTCACCAAATATTTCTGCAGACAGAACCATGCTGAGGCACAGCCAGAGCACGAGTGTCTTGGGACATACAAGTCTTTCTGAAGCAGTTCTTCAGCAATGGAGCCTCTTTGGGGAATGCTCACAGACATTTAGAAGATGTTTCTAGTTGTATGGAATTATTGCCTGGGATATGGCTCAAGTGGAACTGGGTGAGAGATGCTTTCAGGGTAGATTATCTTGGGGAAAGCAGTTCAGGCACCCCTGATGTCTAAGTGGATACTGTAAGGACTCTGTTAAGTATCTTTATGTGACTGAGTTTCTGAGATGTCTGTGATACGGTTTAGATCTGTGTCCCCTCCCAAATCTAATGTCAAATTTTAATCCTCAGTGTTGGAGGAGGTATCTGGTGGGAGGTGATTGGATCATGGGGGCAGACTTCCCCCTTGCTGTTCTCATGATAGTGAGTGAGTTCTCATGAAATCTGGTTGTTTAAAGTGTGTAGCAGTTCCCCCTTAATTCTCTCTCTCCTGCTCTACCATTTGAAGATGTGCCTGCTTCCCCTTTACCTTCTGCCATGATTGTGAGTTTCCTGAGGCCACCACAGCCATGCATCCTATACAGTCTGTGGAACTGTGAGTCAATTGAACCTCTTTTCTTTATAAATTACCCAGTCTCCATGCAAGGCTGGTTCAACATACGCAAATCAATAAATGTAATCTAGCATATAAACAGAACCAACGACAAAAACCATACGATTCTCTCAATAGATGCAGAAAAGGCCTTTGACAAAATTCAACAACGCTTCATGCTAAAAACTCTCAATAAATTAGGTATTGATGGGACGTATCTCAAAATAATAAGAGCTATCTATGACAAACCCACAGCCAGTATCATACTGAATGGGCAAAAACTGGAAGCATTCCCTTTGAAAACTGGTACAAGATAGGGATGCCCTCTCTCACCACTCCTATTCAACATAGTGTTGGAAGTTCTGGCCAGGGCAATCAGGCAGGAGAAGGAAATAAACGATATTCAATTAGGAAAAGAGGAAGTCAAATTGTCCCTGTTTGCAGATGACATGACTTTATATCTAGAAAACCCCATTGTCTCAGCCCAAAATCTCCTTAGGCTGATAGGCAACTTCAGCAAAGTCTCAGGATACAAAATCAGTGTGCAAAAATCACAAGCATTCTTGTACACCAATAACAGACAGACAGCCAAATCATGAGTGAACTCCCATTCACAATTGCTTCAAAGAGAATAAAATACCTAGGAATCCAACTTAGAAGGGACATGAAGGACCTCTTTAAGGAGAACTACAAACCACTGCTCAATGAAATAAAAGAGGATACAAACAAATGGAAGAACATTCCATGCTCATGGATAGGAAGAATCAATATCGTGAAAATGGCCATACTGCCCCAGGTAATTTATAGATTCAGTGCCATCCCCATCAAGCTACCAAGGACTTTCTTCACAGAATTGGAAAAAACTACTTTAAAGTTCATATGGAACCAAAACAGAGCTCGCATCACCAAGTCAATCCTAAGCCAAAAGAACAAAGCTGGAGGCATCATGCTACCTGACTTCAAACTATACTACAAGGCTACAGTAACCAAAACAGCATGGTACTGGTACCAAAACAGACATATAGACCAATGGAACAGAACAGAGCCCTCAAAAATAATGCCATGTATCTACAACCATCTGATCTTTGACAAACCTGAGAAAAACAAGCAATGGGGAAAGGATTCCCTATTTAATAAATGGTGCTGGGAAAATTGGCTAGCCGTATATATCAAAAGCTGAAACTGGATCCCTTCCTTACACCTTATACAAAAATTAATTCAAGATGGATTAAAGACTTAAATGTTAGACCTGAAACCATAAAAACCCTGGAAGAAAACCTAGGCAATACCATTCAGGACACAGGCATGGGCAAGGACTTCATGTCTAAAACACCAAAAGCAATGGCAACAAAAGCCAAAATTGACAAATGGGATCTAATTAAACTAAAGAGCTTCTGCACAGCAAAAGATACTACCATCAGAGTGAACGGGCAACCTACAGAATGGGAGGAAATTTTTGCAATCTACTCATCTGACAAAGGGCTAATATCCAGAATCTACAAGGAACTCCAACAAATTTACAAGAAAAAAACAACCCCATCAAAAAGTGGGTGAAGGATATGAACAGACACTTCTCAAAAGAAGACATTTCTGCAGCCAAAAGACACATGAAAAAATACTCATCATCACTGGCCATCAGAGAAATGCAAATCAAAACCACAATGAGATACCATCTCACACCAGCTAGAATGGCAATCATTAAAAAGTCAGGAAACAACAGGTGCTGGAGAGGATGTGGAGAAATAGGAACACTTTTACACTGTTGGTGGGACTGTAAACTAGTTCAACCATTGTGGAAGTCAATATGGCGATTCCTCAGGGATCTAGAACTAGAAATACCATTTGACCCAGCAATCCCATTACTGGGTATATACCCAAAGGATTATAAATCATGCTGCTATAAAGACACATGCACACGTATGTTTATTGCGGCACTATTCACAATAGCAAAGACTTGGAACCAACCCAAACGTCCAACAATGATAGACTGGATTAAGAAAATGTGGCACATATACACCATGGAATACTATGCAGCCATAAAAAATGATGAGTTCATGTCCTTTGTAGGGACATGGATGAAGCTGGAAACCATCATTCTCAGCAAACTATCACAAGGACAAAAAACCAAACACCACATGTTCTCACTCATAGGTGGGAATTGAACAATGAGAACATGTGGACACAGGAAGGGGAACATCACACACCAGGGCCTGTTGTGGGGTTGGGGGAGGGGGGAGGGATAGCATTAGGAGATATACCTAATGTTAAATGACGAGTTAATGGGTGTTGTACACCAACATGGCACATGTATACATATGTAACTAACCTACACGTTGTGCACATGTACCCTAAAACTTAAAGTATAATAAAAAATAAAATAAATAAATAAATAAATAAATAAATTACCCAGTCTCAGGTAGTTCCTTATAGCAATGTGAGAACAGACTAATATAGTCTGTATGCTGTGTTCAGTGTTGACAACCGTAACTATTGTGCCTACTCCTTTGATACCTCTGTTGTTCTTTTTTTCCCCCAACTTTTAAGTTCAGTGGTACCATGTGCAGGATGTGCAGGTTTGCTACATAAGTAAAAGCATGCCATGGTGGTTTACTGTACAGATCATCCCATAGCCCAGGTATTAAGCTCAGCATCCATTAGCTATTCTTCCTGCTGCTATCCCCCAAACAGTGAGTGTTGTTCCCCATGGTGTGTCCATGTGTTCTCATCAGTCAGCTCCCACTTATAAGTGAGAACATATGGTATTTGGTTTCCTGTTCCTGCATTAGTATGCTGAGGATAATGACTTCCAACTCTATCTATGTCCCTGCAAGGGACATGATCTTGTTCCTTTTTATGGCTTCATAGTATTCCATGGACACCTCTGTTTTATTGGCTGGCTCTTCTTCACACTGAGTTACTGAGTTAGCCTGGCAGGAGCTTCCAAGAAACTTGAGTGAAGGAAATTAGGAATGCAGGACTGAACCAGGGAGCTCACTTTTTGAGTAGTGGATCCCAATCCCAAGATCCATGACAAGGTATTGAGTCTTTGGTCCAGAAGGAAACACTAGGAAACTGTGTCAGTTAAGAGGTCTATTATTTCCTTCTGGGTTTAGTCTTCCTTGAGGGGACTTCCTCTCTCCTTCATTCTTCACTTCTCATCAAGGGAAGAGGCAGGACATATCCGACTGGTGAAATTCTTTACTTTCATCTTCTCTGGACTCAGTTCTCAAGGAGGGTGATCTTTGAACTCTATGAGGAAGCTCACAGGAGCAAGCAGTGAGCCTGTACGAGAGCCTGAACTTGCCCAGTCTGCCAGTAGCTAGGTGGTTAAGATTAATTCTGGGGGAGAATAGAGACTCTGATTAGAACAGATTAAAGCTCTATTCTCTAATCAACCTTAACAATTATGATCTGTCTGACTCCTTTGTTTCTTATGAATTTGTTTTATACTTGGAGCAGAGAGGATATAATTATCCCTCAATAAACCCCATCATTTTCCCTTGTGCTTTGTTCAATTGTTTTTGTTTTGAAGGTCTTTCTCATCTAAAATTGCATAAATATTAGCCCATATTTTCTACTTGTTTTTTTAATAGTGTATTTATAAAAGTTTCTCAAAAAATTTATTTTTAAAATAAGATAGAGAAGTAATCAACATTACTGTACAATAGTAAATATTAAAAATGCAGATAAAAATTAAAATCATACTTAAATTTTATACTGTGTAGCTTCTACTGCCAAAATTACTAATGTGCGATTTTTTGCAAACTTAACTTTATGTTTAATTGATTTAATTGTTTACTGTCAATTTTTTTACAGCAGGATTTCTCTATTCTTGAACTTTTAATTTTGACTTATCTTTTGTTGGGCTCCAGAATATGATATACAGAAACTGTATTCATAATGCAGTTTCTGAACCTTGCATATCTAAGAATGTTTTCCAGTTGTTTCACCCAGGAACCAGAAGTTTGCTCTATAGCCCTCAATTCTCAACTGTACAGCATTTCAACTCTCTTTTCTCTCCCCTCAAACTTTGTAGACTCTACTTCTTTTTACCTTCTGGCATTTATTGTTGCAAAGGAGAAAGCTGAATACTTGTTTAATTTTTAGTCCAATGCAGGTGATCTGTGTTTTCTCCTTGGATACAGGTAGGAGTCTCTCTCTATTTGAATATTCAAAATATTCCCAATGATTTTTCTAGCTATGAATATCTCCTTATTAATTGTGACTAGAGCATGAAAAGCTATTTTAATGTGCATATTCAGAATTTTAGGGTGTGTGAGGAACAAGAAAGCATTCTTAAAATACATTTGATTATTGTCTCATTTCCAATTATTGTGTATTCTTCCTCAGGAACTTCCATATTTGTCGTCTTCTCTCATTGTTTTCATTTCTTAGTCCTTCCCCTGCAATTTGAGATCGTTATTCAAGTTTGTCCTCAGCATCATGGACTCAGTTTTTCATTGTGTCAATTTCACTCTTTTTCTACTCTGTACCTTAATTCTCCCAGGACATTGTATTGAATGCCTTCCTGATTTTATCTGGTGCTCATTCTCATATCATCTGGTTCTATCCTTATGACTTTCTAGTTTCTACTTTTGTCTTTATGAAGATACGAAGCAGTTTTCTAAAACTACCACTTTAACAGGTGTGTTCTTTTTCCCAAGTTAAGCCTCTGGATTAATGCTTAGTTTTTCTTTCATCTCCTACATTCCTCAGTTAGGAGGATGCTCTTTAGTCCTGGTATTCAAAGGCAAGCAGAGTGGACAGTCTCCCCTTGGTTCTAGTCTTAGGGGTGAAGCTTCTTTTGAAGCCTACAGACTTACTCATGGTCCCATCTTTGTCCTCATTCTTAAAGGACAGGACTTTGGTGGTCATAATATAACCAAAATCTCTTTAGGTTAACAGCACTCCTTATGCATAATTTGAAGACCTGAGAGGTAGGGGTTAACACATCCAGAACTGATCCCCTGCAGGCCAGCTTCTCAGAAAAGAAGATGGACGCTAGCAAAGCTCCATAGAAACTAGTTAGGCTCAGTGCTCAAGGCAATCAATCGTGACCTATTGCAAAGGCTTGTCAGGGGGCCTCTCTCTCCTGACAGGGGAGAGGTTGGTGTTCCCCAAACTATGATTGCCCATGTGGTAAATCTTACTATTTGTATGCCATGCCCTATGACTGCAACCACAGGGCCTCTCTCCTTGGTCCCTCTCCCGCTCCCTGCCACCCCCTGCTGATCATGCAGGGGAGGGGCTGATGTTACATCAAATCATGAATGCTGAACTGTACCAAGGCTTTGCCATGTCATATTGCTATTGCGTCTGGCTCCTAATCATACAGCATCTGATGATAGGATAATGGGAGACCAGCACCCTGCTATTGCTCCTGCCTCTGCAAGTTCTCACAAAGCAATGCTGCTCCCAGTTGGTCTGCTGTGAGTGCTGCTTACCAAGTTACCTTGCTAGCATGGCAATTGTTCCAGTAAATGGAATATTTGTCTAGGCACACATCATGGCCTTCCAGAAGCAAGTCAGGAAAGCAGAGATAGATTAAAGACTCAAAGAGAGGGTCTAGTAGCAGAGTTGTTGTCAGCCTTTGGGAGTTGGTGACTATCAGCAGGAATGACCCCTGGAAAACTGAGGAGTGGGAGACCTACAGGGTTAAGACTCAATGATAGAATTTATTGTTTTTTTAGTGAGAGTAAAATAAGTTGCTAAAGATGGGATGGATACTGTACTGAGAAGAAAGCTGAACCACTGCTTCATAACACTCATGGAAAAATAAAACAAAATCACATAGTGTCATGATCACTAAAGAATGGGTAGAGGAGATAATTAGGGAAGGGTACTGACCATCAGCAAACAGGGATAAGTGGACTCCCAATTCTAACTCCTCTCTATGAGATCAAAACGGGAAAGGGGACAGTCCCTTATAGTGGTGGCCTCCTCCAGAAGTCTGTTGCTGGGTCTGCCTTCCACTGCTGGGTGTTTCAAGGGAGTGCTGGTAGTTATTTCAATGTGTCTTCACAATACTGTGCTGCTCCTGGTGCCTTCTGAGCTCCTGGCAATTTATAGAGATACACTAGCTAGTGTCTGTCCAAAAACTGTCAACAATAAATTTAAGGATCTGAACTGAGCAAGCTAGTCAGGACAGCTGTTTCTTTCTTCAGAAGTCCCCCAGTCATTGGAAGAACTTGGAATTAATGCTTAGATTATGGTTAGCCTTTACTCCAACTCTGTAATAAAGTCATACAGGAGGGTCTTCCAAACCGGAAAATGTGCACTTTCTACGTTGTTCTTACAATGATCTCCCCTGCCTTGTCTGCAGTGAACATATTCAGTAACTTGGGGTTGTCACCAATCATCTATCATCCAAGAGGACATCTAATTTTCCTCTGGGTTTCCCACAGCAAAGTCAATATCTAGACTCAAAGCTAATGGGTTGAAATGGAATGGGCTGCTAATGAAGTGGGAGATGATACTTACAAGCCACCCACTGGAATTGGGAGAAGGGAAAGGACTAAAATATGGACTGAAATGAAGGGTTAACTTGTCCAAGACTGACCTCTCCAGTCTAGCCCCTCACAAAGAAGGCTGGCCTCCTGCACAGCTCAATGTAAACCATCTAGTCTCAGTGCTTAAGTCCATGAATTTGGTCAAAAGCAAGGCTTGAACTTAGCTCATCATGGGGAAGCGGAAAGAGGAAAGTGCTGGTGCTTCCTCAACTATGAATGCTGGTGTGGTAAACCCTACTGCTAGTTTGCATGCCCCCCAAACCTCACCAATAAAGCTGCAACTGCAAGGCTTGGACCCCAGTCCCTCATTATGCCAGAGAAGAGGCTGGCATTGTATCCAACCACTAATGCTGACCTGGCAGGATAGGATTGAAATGAAGAATGTGCCACTCATCTTGCTATTGTTCCCTGGCCTCAGATCATACCAAAGGAGGAGCTGGTGTTTCCCCAGTCATGTCTGGCCCCGATAGACCTCTGTGTGCAGCTCTAGAATGAATGGGAACGTCTATTGATCCAGTGTCTGAGAGCTTTCTCCTGTGCCCCACAGACACAGTGAGAATGCTGCTTGTCCGTTTGTCCTGTTTGCATAATAAAAACCTTACAAATAAGGTCACAATTCTGAAAGAAGATACAGCTGATTTGTTCCAAGTGTTTTTCAGTTGATGACAACTCCAAACCAGCCACCCCAGGTAAAGATCTAAAGATATTTGACCTGAAGAATGAGACTGCCAGCCCTTGAGTCAAAGGGAACCAGGCCATGCCGCACACCAAAGACCCATTTTTAGCAGCAGTGGGGACTTGAACCTATCTACTGTTTGTGACTCTGGCCAGGGAGCTCTGCGTGGGGCTCTGGTCACATTTACACCAGTGGGATGAACATGACCCTTGACTGTAGCCATGTGCCCAGTCTCTGTGGCTCTGGCTTCTGCTCATGTTCCTCATTTGCTCTATGGTTCCCTGAGTGTGCTGGAGCCCTGCCAAAGACTATAGACTGCTTGGTTGGGCCCTGACCACCTGCCCGTTGCCATCTGCCAGCTAATGTCCCACTTTAGCATGAATGAGGGCACCCCTGGAATCAGGATGCTGCCACCTGCCCCTGGGCACAGCTGCCACCTAGCTGTTGCTGCAAGGCCTCCATTCGCTTGTCTGGACCAATCAGATCAGATATGTGGAAGCTGGACCACCATCGCCTCAGAGGGAACCCTTCAGCCAGGCAAGTCCCCACTCCACTCTAGTCACATATTCTTGAAACTCCTAGTTCACTTTTTTTAGGTTGAAAATTCTACCCCATATTACAGAAGCTTCACAGATAATTTTCACCCTCACTAGGTACATCAAACACTCAAAGTTAATCTCTAGAGTTTTCATCAACACTGACTTACTTGTTTTATCTGTCAGGCAATAAAGATATGGTTCTAGGGTTTATGAACTATTTAAGGGCATAGAAAAATATTTTAGACTGACAAAAGTAGTTCCAAAACAAAATAACACACTCTCAAATGATCTCAAAAGCAAAAGCCTTTACAATTCTTCGTAACCCAAACTTCTTACTTATGAAATATGAGTGTATTTCATCATCCAATAGGGTGGAGCATCTAAACTCAAGCAAGCCAAGGACCTGAGAGTGTAATCTCATGGCAGACCCTCCCTGACTGCTCACATTTTCCAACCTCATCCTTTCCCTCAGTTGCTGCGTGGCTGCCACTAAATGGTAGGTGCAACATGGTGCCGTGCGTACTAACCACAGGGCCCATAGGCAGAGTATTTTTTGAACGAATGGGTGCATAGATGAATGAATAAATAAATTGAGCAATGTATAAATCCTCCAATAGAAATATTTTAAGATATTTTTAAAAATCAGAATGAGAGGGGAATGGGGAGTTGCTGCTTAATGAGTAAAGAGTTTCAGTTTTGCAAGGTGAGAAAATTCTGGAGATTGGTTGTGCAACCAAGTGAATATACTTAACACTGCTAAATATACTTAGAAATGATGAAGATGTCTAAGTTTTATGTTATGTTTTTCACCACCATAAAAAATTTAAAAATCAAACAAAATTTTAAAAAAGTAGAAATAAAATTTACAGAAAAATTCAAAATACACTTATGACAGCTATCTGAATCTCACTGCAGCCACTCTTCAGTTTTCATCAACATAGCCCTGACTTCTTTGTCCTATTTTCACATAATATGTATGATTTATTCTATGACTTCTTTTGGTGGGGGGGTCAGTAACTGACAGTTCCATTTGACAGTCCAGACAGAATTTGATGGTGTAATTACAAAAACAAAATAAAAACAATTTTACTTTCAATTTTATATAAGGAAGAACTTAACCCTTTTGTACAGTTTGAAAATTAAAACTTGACTTTTAGCAACAGGCTAGAAATTTTTAACAAATTTCTCAATAACTTCTCAAATTTCTGATATAACTTCTCAATTTATAGTAAGCCATATCTCCCCAGTGTGTACATTTATAATCACCTAGAGTCTCTGCACTCAGAAATGACTACTATTAACGTGTTAGTGTATGATATATGCACCATATAAATATATTTTACATTGTTTTATATCTTATTTTTCTATTTAAGGTATCAGGAGCATTTTCTGAAATTAACACGTATTTGGAGTTTCCTGTATTAATTTGGAATAAAATCCAAAGTCCTCACCTTGGCCTACAAGCCCCAGTGTGATCTATCCTAAGCCTCCCTGTCTAATTTCAGCTTCTTCCACTTCCCACCTTCCACTCACTGTGTTCTAGTCACACTGGCCTTCTTGCTGGTCCTTAGGCAATGATCAGCATGCACTTGCCTCAGGACCTTTGCACTTATTGCATCTTCCCTCTGGAACCCCTTTCTTCGGATTTTCACAAGGGCTTCTCCCTCATTTCATTGCTGTCTCACCTTATAATAGATAAGCACCTTATATAAAGTGATAACCATTGTGTATCCCCTTGCTCTACTTTATTATTTATTGTAGCACTTAACACTGACTTAATATTATATTATATAGCTATTGATTGTTAAGACCTGGTTTTCCTAGAAGAATGTAAGCTCTACAAGGGCAGAGACTTTGTCTTGTTCATTCTGCTATCCCCTGACACTAGGTTCTAAATCACTGTTTGTTGAATGAACCAATGACTTTTGCTTTAACCTATTTCATGACTGCACAGAACTCTGTTGCATGGATGTTGCTAAATACATTTAGCTAATTCCCTTTTCTGGGATACTATAGATTGCACTGCAGTGGAATACTTAAATATGTTCTCTTAAATACAGTAGTTTTCCATTGTTTTATCCGAGTTAATTACATTGAGTGCAGCAGCTTCCTAGCCATCCCCCTTCCTCTTTTCCCTCCTCTGACAGTTTGTATCACAGACAGACTGATATCACACTCCTTTCCTTGCCCTCCGTGTACAGAAGCTTAAGTCCAAGCTCTGACTGCTGGTGTGTCCTTATTCTATCTTCCCACTGCAGTTTCCCAGGGTGGGAAGAGTGGGGAGGATCACAAAAAAATAATGGGTACTAGGCTTAGTACCTGGGTGATGAAATAATCTATACCACAAACCCCATGACACAAGTTTACCTATGTAACAAACCTGCATATGTACCCCTGAACTTAAAATAAAAGTTAAAAAAATAATTTAACTATTCGAAGAAACACTCCACACTTCCCACTGGACGCAGGTTGTCCCTCTTACCATTTGCTCTAATTATGCTTTAGTGTACACTGTTCCCTCTTCACAGAATATATTCCTATTTATTTACAAGCCTAAATTCCACCCATCTTCCAAGTCCCTTGCCAGTCCCTCCTGATTGCATCGTGCCTTCCTTGAATCTAGTCTGCATGATCTCTCACTTCTCTGAGCTTTTCTAATACTCCCTATGTCTAGCACGCATGGTGGCTTCTGACAATGTTCAGGCGCCTTGCGAGCTTTAGCTACAATCACATGAACTGCAACTTCCTGAAGCACTTTCAAAGTCCTATGCAGTCCTAGTCACAAAATAATAAATATTTTTAAAATTTAGCAGTTTCACCAAAGTAAAAACTTTTATGCAAAATGAGATAGTGTTTTGAGGGAAGAAATGGCATTATTCAAGATCAAATCTTTTCATCTTTCCCTATATTTTCTTTTTATATTATCTACACACTATTCTGCCATAAAAATTTTCCATTCTTAAATTCCTATTTGCAATCCTTGATCAGCCACTATATATTATCTATTTCTGACAATTTTGTTGTTGTTTTAGATTTTGGCTTGTCTTAACATTATTAAGTATGAAGTTATTTTTAAATGAGTATTACATTCAGGAATTATTTTAAAAATCATGATGAGGTGTTACGTGAGTTATACAGATATTTCTTGGTTTTCATATAAGGGGCATGGGGCATTATGAAAATCTAAAAGTATACCTTTCATTCTTTTCATCCTGTGTGTAGAGGGGTTGGGGAGAATGCTTTCTCTTGGTGAGGATGTTACCGGGTGGGAACTGTAGGCTGAGCACTCAGGCAGAAGCATGAGCAAGGGATTCTGCAAAAAATATTCTGCAAGGAATACTGAAGCTGGGTCCACAAGTCACATGGTTTTGCTTTTTGATCTCAATAATATACATGATTATGCTGAAATCTCAGGTCTTTTTTCTCGACCACCACGTGTTTTTCCATTGTGTGATCTCAGGATCCACCAAAACATACCCAAGGCATCCTGGCAAATGCCCACTCACCATCTTCCTCGTAGAGAAGACCCATATGCATGTGTGCCTCGGCTTCTTTCTTCCCACAGTCAATTTTGATCAGCTGAGCAATCTTAAAACATCGTTCATAGAAGTGGTTCCTTACCCACTTGTCTTCAGAATTATTGAAGTAACAGGCCAGAGCATACAAGTTATTATGTACATCTTCGAAGGATTCTTCAAAGAGAGAAAAGCACCATGAATGGCATTAGAAAGATGTCTCATGGCACACCCTTTAGAACGGCAAACCAATATCATGACTTCCTATTTTTCCTTAAAGATGTGATTACCAATTTTAAAAATTGGGTCTAAAAGCAAAAATTAATTTATTTTAACTATTATATTAATTACATTAATTAAAGGATGTGCAGATGAGTAAAGCAACAAAAGGCTTTCTGAAAACTTAGAACATGTAGGAAATTGACACTATCTGGTTGAAACAGGAGGCTTTAAGATGTAGGACAGGACAATACCTACTAGCAACATGCTGAGTGCTTTTGGAAGAAAGGATTATGTAGTTTCATTGAGTACTTTTCCCACTGGAGGTTTGAAAGTACTTAGAGATTCTAGAGATGGCAATGTTTCTCAGCCATAGCAAAAGATAATGTAAATGAAGAGAGCAAAATGGATATGAAAATACCAAGGTATTTCATATCATAAAAATGTCACGGGCCTGATAGATACAACAAATGATGATCAGAATGACCCTATAAGCTCCATATGCTTTCAAGCAATGTTTCTAGCAATACAAATTTCTAGCAATGTTAAGAAAGAGTAGACTTCTACGCTTCTGTTTTCTATGGGTATTTTTTTGCTGGGAATGCATAAATACTGTCGTTTTTACTCAGAAAGTTCTTAATTAAACTCTTGTAGGTTTTTTTTCCTAAAGGGTATCTAACCTATATCTACATAAAAAAATGTGTCCGTCAATTGTGAATCAGTCTTATAAACCCCACTGTGATAGTAAACCTGAACGAATATGTCTGTGTGTTAATAAGTTGTGCCTCAGTCCTGTAAACTCCACTCTAATGGTGAATATGAACAAATTCATAATATTTATGTCTTTTGTATTTATGCTGAAATCATAGTTGTATTATAAAATGCAGTGGTCTCTGGGTTACCCTTCCAATAATTTTTTAGTAACAGTCATTATCTATTAGAATTCACTGATATTAATTGTTCACTACTACCAGAGGAGTCAACCCACATATTCCTGAAGAGATTACAATTATGAAAAATATTGCCCACTAGGACACCTGTAAGATTAAAACCAAAAGTCAGAAAAAATGAAACAGGTTGATTACAACAAAGGGTCATTCTGCAGAACCGTAAGTAAGTCACCCCAATGTTTCAAAAGAAATTTCTAAAACCGATTCTATTCCTTTACATATACTTCTTTAAAATTCCAATGGAAATTAACATTTATATCAAAATAAATTTAATAACTGGAAAACAAAATAAAAAGGTCTCCCTATCCTGGAAGTTGCTGGAGATTCTGGAGAGCCATTCTGCTTTTCGAGGACACTCACACCAGGTGACAGCTCAGGTGAAAAGTAGCGCATGACCTAAGCTATTTATCTGACGCAAATACTCCCACCTCAGAATACTTCTGTGCTTTGTCTTTCCATTATGAACTTCCTACATAATGTGAATACAACACTAAAGTCTGTTTTGTAATATTTCATATTCTTGGTTATATTTACTGATTAGAGAGTTATTGCTTTTAGAAGTCAGTAAGTAAAACATTTCATATTTTCCACTTTAATAAAAAGTATATATATATATATAATTAAAAATATATGTAGTCCCGAAACAATTTTTTTATATTTTAGTAATTAAACCTTAATGTAAAAATATTTGCAACATTTCATAAGGTTTTTTTTTTTAGGAATGAGTTAGATAAGCTACCAAGATTACATATTTAAAGACTACTTGTCAGCTAAGCTATTTTTCTATGAATAAAGGATTGTTTTCTAGAATATTAAATATAAAAGAATATATTCAAGTTTCAAATCTTTGGGCAATCCAAATATGTGTCCTGTACCCTTTACAAAGGCTACAAGTAGCCTTCTCTCCTTGCTTGTAGACCACTTCCTTGAATTGACAGCAGGTATATTCAGAAGATGAAAATCAATTTTATTGTGGGTTTCTTATGCTCCTTAAAAAGAAGATTCTACAATAAAATAAATTTGGGAAACATTTTTGCAAATTTCCTTTTTCAGTAAACCACACAATATACATCAGCATGCTGAATGCTCTGATTAGTCCTGCAATAAATTAACCTGCTTAACCTCAATGTTAGTTCACCGGGTATTTCTCAAGCTTATTTGGCCAGAAAATTGTTTTGTTTTGCTTTACATCAAATCTGTAAACACCTGTGGAATTTTGCCTTAGAACATAATTTGTGTATCTTAAACAAACATTATTAGAAAAAAATTGCTGCTCAACCCTTAATAAATTTAAAAGTCAAGTGTAAATAATGTTTGAATTATCTATTGATTCTCTTACCCATTACCATTTTTGTCATCTCTTCCCTAGCCCCATGGGGCATAAGGCTCAAATCAGATGTCACAGATGGCACAGCAATGATTCATGACAATGGATAATATTTAAAAAAAAAAAGTATCAGGGACAAAGAAACACTTTAACAAATGGAAAATAACCCAAAAAGAAATGATTGGCTTACTTTAAACACACCTTTGCTATAAAACAGCAAGTGTTTTATAAAGTAATTTAAATAACTCTAGGTTACTGCTCTGTAAGTCTCAAGAGATAGAACTGACCTGAGATGACTATTGTTAATGCCATAGCTTTGATTAAATGAACTTCACTGTGACCCTAGAGTGATGGTTCTTCCAATGAGAAGCAACGAGATTGCTCAGTTATATGCTATCTCAGGAAAATTGCCTCTAATGTCACAACCATATGGAATGGAACTTTAAGATACTATTAACACATTTCTATATTCTAGGCTTACATACACATTTTAAGATTTAGGATTCATTCAAGTTAATAAGAGTGAATGTGCATATCTCATTTTCTGGTACATCCCTAATTCAAACCACAATTTTCCTCCAATAAAGTTCATGTGTTGAATGTGGAAAAAAAATTATAACAATTTTTGAAAAAAGGTGACACAAATGTTTACATGTCCTTCAGCTGAAGTTTTTCCAGTAATACTTTTGTAATAATTTTAATTTTCTATATTTCAACCAGACAAAAGCCACTGCATTTTGTGGGAGATAATCCTACAGAAGAGACTTTGGCTATTATAACTTTGGACTTTGGGCCAGGTGCGGTGGCTTACGCCTGTAATCCCAGCTCTTTGGGAGACCAAGGTAGGAGAATCACTTGAGGTTAGGAGTTCGAGACCAGCCTGGCCAACATGGTGAAACCCCGTCTCTACTAAAAATACAAAAATTAGCTTGGCATGGTGGTTTGTGCCTGTAGTCCCAGCTACTCGGGAGGCTGAGGCAGGAAAATCACTTGAACCTGGAAGAAGGAGGTTGCAGTGAGCTGAGATCACATCACTGTACTCCAGCCTGGTTGACAGAACAAGAGTTTGTCTCAAAACAAAACAAAAAGTTAGGCTTTGTTAACTTTTGGATTGGAGAAACATTTTTACTTATAGTAACTTTCCTTTAAGAAATATTATATATTAAAATGTTTTCTACCCTCAAATAGACTATTTGGCATTTTAGGTTCTTATAAATTTGAAAAAGCTTTATGACAAGCTGGCTCACATCTATGACACCTTATGACAAGTGACATATTTAGCTTATATTTACACTATCTCCAATGAAAGCCTCAATTTAAAACAGTGAATATGATAAAATTCAATGGAATAAAACAGCTAATGAGCAAATATTATCTTAGTTCTACTTTCAGTT
Organism: Homo sapiens; assembly: GCF_000001405.40. Taxonomy (NCBI): domain Eukaryota; kingdom Metazoa; phylum Chordata; class Mammalia; order Primates; family Hominidae; genus Homo; species Homo sapiens. The sequence goes on from NC_000004.12 coordinate 146,907,443, forward strand.
TAAATATCACTGTAGAATTTTGGGCAAATACTAGAATGTAGGTTGTTTTGTTTTGTTTTGTTTGTTTTGTTTTGAGATGGAGTCTTGCTCTTGTCACCCAAGCTGGAGCGCAATGGAGCAATCTCAGCTCACTGCAACTTTTGTCTCTCGGGTTCAAGCAATTCCCTGCCTCAGCCTTCTGAGTAGCTGGGATTACAGGCGTCCGCCATCATGCCCGGCTAATTTTTTTGTATTTTTAGTAGAGACGGGTTTTCACCATGTTGGCCAGGCTGGTCTCAAACTCCTGACCTCAGGTGATCCACCCGCCTTGGCCTCCCAAAGTGCTAGAATTACAGGCATGAGCCACCGCGCCCAGCCAAAATGGAGGTTTTTTATAATAGCACTTTTTATTTACAATAGTTAATTTCTTGAGAAATAATTGTAAATAATATTTTAAAGTTCACCAAAATATTTTTTTTCACATCCATCCTGCAGTGAAACCCTTTTCATAATATACATAACCACCTCCTATCCCACCCCTGCCACACACACACCCTAGTTCATTTGTTTTGTTGTTCACATTTTTGTGTGTCTCATATTCATAAGTCAGGTCACAACCTGATGGGAAATATGTATTGGCTCCAACATATAGAGACTCTTCTAATGTTGTTTACATGACTCCATAAATTTTCTCCATGGTACCATTGGGTAACAAAAAGTTGCTGATACCCTATTTTCTCATAGAAAAGCCTGAAATGACATGTAGACATTGTCATGTTGAGGCCTGAGTTTTTCTTTTTGAATCCTGTGGTATTTTCCCCAAAAAATTTGGAGAAAAGAATAATTTAGAATACCAAATTTACATGCCAAATTCTAGAATTTCATTTTTTTATTTGATTATAGATGACTAGTTAAAATGACCAGTTCCTAATATGTAACTAAGAAATATTTATGACAACAATATCAGTATAATTAGTGTAGAAATGAAAATATTTAATACTTGGAATGTATACTAACTTTCTGGAAAATTTTGAAATACAAAAAATGTATTAGAAATGATGTCATGGAAAATATAAAATTGACAATTTTATTTGCAATTGTGAATTGCAGGATTTTCATGTCTTTTTACTATTTACAAAGATAAATTCTCTGATTCAAATCAGTAGGACTTCTTGACCCAAACTTCAAAGTCCACTATCTAAACTTAGGAAAATCAGTGTGATTTTCAAGTTATAGTACTCTTTGAAAGTATCTCCTCTATGAAAGTCAATATTCAGATTACGTATACAGAAAAACTGTAGAAAGGTTTAAACCTAATGATAGGAACTATGTTAATTCATGGGGGAAGTTCTGGAGATATTATTAGGTGCTATGTGTTGTCTTCCCTGGCTCGGAAGGACATCACCAGAATGCCCCCGTGTCTGGGCAGCCTCGTGATCCAACATTCCCTTTCCTTAATTCCATAAAGACGTTTAATTGACTGGGTTGAAGTGTGCTAAGTTGTCTTAATGTTTCAAATTCATACATGAAACAATCTGGAATCTTCCCCCAGGAGCTCGGTGTTCTGGCTCCTTCTGTGCTCTGCCCACAGTCCCACCACTTACCTTTCCTCTCAGCGTCCTCAGCCCTGGTCAGGTAATGGTACAGGTAATCCAGTTTATCAGGCTGCTCCTCCAGGGGCTTCTGCAGCCAGAAGAGGGACCTGACTCTCGCAGCCTCCCTCAGGGCATCCCACCGCTCCATCAGAGCGAAGAGCTCGGTGAAGGACTTATGATAACCATCTCGCAGCATGTCCACACAGATATTCTTCTTGTAGGAGTTCCTATAACTGGAAATATGAATCAGAACACTCTCAGGTTTATGTTAATCCTTTCAGTCTGCACGGTATTTTCATTCTCTAATAATTAAAGGTTGAATCATGTTGCCTTTTATCCCTCAGTGAAAGCACTGAAAACTATCAAAAGATCTTTGCCTCAAACACTTATAATTGAACAACTTCTGTTTAATGAAAGATGCCAGGAGCTATCTAAACACAGTAATTTTAATGAAATTACATTATAAACATATCAGTTCCAGAGCTGAGCTCCATTTGATAAGGACAAATAAGCTAGTTGACTGATGAATATTAAAAAATACTTGATATATCAGCCTCCCACCAAAAAAAACCTCAACAAGTCAAGCAAAAATAAAACTTGCCATTTAATATCAAAACAATATTCTCTCTATATTAGTAGTTTCACTGTATGTTACAGAAGTTCATCATTCTTTCATTCATGCAGAAAATATTTATTGAAATCTATTACTAACTATATATTTTTTAATTACTTTCAGTTAGAATTAAGTTAATGATTAATAATTATATTCTCACTTCAATAATCAAATGCAAAAAGATAAAGTGACAAATGAATATTCCATTTAGTCAAGCGACAAATAGGTGCTGAGTTTCCTACTAAGTGCCAGGCGCTGTTCTAGACCAAATAGATTCCATACCCTTGTGACGCTTACATTCTAGGGGCAGAACATGACTAACAAATAAGTAAGCAAATGAGAAATAATTTCAAATCACGAAAATTTCTAGAAAGGAAATAAACAGAATTGTGAGATAATAGCTGTGTAGTGGCTATTATTCCATTAAAAGAACAATTAGATACCAAAAGATATAGCTTTATACTAATTATATTATATTCTTTAAAAAAAAATAGGACAAACGACATGATGTGATACTACTGGCAACAAAAATTCACCGTGGAGTGGAAACAGCCCAGACCACCAAGATTGAGTCCAGTTTTGCCTCACCTCCCTGGGTCTCCAGTCTTCTCATCTCTAAGCTGTGTATATTAGTATATGCTACCTACATCATGGGATTCCTCTAGGAACCAAATGAAATTAGGTATGTGAGAATACTCTGGGAAATGTGAAATCTCACTGCTGCTTCTCAATTCCTCATTATGCATTAGATTCACCTACAGAGTTCAAAAAAACAAACAAATAACAAAACAAAACAAAGTGACTAGACTTGCATCTACCAAGGATTTCTTATCCATTGGATCAACTTAGGTAGAGAACAAACAAATGAGGAGTGGCAAGCAGGAGAGTGGTGAGACAGGAAGTTTAGAAAAAAAGGCAGGGACCAGATCATGAAGAGATCTTACGGTAAAAACAACAGTGAGAAGTTTGGACTCCAAGCTGGGAGGGAGGTAGAGCTATTGGAGATCAGAGTCAGGGAACTGACATGACGAGACTGCATTTTACAAAAGTCATCTGGAAGAAGTGTCCCAGCTGAACCGCAACCTTCCCCTATATGGCAGTCAGGTTGTTACAGAACTAGTTCGTAAAGAGAATAAAGAGACCACATGGATCCTAGGTCAAAAGATCAAATGCCAACATTTAGTATGAGAATAAGATATATTTGAAATGGGGAAGAGAAAAGGAATAGTGCTTGTTACTTATTCCTGTCCTCCAATTGCGATCGATAGAGGAGAAAAGTATGGAGAAAGGCAGTGAGATGCTTGGAGGGCCATGTTCTCTTTCTCTTTCTCACTCCAGTCAAATGGAGGGGCTCAGAGAGTAGAAAAGTCAACATCCTGTGAAATGCAGTGAGAGCCAAGAGTAGAAAACACTCATATCCTGCTTCCCATCTAGGGTTATTGAAGGCAGGGAGGATTACCAACATCCCTCTCCCCACCTCCCTATACGCAAGGGCATGCAAAGGCAGCAAAAGTCCCTGCATAGCACTTCTAGGCAGAAGAGGACCAGAACCAACCCTGTAATTGCCCACAGCCCATGAATGGTATAGGAGAAGGGACTTAATATTCCAGTGGGCATCATGTGTGGCCCAGAATTTACTGGGAGGAGAGGGCTGATAAGTCTGTCACAATGTCATCTGGCCATAGCAAGGAGATGTATCCTAATGACTGCTCATGGGCTGCCCACTGGGGACTGAAGGAAGACACAGCTAAAACTGAAATGAGCATACTGGGGAGCTCCTGAAGGGTTCAGGTCAGCATATTTCCAGAGCTCATAGAACAAAGACGGATCAAGTACATCAGAGATGGACACATGTAAAGGACTTCATAAGCTAGGAATGCATTCAGCTATAAGTAAAAGAAACTTGTCTCACAGTGCTGTGAAAAATGGAGGTTTCTAATTTTCTTGCCTAAAGGCAGGCAGCTGAGGGCCTTGGTTCAGTAGCCTGGCAAGTTCAAGACCATGTCTCTGGGGTTATCTTGACTTTCCCTCCTTCTGGTCCCTTACTGGTTGCTACAGGGCTGCTACAGCTTCAGACATTAGGTCTACTTTCAAGACAGGAAGAAAAGGGAAAGTGGGTTGGCACTGGCATCCCTTATTTTAGGGAAAAATGAAACATTCCTGCAACCACTAGCGGATTTCCACTTGTTTATTGGCCAGAACCCTGTCACAGCCCCACTCCTCACCTTGGTGCAAGGAGTCTGGAAAAACAAATACCCTGCCTGCTCTTGGGCATGTTGCTGCCCCCAAGCAAAACTAGAGCTATGTCTGCAAAGATGGAGGAAGGAATGGATACTGGCCAGACAAATGCAGTGACAATTACAAAGTCCTAGAAGTCAGAGGTGTCCAGTCTTTTGGCTTCTCTGGGCCACATTGGAAGAAGAATTGCCTTGGGCCACACATAAAATTCACTAACACTAACAATAGCTGATAAGCTAAAAAAAAAATCACAAAAAAATCTCATAGCCTTTTTAAGAAAGTTTATGAATTTGTGTTGGGCCACATTCAAAGCCATCCTGGGCCGCATGTGGCCCACGGGCACTGGGTTGGACAAGCTTGTTCCAGGTCAAGATCTGAAAATAAATGTTGTTACCCCAGGGGGTTACCAGATAAAATGTAGGATGCCCAGGTACATTTTAACATCAGATAAACAATGAATGATTTTTTTATTAGCAGTATTCCCCAAATATTGCACAGAACATACTTATTCTAAAAAAAAATTTCTTGTTTTTGAAACTCAGACTGAACTGTATGGTCTGTATTTCTATTTGCTAAATCTAGTAACTCTACTCCCCTGAAGCCCCGAGTAGTGCGCTGCTGTTTCCGTGTAGGAAAATAGGGTGAGGGGAAGAAGTTTTAGAATCTTGAACAACCTGAGAAACTGCCGAATTGGACTGACTTTACCTGAGAGTGACAAGATTGGATTTTTACACTAGGGAGGATCAAGGCTCAGGGCCAGGAATTAAAATTAAGTTATAAAAAAATAAAGACTTTCAATTTAGCATTCTCGAGTCTGTGAGTCAGAAATTCACACCTGATCCAAGAGAAGGGAGGGGAGGAGGGTAAAACCGGGAGCAGGAAGAACAGATGGGAGACTGGTGGTTGTGGAAAGGAGAGGTGCTGGGGGTGGAACCAGGGTAAAGCTGGAAGGATAGAGAGAAGTAGGTGATTTCAAAACATTTTAAGGAGACAAAAATATGGGTTACTTGGTGATTCAAAGGATATCAAGGGTGAAGGAAAGGGAGGAGCAAGGATAACAACCAGGTTTTGGGATTGGGTAATGGGTAATTAGTAATTTGCTGAAGAGGGGAACACGAAAGGATGAACAGGTTTGGGGAAAGATAATGAGTTAAGGTTCAGATAACTGGAGTTTCAGGAGCCTGAGGGGACCTCCACGTGTTACCCTAGAAGGCAGTTTGGGGGGTGACATAGGAGGCCTGAGAGGACAAGGGGTTGTAATCTTGCTCACACAAGCAATGCCACCTTTGTATGTGTATGCACTGGCGGCCAGCCGATCTTCCTAGGAGTGAAGAAAACATTTGGGGGCCAAAATGAAGAAAATTATAAATAGATAAAAATTAAAATTGACCATAAATGATACAAATAAATGCTAGATAGGGCAGTTAGAAGGCTGTCTCAGTTCTAATCACAACAGGGTCAGAAATCCAGAAAAATCACTCTGGGCCTCATTTTCCCCACCTGGAAGATGAAGGTGCTTTTGCTGGATTTGGTCCACCCAGCATCTAGCTCCACGTCCACAGGAGGCACATTCTAAAAGTATTTCAGAAATAACCAATCCCACGTTGTGTGTAGTCTTGGTGGCATGGAAATTCAGGGACTCCCTAGCCAAGGAGTGGGTTATTGACCCAAATTAGGCCAACTGGTCTCTCTCCCAAAATTCTGAAACCAGAGGCAAGCAACATAAAGGTGTAGGAGGTTGCTGGTGCTCAATCAATCTGGAAGAATCTTGACAAGATTCTCTCGTAGTTCCTGCTAACTACGTCCATTTGAGAGGGCTGGGTCTGGTCTTTTTCTTCTGATCTGGGTTCTCCTCTAAATTCCACCATAACCTTTCAATAAAATCATTTCCACTTGATTTAGTCAGAATCCATTTCTGCTGTCTGTGACCAAAGAACACTAAGTGATTCAGAAGGGGTTGGACAATCATTTCCACAATGCCTTTCAGCTTCAAACATCTGTGATATATAACTGATATCAATTTTTAAAATTTCTAGTACATTTTTAAAAAAGATCATTCTTTACAGATGATGTTACAAATAGAAATGTATTTAAATATGCATATAGAACTATGCTGGTATCATCTCTATTTTTTACACACATGCGCACATACCTATGCATACAAATATGCTACTGTTTAAGCCTCATTGCTAATATTTGAGAGCAAGAAAAGACAATTATAGTGGTTTAATAAATAGGTTCCTATCTAAACCTTCATAGTTATTGCAAATTATTTCTTTTAACCAGAAAATCTTCTTTTATTAAAATAAATCGGCTATCTAAAAAAAAGGAATGTCAATCTCTACCATTAGATTTGAATTTCTCAGGTTTTAAATTTCATAACAGAGAACCATAGCCCAAGTTCACTTGCTGTATGAAAGAGAATTGTTTTAAACACAAATAGAAATATAAACAAAACTCAGATTTATTCGCTTAATCATTATTTCATTTGGCCATAAACTTTTTAGGCTTTGGTTTCATTTACACATTAAAAAACTTTTATGAATATTAGTCTAAATTAACAGATGCTGTTTTTAAGCATCAGAAAAAGAAAAATCTTCTTGAACTGATGCCATGATACTGGATGAAAATAGAGAATGCTGGTAAAATTTATGGAGAGATTTAATATTAGGAAATATGAGGAGAGTTCATCTGACAGGAAAAAAACGTGCCATTCACAGAAGCAAAAGTTGTCACATTCGTGGACATGCTGAATGTATCCTGAGGAAGATCTTTGCCACTGCAGATACTTGGGGCTGCAACGAGATAAGGGATGCAGCTTGAGAATGCATTTGAGAATGAAATTAAGTAGTCAAGCATTTCATATGGGTTTTATTGCCATTTAAGGGCATTATTCATTCAATGGAGATGTTGTTAATTGTTTTGAATTCACATCAACATCTCCCTAAAAAAATGCAGAGATTTAAAAAATCTAGAGACTGACAGAAAGCAGAGCTGAACAATATGGCATAACTCCACAGCAGGTGAATATATAGAGATGCTGGGAAATGGAGAATTTACTGCTAAACAGCCATGGAGATATTATAGTGTTTTAAAATTCTGCCTTAAACTATTTTGAATAGCTACTATTTATAGAACACCCACAATGTGTCAGGCACTGTGTAGACATCATTTCTAACTGGCACAATAACTGTATAAAGAACTACTTCAATTTTTACAAATTAAAAAACCTGTCTTCAGTGAGGTTGTGAATTGCCCAAAGCCATACAAGTTATTAATAGTAAATGGCAGAGTTGGAATTCACACCCAGCTCCCTCTGGTTGCAAATTCTGAATTCTTCCCATTTCCCTACATTGCCTCCTATTATATCATGTATTGTTGCTTTTTCTTCTTCTCCTCCTCCACACAATGTTTTATTTATTGCATTGATTAGGAATTTGATGTTATTTGACAATTATGATGCAATCTTTCAATTGGTAAGCCATTCTCTTTATCCATGGCAATCCATGTTTAGGTTGGGTTGGAGACAGAGATCAGTATCATTTTGTGACTCCCCCAGAAAATCCTTCTCTTTAAAAGGAGAGAGCAGACAGCCAGCAGCATCCAGGAAGAGCAAATTAAATGGATATGGTTCCCACTCAAGGGTGTAAACTCTAACGGGAAAAACACTGACAAAGACAAACATTTAAAAGGATAAAAAGCATATACTTCTATAAATATAAAAAAGATGAATAGATGCAATGAATAGAAATTACAATTTATTTTACTTTCTCTGCACCTAAACTAATAAATCTAACAAGTAATATAAAACCACCTAAGTAGGTCTTTGTATAAGTTATTAGGTGAATTTTTAAAATCAAAGGCATTATTGTATATTCAATTATATGACTGATATATTTAACATATTTTTTTCATAGGATAAACTGAATTATGGAATCAAGATGAAGCTTTACAGTCAGTGAAATATTTCAAAAGCGGTTCAATAAAAAAACCGTACTTTAAAACAAGATCATAAAATTTTCATTTAATCTGACAAAGATAAAATCAAAAGATATGTAACATCTAATCAAAAGTCAGGATAATACTTTTATTTCATTAAGTTAATATTTATAAGTCACGAGTGGGTTATCCATGTGTCAGTTATAACAGTTTTACATTCATATGGTAGGGATAAATGTTACTGGAATCACCTACGGGATAATTACATTGACTTAAATTAATACTTAAATAGCTTCAGTTAATATAATTTCCTTGGAATAAAGTGAATCACTATTCTTACCTATCTTTTTCGGTGTAGATAGATATTATGTATATCGTAATCAGAATTTAAAAAGTCATTTCTTGACATACACCTACTAACTGATAAAAATTATATGAGTTGTTTATGTTTTATAGTTTTTGGTAAAAATGCTATTTTTTCCCAAAAGCTAAAATAACAATATAGCATTTTCCTAGCCATATAAATGTATAAAGAGAGAGAAGTTAAAAAGACAAAAAATTTGAGAGTGTTTAAAATGACTTTTTACTTTAAAGCCATATAGAATTATAATGAAAACTGAAAGCATTTTTCTTAATGCTTAGGTTGTTCACAATTATTAGTCATAGTATTGATTAGCAATGATTAAGAATTGGGCTACCAACAGCCATATATGTATTTTGTAAGAAAGATTAGTGAGTTAAGATTTTTAGAATTCTTAATTTATTTTCCATGCACTTCAAAATATAGCAAGAAAGAAGTTTCAATATAAAAAGGTCTTTAAATTTACATGATTTCCAATGAGTTGACTGGTCTCTGGGGGCATCTACTGGAAATTTAGCAAACTGCAGTTACATCATGTAAATTTGGTAACTTTCACTATCCATCCTAATACAGATATTATTTTAATTGATATGCAAATAAGTTGACAAAGAAGATAAATGTAAAGTTATGCATGGTATTCTATCTCATCCATCTGGTAACAGCAAAACATGTAGCTGTCTATGAGATCAGTTAACAAATATTCAACTGTTAAAAATGTAAATAGGGCAGGTGGCATACCATAGATTAACAGTTTTCAAAGCATCCAATTCTTATTTTTGGAAAAATTAGAAAAATATTTTATACTTAAACATTCACATATTTAATGAGAAATTTTTATTAATCCAAATAAAATATATATATAAAGCACTTTTAAATTATGATGGATTCTCTAAAACAAATCATTTTGTATCTCATACATCCACCAATCATAAATAATATGACTACTGCTTATTTTCTATATGATTTAATTTAATTATTACATGTTAACATCTCAAAAAGTAGAATTTATTATACTTGGATCAGAAGAATTTTTCATTATAGTCATTACAACTAGAATTCATCATTAAAATGAACATTGTTATTAATGTCCTCTAAACATTTCAGAACCTCCTTAAAGAATATTGAACATATAATGAACACAATACAATCATTTCAATGTATTATAATTTAACATATTTTAATTAAAAAGCTCTTTTTATAATATTATGTTATGACTAATCATATAATTTAAATATCACAGCCATTATAATGATCTTGATTTTTTTGCAGAATTTATAGACCATATTCACTTTGAGAGATTAAAAATATAATTTGAAAGTATAAATATTGTGATATGCTTATATTTTACCATTATATATTTTATATATTGCTGTAAAATTTATATAATTTATATGTAATTTTTATAAAATGCAATTAGATATTATATACATTATATATTATTTATAATATATAATTAGATATTATATAAATTATATATTATATATTTATATAAAATTATGCATTATATAAATTTTATATTATATTACTTATATTAAATTATATGATACACAATTTATATAAAATTATATATAAAAATTATATAAAATTCTCCTTGTAAAGAGTCACATAACATTTTAGCTTCATTCCAAAGAGATTGTCTAATGCAATATATTAATTTATAATTTTTCTAAAAATTTCTTAGAATTGCTATCCAAATAAATGATTTCATCTTTTATTATATGAACTGAAAAAATTAAGCAATATAAAAATATTACCAAAAAGTCAGAATATAAATATTAATATAGCATTCTGTTTCAGTTTTGATTTAGACTCAATTTAGGTAGATAGGCCAATTTAACAATTTTAAATACATAAATAAAATCTGCCCCCCAGAACATTTTATGGAATAGAATTTTTATGTGATTATCAAAACAGTTACGCGTTTACTAATTTGAACTTTAGACGAAACTGTTACATATGCAAGTTTTGCTTTGTATTTTTGGATTTTTTATCTATTAATAATAAAGAAAAGCATAGTCAGAATTTCAACATTTTAAAAGTATATATACAAATTGAAAAATGCTATTTTGAAAAAACTAACCTAAGTTCAACCTTTATTTTTTAAGAAAAAAACTAGTAATAATTAAGGAATAAAGTTTATCCTCTGGCATTTTGTAAATAGTACTATCACTAATATAACTCAACGAATAATAAAAATATCTAAAAATTTGATCAGTAAAGATTCTCTCAATAGCCTGATAAGAATTCATTTCAACATGGGTGATTATATTTTAGAAGTTATGAAATATTTGTGTAGAATGGGACAGAAATTATTTCACAGATTCTATTTTGATAGAACTGATGTTTTGCATTAAAGGCAGTCACTTTTTGTGAGATCAACAAATGTTTATAAACCAAACTATATTTTCATTGATGATTATTAACAAATATCAGAGGAAAGCATGCTTATTTAGCAAATAGTACAGGACTATAATCTTTACAATAACTTTAGATAATTTCCTTAATAACATAAAGGCATTTTTTATGTGCCCACTTGCTCAAAGTTATTTATTCAAGTGATTCCCATTTAATCAAATATTTCAAGTACAGTAATTGTTATCAACCAGGAATGGATAAACTATTCATCAGACAATAGAAAGTATTACCAAAATAGTTACCCACGGTAGCTGTCGCACAGCACTTCAGCATCATTCATTTTCTTTATCGAAAAACCTCAAACATACACATTTTTAAGACTTAAAAAAATACTGTTTGTTTTAGAAACATTTGTTGATCTCACAAAAAGTAACTGCCTTTAATGAAAACTTCTCTAGTAGTCTGGTAAAAAAGGATTGGAAGAAAAGCTCCTTATATGAGGTTAATTACATATGCAATTTTGATAAAAGTCTTATTACTTCCAAACTCCTTTGAGAAATTCAAACTTTATACAAAATAATTTGTGTAGAAAAATTTTAAGCCAAAGATTCCACATGGAAAGATATTAAATGAGTGTTAAAGGAGAATTTTTCAGGGACAGTATTTTCAAGCCAGGATTACAACACGACTCCAAACACCTTTGGCTAACTGCAGCAAATCATATGGATTCTTGTTCTTTTCTTTCAGATTACACTGTACTTCTCTACTATAGAAAAACCAGTTAAACCTAAGCTGAAAAATAAACCCTGGAAATAATCTTAGCTTTTAAATTGAGTTATAATGATACAAAATAAATTCAAATAAGTAATACAATTCTGGTGTATTATGTGTCCTAATATAACAAGAAGAAACATGAGGAAAAGAGGAGGGAAACAAAAAATGAGCTTCATATCACAGGACTACAAAGAGTGGACTAAATATACATGTAAATATCATCATACTCACTCATCAAATGATCATTTTTGTCTAAATTTGTATTTATAATTTCTATTAACAAAAAACTCCATAGAATATGATATTCACTCTGTTGTGTTCTTCTTTTTAAAACCACCCATCTTCACACTGACACTCTGTTTTTTGAAACATAATTCTATGATACCCTCCACATTTTTTGAAATTTTATTGTTTGGAAAACTTTTTCTCAAATAACATCATTTAAAATTTTCTTTTAGTTTTCTACACAGCATTATAAATAAAAGAACTATCAACTTCCCATATACATTCAGGGAAATATCAAACTTTTATTAAAAATGAAAAGCTGGAGAATATAAAGAACAAACTTAGTAAAAACAAGTTGCATTATAAAGAAAACTTCAGCTCACTGCATTTTTTTTTACTAAAGTATGTCATACATTTTATCTTTGCAAGAATTTGACAAGTTTTGCAAGTAAAATTCTGTTTCCTCTACACTTGCTAATAGTCATGAGAATCTGTAGTTTGCACCTTCCCATTAAAAATGTATTGTATTTTTTGAAATTATTCACCCCGCCTTTTATCCAGATCATGTCTTTGAAAGGAGGAAGTAGATAATAAATGGAATAATTCATGATTCCCCATTAAATATGAAACTTTCTTTTGCAGAGTTTAGAAAATGAAGTTCTACATAATGTACAAAAGTTGATTAGAACTTTTTTAACCTTTTCAAGAAAAAACCTTTCATACTAAACAACTACATGAGGAGCTTTCTCTGAGAAAGGTAAAACAATCAATTCTTTACACCTATAGGTTCGTCATATATATTCTAATGTTGCCCCCTCTAAACATATATTTCCCTATAATACTTTAAACATATTAAAAATAATGGCAAGAAAAATAGTATACATTGAGTTGTAAACATGACAAGTTTTTAAGAGAAATATAACGTTTAAAATACAAAGGGAAAAAAATCACATAAATTAAAAATGAAAACAAAACATTATTCATGCTCTTTTCAGTAATGTAATGGAAGATAGTGTAGGGGTAAATAACAAAAACTGCATGTGTATTTCTCTTACTATGGCATGTCTTCTAGTGAAGTAATGATATTTTGTCATGAGAAAAAAGTATATACACTTATAAAACTTATCTTTTACAAATCAATCATTGGTACTCCATTAACTACACTCTCTTGAGCCCCTTTTTTGATAAAATTTTTAAAAAGAAACCAAATGATTCTTAAGATGACTCCAGTTCTATATTTTTAGATATAAATATTCTATATGTCTTGGGTGAGAAATCTGTATGTCTTGGGTGAGAAATTATATATATTCTATATGTCTTGGGTGAGAAATACCTTAAGAGAAATGTCAAGTTCTGACTACTTAAGAGCAGCAGTTGATCTCATTTCTTCTTTGGGTTTTTAAGTTTCTATTATAGAAATAGTTCCTCATTTGACTCAACATATTTTGATTTTCCCCTTATCTAAAAATAAAATTAGAATACATTTCCCTATCAAACTTGAATGCTTAAAAGATAACTACCGAACTGTAAGTCATGTAAATAAATCTTTCATATTATGTGCTCTTTAATTACCGTTGCAAAGTAAGTGTGCGCTGCGCACATGAACAGTGAAGCCAGGAGTTTTCACAGACTATATGTATATGATAAACTTCCAGAACATAATAAAATGCTTTGGCTAGAAAACATCTGTGTATATATAAAAGATCTTGTATATAAAGATCTTGTTTTCCTGAATATCATATTAATTTTATTGCACCTATCTAAACATTTAGAAAATTACTAGTTATAACTAAGAATATGGAATTAGTACATACAAAAGTATATCAATAAGAACATTGCAAGAACAAAAGAAAGTATTTGCAAGAAGATGAAATAAAAGAGCCTTGGATTTAAACTTTTTTAAAAAAGTATAAAATAGATTAGTAGGCGGAGAACAAGAATATTTTTCTTTTGTATTACCATATAATAATGCAAATACCAACAAAAAGAAAGCTTGTATAATATTATTAGTATTAAACAAAATAGAATTCAGGCAGAAAAAAATTAAAGGAGCATAATAATATCAGATATTATTATAAACAGATCAATTTACTGAAAAATATAGCAGGTGGGAAACAATGCACCTAATAATATAGCTTAAAAATACATAAAATTAACAGAATAATGAGAAGACATCGATTTTAATTTTTTTCAGAAACTTACAGATAAAGTAGAGGGAGAAGTATTTCAACAGTAATTGCCTAGCTTGATTGAAATAACAGCCTCACACTAATATTTAGATTCTGAGAGATTTTTATATAATTATCTATCAAACAAATACAGAATATATACTTATTCGTCAAAAAAAGAAATATTTATAAAACCTGACCATGTACTGGTCACACCAGGAATTTTGTAAATTGATACATTTAGTACACATCCATGGATATACATCCATGACACACTTACTAAGCATGAGTAAAGATTTACTTCCCAATCCTGGATCCCCTACAAAAAAAAAAAAAAAAAAGAAAGAAAGAAAACACCAAAAACTACTCACTGCAAATTTAGAAATACACTTCAAATTTATTTTTTGCTTAAATGCAGAACCACTATGGAAATTTTCACATATTTAGAATTGAAAGAAAGAAGAAGTTATCACCGTATTTAAAAAGAAGGCTATAGATTTAAGTGCATTTTCTAAAAAACAGGAGCAACTCATACTAGTGAAGAAGCTAGCTTTCAACTCAGGATGATAAAAAAAAACCCTAACAAAACAAATATTATGAAATAATACTAAATAAAAATCTGAGAAGAAAATATTAACAGTAAGTTAATAAAATGATAAAAGAGAGACCAAAAAGTTGACACATAAAATGAAAGAACTGGTTATGTGAAAAGAAAAAGATATCTGTGCAAATATAACCAAGAAAAACAAAAACAGATAGTCACTAAACATAGTAGCACGAACGGAAAAAGCTTCTAATTATAATTATAGTAACAGCTAACTCTTACTATATGCTTAATGATGTGCCAGGTGCTGTTTTCAATACTTTACATGTAATTAGCCTATTTAAACCTGACAACATTTTTAATGAGATAGGTGCTATCATTTTAATCTCCATTGTACAGATGAGGAAACTATAGCACAAAGAGTTTAATTAACATGCTGAAGATCACACACACCTGTGAGTGATGGAGCTGGTTCATCAACAGAGGCAGTCCAACCCTAGACCCCGTATTATTAGCCATCATTATCTTTACACTCCCTCCAAGATACAGAGAATATTTCAAGAAATATAGAAGAGGCTTTAACATTATTAGAAAATATCATGTTAAACTTTATTGCAGTAAATATAAAATTTTACATAAATAGGCACTTATTTTTTAAAATAACAATAGCTGGAGAAGATTTAGAAGACCAGTTACAAGACCTACCTACCCCTTTTCCCCTGACCCCTACTCTCACCAAAGGAGAGAAACTATTCTGTTTTACATGGGAGTTCTACCAAATTTTCAATACTAAGAAATTCCCATTTCATCCAAAATGTGCTAGAGCATTGAAACGGATAAAAAATTATTTAGTCAATTTTACAAAATACAAGTAACCATTGTAATTTCTTTCACTGGGGGAGGGCCCAGAAAGACTGCAGAGGAAGAGATGTTTCTAGGTCCTTGCATTATCTGAAAAAATTTTTAATTTGCCCTCACTTTTAATTGAATAAGATAAAAATTCTTTAGCCAATTTTACAAAACCTTAAACTGTAGCATAAGAAAATTAAAATCGTAGCTCAATATCATTATTATTTAGATACAAAAATCACACACGCGCGTGCACACTAACACACAGAGAAGTCAATAAATCGAAACCATCGTAAGTAGAGTTTATCTCAGAATTGGAAGAATAGTTCAAAATAGAAAATCTAGTAACTTTAAATAATCTAGTAGGTGCTAGAAAATTATTTCACAAGGTTCAACACTCACACATGATTAAGAAAAATAGAAACTAAAAAAAAGTTTCTTTATCTTGGTAACGTGTATCTATTAAAAAACCTATGGCAAAGGGCTTTCTCTTTGGGATACATTAGAATAGTCTTCACTGAAGCCAGGAATGTGAAGAGACGCCGCTGTCAATGCTATTATGTAACATCATTGAAATGAAAGGTCCTTGTTAATGTGGGACTCAGTATTTTAATAATGTCAGTTCTCCTAAAATAACATATGAACTTAACACAATCCCAATAAAAGCTTAATGATATTTCCCCAACTCTTGACAAGATAATTCTAAAATTCATATAAAACAGTGAATATACAAGAAAAACTTTCTCATTTGGAACAAAAGGGACTGTCTGCCAAATATAAGAATGCATTTCAACTATATTGATAAAAAGATTAGTGGCATTAATATAAGAAAAGGCAAATAAATCAATATAACAGAATATATATGTACATGTATGTGTATAGGTATATGCATACACACATGAAAATTTGGCATTTAATAAAAGGAACATTTCAATTCAGGGTAAAGTTTTTAGGACAACTGATTTGCAAATATTACTGGTTTTATTTTTTTAGATTAATATTTTATATTCAACAAATAACATATATATAGCATGTGCTATATTACTTTTCTGCACTTAAGAATATACTTAATACACTTAAATCTCAGTTTCCTGATCATCTCCTTAACCCTAATTAATACATGTGATAGGTTTATATTAACATTGTCATGAAGATCTTTCAGCTGCTTAATCATATTATTTGCCAGAGAATTAGTTGAGAACTGTTTCTTCCTTTTCTATTTTCTTGAAGAGTTCGTGTTGAGTTTGTCATTATTTCTTCCCCTAATGTTAGGTAGAATTCATTAGTGGAGCCACATGGGGCTGGAATTTTCTTTGTAGGAAGTTTTTTTAACTATAGATTTAATGTCTTTAATAAATATAAATCTCTTCTGTTATCTGTTTCTATGTAAGTGAACTTTGGCAGTGTCTTTTGAGAAATTTAGCCATTTCATCTAAGTCGTTGAGTTTATCAGCATAAAGTTTATCTCCTAGTAACACTTTAATATCTGTGTAATCTGTAGTAATATGTCCCTTTTCATTTCCCAAATTGGTAAACTGTGTCTTCTATTTTTTCTCTGATCAGTTTGACGAATGGTTGATCAATTTTTTTTCAAAGAACCAGCATTAGTTTCATGGGTTTTTTGGTTGCTTTCTGCCCTTATTTTACTATTCCTTTTTCTCTACTAACTTTGAGTTTAATTTGCTTTCTTTTTCCAGTTTTTGAAAATGAAAACTTAGAAAATTAATTTTGGATATTTATATTTTTCTAATACAAGCATTTTAATGCTATAAATTTCCTTTTAAGCACTGCTTTAGCTGTATCCCACAAATTTTGACATGCTGTGTTTTCTTTTTCATTCAGTTAAAATATTTTCTAATTTGACTTGTGATTTCTTCTTTGATTCAGGGGTTATTTAGAAGTATGTTGTCTTGCTTCCCAATTCGGGAAGATTTTCCAAAACTCTTTCTGCTATCATTTTTAACTTAATTTCATTCCTGTAGGAGAACACAGTTGGAAGGATTTAAATTGTTTAAACATGTTAAAATTTGTTTTATGGCCCAGACTATAATCTACTTTGATAAATCCTCCATGCACAGTTGAACATAATGTATTCTACTGTTGTTTGGTGGAATATTCTGTAAGTGTCAATTACTTAAGGTGATTAAAGGCATTGTCCAAGGCTTCTATATTCCTACTGGTTTTTCTACCAGCTATTGAAAGAGTGATGTTGGAATCTCCAACAAAAATTATGGGTTTTTCTACTTCTCCTCTTCTTTCTATCAGTTTTGGTTTAATGTTTTTTTGAAGTTCTACTATCAGAAGCACAAACATTTAGGCTTATGTCCTCTTGATGAGCCAACTCCTTTTATCATTATAAAATATCATTTTTTTCCATAGTAATATTTCAACTGCTTTCTGAAATTTTGAGATCTCTAATTTGTTTTCTCTCCTTCCTTATCATGGTAAGAATTTATTATCCTTTGTACTTCTGTGTGGCCATTTCAAATATAGAAAAGAAATGAGATTCGTCATTTATCTTGACCTTGACATTGATGTGGAAAAACCTTAAGCCAAACTAACTTTTGAGAAAACAATTCCCTTAATCAGCAATGCATTTCTTTGGCTACTTTGATTATAGGATAAAAAATTGTTTCAGACAAGCTTAAGTAAAATGATTTCATGGAAATCTGAATCATGATTGCAGAACAACTGAGTTCTGGTAGAACTGAACCCCAAGGGAGGTTCTGGATCCAGGGTAGTCCTGGAAATACTGGAAAAGTCTGAAAATTGATTTCAAATATATGTCATCCATTTTCTTTCCAGCTTATTCATTCCTTCCTCTCTTTGAACCATCCTTTTTTCTACTGCATTGCTTCTGCTTCTTTATAACAATAGATTGCCTTTGTCACATTACTTAACCTCTCCATGCCTTCGTCTCTGGGAGTAATAACAAGGGTTATTGTTCATAGGGTTGTTTTAAGGACCAGTTAACACAGAGAATAGCACACAATAATCATTTATTTTACCTGTTACTATCTTGTTTGAAAGAAAACTTAACGAGGATATAATATTTATGACAAGCTCTCTAAATAACTATTTTGTTGCATTAGGTGTGCACATTTTTCTTATATAAGATTATATAATAACTTTCTTTTGGAGCTTAGTATCAGGAAAAAGCTTGTCTCTCTTAAAGAACTGATGTATGTCTTTTCATCAGGTAATGAGAATTCTGTAGTCCTTCGCATCTTCCTTTTTGCCCAGTCTACCCAGAAGTTGAAAGAAAAACTTAATGTTCCCTCATAGTAACTGTAGTAATTCCAGTGGGGAGCATATTTACATACTTTATTTATTTGCCTTCTATTTTCTAGTTATAATCTGACAGCTGTGTAATACAAAGGTTTTTTTTTGTTTTTTGTTTTTTGTTTTGAGACGGAGTCCTGCCTTGTCGCCCAGGCTGGAGAGTGCAATGGTGCAATCTTGGCTCACTGCCCAGGTTCAAGCAATTCTCCTGCCTCAGCCTCCTGAGTAGCTGGGATTACAGGTGCGTGCCACCATGCCTGGCTAATTTTTACATTTTTAGTAGAGACAGGGTTTCACCATGTTGGCCAGGCTGGTCTCAAATTCCTGACCTCAGGTGATCCACCCACCTCGGCCTCCCAAAGTGCTGGGATTACAGACGCGAACCACCACGTCCAGCCTACAAAGTTTTAACTTTAAGTTTCTTTAATCCATTCTGGAAAGAAAGTCAACAAGCAAAAAAGTGTTATTTTATGTAAGTCAGAGGCCTAAAAGGTGAAGAAAACACAATCCTTGCTTTCAAAGACTCCAGTCTAGAGCAGAGTTCATTCCTTATGACAACCCACATTAAGAAAAAATACAAAAATTAGCTGAGTGTGGTGGTGCACACCTGTAATTCCACCTACTCAGGAGGCTGAGGCAGGAGAATTGCTTAAACCCAGGAGGTGGAGATTGCGCCACTGCACTCCAGCCTGGGCAACAGAGCAAGACCCCATCTCAAAAAAAAAAAAAAGAAAAAAAAAGACACTTACATTGCAGTTCAGCACATGTATAAATGTGAGTGTAATATATTAAACCAATATTTAAAAGCACAAATATGCAAAATGTTCCAATCAGTTTATAATTATTAACTCAATTAATTATAACTATTTTAGGAAACAGGTCCTATTATCATTATTTTTTTCAGATTAGGTAACTGAAGTACAGAAAGGTTAAGTAACTTCCCCAAAGTCAACCATTTACTTTGTTAATGAGAGTAAATCTGGGACTGGAGACCAGAGAGTATGGTTTAAAAATTCATGCTCTATTCCATTATACGTGGCAGCCTCCCAATATTTAGCTTTCCTCTATGCAATGCATTCTTTTCTATCCTATTTGTCTACACTCTCTTTCCATTTTTTAAATCCTGGCCATGACCCCCAAACCAATGGGTCAAAATCACTACCCACTAATGAGTCACAATCTATATACTATCTGTACTATAATACATACATACAACATACGTACATAGTATATACATGCATAGTATAGAACATACTATAGTATGTTAAATATTAATAAAGGGGAAATAAAACACTTGTACATGACTGTCAATGGCCATCAAGATAGTTCAAACAGGAGTTCTGCTCTCTACCAAGTGTTTCAAAGGAGGCCTCACAAAGCAGGAAACTGTTAAGTTGAAGCTGGAAGATAAAAGCTTGCCCAGTACACAAGGCATGAGAGAAAGCAGAGGGTTTTCCAGGCAGAACACATGTGCAAGGCTATGAAGGGGTAAAAGATCATGGGTTCTCATTCCTGTGAGGTGAGCTAAGCACTGTATGAATAGAGTACCAATGATGCACATACGAGCAGAGCAGCAATGGCCTCAGCTCTCTTGAAGCTTGTAGTCAAGTATAGGAAACAATTATACTGTATTGCAATGGCAATACAGTGCTATAAGTGCACTGGAGATTACAAGATAGTAGCAAGTTTATCTAATACAGTCGAGCCATTTAAGAATGAGTAAGAATCATGAGACAGTAAGGAGAAAAATCATTCTAGGCCAAGAGAATGGAAATACACTAAGAATGAGAGATGAGAGAAAACACAGTTTAATGAAGACCTGAGTATTTTCAGAGGCAGAATGGTATAATGCTCCAAAAATGAGTGTTAGACCCAGACTGCCTAGATTCAAAGTCAGCTCTTCTACTTATTATGTGTGTGTCCTTGGGAAAGTTACTTAGTATCTCTGTGCATCAATTTTTAGCTGTAAATTGAACTAATAAATACTTTTTGTGAATTAAATGAATGAATACATATGAGGCACTTAAAACAATACCTGAAACATAGAAAGTGCTCTACAAATATTAGTCATTACTATTATTTTTGCAAGAAGATGAATTTCAAAGCAGGAATGGAAGGAATTAAACCTGGAAACAGTATGCACAGGCTGGGATGAGACTGGCCTTAATTAAAAAGTATTTCTTGAGTGCCTACTATGTGGATACTGTTATAGGTGCTGGAGACTCAGCAGTGAACAAGACATCCCTCTAGTTGCTCAGGTCAGTTCAGAAGGAGTCATTTTTTATCTATTCCTTTACTAAGTTCCCATGTTTACTCCGTCGGTAAACTCTGATCTCTCTGTCACTTGAATATATTCTAAATTAGACCACTTCTCATCATTTCTACTACATCTGCCCTGATCAAGCCACCAATGTCTTTTGCTTGGGGTGTTCCCCAGTCAAATATCTACAGAGCACAACAGCCTTGAGTGATCCTTTTAAAATAAAGTGATATCATATCATTTCCCTGCATAAAATGAGCCAAAGGTTTCCTAGCATACTTAGAAGAAAATTTAGGCTTTTTGGAAATTATTCTGACCAAATAACTTTTATCCCTTAGGAACAATGTGAAGGGAATTTTTTAAAAATCCAAAAAGCATAAAAGAGATTTGGAAAGATTCTTATTGATCATCTAAGAGTTTTGGAAGATACTCTAGTAATTAATTAATAAGTAAATTAATAAACAATTTGTATTAATTTAAGGACAGAGGCAATCAACATTGGAAATTTTCCAGCAACACAAATCTTTCAATATATAAACCTAGACTAAAACAAAAACTAATAAAGCAAAACATATAATTAAAACTTTTCTAAAATATATTATTCATTTCCCTGCCATATGAAACAGAGTAAGGTCAACAAAAAAATGCTTTGTTATGAATTCTGTTATTTAATTTCAACACAATGTAAATACACTGAAAAGGGTGGCTGCAGGGCCCAGTCATGCCTTGCCCTTGTCCCCAGACAGTCTGTCCTTTTCACAGTGGCCAATTATTTTATCTTCCCCATGTCAGCTAGTATTTCAGTATTTTAGCTTCTTCCTTACAAATTTAATTTACCTAAAGTAGGAAAAACAGGATGCTTCCATGAAAAGCAATATAGGCAAGCTAGTTAAATAAGAAAACCTAATTTTATATACATGTCTAAGTCGACAGACTTGGCCTAAGGATGCCTCCACAGCCCTCCTTACAGTAAAATATGTAGGCTATTTTTCTGGAGCTTTTCTTTGTTGTGTCAAGGTTTGCATGCATATACTGATGTTGGTTAATATAAATCTGACATCTGAATTAGTGATGTGTTCCTGATATTCTTCTTATGAAGGAACTGTCAAGTTTTGCCTGCACTGTGTGGATTGCAAGGAAGAAGAGGAAGAAGCTTCTCTATTTGGGTTTTCTAGCTATACAGTATCTGTGATGTGCAATACAGCAAAGTGCAATAGAATAAGGTATGCCTGTATTTAATATGACTTAACATGCTTACACTTTGGTTTAAAGAGAAGCACTTAAAATATATTGAAAGATTTTTATATAGTGGTATGTAGAAAATTGGGATTAATAGTTAAAGCACAGAGCTTGAAGATGCTAATACACACATACATATATACACACAAACATGCACACATACAATATATATATATATATTTATGAAGATACACACTACATATATTTGTATGTGTGTGTGCATATATATATATATATATATATATATATATATATACACACATATATATCTTGATAAGTTGCCTTCCTAGATCAAAGAAAGGGTGATCATATTTTAAATGGTCTCAGAGAATCACTGAAATACAAACATGAAGTTTTAAAAGCTTCCAAATAATAAAAACTATCAAGGAAAAGCATCTCCTACAAACTTATATTCTCTTTTTTATTTCTTATAACTAGACATTTAAATGCTTTTATTTTAAAAGAGAATTAAAAAATAAAAATAAAAGAGAATGATAATGCTGTTCCCTTCTAATCTGGAGGTGGGCATCACCTGATTAAGCTTCCCAGAAAAGTCCCTGGTCTGGTAATATCTGTGGAAACCCTGGTGAAGCAAAAGAGTTCTTGTGAATCCATAACTTGGTTTTGCTTTAAACAGTGAGATGGTGATGCTGGTTATTACAACATCTCCAATTTCCAATATAGAAAACAGAACAGGATACGGGTATAGGCCAGGGAGATGATTTCTCCATAGTTGCAGTAACCTCAGTAATTTTAAGGATTGTTTTTTAGCCATAATGGAGACTTGAAAAGGGTCTAAATAGTTTTTAATCTTCCCTGTTTTCTTAATACAGAAAGAAGACACTATCAAAGACAAAACTCAACATAATAAAACCATCTTGCCCCATACATTGAGAGTGATGTGGCTGGATCATTGTTTATCCCACTGACTGACAGTTCTGGCTGATTCATCCTCTGTGGTACCTGTGTGCTTGTCTCCTTTTATCTTTTTTTATTTATCACTTTGTCCTATGACACTGAAAAAGGAATTTCCCAAATGGTTTTTAAATAGAGAAGTGCATTTTGCACTGTGGTTTACGGGCTATTGTAGGAAGAACCACATCCTTCAGCTATATTCTTTGTATTTCTAAAACTGCGAGTTTATCTGTACATTTCTGAAAAGTTTTTATTACAACTTGAAATTTTCTTAAAAAAACTGGCTGGGCATGATGGCTCACAGCTGTAATGCCAGCACTTTGGGAGGCTGAGGTGAGAGGACTGCATGAAGCCAGGAGTTGAAGTTCAATCTGGGCAACATAGTGAGACCCTGTCTCTACAAAAAAAAAAGTCCCCTCACTGATTAGTATTATAAGTTTGAAATATATGTTATTTAAAACTCTGCCTTTAGAACATGATGAAAATGATACTTAGTACGAAGCAAAAGATATAACTATACATAAAGAGAAATGATAAATTAATATCACTACATAAATCAACACATTAAGTTAATGCAAAATATTTAGGTTATTTATACTATTAATAAATGCTTAAAAGCCAAAGAAAAATGAGCAATGATAATTAATAATAGTCTGAATTGAGTGTCGTCTACACGTGTTTCATATAGAGAATCTCATTTACTTCTTGTAAGAATTTCTTGTTAGTATGCTCTCCAAATAGTTGTGGAAAGCAAAGATTGGAGAAAGCAGGTAACCTTAAGACAATACAGGTATTACATAACAAAGCCAAGTTTTCAACCACAGAAGGAATCAGCTCCTATAATAGCCAGAGCTGCTAGTCATGATTCCCATGCTTTCCTCTTAGAGACATCTTTTTTTAATGTCTATTAGAGCTGGTAAGCTTAAACACCATATGTGAAAATAGCATTTTAAAGCAAACTCCTAAAGGACACAAAGATATAAACGCCTAAGAACTTGGCATTTCTATGTTCTGTTGACATTTGAAATCTTTTCTTTTATCTCTATATTTGGTTTTGGTGAAAATTTGAGACCATTTTTTTGTACCTAGTGAACATTGTTGTTTTATTCTGTCTTGTTTTGTTTTTAAAAAAGCTCCTTCCAACTACATTTTTTAAATTCCCCAATTTTAAACTTTACTGATATCAGTCTTTTCCCCCTTCTTCTTTCTGCTTTTTCTTCTTCTTCCCTTCCTTCTCTTTCTTTTCTTTCTTCCTTTTCCTTTAAATCATGGCAAAACGATCTTTTCATTCCTGGTTTCACATCCTAGAGATCTGATCTCGAAGACAATGCCAGAATTTTTTCAAAAAGAAGTGGCAATTCCTTCTCTCTTCCCATCTGCATTCTCTGTAATCGCTTATTTTTAAAAAAATTCATGAGAAAGAAGAAATTTTCTCTTCATTTTAGAGCACCAAAATCTTCTTTTCCTAGCAGGAAACAGGGGTTCTTCCTTCTCCTGCCCACCTATCTCTGTCTCATCTGGAGATTAGTCATGTAAACATTTGCTTGGCAACTGACTTCTTCAGGAAGTTAATTTACAAACCTCCATAGAGAATTTATTACTTTACCAAAGAGCAAACTTTTTTAAGAGAAACCAAAATGATTTCACAAACATTTTCAAAAGTAAACAAAAATGAATGAAGCAGAGGAAGAGCACACTTGAAAGGATCTAACTTCCAATAAAGAATTATGAAATATTGTATCTTAAATAAATGGCTTCATCTTGCTCCATATGTTTGAGTGCCAGGGCATTGTGCAAATCCAGAAGGTAGATTTGCATATAAAAAGTATATTTGTAGTTCATAAAAGCATCTTTGGACAAAAATTTTGAGATTCAAGATAAAAACCTAATCTGCAAAAAACAAAATGTGGACTGGCAAAACACTAATTTACTTTGAGTAAGTATAATACAATTCAAAATGAGGCAGGAGAAAAAGGCTTTAAAAGATATGAAAGTAGGCCAGGCGCGGTGGTTCACGCCTGTAGTCCAAGCACTTTGGGAGGCTGAAGTGGGTGGATCACAAGGTCAGGAGATAGAGACCATCCTGGCCAACATGGTGAAACCCCGTCTCTACTAAAAATACAAAAAAAATTAGCCAGGCGTGGTGGCGGACGCCTGTAGTCCCAGCTACTTGGGAGGCTGAAGCAGGAGAATGGCTTGAACCTGGGAAGCAGAGCTTGCAGTGAGCTGAGATCGCACCACTGCACTCCAGTCTGGGTGACAGACCGAGACTCCGTCTCAAAAAAAAAAAAAAGATATGAAGTAAATTGTTCTTTGTTTCTTTACAGCCCAAACTCACTGAATATAGTAATGAACAGTCCTAACTGCCACTAAGCTTGCTGACAAAGTGATGCTCAATAAACATCCACTGATGATGCTAAAAATAAGATGTTCGGAAAGAAAGTAATATCTTAGAGATGCCCACAATTTTGAACCAAATATATCCTTCTGCATAATAGAACTTCATATCTGAAGCAGAAAATAATATTGAGCAGATTAACACACTCTGTCCCCAGATGATTTTGTTTCCTCACATACATAGCTAAAGCTGTAAAGTGCCCTCTAGAAATGTTTATTTGAATCTATAAATGACTCTTTTATTACTTAGCTACTCAAAGTAATTATGATATGATAATAAGTGATATTTTAAGTTCTTTTTGAAAACAATAATGCATTCTGATAATATTATACAGAATTAAAAATCCGAAGTACAGAAGTACAGAAACTCTTCGGACATGACTGTCTGTACTTGTTAAAGATCAGTTAGATAGTAGCAGTGAACCATTTGAAGTTCACTGCTAAGTCAAATTTGACTTTGAAGTTTAAAGTCAAATCATCATTATCAAATATGGAATGTGAATACAATGGATTTGATTTTTTTAAATGCACCTATAAGGCACAACAATAATCTAGTCACTTAGAAAGTAACGAAGCATACTGAAATTTCTTCTGTGAAGGTAGATGATACAAAACCCAGAAGCCTTTTGCCTTTGAACGATTCTACCATTCCCAAGTAAAATAAACCCCCATCACTTGGGTTTGGCCATTCCAGTGACAACTACATGTTAGCTTATCCTGCTTGCTTACTCATTTACATTGTATTATGAGGTCAAGAAACGGCTCACTGTGGAGGTCACATTCAAGTTGACACCTGCATAAGAAGAAGTGTCAGCAATAAGGCCACATTGGGAGTAGAGAGTGGTGGAGAGAAAGAGAGAAGGTCAGAGAGGTCAGTAAAGTCCAGACCATGCACAGCTTCAGGTCAGGTGAAGAATGGGAAGCTATTGGCAGATTTTAAGCAGGGGAATGTCATGATCTAATGTTTTCAAAAGACCACTCTAGCAGGAGTGTGGTGGAGTGAGAGTGGGTGTGGGAAGAGCAGTTATATGACCATTTAAGCGATCTTAGCAGACATGATGGCAGCTCTGCAATGAAGACCAGGAGATGAACACGGGATACATTTTGGAGTTGTAGCTGATCGGGCATACTGATGGATTAGAGGGGGGTAGCAGTAAGCAAGGTAAGACTCAAGGCTGCCTTGATGTTATTTGCTGAATGGAGGAAAGGCTGTGGGACGAATATTGGGGATAAGAGAGGAGTAGGGGTGAAGCAAGAGTCCAGTTTTGGGTTATATTAACCTTGGGATGTCTGTGATATATCCAAGTAGACACATCAAGGAGGCAATTGGATCTAAAAACTTTCAGCTTGATGGAGAGGCCAGTGCTGGATTTATAAATTGAGTAGCCGTTGGGTTATTGCTAATGTTTAAAGCTGTAAGACTGGGTCCAGGTTGAGAGTGTGGCTGAAGTGCACCTAGGACCCAGCCTTTGGGCACCTCACCACTGAGAGTTTGGAAAGAGAAAGCAGCCTGCAAAGAAGACTGAAGTGCTCCAGTGTGGAGAAAAACCACAGAATATGGCATCCCGAAAGTCACAAGCACAAAATGTTCAAGAAGATGAGAGCGTTCAACTTGGTCAAATGCTGTGAAGACATCTAGGAAGCTGGGAACAGAAACATAACTATTAGATGTGATAAAAATAGGGGTCATGGGTGACCCTAAAGAGGCATTTCAGTAAGTATGGGGGCTGGAAACCTATTTAGAGTCAACTGAGGCAAAAATGAAATGTGAAAATATTAAGACAGCACTTTTCTTGCTGTCTTGGGTAGATCAAAATGGGGTAGAACCTGGAAGGGGATAAGATGTCAAGAAAAAAGTTTGAGTAGAAATGAATACCAGTGAGATCGATCCAATGAAAAAGGAGAAATTGATGGTGTAGGAGAAAAGCAAATTTAACTGCAGGAGGTTAAGTCTTGGGAGCAGGTAAGGGGATGAGATGCAGAGCACAAGCAGAGGGACCATGCTTAGATGACAGTAGGAACTCTCCACCCATCGCATTGGGAGGAAAGTCACAGCATGTGAGTTTAGGTTGGCATATTTTGGGGTACATGATGAGAGGTTATTTTGAAACTAGACAGAGCATATGTGTACTATGGGATATCAAAGCCAGTGTACATCAATTGTATTAATGAGTATACACAAATATATCGATCACCATCTTAAAGACACGAATAAGGCAGTAGAGAGAGGGATTTGAGGATATATCTTAGACATTGTTTTTGCCTGATTTGATTCTTCCATTTCTACCCATTACATTTTCATATACTGAAGATCTATGACTACCAGTTAGATAATTTTATAATGCAACCAGACAGGGAGCCAAACTCAAAATCTATTTTCCTTGAGAAGTTCTATCCTATCGTCTTAGTCTTCTCTGATTTTTTCTTGACCTCTAGGCTGCACCTCACGGTACAGCCGGCACTCGATCATTTCATATTTGTCTCCTGCTCATAGGTCTTATTGTCTCAAATAGATGTTAAGGCTCCAGGATGGGGCCAAGTATTTTACAATAAAATATCATTGTCTCTCCCACTGTGAAAAACCTAGTATTAGATATAAAGTGAGTACTTAATAAATGTTTGTTGATCAATTTATCTTTTTAGAGCTGAATGGCTATAAAGAGTTTGATGCAGTAATTCCCTGGCTAACAGACTATGCATAATTCTTCATGGCACCTGCTGGGCATTGCTGGGAGATGCTGAAATCATTCATCAATTTTCTCCTTTTTATGCTATTCAATTAGTCTGTCTAGGGCAAGGTCTAGAATGTGTATCAATCAAAAGCATAATAATGACCTGTGTACAAGCTATCTCCATACTAATGATTTGCATCCACTATCTTACAGAAAGAGCTTTGGTCTAAGAAAGCACTGAAGTGCAGGAAACTTTAAGGAGAATATTGTAGTAAGGCCTGAGAATTACCCAGAGTTACTGTTGTCAATAGTGTAATGATGAATTTGAAATCAATTTGGCAGTATCTTTAGTGGAAAAATAATATTAAGAGAATACTCATCACTATAGCCTATTTTGCATTGTCTTAGATAAAATTTTTCTTCAGCCTGCACTGAAAACTTAAATGTCAGTAGACTTTTAGTATATGGACTTCTAGTTTGTTGAAATTATGTGTAGCATGTTTAGTTTTTAATTTAATTCCAATTATTAAGCCAATTAAAACTATTTGGATATAATATTTAAATCAGAATCCAAATACGGCATACATATATTTTTCTTTTAAGAAGTAGTTGTACTATAATACAATATTGGCCTTAAATTTTATCTAACAGTTTATCACGGAAAGTTAAATAATTAATCATCAGAATAGCATTTAGCCAAAAATCCCACGTACCATATACATGGTAGTCTATAGAGCTCTGCAGAAGTGAGTGATTACAGCTACTGTAAAATTTTGTCATTCTATAAAGTAGTTATTGACAAAATAAATGACTGTGTTTTTCCATGTTATATGCAAATTGACAAAGATAATATCTGATAAAATGGAAAACACCAAGAGACTTAGAACTTTAGAATATATCAAACCTACACCAAAATATCATTAGCAACACCCTTTCAGTAGAATCCCACAGCATTAGACAAATTAATAGAGAGAATCTTTTACAAACATTTGTTGCATAAAATATTTTAATTGAAACAATTAATGAATTCCATAAGATACGTGTAAATTTACAAGATTTCCATTTTTCAATACTTACATGAAAAGATGTGATAACAGAGCCACTAAGTATAGGTAAGAAATATTAAACTTGTTTAGCTATTATTCTAAGTTTCTATTCATTTCTCACTAACCTACATTGATTTTTGTACTGCTTTTATTCATCCCATAAATTAGATTCTAACTGGTGATAAAATGTCAAAGTTTGTATCGTTCATCTAAAAAATAAATCTAGACAATTTGGAATTATTTAAAAATTAACCAATAAAGTATGATCCATTGGTTCTTTTGTGAGTGCTTGGGTGGAAAAGGAGACATATTAGTACATTAGTAAGGTGTTTCTTTTTCTTTAATCACCAGGAGAAAAGATATATAAATCTGTTTCTTAAAGCTTTTTTCTTTCCCATGGAGACAACACACCTTAAAATGAAGGTTAACAAGCAATTAATAGCACAGACTTAACTAAATATTGCAAATGTGATAGTATAATATCTTGGTAAATATGGGAATTTTGAGAGCCATAAAATTAAAGACTTTGATATGTGTGAGATCAATAGACATGACTTATCACTATTTAATATGAGCTTTAATTTTTAAATGCCATGTTCCAATGAAAAAGTATATTACACAGGAAAATTGAAATTTCAATAAAGAATCAAGACAAAAGAAACAAACTTTATATTAAAGTACCTTTAAAGGTTGTACTTACGCAGCAACTTCCTCTTTTGATAATCCTTTGAAATTTACCTCTAGATAATGATCTATGTCATCTTTTTCTTTGATCAATTGAGACCTAAATGAAATAGAAAGAAATAATAAAGCACAGCCTTATCAAGTTGAAAAGCTACCAAACACATAAAATGCCACCAGGAGAATAGAAATATTCAGGGTATAATACCATATGTAATAAACGCAATAGCTATAGAGTTAGGTCGTTGGTTGATCATTTCAAAATTTTATCTTTCCTGAATGGAAAATGATAAGGAAGAATATTAAACCCAGTGTGTAAACAAATAAAACACCAACACCTTGAAATAATTCACTTTCTACTCAAGAGTCTTCTCAAAGCTTACAAGACCTTCTATTTTGCTCACATTTTTTCGTGGTGTAACTTTCCAACTGCTGAAGTTATATATTGTTTGGCACAGAATCCTGAGCCAAGAACACCTGTTTGATTCAAATGTGTAACGTGAATTTATTCCAAACATTACTCAATTTTGTCCTGAAATGTTCTTTGAATAGTTTTTTTAATCACACATAAAACTCAAATTATTAAAGGTTCAAGGTGCAAAATGATTTTAAGAAGCCCTTATTGAAAATGTATTATACTTGTAGTGCGTTCATTCTTCACACCCTTTTGCACCTTTAAAAATAAGCATGCTATCAACCTCTCATAACTATGATGATTGATATGGAACTAAACAAATATCAGTGTTTTATTCAGAAGCTATTAAAGAATGTTGATACAAACTTTGCCTTTTGTGGGTATGATAAAAATATTTTTCTTCAATAAAATGAATACAAGAAAACGTTTTCTTTAAAACTCATCCTAACCTAAGGATATGAGATTTGGCTATGCTTTTGCTCACCTTGAAAACAAAATATAAATTAAATCCTTTAAAAAGACAGAAAGAATAAGCTTTTTCAGACTTCATAAATATTTTACATTATTCAAAAGTAAAACAAAAATATGTATGTATATATATTATAGTGTACACACATGAATTATGCATTCATTGAAAGATTTCTCCGCTATAGGAAAAGAAAATTTTGATTTACTATTTTTAAAGAATTTTTATGTTAGTTTAGCTGAATGTATTTATTTTGTTCCAGGGGCTTTGGTATTTCCTAGAAATACTAAAAATGAGGCATGAGAACAAAGAAACCTCCTAATACTTTGATCATTATGCCTTGCAGGAATGGAAAAGTAGGCATATAAAGAAAATAAACCTACGTATGCAAACTATTTATATTGGTAACTAATATGTATGTTACTAAAAGTCAATAGAATTACAAATGGCAATTTCAAAATAGCACAATCAGTTAATATGATAATTATGACAAAATGTATCAATTTCTCTGTCCTGCATTTCCTCAGTGACAATTTGAGTAGCTCAGCAGCCATTCATGGGCAGCAGCAGTTTGATGATGCATTTTCAAGCCCCAGCATCATTTCAGGAGCTGATTCTTGCCTGCCAATCTACCCTACAAGTAAGGCTCTACCCTCCTTCTTCCAAAACAGAAGTCAGCCCTTGGGACCTTGTAGATTAAAAGCATTACACCTTTCAGTCTGGGCATGGCGGCTCATCCCTACAATCCCAGCATTTGGGGAGGCCAAGGCGGGTGAATCACTTGAGGCCAGGAGTTCAAGACCAGCCTGACCAACATGGTGAATCCTGTCTCTACTAAAAATACAAAAACTTAGCTGGGCATAGTGCTGCGTGCCTGTGGTCCCAGCTACTCAGGAGGCTGAGGCACGATAATTGCTTGAACTCAGGAGGCAGAGATTGCAGTGAGCTGAGATCACACCACTGCACTCCCGCCTAGGTGACAGAGTAAGACTCTGCCTTAAAAAGAAAAAAGCTTTACACCTTTCATTCCCAAAGCTTCTGCTTTCTGTTCTCCATACACATTTAAAACAGGAAACTTATCTCCAAAACTCTACGGGAACCATGATATAATTGCAACAGGAAATAAAATGATGAAATAAGCACTAGGTTAATAAATAAATAAATATATTTGCAGTATTTGAATGTGGTTCATAAATCCTTTTGAAACAGCAGATTTCAATATTCTCAATATAACAAGGCATTTTTCTCTTCTCTTGAAATGATTTTATTTTCTGAGATACATTATTGACATTTCTTATTACAGAAAATTCCTTCTGTAGGAAAATAAGTAAAAACCAGGGGCACGTACCTTGGAATTTTTCTGGAGGAGCAAGGCAGCTTCTGTCTGGCTAAGGCTGTAAGCTTCGGGCGTGTCATGGGCAGTGGGGGCAGGGTGGTCATTTCGGACTACAAAAAGAAATAAGTAGAAATTGTATTTTAAGGAATAAATCTTTCAAAGGATCCTTTAAGACATTATTAGAGATTTACAGTCTGTCATCTTAGTTGAGAATGCCTATGTGTAGTGCTACAGCTGTGTTATTCGGGAATCATGCTCAGTGAGTGGATTCTGCAGGTTGCTTCTCTCATTATTTTCTTCCATTGTCTGCTTTTTGGCCAACTTATTATTTGTCTGTATCTTCAGCACAAAGTAGATAAGAAGAAAATTTGATAAATGCATTGATGGTTCAGTTGGCATCTTTGGTAAGAGTTTTGTAAGGGACATGATTGCAATTAAAGAATAAAGATTTTAAGGATAGCTATGGATTTCCAATGTTTATGTGTTGCTTTCCTGTTACAATCAATAATTGAAAATTGCTTATACTTGCTGTTTTCTAAAAGCCTTATCGCTCACAAATAAAGGCTTTCCCTTAGATGTGATAGATGATAAGAACAATTCTCAACAAGGAGACAGCTACCCTGAGAAAGCACACAGCCATAACAATATAATGAATCACTTCAAAATGTACTGTTTTTTAAAAGTTGTTTAAAACAACTTTATCTCACACTTTACATGGTTCAGGAATAAGGACAGGGTATCATAGGCATGGATTTTTTCTCCTCCATGATGATGGGAGCCTCTGCTGAGAAAACTCAGAAGCTGTAGTAACCCAATGACAGGGGACAGGAATCACCTTGAAGTGTCTTCACTCACTTTTCTAGTGGTTGATGCTGTTAGCTGGGACTCAACTGGGGCTATCTGCCAGAACTCACACATGTGGTCTCCTCATGTGGCATGGACTCCCTCACATCATGGCAACCTAAGACTTCTTATATAGCAGCTCCAGGCTCCAAAGGCAAGTATTTTAGAGAAAAGCCAGGCAGAAGCTTTATCCCCTTTTAGGGTCTAACCTTGGAAGTCACATAGCATCCACTTCTACTGTAATAACAAGTTCACCCAGATTCAAGGCAAATGAATACAGAACCACCTATTGATAGGAGAGTGTCAAAGTTTCATTATAATAAAAGAATATGGCATGGGAGATATTATTGCAGCCCTTTTTGGAAAATGCAGTGTGCCAGAGTGGTGAGCAATTAGGAAGGCAAGTCTATAAAATCAAATTATCTAAATCCTATTCCAAAGAGGAAGAAGTGTGGACATGACATCTGTGAACTTAGAATAGAAAAATTGTTACATGGTGCAAGGGCTGTCAGATACAAAAGAACCCATGCTTCTGTTAAATAGAGAGGCATCCAAAAGGCCAGGGGCTCCTGATCCCACCCCGTCTATGTCCACCAGGTTTGACCTGTACTCTTAGCTTCACCAAGAAGCTGAAAGGCTTGTTTTAGGTTTTAAATGGCTTATCTTCAGCATTACTACCTGTGTGACCCAGGGAAAATCACAATAAAATCTGGGCCTTGAATATATTCAGCAGATATTTAATGAGCTCCTATTTGGTGCCAGGCACTGTTCTAGGTGCCAAAGATACAGCAGTGAAGAAAAAGACAAAACTCTCTGATTTCACAGACTTTGCAGTATGGGGGTAAATAGGGAGAAAGACACTAAACAAATAAGCAAAATATATAGAACCTCAGATGTTGATAAGATTCTCTGCTGGAAAACAAAGCAGAGCACTAGAAACTACCCAGATGCTCACCAATGGCAAAGGGATGAGTAAAAGCAGAAGGAGACAAGCTCAAAGACGTTATGGAGAATTTTGTTCGGTGTCCCAATAGTGTAATGTCTTGATGGTTACTCTAAAAACTGGCTTTTATTCTTATTGAGGTAAGAATCCATTGGAGGATACAGAGCATAGAATTGACACGATCTGACTTGCATCCTGAAAAAATCACTCTGAGTTTTTCTTTCAGGTTAGACTGTAGTGGGGGAAAGGGTAGACAGCAGAGAGGCCAGCCCAAAACCTCCTGTGAAATACAGGGGAGAGAGAGTGGTGGCTTAGGTAGGAGTAGAGAAGGAGAGATGTAGTCAAACCTGAAATAGAACCACCTGTGGATAGCTAAGACACAATATTCCTCTAGTGCTACAAAGCCATGGTGGAGGTAGGGGTGCAGAAGCACTAAGACGAGAGAAAATCTTCTGAAATTCAGTGTAGAAATAGACAGCTTTGTGTTACTGAAAAAGATTATTATCCTGGCCTAAAAATAATTTTTTACATAATTAAAGAGAATTCTAATGGAGATCAGTGGTTTATTTTAAATATAACAGAATCCTAGTACTACCAGTTTATCAAGGCATGATATGATCTATGAAACAAAATGCCCACTTATTTTATGCAGTTAAGGCATTAAGAGTGGAAGTTAATGAACATTAATTGGAAAGCAAAGGGTCTACCCTTTAAAGGGTCTATGCTTTAAAGTGCACAATCTAAACAGCAAATGTTAGTCCTCTCCTACAGACTAAACATTAGAAACATACTATATTACCCTTTATAACTTCATAACGTAATGACAATTTTTTTAATTTAAAAAATCTATTTTTCTGATTAGATGTTATATTAAACAGTTGAGTTACTGGAATAACAAGAACTTACTAAATGGCAGCATCATACAGAGCATATGGTAAGAAGTTATAACTCATGTGAGGTTTGAAGGGACACCAAAGCTCCCCAAACGGGCCTCCCAAGAGCTTACTTCAGAGGAGCTGTGAAGACTTTTCCACAGAGTTCCAGAGTCTTCCAATGTTACAGTGAACATCGGAATCATCTAAGTTCTTAACCCACACCAGTGTAGCCCTAGTAAATTTAAAAAGGGAGAGAAGAAAACAACTAAGTTTGCCTCATTTGGGGCATTCCATCCTCTATAAATTTTAGACTCTTTTCTAAAAGCCCCACTTTACTTGCCAAAGCATTATGCAGTGGGCACTGGGGCCAGGGTAATCTCTTCATAATTGCAGGGGTCTTTGAAGAGTTCACCCAGGAGCTTCAAAATGAGGAACAGTGCTTGCAATTTCCTTGAATACTAAGAACATCCAGCTATTTGTAGACAGATAAAAGAGAGCAGCCCCCAGAGGTGCTGATCCAGCCAAGATAGCTCATCCAGGTGCGTATAACTCCCCACCAAAGTTGGCATACCAGCATGTTATATAAAATTTATCCTTTTTGATGTTTACTTGAGTTCGATGATTTTTGTTAGAAAATGTAAGCATGGAATAGAAACCAAATGCAAATGACATACATGGAGAGGGATATGTCTTCTTTGTCATACAGATCAACTGTGCTTTTTTTTTTTTTTTTTTTTTTTTTTTTCAAAATTCTGAGTCAACGTTTCCTACCATTAAAGTTTCAGCTGCCAGTTCCTTCATTTTGCTCTCCTCTGATCTGAGAACATTAGCAGCAGGAGCACCTTTACTCTTAAATTTAGTTTAATGTAAGTACTGCAAGCCCTGCTGGCAAGCCTCAAGGCACAAACTCTGAATGGGGGGTGGTCAGAGCTGAATGATAAAGTGGAAAAAAAGTTATCAGAGCTGAATGATAAAGTGGAAAAAAAAAAGCATGTTGGAAAAAATATCCCTCAATCAATCTATGTTGGACAGTTTAAGCTTAGAGTCAGGATGGAAGTTGAACAGGCTTTCTCTTTGTTTCTGAACCCCACATCCTACCTTACCTATGCCCATCGGGAAAGTGAATTTTGTTTCTCAGAATCAATACGTGGCCACATAAGGTATTTTGTTTTACACAACAGATAATGTGTGATCTGAATTTTATGACAGAGTTAATATTTTGAATGCAGCAAATATTTAAAGGGGTCCTGTAACAAATTAGTTTCTTATCTAAGTAATTGCCATCTTTTATGCCTTACAAGTTCAAGCAGGGTTTGCAGTACTTCCATTAAATTAAATACCTGTAAAGAAAGCCTTTTGGTCTTTGTTAATATGAGTTGCATCATTTTCCTGGTGTTGGTCAGACAGCATTCTCAGTTCCCATGTGAGCTCCAATTTAGACTCAACAATGAAGAATGGGACTAGTGCTATGAGGTGACTGACCCAGGCCTGTAGCATAAATGGAGCATATCACCACTAGTTATGGCACCTCCTTAGGGTTCTCCCAGATCAACATCTCAGGGGAAAACACACAAGATGGTGTGGCTGCAGGAAGGGAAATTGCTCAGGTTCAGGTGAGTAAGAAAGAAGAAGAATGAAAGATACCTCTTTGGCTGCTACCAAATGAGCTTAGCCCCAGGAGCTCAGGCTGAATCAGCCTGTTAGGAGGACCCACAGGAACCTCCGCCAGTGCTAGCAAGTGGGCAGTGCTACAGTGTGGCATCATCGGGTGCTGAGACAAAGATCAAAAGGCCGCCTGAAGCCATTCCACTGTTGGTATTCAGAAGAAATTTGGTGTACTCTTTGATCTGCTGGTTGGCTCTTGTATCACAGCTACAA
The DNA here is from genome assembly GCF_000001405.40 of Homo sapiens. Taxonomy (NCBI): domain Eukaryota; kingdom Metazoa; phylum Chordata; class Mammalia; order Primates; family Hominidae; genus Homo; species Homo sapiens. The sequence goes on from NC_000004.12 coordinate 146,944,331, forward strand.
TCTCTAAGTTTGGCCCCCACATGCAAAGACAAATGAAAATGGAGAAATACAGGATGAAAGGTTTGAGAGTGCTAGGTCAGGCTGAATGTGTCCCATGGTGTGAGCTTAAATTTTTGGCCCCCAAGTAAAATTCTTCAAAGAGTAACTCTCCTGCCCTCTATCCCCAGAGATGCCTTTATCAGGAAACACAAAGGAGGGAGACCTACTACTATGTAAATGGAGGCTACTTGGAGAATGACTATGTCTGAGGCTGACCAGTGTCTGCAGGGTTCAGTCACTTTGGAGTAAAAACTGAGATTAGAGAAATAAAGCCAGTAAACCACAGTAAGCAAGTTTATTATACATCATCACGAGTTCAAAACAAGTAGGATTTTACTAAAAATCATTCATAAGAATTAAAACTTTTCATATTATCCAAGCTCTTTTACTATGAAAGTTTAATGAAAACTACAGAAGAAATATCACTAATTATGCTCCCTAAGTAAAAAAAAAAACATAATTAAGTTTATAAAGAGTCAGTAATAATGTTTATTCTCGGTATCATAATTTTTGGACACTTCTGGCACTCTCTCATGGGTAGATAGGTTGTTTAGTAAAATAAATAGAAAACACACATTTCCTACCAGCTGACATTGATGGCTAAATCACAAAATCAAGCAGGAAATGAGTTTGAAGGCAAGCCATATTTCACGTGACTTACATTTGCAGATTACTGCTGATGGTCTCTCCAGGCTTATAGACTTCAGCCTGAAAATCAGGAAGCAAAGAATAATAGCAAAGAAGAAAAATTTAAAATCATTCAGTAGTGTAACTCCTCTCCCCGCTCCAAGTCATGGAATAAGATTCACTCTTACAACAAATACTTCCTACCATCTAAGTTTAGATGAACTTTTAAAGAAAATCCCCAAGTATAGATCCTATGAGAGAAACTAATCACTAAATCAGTGAAATGCCAAAACATCTGAAATATGTATATGTATTGATGTATTTCAATACAAATGTGACATTAGGGATAACCATTTGTTCTCTCAAATTTACGAGATACAGTTATCTTTGCCAAAAACGGAGAGCATCTCAGTTCCCTTTCTGTTCCCACCTAGTTCTCAACAGGACTAAAGGACTTATCCTATGCCTAGTTTTTCACTCCCCTCAGAGGGTCAGGTGAACTGGGGAGCAAGAGGAACTGGCGCCTTTCCCTACTTCTCTTTCAATTCGTTTATTGAGGTAAGTGGCGAGGGCCTGGACTGAGGAAGCTTGAGAAAGACTGATGGAGGAAGGGCTGGCTGTAGGGGTCAGGGAAGGGGCTGCCTGAAGAACAGCCTGCCTCTCCAAGGAGCTGAGGAAGTCCGGTCCCAACCTCGCCCCTGCCGTCACGAACCTCGGTGCACTGGCCCAGGGAAACAACTCCAGTTTTCCGTTCCGCCGAAGTCAGTCCCCCACCGGCGGCAGGTGCTGGGCGTTGGCGCTGCCCCCTCCTCTCTCAGTGATTCCGAAGCCTGGCTCCGCCGGAGCGGAGACAGGGGACGCCGAGAGCGTCTCCACGGAAACAGAGAGGCGAGGCATGACGGCCGGGGGTGGAGTTAGGCTAAACCGGGCCTCGGGATTGGGGCAGCTCCCAGACTCTTCGGGCTTGGGGGCGGAGTCTGGCGAGGGGTGGAGCTTACTGACGGCCGGGCGGGGCCCCCAGATAGCTGAGGCTTTTCAAGCAGGGCTGCTTTCAGAAGTTAGCTCGCTTTTAGGCATTTTCACGTAACCCAAGAGGCTCGAATTTGCCACTTTCATTTCTTTCGTGGCCTTGCATTCTCAATGCTTTTTCTTCATTTCTCTTTTGTCCACAGGATTGATGGGAAAACGCTGAGCTAGGCATTCATGATCCCCGTGACCTGAAGCCAATTTATCCATCTAGCTAAGTCATTCATTCTCCTCTTCCTCAGCCTCTCTTGCAGTCAGAACCCACCACAAATGCCTTTTCCTGTCATGTCCCCACAGACAATTCAATTTTGAATTGTGGTTCGCTAAATACTCAAGGTCTCTTTCAGAGAATCTCCCTGCATCTGTCCTTATTTGTTTTGCATTTTTACCTGAAACTCAGGGTTTTATATTTACACTAAATAAATATCATCGTATTAATCTCGGCCCATCATTCCATCTCTTCTCTCAGACATGAGTGCAAGGAAGTGAAATTCCTTGCTCATTCCCTCATATATATATGGGGCAAGAGAGTGAGGCTTGCCACTTGTTACTTCTAAAATACAGAAGTGCTGGAAAGTTAGGCTATTGTTCCTTGTCTACTGACACACATTGTAGGAGAACGAGCCAGCGATATTGCTCACACGAATCATTCTATTAACCATAAATCGATTCTATTTAGAGTACAAGCATATCAACCATAACCACACTTTCATTCTAACATCTCATTTGCTGTAACAAATTACTAAATTATTTCCAAGTATGTTTACATTATACATTCAATGAGCACTGTGACTATCTGTAATTGGGCTCCACCCCATCCCCCACACCAGTAAGACTCTCATTCTATTCTCATGAGTTTATTTTCCAGTTTCAGCATCACCTTAACACACTCCACTGTGACCTGTGTGAATTCTTTTCCAGTCCTTGCTGCTTTTTCTGACTTAGAGTCTGTTTGTGAATTCCATGCACCTTCCTTTCTCACAGGAGGCTGTCTTAGTTGGCTTTCTAGGTAGTTCCTTCCTGCTTCTTTGGACTTACTTCTCCTACTTGCTGTTTTTTCACTAGAAGTTCTTTGACTAACTCTCTTTCTCCTTCTGTTTAGCATAGAATTCCTTCAGTTAGAGAACTTTGTTTGCAAGTGACAGAAAACACAAACGGGCTTAAGCAAAAAAGGAAACTGATGAAAACCAAAGGATGCCAGATTCAGCTGCAACTTTATCTAGAAACTCAGGCCTTTCTGAAAGTTTTGAGGATTCCAGAATACCTCTTCCTTTCACTACACAGAATTAATTTCTCCTCCTCTCGCCTCCTTTCTCTTAGACCTACCTTGATTTTATCAGTATAACTTTGCATGGTGTTTGGCTTATGGGAACCAAACTTGCCTGAAAGATTGTGAGTACCTTGAAAGCAGAGACTTTGTTTTATTGTTTTCTGAATTCCCTTGTACCGTATGCAAGGATTAGTATACAGTATGTGCTCAAAAATATTTTTTGAATTAACAGAATGACAGAATAGAGTGGTTTTTCAAACAGATTCTTCCTTGTGTAATTCTTCTCATTGCTTCCTCAATCTTCTCCACCTAGAATTCTAGGGGGAAGGTCAGGTGACACAACTGATAGTTTGAATGCTATTACTGACATAACAACCTCTAAAGTTTCCTCTTCCAGTCTTGCTCTGGAGAAATGATTTTAGGTTAGGTCAGCTCCCTAAAGAAGCAAGAGACAATTTTCTAATGGAAGCCAATCCATCTTAACTGCTCCCCATAATTGTTCTCAAAGTGTTTTTGATATCTCAATCATCAATTTCTACAGTAAAATTATTCTGAATCATTCTTGTTTTACTAAACACATCCCCAAGTAACATCTTAGGAAAGAACATATGAGATAAAATTTTAAGTTCTTTCATGTCTGACAATATCCTTATTTTGCCTACAATCATTTGGTAGGATTGCACATTCTAGATTAACAATCATTTCCCTCTGAATTTAGAAGGTATTATTTCACTGTTTTCTAGTATCCAGTGTTTGGGATGAGAAGTCTAGTGGCAATTTTATTGTCCTTCCTTTGTATGTGATGTAGTAGTAAGATCCATATGCAGTGACAACCACAAATTGACAACCACAAATCTGTGTGGCCTAAAACAACAAAATTTATTGATTGATTACCGTATGTCACCATCACAAGTCAGCCTTGGGTTTTGCTCCATGCTATGCCACAGCAGAATCAATATGAGAGAACCTTTGCCACCTGGAGGATGGCTGGTCTGTAGCAGAGAGATCATGAGAGTAAACTGCACATTAGCTTTAAAGGCTTCATCCAAAAGGGTATCCATCACTTTCACATTTCGTTGGCCACAACTGAAGTAGCCATGCTCAACTTTAAGAAAGCAGGTATGCACGATTTCACCTGTGCCTGAAAGACCAGATTATCCTTTAATAGTCATAATGATGGTCGTAGACTTGGTTTTTCCCCTCAACACAGGCATTTTTAGGTTACTTTATCCTTTTTGTTCTCAAATTTTATGGTAGAACTCTTCAGCTGAGTACTCACATCCTTCTTCAGATTTAGATAATTGTCTTCTATTTTTTAAATTATAATTTCCTTGTCTTGAATTTGTTCTATTATTTCTTTAAGATTCTGTTTAGTGAATGCAGATCCCTAGATTTGTCTTTTTTATCCTTGATTTTTTAAAAAAGATTTTTATCCTTTTTGCCTTTATATTCTAAAGTCTGTAAGTTTTTGACAATATTGCTTTTTAGTCTTTAATTGATTTGCTTGTACATAGAAGGAGTCACATTCTTGGTCTTTGAGCGTTCTTGCTTTCTGATTGCTCCTTCTTTATAGACTCTTTTATTAATGTAATATTTTGCAATTATCTCTGAATATATTAATTTGTTTTTTAAAGTTATCTTTTTATTTTTAATTTTTGTGGGTACATAGTAGGTGTATGTATTTATGGAATACATTAATTATTTTGATATAGGCATAAAATGTGTAATTATCACATCAGAGTAAATGGGGTACCCATCACGTCAAGCATTTATCCTTTGTGTTATAGACAATCCAACTGATACTCTTATTTTTAAACGTAGAATTAAATTATGATTGACTGCAGTCACTCTGTTATGCTATCAAATACTAGATCTCATTCATTCTTTCTAACTATATTTTTGTACCCTTTAACCATCCCCACTCCCAACCCCACCCCCTCACTACCTTTCCCAGCCTCTGGTAACCATTCTTCTACTCTCTCTCTCCATGAGTTCAATTGTTTCAATTTTGAGCTCCCACAAATAAGTGAGAACATGTGAAGTTTATCTTTCGGTGCCTGGCTTATTTCACTTAACATAATTACCTCCAGTTCCATCCATGTTGTTGCAAATAACAGGATCTCATATTTTTTTATGGTGGAATAGCACCTCAAAAGTTGCCCTTTTTTTTTTGTTAAATTATCTTTTCTTCCAGGGAAAGTGTTTCTTTTGTTAATGTTGAAATTTCTGTATTAGGTACCATATTGTATTTGGTTACTCTGTTAATTAGCATTAGGTTCAGCTGTGAGTAACAAACAAACAAGCAAACTACAGAATAGGAATGACACTCCATGGTGTCAGATTCCTAGTTTCTTCTGTTTTTAGCTTCACTGCACATGGATTGCATTCCCAAGATTGCCTCATTGGTGATCCAGCTATTACATCTTATCAAAAGAAAGCCTGCACAGGGATGAGGGGGTCAAATGGGGAACCTAGTGGTTAAATTTTTAACAATGGAAATTGTGCTATCTAGGCATATTCAGAGAAGACTTAGTAGCCTAAAGTGCAAAGCCCCTATTAAGCATTTACCACTGAGGCATCTTTGCTCAGAAAATTCCCCTTTCTTGACTGATATAGCTGTTCTTTCCTTGCTTGAAGACACTGCTACTTCTTTGCCTAAGGTGGTTCTCTTGAAGAAAAAATACAATACATTTTTATTTACCCAGCCTATCCAGATCTGTCATTAGAAGTGAATTCCATCATGTCCTAGGGGACAATAGTTTAAATATCCAAATCTCAGAAGGCTCTTGTAAACACAGACGGGCACGCGCATACACACACACAGAGAGAGAAGGATGAATTTGCTAGTTTATATCAGTAAAACTCCAAGGACATTGTTTTCTTTCAGAATAGATTTTTGAGGATTCTTCAACAAAAAGGTTGGAATACAATATTAGAAAAAATAAATTTGTCAAATGAGTGTGTTTTCCAGAGATTCTAAATTCCACGTGTTATTTTGGGTGACTAAGTATATTTGACAGTTTTCTGGTTTGGGTAATGCAAACCTTCCCAACTCTAAAGCAAGTTGTGTTGAAAAAAAAAAGTTTAATTTAAAGTCTTTCAGAAACAGGAATGCTAGCATACATCATTATGTCTTACCTCCTAACTGTGTTCTCTTAAGACCATGTTGAAATTTTCCATTCCTCAAGGATTTGAGATCTACAAAGCCAGAGACTTTCTAAGTTCTTTATTATTTTGTTTCCCTTGTTTAACAGCGCTAGTGGGAGATGTTAAACTGAAATGGGCACCTTGACTTCAATGGAGTGTCAATGTTTCCAGGAAAGAAAGGCTAGATTATCAAATCTCATGGGATATTTGGTGTATTTACCATAAACATACAGGAATGCCATAGTGTTAATTAGTATGACCTGATCTACAGAGATCTACAATTATGATTAATTGGTTATGACACTGTTAGGAATCAAATAATGGGTAATCTACTTCGAATTTGATTTGTATGAGAAAAGAGGAAAGTAAAATCTCCTAAATCTGGTAAACAGAGGCCTGACCTGATTTACCGCAATGGAGAGTAGAGAGTACTGGTCTCTGACTATGTTCTAAGACTAGATTCATAGCACATTGAATGAAAGCGCTCTGAACCCTGGGGTCCAGAAATAACATCACAAGTGCACACTGTGAATCTTTCTCCTATTTTTTCTCAAAGGTAACTGTATTTATTTACTTAGGTAACTGCACTGGGGAAAAGATTATATCCAAAACTTTTGGATTGCTCGACATTAGATGTTAACTCTGAGCTAATACTAATTTCCAGGGACCCAGAATGAACTTATCAATGGATATCAGGTAAATTAATTTTTTTAATTCTATAATAGACCTAGTAGACTCTGAGCCCATCCTATGGTTATTCCTCTGAGTGTGTAGATATATGCAAAAAATGGCATAAGTTTTTAGTGGCCATCTAACCTATGGAATAAAGGTTATTATGGTTTAAAAAAGGGGTCAAAGAAGCTCTGGGTCAGATAATTGAAAGGACTTACTAGACTCTGGTGATGTTTACTCAGAAAGATTTTCTATAAGCAAAGGCTACACAGAATCAGGGACAAGAAAGCACAAGGCAACTTCAGGTTGGTCCTGAACATTCAGGTACAACTTCTTTGGTCCTCCCGCTGTCGTGCAGAATGCACTTCATCTTCACAGCAAAAGTTTACCAAGGGATCTTTTATATTCCACTGATCACATAGCCAAAACCTGTCTACGTATCAGATAACACAGGTGAAGATTACCAATCTGTATTTTTAAAAAAATGATGCAGACAAGCTAGTACAGAGTGCATTCAAGGGAGCTTCAGGATATAAATAGCATGTTATATATCACTAGCTAGTGCATTTCATTTCTGTCTTGGCTAAAAGAGAGTACTGTGACTCCAACCATCTTTGGAGATAAACATAAAGCTACCACAGGCCAACTGCAAGCTAACCCCACACTTTCCTACCAAAATAGTAAATCAAAAGTAATAATCTCCAGGGGAATTTCAGACTTGAATATTTTAGGGGTGATCATTCCTAGCATATTCCTATTTTGTCTCTGAGTTAGCTGAACAAAATACATGTATCTTGAAAAGGAATATGTTAATCTGATGGTAACTTTAAATGTTCTACTGTTCCTGATACAGCCTTTTTTCCTGGAGCAACCTGATACACACCATATACTGTTTCTCCCCTACATTTTGATGAATGGAAAAAAAAAATAGAAGTAATTTGCTTCTATGTAGCAGGGATAGCAGTATACTTTTGTTTTCCAACCTTGTAACCCATCAACCCTGCCTCTTTGATGAAATTTAACCCACAGGGACCTAAATTATCTTACCATATTATGCAATAACATGCAGCATCATTGTACTGATAGGTATTCTAAAAGACTTGGAAAGCAGGAAATAGCAGGCACCCTACATGTCTTGGTACTATCAATACATGCCAAAATAAATGATATAAATCTTATGAAAACACAGGAGTCTTTCATCTTAGTGACGGTTTTTGTTTTGTTTTTTATTTTGTTTCACTGTTTGTTTTTGTTTTTGTTTGGTTGGGAAGGAGTGTTACATGGAGGGATACTCCAAAATGAAGTATAATTTGTTGAAATTTGCACAACCAGGCAAAATGCTTATTTGCCTATCGTTTGGATTTTGGAATCTGATATGAATTAGCTTCTCATAACTTCTGCATTTGCACCCTACCATGAGAATTACTGCAGTTCTTATTTTCTAGCCCCAGGATCTGCCTTGATATCTACCCTTCTCAAGTCTGGCTTTTCAGCTTTGCAATGATTTTGTGAGCCCCTGATATTATTCCAATGAATTAATTTTTCTAAAGGTCGACAGAGTTGATTTTTATTATTTACAACCAAAGAATACTAATGTATACAATAATTTAGAAAGCATTAGATGATACAAATGAGATAAAATTATTTAAAAAACACAAATTAGTAGCTGTTAATTACAGATAATATCAGTTACACAGAACTTTTCAGAATATTACACTTTTTCTAAAGAAGTAGTTGAAGCTCTCAGATTCATTTGATAAATTGCATTAAAGAGCCTACATAACAATTACATTAATTTTTCTATTGTTACATAGATATTTTATAAAATTGGTTTAAGAAATTAAGGCCTAAATATTTTATTCATACAGTATCAAATGATGATGTGTTGTTGGCCTGGCTGAAAATATTGTAAAATATTTTATGAGTTTCAAACATTTTCCATTTGTATAACAAGTCAGGTAGAGAAGTCAATATTTATCGATCTTACATAAACAGTGCACTGCACTAGGTTTTCTAAGGTAAAACAAACAAAAAAAACACATTTGCTTATCGATGCTTGCAAGTAATAACTTTTTACTGAATTTTGAGTTGAAAGCCTTTTTATAGATTTCACCTACATATATAACTCTCTTGTAATTGTCATAAGTGTTTTGCTTTTAAAAGAATCTACAAAAATAACTTTTAAGATCTAATCAAGGAGAGTCAGCAAAGAGTTTTTTAATTATGCATTCCCAAAGTGTCCCTTTGGTAGGATTTTGTAAAATGAAATGGGACTGGCAAAGGAGAAGCAGCACACTGAGGCCATATAGTCCTCAGGCGGCAATTTTGGAAAGGAGCACATTTGAAAGTCGAAGGTCTGAGAAATGATTTCCTTAAAACTATCAACATCTGGCAGGGCACAGTAGCTCATGCCTGTAATCCCAGCACTTTGGGAGGCTGAGGCAGGCGGATCACAAGGTCAAGAAATTGAGACCATCCTGGCCAACATGGTGAAATCCCATCTCTACTAAAAATAAGAAAAAATAGCTGGGCTTGGTGGAGTGCACCTGTAGTCCCAGCTACTCGGGAGGCTGAGGCAGGAAGGTCACTTGAACCAAGGAGGTGGAGGTTTTAGTGAGCTGAGATGGTGCCACTGCACTCCAGCCTGGTGACAGCGGGAGACTCCGATTCAAAAAACAAAAACAAACAAACAAACAAAAACTATCAACATCCAAAAAGCTCTGGAAAGCCATCAGAAGCTAGCTTGAAAATCTAGGCTACCTCATATGGCATTTTATGAGCATTTCCTTGTTTTTTTTTTTTCCTCAATGTATACAAATCATATTGTTTTTAAATCCAAAGTACACAAAGAATCAGCTTTACTTTATAATTTATCTTATAAACATCAGTGGGTATTAAACTTACCAATTTTTTTTTAGCATCTTCATACTTTGGGTCCTGTTTTGGTCCAATTCTGTTGTCTCAGATTGCTAAATCTGCTAATTTTTAAAAATAACACTTGAACATGAATATCCAAATATACTTTATTGTTAATTTTACTCATCTTCATCATTTTGTGCCTCTATGTAATTGATAAAATTACATGGGCAATGTTTTCTATAGGTGGAGACAAATATCTACAAAATAATATGCTTCAATAGTTGTCCAAATATATTTAAATCTTAATTATGTGTGTACATTATATCCAGCTACTTATATATGTAACAAATGGCATTCTTAGATATTAAGAGACATGTTAATATTTGTCCAATATAATTAAGAAATGAAGTTCTCATTTTCCAAGGACAAAAAAGTAACCATGTATATGCAAAGGAAATTCAAAATTTATGAAAAATATATAGAATATAATGATATTTCTTAGAGATTGTTATAAACAAGAGGACAAATGTCACATTTGGTAAAATTCTACTATAACTTTCATTATAGTCTCACAGGGAAACAATTTTTACAATAAGGTTATAAATAAAAGCTGAATTAGATATAACAGAGAAAAAAATATGGAGTAGCAACCCTAAGTACTGAATTTGAATGTCTAAGTCCATCAGCCCATTCATTATTTCAACCAGCCAGGTACTCTGCTAGGGTGGGAATATTAAGATAAGCCATGTCCTCAATGAATTCACAGGCTAGAAGTTAAGACAGACAGGCAAAAGAGACAACTATTTATTTGCCTCTAATTTCTGTGATCTCTTTGCACCAGGAACAGAGAGAACTAGACTGATGTCTTTGTTTTCTTAATAGCCTAAGTCTTAGACCTAAGTCTCCCACCCCACTCCCCAATCTGTTCCAAATTCTCTCTGCTCCTAATTTCCTATTTAAGACCTTAAACTCACTACCCAGATCTGACTCTTGCTCTTCGGGCACAGATCTCAGACCTTCTTGGCATTCACCACCCATTAGTTACCTGCCTCCAGTCAGTTTGCATAACTACTGGAAGCAGGTAACTAACTTAGTCCAGTGGAATCTGGCACAGCACAGACCATCGTGGCTGATGCTCCTCCATGAATCAGCCCGGTCCCATAGCCACAGTTCCATGTGATAAGCTCTGTACAGATGACATCTCAATTGCTGCCCCAAGGAGGGGCCATCTAGCTTCCCACGACTGGCTGGAAGTTGAGAGGTAATGGAAGACTTCACAGAGGGAATAATGCTTGTAATGTGATTTTGAGCCTTGAAAAATAAATAGAGGTGTGCCAGGTACTGAGGATTGGAATAGAATGGCTTGCTTGATACATGTGAATTCTAGAATGCAAGGGCAGAGAGCTGTGAAAGATAATGCCAGACATGAAACAATGTAGCAACATAAAATTTTGAGCTCCAACCAAGACAATAAAAAACTGAACACATCATAACATATTCATTAGTTTAGTTTGAGATTATAATTGATATTGATTTTATAGAATTAGTTACAGTCAGGACATGGGAGAACTATGAATGCCCCTCCAGAAGATTAAAATAAAACTCGTTATTTAGAGAAAATAAAATAAAAAAGTCATTAGTCCTATATGGATAAAATTGGTTATAAGAGTATTCTACAAAGAGCCTTGGTCTACCTGACTCCAAAGCTTTTCTCTTAAATCACACTGCCTTTAATTAACTCCTTTCCTTTTATCCCATGCTCACCAAGCAATCACATAGGTACACATTTTTTTCTCCATGTAGAGATTTCTAAGTGGATGAAAAGTACATTCTAATTAATGACATAAATATTTAGGCTCTCCTCAAAATTATGTTCTCACTGTAAGTTAATGTAATGACATTTGGTTTTTGTATCAGCATATGTGAATTTGGTTTCTTTGGGTTAAAGCCTTTACTACCATTGATCACCACTCTGTACTGCAGAGCTTCCGGACCTGCAAAAAGGGGAAACAGATTGGCTAGAGTGGCCCATCCAGAAAAAGACCATCTTCTGAGGGCCAATTTAGTAACCACTGGCTTCTCTTGATGGTAGCTCTATCTTTACTCTCTTAATTACTGTAGTAATTAGAGGGCCATGTGGTTTATTAAAAATTTTTAAGTATTATAGGAACTGTAAGAGAAAATAGAATATTGATGAAACTGCTAGTAACACTCTTAGTCAGTTTGTGCTGCTATGACAACCACAGACTTGGTAACTTGTAAATAATAGAAATTTATTTGTCACAGTTCTGAAGGCTGGGAAGTCCAAGATACAGATGCCAGCAGGTTTGGTGTCTGCTGAGGGCACAGTATCTGGTTCCAGAATGGTGCCTTATTGTTGCATTCACCTGAGGGAATGAACACTGTGTCCTCACATGTTGAAAGAATGGAAGAAAGCACTCCCTCAAGCCCTGTTGTAAGGACCATCATCCCACCATTGGAATGATGACTTGTTCCCTCATGACTTAATCACTTCTTAAAGACCCCACCTCTTAATACTATCTCATAGGTGATCAAGTTTCAACATATGAATTTTAGGGGACACATTCAGATCATAGCAATAACCTAACAAATTTATTTCAGTGCTTACTCGATGATTTCGGATATTACAAAGCAAAGTGCTAGTGGTTCTTTTAACAATTTTAGCAATAATATCTTCATATTTTATTTCTGGACTAATTGGATAGGTGAAGTTCTAGTCTCTATTGTAGTGACCATGAAAATGAACTTCACAGACCACTAACTATAGGGAGTGTAATTAGCCAAGAGCCCAAGATACTGTGTTTAGAAATTTGTAGCTTCCATGCCTCTTCTGTGTTGTTTCCAGCCAACGACTATGTGCAGCAGGAGTACAGATGCAGACCAATTCCTGAGAGACACTAGACTCCTCGAAGGCTAAGCTTAGCTTAAGAATTCTCCTAAGGCTTTCCCAAACCTTTAAGCAGTGTAGTGTACTTCCACTTAACCATTTCCTCTTCATTTGGTGTCAAAATTGCATCACAGTCTGATGGCTCTCAGCTTTCTCATCTCCCTCCCTGTTTTCTTTCAAATGGGCATTTTTCTCAAATAAAATCTTTGCAAGTGTAGCCCATTTTTGCATCAACTTCTTGAAAGACCATGACCAACACATCTAAAAGCTTTCCTAAATTCTCTTCAACATTTATATCATATTATACAAGGTCAGAATTCCAAATGGTAGAGCCTAGTCCTCCTGGGGTCAGAACATTGAAAGATATATCCTCTTGTCCACCAAAAAATTACCCAGAATAGGCAGAAGAGGCTTTAAAAGACCAGGTGGATATAATTTCCTGCCCAGTGGAGGTCAATTTATTTCAGTGCTTACTCAATGATTTATGAACTACATGATTGTATTGGCAGGAATGGAGATGACACATGAATAAGCACAGTAACAAGGATTTCCCCTCACCAGGATGACGTGGCCTTTGCCATTGCTGAGAACCCATTTTGCACGCAATGGTGAGCAACCCCAGATTCCTGATAGGATACCACTTCCTGGGAGGGCCAACGGACTAACTAGTAGTAAATCGGTTATATTATATCCCCTATGTGACAGAGAAGGCAGTGTTTTGCCCTAACTAGAATAGACATGTATTCTGCATATGGATTTACCTTCTCTATTGGATGTGCTACTGAGAGCCACATCATAAATGGACTTATAAATGTCTTGTTTATGGCCACAACACAAATGGCTTTTAGGGGAAGGAGTAAGGGGGTTTGTTGATGTTCAGGAATTTTTTGCTTTTACACATCACCTATCATCCAGAAACATGTGATGTTACAGAAGGAAACAAATGAAGACTCAGAGCTCCAGCTGCCTCACACTAGCTTCTAAGTTTAAGGTGTAGTCCTATAAGATATAATATGTACTCTGAACTCGAAATCAGTGTATTGTGCTGTTTCCCATAGCCAGGATACTTGAATTCCAGAACCAAAAGGTAGAACAGAGAGTGGCACTGCTTGATATTATACCTAATATTTGGTTTGCAGAAATTCTCAGCAGCACAACTCTGGAATGTGCTGAGTTCTTAGTACCAAACGGAGAAATGATTTTACAAAGGGACACAACTTTGCTTCTGTTGAGTTGGATACTGAGTCTGCCACCTGATATCTTGAGCTCCTCAAAGAAGTTGTGGTATTAGATAAGATGATTGATCTGAACCATCAAGAGAAAAGGGGAATTATTGATGAAACCCAAGCGGTTCCTGGAGTGCCTTATAGAACTTCTATATCTAATGGTTAAAATTATTAGAAGACCACAATGATCTCATATGATTTGGAACACCAATTGCTTGTATCCATTTGGAATGAATGTTCAAGTTATTCCATCAGATAAAGAACCTCGACCAGCTCAAAAAAATAAAAGAAAACATATAGTGGAGAAGGAAGATTGCTGCATACTTAAGATGCATGACAAGTTGTAGAAAAAAACTTGCACCACCTATCCAGAATATTGAGCTGAGATCATACCAGAACTTGAGAAAGAATGGACATTACTGAGCAATCTTGCATGCGGATATAACTGCAGTAACAAATGAGATTTTTTAGTTGACCCCTTTTGAGAATGGAGTGGTCATGGTTTTGGTTTGGTAAAGAATATTTAAATAAGGGAATTACGGTGTATGTTGATGTTGGGCAGCCAGAGGGGTAGATCATAGTGGGAATTTGGCATTCTTTTTGGTTACACAGCATCTGTACCTTCTGCCTATGTTTGGGAAATCTTGCACCCTATGAAGAGTCCACTTTCATTTACAGAAGCTCAATATGCCAAAAAGTTACTTTCCCAGACTTTGTTGCAATGAGGTCATGGATACATTGCCAGTTTCAGCCAATTAGGCACGTTTGCCCCAGCATCTGAACCAGAAAGGAGTCATGCAAAGACATAATGGTTATGCAGAACTGGCAAGGCTCAGAGCAGTGGTAGCCCCCACATCCAGTTTTCAGAGGCAGCACTGTATAGAGCTAAGGGCCAGGAGTAATGGAGTTGAAAGTCCAAGGTGAAGTATGAGTTCCCAGCACACCAGAGTGTTCCCAGGACCAGCTATGAGGCATGATGTTGGACATCACTGTAGGCTTCAAGTTTGTTCTCCAGCTGTGACTATTCTGTGAAAGATCCACTATGATTCCAGTGAAATTATATCTGCTTATATTAGCCAGAGTTGGTTTCTGCTCTTTGCAAATAAGACCCTGATTAATACTGTGCCTGTTCTGAATGGGTGATTTGACAGACTTTTGGGGGAGAAGTGCTCTTACTACCTGCATTGAATGCATTTCTCTGGAAGACATCCGAAGCCAGTACCAATCTGCCATGTACAGTTTGAGTACTTTGTTTTAGGTCTGAGCAGGAATAGCCCTGACTCTGCTTTGGCAAGCTACTTGCCATGCAGCATGTATCCAGTTCTGCTGTATTGTTTCAGTTTTCCCGGATAATAAATGACACAGCTGGGATTTATTCAGGTGTTCTGACTCCAAAGTCCTTGCTCCTGATCACCATGCGCTACCGACTTTGAGCAGTGATGTCTCACAGATGGGAATGATTCCTCTGAAGGTGAGTGGTCTCTTCGCGACTCTTCCAGATCACATCATTAATACGGTCTCTATATCGTCTGATTGGCTACCACCTACTGACAATTGCAATCAATTTGATTAGCAAGCTGTATGCATTATTGACATTTCTAATATCATCTGCCCAAACCGCCCTGCACCTTTCACATCATTAATGTGCTGCTCAAATCTTTGTACTTGCCCTTCATCATTGTATCTTTCACTAACTTACTTCCTCCCTCCAGAAAGAACAGCATGGTCTCAGCACCCTGTTCAGCCTGGTTCCCACCCCTGGAGTCATTGCTGCTCCCCTTCCTGCCTTCCAAAACTCCTGAAGTGCTTCTCTCATTGCTCAAGTTGGCTCTTTGCCAATCCCAACAAGTGGAATAACATAGTATTTTATAGTTCAGCTAGAAACTGCTTTTGAAATGGTGGGAGGTTTTGTGAAAAGAACAGACCCTTACACATGCAGAAGCATATCTGACTAGGTTGTTTTAACTGAGTAAGAGCTTACCACAAACAAAATGGACTTACTTTATCCACTTAATTTTGCACAGTATTCATAGCAGGAGGCATAGTTTTGTTTAAGCAGAATCTTGCTCGGCTGATGATTATTACTGGTTTGTGATCAGAAGACAAAACAATGGGTGTATCACTTGAAATACATAATAAGCCTCGAAAATTCTCCAAATCACTTCTCCTTTTTTTACAACATGCAGAATGAGAGATGAGACAGAGAGAGCAGTATCGTTGAAGATTAAACTACCATTGTCAGCTTCTTAATAGATACAGCTCATCACACAAATCATTAAACACATAGATTCCAGAAGAGCACATCTGTGTACTGCTTCAGCAACACACTGAAGGGAGAATAAAATATTTTCAAGGAAATTGACACCCCAAATGTTTATTTCAGTATTTCCATTTTTCTCTTCATTACTTTCTGTTTCAGAGAGAATAAGTTGAAAATTGTGATAGAAAATTGCAGATGTTTTCCAATAGCTTATTCTAAAATATTGATAGAATTTATAATGAAAATATTTTCCCTATTAGTGCCACCAAAACTAGCTAAGCAGATGATTATTTAATAAGTAAAAAGCCACACATATAGTCGGTTCACAGAAGCTACAGGTGCCAAAAAGGGTACAGGAGGGCTTGAGAAGGGGAAAGGAAGAAGTTTTTAAATGAAACTGAGAGCTGTAAAAATCAACCATTATAGGCGAGACCAAGCATCTATAAAAATAGCCCATTGTATGAAACAGCTTTTAAAAGCATTGCCCCTGAGACTGAGGACTTGTGGCTATAAAGACCTAGATGTATTTTTAGAAAATTGTGGCTATAATAGATTCCACTGCAATATAAGTTGCCTAGAAGAGATAATGTCATGATTGCTAAAAACAGCAGAAGGCAGAAGGTGAGAAAGACCAAGTGCCCTCCAGCAGTGTCCAGAGACACTAGGGCTGACTCCAAAGGTCAATTCTAGTCATGTAGCCAGAGATATCACTAGAGTAATGTGATCCTATAGGTGGCCAAAGCACGGTAGACATGTCTTTTAAGGATATCTGACTCCTTTCTAATTCTGTGCTTGCCAGTAGACTTTCTGACTGACAATTTGCTTTATGCATTGAAAAAGGAAGTTCTGTCTTGAGTTAAGGGATTAGGATTTGTTGCCTTGTCAAATACAGATTTGAACATAAACTGGCAATCTAGTGTGTAAACACTAGTCTTTAGAATGTTGACCATTGTAAATCGGTTTCTACTTCCTAATTACTTCTTGGTGAACTAGTAAATATTTGTTGTTGCATCAGCAAAGCTGTAAGCTAGACACTGAGCTAGTGTTCCTACCCAATACTGGGATAAAGACCTGAATTATGAAATTCCCATCTGAAAATCCCATAAAACTCTACAGAACAGCCTACTTCAGTATCTGTTGTAATGAGTATTCAGTCAATTAATTTGTTTATTTTTCCAGCTTGGAAAGACATGTGTTATTTAAATGAAGTTGAAATTTTGTGACTTGAATCTGCAAAATTCACAAAATGACAAACTAGTATAAACATGTGAAGACTCTGATCCTCATGTAAATATGTATTGTAAATTTAGGAATATAATTATCACTGAAGAAATAAAAGTTTTACAAGTCCCATGCTTTTTCTTCATAAACCTTTTACAATAAGAAGGGATACATAATTATGAATTTTAATTCAGACCTCAATCTTCCAAGTACTGATTTTTACACACTGCTAGTCACATTAGCAAACTGATCTTTAGAACAAGATTTTGATCAATTTTATTTTTTGATTTTCAGATGGGAATCTCATAATTCAGTTCTTTATCCCAAGTAAAATTGTAAGGCATAAGCAAATTATTCCAATATTCCTTTATTTTTATCTAACAATCTTAGTTACACTATTATGTGCCACTTCTGCCTGTTTAAATATAGTGCTAAACAAAACACTCAGATTAATGGGTTTTTTGAACATTAAACTCTATTGAGGGGAATGGGAGATGGACAATAAGTAAACAAGATGATTTCAAGACTATGACAATAAGTAAACAAGATGATTTCAAGGCTATGCATCAAATAAAACAAGGTAACACAATTAGAGTGATGTGTGTGTGTATGCATGCATGTGCACACTCATATGTGTGTTTGGGGATGTCTCTTTAGATTGAATAGAGAATGCCACCATGTGAAGTGATATTTGAGCTGGAACCTGAGTGAATGATGGAATGGAGAAGTCAGGTACAGAGCTGTGGGGATAGCATCACAGGTAGGTGGGATAGGACAGGCAAACCTCCGGAGGTGGGAGCAGAATTGGTGCATTGGCTGTGGTACCTTTCCATGATTTCCTCATTCCAGTGTTCATATCTTTAGAAGATCTCAACCCATTGATTGTAGGTGATATCTGTGATTTACTCTAGCCAATCTATATAACATGACAAAAATGATGGATGTCACTCCTGTAATTATTTTATGTGATGATCCATCTTGCTATCAGACTTACTGTAGTCTCTCTATCCCTCTGCTGTCGGCTTTAAAAAAGTAAGCTTCCATGACTCCTACAGCCACAAGAAACTGAGTGCTTCCAAAACCACGCCAGTGGGAAACAACACTTCCCTAGTTGAACCTTCACATGAGAACCCAGTCCTGGCCAACCCCTTGTTTGCAGCCCTATGAGACACTATGCAGAGCACCCAGCTAAGCTAAATATCATACAGAAATGATGAGATAATAGATATGTGGCTGTAAGTTGTTAAGTTTCTACTCATTTGCTACAGAGCACAGAAAACAAACAAATGGCCCGGGAGCCAAGAATACACATTTGGTTTGTAGGTAGTGATCCAGTGGGAGAGAAGGTGACGTAGAGGGGTAACTACATAGAACCTTAGGCCATAGTAAGGAAACTGGATTTTATTTTAAGTGTGTTAGAAAGTCATTGGAGCTATGTAAGCAGTAGAGATTGGCTTGGATTAAGGTAGTAGGAATGGAGTGTGGTGACAAAGAAGAAGAGTCAGGAAAAAGTTTGAATGCAGAGTTCACCAAATCCTAGCTATGTGGATTCAGCAACCGGAACTACAGTGATGCCTTTACTGAAATGGAGAACTCAAGAGAGGTAAAGCTAGGTGACTCAGGTGAAACAAACAGAGAAAGGACAAAATCAGGTGGTATTTTGACATGTCCAATTTCAGATGTCAATTACATATTCGGGGGGAAATGTCAAGGAAGCCATTGAATAAACAGATCTGGAACTCAGTATCAGTTATACATATTTGGAAGTAGTTGGAATACTGGCTGTAGTTAAAAATAGGAATGGGATGAAAATCATCGAGGGAGGAAGTGTTAATGTGCTATATAATTAAAACAATGAAATCAACATAGAAACTTTCTTCTAACAATGAAAACAGAGAATTTTGCTTTGCCAATGTTTAAACCAGTAGGCTATTATCACTATGTTCAATAGCATATGTAAAATATAAAATAAATATTTAATAGCAGGGGTGATGTAGATGTAGTAAAACCAAGTTCCACAGCAGCCCTCTTTTTGGCCAGCTCCTACATGGGACATACATTCCCACAGCCCCCTCACCACTGCCTCTTCATTCTACTTGAGCCATTGATCTAGCCCCAAGGAACCTACTCTATTGGCTGACCTTCACCCTTTACTGGTTTTAAGTAATCTTTTACCTTCCAGGTTTTCAGACATTAGTAATACCTGTTCAAATACACTTTTAATTTAGTAGTTAGAAATTATTACTTCCAAAATAAAATTAGCTGATGGAATACACTTAAACTTTATCCTTTGTTTCAGTCTAATCAGGCTGCTATAACAAAATACCACAAAATGGTGGCTTATAAATAACAAAAAATTATTTCTCATAGTTCTGGAGGCTGAAAAGCCCAGGATCAAAGTGCGGCAGATTTGTTATCTGCTGAAGGTCCACTTTTCTATTTCATAGATGACACCTTCTTGCCACATCCTCATGTGGTAGAAGGGACAAAGGTCTCTCTGAGGCCTCTTTTATAAGGGCACTAATCCCATTCATGAGGGTGCTGCCCTTGTGATCTAATCACCTCCCAAATTTCACACTTTCTAATCTAATCATTTTGGGAGTTACTATTTCAACGTGAATTTTGAAGGAACAGAAACATTTAGAGCACAGCACCCTCTCTTATACTTTAGATGTAGTAATGCTAACACATGACAATCAGTTTGGCATTATGGACTATAGTTGAAGAGGCAAATAAGTTGATAATAATAAATTAAGATTCTACAAAGGCAGGATTGACTTAGTTAAAGGATACAAACCGATAACCCTCACTGAGTTTTTACTGCAGGATTTCTCACTTCTCAATAGTAAATCTTATCTTTCTTTCATGAGGATGAAAAACCTAGAGCTTATGAGTGCCTCAGGCAAGTGAGTTTGAAGGTCTTCTTTGGATTGAATGAAAGATAATAATCAAAATCTAGGTCAAGATATTATTTATTCTATAGAGAATTGTTTAAGCTAATGTTTTAAATTTAAGTCATAACACATTTTAATATATGATTCATACAATGCCGATCAAATATTCTTAATGACTGCACACGTTATAATCTTATTCTGACTATTTAACTTTGAGAAACGTCCTAACATCAAGTAGTATAGCCATTAAATTATCATGACAAAGATATCAAACTTCCTTCATTGTATCTATTTCTCAAGACATATGTATGAGCTATGTGTCTGAAAGCTTTAGAAACTTCAGTATACCTTTTCAGAAAGAAAATGAAAACAAAGGGTTTATGGTAGATACACTGAAACAGAATGCAAAAAAAGGTGAAGAAAAAGGATCTAGTTTGAGACATAACAAGGAAAGCTTCCCCTCAGAGAACCAGAATTAAGTCACTGATAGTTGTTATTAGCAATAGCACAGGTTATTAAAATTTTTAATAATTATTTAAAAATATAAGAAGTGAAAAAATGATAAACAGCAAAACGTTATAAAATGGTGAATAATTGATAGGGAATAAAGATAATTATCCATCATGAATACTTTTCCTAGGAGAAAATAAACTATATTGTATATGATTTACGTTTCAACAAAATGACTCCAGTTTGTGTTAGATAACTAGTAAATATTTGGTATTTAAGAGTATGTAAATATACTACATTAAGGGTTTACTTTAAAAGTTTCTTTGTCTTATCATTTCATTCATACAGTTGGTTATGAGCACTGGTTATATATAAAGAAACACGCATCCTACCATCTGTGAATTTAGGATAAAGTCAAAGTGAGTCCCAGCTCTCTGCTGAAAATAATGAAAACAGAACAAAATTGTATTCTCTTCTTACAGACTTCACATAGCAATAGGACTATTTGGAAAAATATTATAATAAGGTGTTAGGTAGAAATAGCATATTTGAGTGATCTTACAATAAGTTAGAGTTATATCAGAACAAATGTTTGAGTTATGTTACAATAAGAGTTAGCACTGCATACCCTAAAGTCTAGAGACGGGGTTGGATATGATAGCCAGGTCTCTGAACTGTGGGGATTAGGAGTTATTCACTATGAAATTATACTTCCCGTAATGAGGATGGAAGAAAAGTCCACTTCTGATTATCACTTAAAAACTAAGGGGAGTGAAGCATGAGAAGAGCAATTGACTGGAGTTCTATAAGGAAAGGTGGATCATGTGAGGGAGCATGGGATTATTGAGAGCAAGTCAGATTTCTGGCTCCGTTTTATGACCAAAAACTGCATTTACCTTCCAACCAGCTTCCTTATAAAATGATGACTAATGGCCACAAGGAGGCTAGACAGGTGTCAGAAATCTTATTTGCCAATGAATTTCTATAATTGTCAGTGGCTCAATAGTACCAGGGAAATTTTCTAGGCAAATGGAGAACATCTAGTCCAAATTATCAAGACTACTAATGATTAGTCTTGATTTAGACTAATAATGATTAGTCTTGATTTCCCATGTAGAGGAAATCAAGGTCCAAAAAGATGATGATAGGGTTTGGCTGTATCCCCACTCAAACCTCATCTTGAATTGTACTCCCATAATTCCCATGTGTTGTTGGAGGGACCCAGTGGGAAATAATTTGAATCATGGGGGGCAGTTTCCCCCATACTGTTCTTATGGTAGTGAATAAGTCTCATGAGACCTGATGGTTTGATCAAGGGTTTCTGCTTTTGCATCTTCCTCATTTTCTCTTGCTGCTGCCATGTGAGAAGTGCCTTTCACCTCCCGCCATGATTCTGAGGCCTCCCCAGCCATGTTCAACTATAAGTCCAATTAAAGCTCTTTTTCTTCCCAGTCTCAGGTATGTCTTTATCAGCAGCACAAAAACAGACTAATACAGTAAATTGGTACCAGTAGAGTGGGTTGTTCCTGAGAAGATACCCAAAAATGTGGAAGCAACTTTGGAACTGGGTAACAGGCAGAGGTTGGGACAGTTTGGAAGGTGGCTCGGAAGACAGGAAAATGTGGGAAAGTTTGGAACTTCCTAGAGACTCGTTGAGTGGCTTTGCCCAAAATGCTGATAGTGATATGGACAATAAAGTCCAGGCCAAGGTAGTCTCAGATGGAGATGAGGAACTTGTCGGGAACTAGAGCAAAGGTGACTTTTTTTATGTTTTAGCAGAGACACTGGCAGCATTTTGCCCCTGCCCTAGAGATCTGTGGAACTTTGAACTTGAGAGAGATAATTTAGAGTATCTGGCAGAAGAAATTTCTAAGCAGCAAAGCATTCAAGAGGTGACTTGGGTGCTGTTAAATGCATTCAGTTTTACAAGGGAAACAGCATAAAAGTTTGAGAAATTTGCAGCCTGACAATGCAATAGAAAAGAAAATCTCATTTTCTGAGGAGAAATTCAAGCCAGCAGCAGAAATTTGCATAAGTAATGAGGAGCCAAATGTTAATCCCCAAGACAATGGGGAAAATGTCTCCAGGGCATGTCAGAGGTCTTCATAGCAGCCCTTTCCATCACAGGCCCAGGGACCTAGAAGGAAAAAGTGGTTTTGTGGGCTGGGCATGGGGTCCCTGAGCTGTGTGCAGCCTAGCAACCTGGTTCCTGGCATCCCAGCCACTCCAGCCATGGCTTAGAGGGGCCAGTGTAGAACTTGGGCCATGTCTTCAGATGATGCAAGCCCCAAGCCTTAGCAGCTTCCATGTAGAGTTGAGCCTGCCAGTGCACAGAAGTCAAGAATTGAGGTTTGGGAACCTCTGCCTAGATTTCAGAAGATGTATGGAAACGCCTGTATGCCCAGGCAGAAGTTTGCTGCAGGGGTGCATCTCTCATGGAGAACCTCTGCTAGGGCCCTGCAGAAGGGAAATGTGAGGTTGGAGACCCCACACAGAGTCCCTACTGGGGCACCACCTAGTGCAGCTGTGAGAAGAGGGCCACCATCCTCCAGACCCCAGAATGGTAGATCCACCTACAGTTTGCACTGTGTGCCTGGAAAAGCCACAGACACTCAACACCAGCCTGTGAAAGCAGCTGGGAGGGAGACTCTACCCTGCAAAGCCACAGGGGTGGAGCAGCCCAAGACCATGGGAATGCACTTTTGCATCGGCATGACCTGGATGTGAGACCAGGAGTCAAAACAGATCATTTTGGAGCTTTGAAATTTGACTTCCCCACTGGATTTTGGACTTGCATGGACCCTATAACCCCTTTGTTTTGGCCAATTTCTCCCATTTGGAACAGCTGTATTTACCCAATACCTGTACCCCCATTGTATCTAGGAAGTCACTAGCTTGCTTTTGATTTTACAGGCTCATAGGCAGAAGGGACTTGCCTTGTCTCAGATGAGACTTTGAACTGTGGACTTTATGCTTAAATGAGTTAAGACTTTGGGGAACTGTTGGGAAGGCATGATTGGTTTTGAAATGTGAGGACATGAGATTTGGAGGAGCTGGGGGTGGAATAATATGGTTTGGCTTTGAGTTCCCACCCAAATCTCACCTTGAATTGTACTCCCATCATTCCCATGTGTTGTGGGAGGGACCCCATGGGAGAGACCCAGTGGGAGATACTTTGAATCATGGGGGCAGTATTCTCCATACTGTTATCATGCTAGTAAAGAAGTCTCATGAGATCTGATGGTTTTAGCAGGGATTTCTGCTTTTGCATCTTCCTCATTTTCTCTTGCCACTGCCATATAAGAAGTGCCTTTCACCTCCCACCATGATTCTGAGGTCTCCCCAGCCATGTGGAACTGTAAGTCCAATTAAACCTCTTTTTCTTCCCAGTCTCGGGTATATCTTTATCATCAGCATGAAAACAGACTAATACAGATAAAATAATTATCCAGAAATAGCAAGAAGCAGAAGAATGCAGGCCAGCTTAGTCTTGCAAAGGCAGGGCTCTCTCCAAAACACTACAAGAAGGACAATATCTTATCTCCTCTTCAGAGACAAGATAGATCATTGAAATTCACAAATAAGCCCCAAACTGCTTTTTCAGCCAATATGTCCAACTTTCCCCCAAGCTAAATCACAGTAAATCAGAGAGAAATAATATTACATAATTGATTTGAGTTTTATCTTCTTTTATTTCATCTTTATTTCTTGTAAAGTTGCTAATGAGCAATAAAATGGCCAAAAATCAGAAAAGAAGAGAAAGCAAAGGATGTAGAAAACCCACAAAATGACTAATCAGCCCCAATGTAACTGAGTATTAATAGTAACATATTTATCTAGTGCAGATCAAAAGCTTTCATCATGTTCTAAAATCTCAAAGAACTCAAGTAAATCAGGATCTAGTAGAATAATTTCTCTGGAATATAATGACTTGCCAGTCTCTCCCAGACTGTGCTGAAGCTTTATTATCTGAAACTTAGGTACTATTATCCTTATCACAAAAGACATAGTTGGAACTGAAAATAAAAATGGTCTTACCCATGAGTTGTTCCCTTACATTATTCCATTTGTCTGTTTTCTACACTGAACAACTACAGACAGCAGAGTATATTTAAGTAGAAGAGAGGAAGGGTGACACATCTTCCTTCCCATTTGTGTGCACATGCATGCACATGCACATACCCACACAGACACACACACACACTCCTGAGGAGTAATTAGTTCCTTCTGCAGTGTTGTCATTCAATTTACACCAATATATACAAATGCCAAAGGGCAAAGAGCCTCAAGAGTATTTTCCTTAGTTTGTTAACTTATCCCCACTGTCTTTTCCAGGCTCACAGCCTCATCCCCGGGATGTTAGAGAGCCTCCTGTGGCCACTGCTGAGTGCCTCTCTGGACTCTTTTTCCTAGCTCTGCTCTCCCAGTCCTACATGGTCCTAACCCATTGAGCTTTAAAACCATTTTTCTCCTGCCCATCCAAGTGACTGCCTGCTATTGTGACCCAGCCTCTACCCCAAGTTATCAGTCATTTTATACTCCACTTGTTTCCCCTGCCAGCAAAGAGAAGGAGGGATTTTCTAATTCTCAAGGAATGTGTAGAGGGGCTGAGGAGGAGAAAGAGACTCCCTCAAAGTGTCTGGCCTTAAGGAAGAATATCTGAAAAAAATCAGCCCCATTCTTCCTGCAAAGAAGAATCTTCTGATGTCTCTTCTCCTATGTCTGCAAGAGTATCTGTCTCCTTCTTATCTGTTTTAGGTGCAGATTTTAGGAAAGGTGGGCAGAATGTAAGAGTAGAAAATAGGTTATTCCCCAAACAATCTATTTCTGTGTGTTTTTGAGAATTGAAGTTCTCTTTGTTTAAAAATCTCTGTAAGTCAATCTATTAGGATAGTGTTATATAACTCAATATCAACTCATTAGCAGAAAGAGATAAAGTGAATAGATTTAATTTTACTAAGCAGATATGGTCATATTAAATGCCTTATTTGGGACCCTGGGGTACATCAGTGTAGGGTCAAAGATCCACTGTGTGTTTCTGACTTTGCACAAAGGCTCCTAAGTGGAAGAGGCATGAGGAGGGATGAGGTCTAGCTTGTTTTTACTTGTCTGCCTTGTGCCCTAGCAAGGGCTACAATTTTTAAAGAAAAGGGTGACTTATTTTGTCACACAAAGGCACCTTTTGCTGGTCAAGCCAGTGGGATGCCACCATGCAGAGGGAGTGCCTTTTTTCAAATCGATCTGCCCAGAGCAAAGGCTCTCAGTAGGATGGCCAGGGCTCTAGCTCAGCATCACTTCTCTGCTCATTTTATGAACATAGAAATAATTTTAACATCTTTAAATGAAGAAATGGCATCGACAGTGATGTTTAAGCTTTCTTTAGTAGTAGAATCATCTCTTTAAGTGAATTCTGATAAGCTTCATGTCTAAATCAGAGCTACTCTGGTTAAATTCTGCATGGGGTTCTGGCTTTTCCCTCTTCCCCAAAACTATGATTTGTTATGAACTGTAGTTTAAGAATTTCTTTGTTCCAAGTTATTTTTTAATAAAGCATCAGATGGTTTAAACTAAAGCAAAATAAATTTATAGCAGAGAGTTAGTCAAAGTTTCCTCTCACATGCCCAAAGCATTTACCACTTTCCAAATGTACAAAATACCTTGGTAATTATTTGTCATTTGTGATTCCCCTCTTCTCATGTTTTTAAAATTTTGCAAAGTCTGAGACTGTAAAAATAGTCACTTTGCTTGCATGAAATGGTGGCACCAAGCTGAGGATCAAAAAATCATTATCTATTTTATGACAAGTTATGAAACAAATGACATCCTGGGTTCTTTATAATTTTAATACAGGCTCCTTCGTTTACCTTGCAGTTTTATGTTTCACAGGGTGACAAAGTACACTTTGTGTGCATGTTTTAGGTGGCACAAGTGCATATCGATGCTGCACAAAACACATCTTAAGATGAAATTCTTAAGATACAGATTATTCTAAATTCCTTTCAATCCAGTCAAATTCCTTCTAGTTCTGTGTAGAAAAGTATGGGACTTTAAAAGGAGACTTTATCTATAAAATATTTATTATATTTACCTTTTTAGAATATTCATCTGTTTTAAGCCTTCTATTTAAAAGTTAATATTCTGATTTTTTTTTTTCCTCTCAGGTTGTGATGATTAATTTTATGTGTCAACTTGGCTAGGCCATGGCATCCAGATATTTGGTCCAATACCAGTCTAGATATTGCTGTGAAGGCGTTTTTTAGATAAGATTGACATTTAAATCAATAGGTCTTTTTAAAAAAGATAATACAGGTTTTTATTTTATTTGTTTATTTTTGGTTCTATGGCTAGCAAAGTTATTTTATTTTGTTTTAATCAACAAGAAATTGTATATATATAATTGTATATGTTTATGTATAATCATATATATTTATATACACATATATAATTGTATATATTTATATACACATATATAATTGTATATATTTATATACACATATATAATTGTATATATTTATATATACATATATAATTGTATATATTTATATATACATATATAATTGTATATATTTATATATACATATATAATTGTATATATTTATATATACATATATAATTGTATATATTTATATATACATATATAATTGTATATATTTATATATACATATATAATTGTATATATTTATATATACATATATAATTGTATATATTTATATATACATATATAATTGTATATATTTATATATACATATATAATTGTATATATTTATATATACATATTTATGTATATTGTATATATACAATATGATGTTTTAAATGTAAGCTTTTATTTCTTTTTTATTTTTGGGAATTTGATTTTTTCCTTTTATTTTTAGATGACACACAATAATTGTACATATTTATGGGATAAAGAGTGATATTTTGATAGGTGTATACAATATGTCATGATTCAAATTAGGGGGATTCATATATCTGTCACCTCAAACAGTTATCATTTGCACTGTGAACATTCAAAATCCTCTTTTAGCTTTTTGAAAACATGTGATAAATTTCAGTTAACCATATTTACCTTCCAGTGCTGCAGAACCTGAGAACTCACTCCTCCTATCTAGCTGTAATTTTGTATCTGTTGGACAACCTCTTCCCATCCTCCCTGCCCACTATCCTTCGAGCCTCTAATACCCACAATTCTACTCTCTACTTCCATGAACTCGGATTGCTTTTTAGCTCCGACATATGAGTGAGAATAAGTAGTATTCATCTTACCGTGCTTGACATTTCACCAAACATACTGTCCTCCAGGCTCATCCATATTGCCACAAATGACAGGATTTCATTGTTTCTTAAGGCTGAATAGTATTCCATTGTGTATACCACGTTTTCTTTATCCATTATTCTGTCAATGGACACTTAGGTTGATTCCATGTCTTAGCTATTGTGAATAATGCTGCAATAAATATGGGGGTGAATGTATCCTTGTGATATATTGTAAATCAGTAGGCTGAGTAAAGCAAGTTACCTCATCCTGTCAATTGAAGGCATATATGATACACAGTATAGGAAAAAAAGACAAACTGGTTTCTCCTACTATATGCTCAACACCACACTTCTTGTTACCAAAATGTGTGGGCTTTTATATCCCCAACAAGCAATTCTCCAGCAGACATCAACCAGGTGTCCTATAATTCAAGTCGATTCTGATACTACTGACCTGGAGTTAGAGACAGATCCCATAGGTTAAGGGCCAGTCCCATAAAACTTCCCCCAACTTCAGATACCAATCATAAATCGAGTCCTCTGGAGCTTCTGATCAACTGGCTATAAGTTGGGGTTCCCATGGCCCCACCTCAGGTTTGATCGCTTGCTGCAGTGACTCACAGAACTCCAGAAAAAACACTTTACTTATGTTTACCAGTTTATTCTAAAGCATGCAGAGTCAGATGGAAGAGATGCAAAGGGCAAGGAATGTGGGAAGGGGTGCAAAGCCTCCATGCCCTCTCTGGGTGCACCACCCTCCAGGAATCTCCAGGTGTTCAACAACCTGGAAGAAAGTTCTTCAAACCCCACAGGTTAGGGAGTTTTATGAAGGCTTCATTATGGAGGCATGATAGATTATTAACTCAATCTCCAGCCCTTCTCCCCTTCCTGGAGGATAAGGGTGAGGGTTAGGGCTAAAAGTTCCAAGCTTATAATCATGGCTTAGTCTTTCTGGTGACCAACCCCCATCCAAGAGTCCACCAAGAGTCACCTAACTAGAACAAAAGACACTCCTGTGTCCCAGAAAATTCCAAGGGATTAGGAACTCTGTGTCAGGAACCAGGATCAAACACCAAATATTAGAACTATTAGAACAAAAGATTCTCTTAGCAACCCTATTGCTCAGGAAACGACAATGGTTTTAGGAGCTTTGTGTCAGGAACCAAGGATGAAGACCAAAATCTATATTTCCTATTAATCACAGTATCACACACACATGCACACACACACACGTATTCACTCATTCTGTGCGTTCTGTTTCCCTGGAGAATGCTAATATACAGGTTCTCATTCTGGCCTGGCACACACTCTTACTTACCCTTGCTTTCACAGAGAAGACCACTGAAATTCCCGTGGAGGCCATGTCAACGTTTCTTTTAAGTTGTATAAATATAAGCATCTCTTATTAATTGCTGTTGATTAGCCAAAAGGCAAATACTTAATTAAACATTGAGAGATAATAAAATTGCACATGAATTATCTATCTAAGAGCACATAGGTCCGTACATTTCATTAAGATGGTTTAACTAATAATCATGTCTCTTACACCCAGTCCTTGTTTGAGCAGATAGATTGTTTTAAAAAAAGAAAAAAGTTCCCTAGAGGGAGGGTGTTGTTTTTGTTAAAGTCATATGTTTGTTGTTTTGTATTTACTTTTCTATTCATCCATGTTCTTTTAGAAGCACTGTTGATTTCACCACAGATAAATATTTTGTTTGCTATTCTTGAATATGTATACTCAAGGGGAGTTATTGACCAGTTTGAATGACAACGAAGCCTTTACAAAGAAAAGATTTAGCTAGTGGGTGAGCAAAATTCAGTTCTCCACTGTTTGTCATACATCCTTCTATTTCATAGAGCTTTTCTTGGTGCTGTTGTCTGTGGATTTACAAGGGGCAAAAAGAGTGGCTTGCACTTTTGAGTGTTTACTTAAGACACAGACTTTAATTTGGATATGGGCTGGGCGTGATGGCTCACACCTGTAATCCCAGCACTTTGGGAGGCCGAGGCAGATGGATCACCTAAGGTCAGGAGTTTGAGACTAGCCTGGCCAAAATGGTAAAACACTGTCTCTACTAAAAATACAAAATTAGCCGGGCGGGGTGGTGCACACCTGTAATCCTAGCTACTCGAGAGGCTGAGGCAGGAGAATCACTTGGACCTGGGAGGTGGAGGTTGCAGTGAGCCGAGAGCACACATTGCACTCCAGCCTGGGTGACAAGAGCGAGAATCTGTCTCAAAAAAAAAAAAAATTGGTTATGAAACCAAAGGGCTATTTTGATCAGAACTGCCTGCCCTGCTTGCTTTTGGTCACTTGTTTTTTTGTCACGTTTTTTCCTTTCTCCATGAAACTGAAGGCCATGGTAGCTAAAGGCCTCCCCACTGAATGCTGAAACTTAACTTTCCCTGGCTACTTTATAGATACCATTTATAGGTCACCATAGTAATGGTTGCTTCCGTTGTTTTTAGGGAACTTAGGCCAGCTCCTGTCCAGTCTAACTGGTTGAGACCACTGACCCTTCAACTTGGCCTGTGGCAAGTGCCCAAGAGGTGGCCTTTTGTTATCCGAGGGCTGAAACCTCTTCCTTGGATCATCCTAATGCCACCATTTTCTGTACATATGTCCTAAGAACTGCCATAAACTCCAACTATGCTTGTCCAAAATGAACCTGTTACCTCATTGTTCCCCATTGCTAGTCATCTTTTTTCACGTCTTACATCACCCCACTTCCCCAAACCATAAAGATCCCTAAGCCTTATCCCGGGGGAGGCAGATTTGAGAGCTATTTTCCCACCCTCCTCCCTTCCCCACCACATGTCAGTCTTGTGAGCACATCTTTTCTCTTTTGCAAAACCTATATCACAATGATTGATTTACTGCACACAGGCAGAACTGACCTGGACCTGGCCTGTAACAGTTACTTCAAGAAGCAGGAAAAAAACCTAAATGTTTCTACTGTTTACTACCCAGGACTGAACAGAAGTAGCTGTGCAACCACCACTAGAAGCCTTCTGAGCGTGTTACTGAAGAGGATGAGGCAGGAGGCTTCCAGAGGCAACAGCCAAGACTAAGCCATCAACCACAGGGCCAAACCCAGTAAAAAAGAAAAATAAGAACACTTCCACTTAAAGAACTGCTGCAATTATACTGTTCCTTTTTTTTTTCCATTAACATGTCTTTCCTTTTATGATGGCGAGAGTTAATATTAAGGTGTGCATATATGTTTGTTAAACGATCTCATTTTGCAATTAAAAGTTTGCACTTATATTAATACATTGGTTCTACTATTTCTTTTAAAAATATGTTTGAAATTTTCTGTCTTATAAAATCCCATTGGCTGAGAAATATCAGCCTACCTACATACAGGTTTCTTGCTTATGTTTGATGCTGCAGCTTCCCAATTCTAGCCACTCTTCCTCTGATGTTGCAAGAGTGTGTTTCTATGCAATGGAGAACACATGATTGTTATCTTTATGGTGCAGGTGGTTGATCTCTGAGACCAGATGGCAGATGGCACAACAGGAGTCCTTGACACAAAGCTGTTAAAGAATATGTTCTCCTTTAATGAAATGGAGCTAGAATGGCTCAGGAAATTGTGCACGCAAATTTCACTAGCACTGAGTTTGTTTCTTATCTTAAATGAGATCAGTAGGAAAACCAAGGCTGTGCTCTATAGATGGACTATAAGGATTGTTTACACAGCATGGGCCAGTGTCTGGGGCTGCAGATTGAGGAGAATTACACCATTAACTGGGCTGAAAAAGACCCTTATAAGGCTCTGAGTTGCCTTATAAGGCAACTCACTCTAGCATAGAGTTACTTTGCATTGTTTCTCTAATTCTGCATGCTACTCCAGCTGTATTGATAATGAAGACAAACATGGCATAGACATATTTAAAGCCATTTTGAACATATGATCCAAAGGATTACCTATAAGAATAATGCTCAGAAAAAAGATCACCTAAACTTGTTCTAGTACAAAGCTACTAATTTTATAGGTTAGTTGTTTTTATTGGCCACCTCAGGTTTACTTTACAAATTTACATTGTGTTGTTGAAATGCCTAATGTGGTAACTCTTTTTATTGTCATAGTCATAACATCCTTGAGACTCATTCCTGAATTTGTTTATTCACTTGTTCCTTTTTGTTTCTTTTATGGGTCAGGCATTGTGCTATGTACTGGAGACACCTAATTAAACAAGTGTAATGCAGTAAGCAAGTGTGGGAAATTCCAGACAGGGGCAAGCTGGAAGAGTTAAGGGCTAGTATGCATGGCCAGATTAATGTTTCACAAAAGAAAACCAATCCTAATCATCACCCTCTTTTTGCTCTTCTTCGTATCTGCCTTAGGCATGCCTACCATCTAATGCTAACTTCCCTTTCCTTTCTTTCCTGCTCAAGAACATGGTAAGTTTGAAATCATGAGAAATTCTGACTGTTTTAAATCAGGGGCTTAATAGAGAAGTGGTGATTTATTAGCACTGCTGAAACACCATTTATTGATTTAAGACTTTTAGAGAAACTGCTGCTAAGTTATCTGGTTCTCCTTTGAATGGAAACTCCAAACAACCACAGTGGTAGCAAATACATAAATGTGAAAATAGAGGCTTAGTTGGAACATTGGAGTGAAGACTGAAGAGGGCTGGATGTAAAAGCTTGGGCAACACCTAAGCAGGCTGATTTAAACACAATTCCAAAATTGCTACTAGCAGAGAAGACCAGAGTGAGCCCAAATGAAACCTGTGACCAGCTGAGAGCCCCTCAAGTTAAATGCAGAGACTTTTATTCTTGTGTGCAGTTATTTAGACTGAAAATGGAAACGTGCAACTGTGAGGCAGATCTCATTCATGCATAATTGAAACACCCAAGGGTAAAATACTGAGGCACAATGGATGACATTTGATAAAAAGAGAGCAAGGAAAAAGAAGAAGTTAAAAACAAGATACAAGACCCTGGGGACCACAGAGAAGAATACCTGACATAGGCCAAATAATCTCAAATAAAAATATCCATATTACCACACAATGTAAATATAAAGACAAATGCATGGAAGAGACATGAGGATTGGGTAGGGAAAATGTCTAGAATATGAAACATTCAAGGGATGAGTCACTGGTGAATGAAACTCTTATTCTAACTAAATGCAAACCAAAGTACTTATATAGTATTTTCAAATACATAGGAACTAAGAACAAGCACAAGATTCACTGTCTTTAAAAAAGTTATATTGTAAGTTACTGTATTATATATGTCTATTCATACATGTAACTATGTAGCATATGTATGCATAAATATTTAAAATTTCTTTAACTTACTGGGAGAGAAATGGTATGTGTGCATATGTGAATATGGATGTAGTTGACTTCTTAATTGTGCGGGATAAATTCCATTTTGTTGGGGAAATTTGCAGGAAAGATTTGCAATAAGTATTTTAAGAATGAAAATGATGAGCTGAGAAACAATGGGCAATTAATGCAGTTGTCTTGGCTATTTTTCTTGGCAAAGTCACAGGTGGTTTAATGAGCATTTATAATGCATTAGGCACAATACTAGATACTCTGGACTATCCCATTTAACCTTCTGAGAAGAATCCCCAGAGAAGAAATTATTACTCTCATTTTAGGATGGCGATTCTGAGGCTCACAGAAGTTAAGTCCCATAATCTTGTCTGAATCCAATCCAAACTCTTCCCATCACACGCTTGCTCCATTCCCTTTGAGAGATGAAAGGGGAAGGCTGAATAAAAAAGTCCTCAGTGCACCATTTCCAGTGTTAGGCTAAAAATTCTTTATTCACTCAGATAATGTGCACTTTCACTAAACAAACCTAATATTGCAAAAATAAATCCAAATCAAAACCAATCCTAATCATCACTCTCTTTTTGCTGTTCTTTGCATCTGCCTTAGGTATGCCTACCATTTAATGCTAACAAAGATGATACTTCCCATTCCTTTCTTTCCTGCTCAAGAACATGGTAAGTTTGAAATCCTGAGAAA
Source organism: Homo sapiens (assembly GCF_000001405.40). NCBI lineage: Eukaryota > Metazoa > Chordata > Mammalia > Primates > Hominidae > Homo > Homo sapiens. The sequence goes on from NC_000004.12 coordinate 146,978,181, forward strand.
TTCTGACTGATTTAAATTAGGGGCTTAATAGAGAAGTGGTGATTTATTAGCACTGCTGAAACATTATTTATTGATTTAAGACTTTTAGAGAAACTGCTGCTGTTATCTGGTTCTCGTTTGAATGGAAACTCAAAACAACCACAGTAGTAGCAAATACAAGTATTTTTTTTTTGTTAAAAAACAATGAGGCCTTTACATTGCTTACTAATTCTGCAGATTAGTAAGATGTGGTTATGTGTTTAGGTCCCTATCTTCCTCACTTTCTTTTATCCCTTGTAATGAGAAGGAAACCGAAGGAAAGGCATCTCATACCAATGGAAATACAGGCAAGTTGTAGGAAAATGATTCATGCCAGATAACCTATACATTTTCCATAGATATTTCATTAACTGAGAAAGTAGACATGAGGCATCTAATCCTTAATGTCAGCAGAGGGTTATTACATACTCCATATAGACCAGGCACTGGGACTTCAAAGAACTGTAAGTCACAGTTTCAACCCCGTGGAGACTTAAAATAAATCTACTGGTGTGCAAACATGTACATATGTGTACTTGTAAACACGTGGAAGACAAGTGATAAATGACTCATGGATGACATGTGCAGCAAGTGCTACAAGTGAGAGAAAAGTCATCGAAGCCTGGAGTCCATTCAGCTTCCAGCACATGTGCCCACAAGGTTTATATCCTTATATCAAATATTGCCACATCTGCGGTTTTCTGAAGACTTCAAAATGACTTAGCTTTTAAGAATCTTGGTCTGGGATCCTGGTGGGCCCATTCAGGTACTATAGAAATCTAGTCCAGCTCAGTAATGATGTGGAAACAGAGGCATAGAGGGGCTAGATAACTTATTGCAGGTCATATGGACAGCCAATTCATGCAAAAGTATCTTTGGGAGTAAATATGTTCTATTCTCTATGTACATCTATTATATATACTTCAATTTTATATCCTTCTACTATATTAAAAATATGTCCATTAGCTGGAAATTGGGGCTGGTTATAAACCAAATGGAAAATATTGAACTGAAGGAATTAAGTAACCATGGTTATAACATGACTGATAGTTTTTGTGGCCTAGAACACATCCTTTAACCTCTCTGGTGGCCAGCTCTCCCATATGTAAGAGAAAAGACATTGATTGACTTAATGATGTCTATGGTCATTTCTAGCAATGGGATACCAGGATTTAATGATTCTAAATCAGACTTCTTATTGTAGACCCAATAAGAAGATAAAAAAGTCATAAAACAATAGATGCTTTTCCTCATCTTGTGGAGAAATCCGCAATGGTGAAAGCCTTTGGCCTTGCTGCCCTATTCCACCCAAAGCCCACATGAAAATTTCTAAGAGTAACTGAGAAAAGGAGAGAAGACACAGATTCATAAGAACACTTTAAAAGCCCACTAATGAACTCCTGGATCTGTAAGAAAAATATTGTAAACTATAATTCAGCAACATGTTAAAATACTACACTGAAAAATGATACCATGGTAAGTGATGGTGATTTTTAATATTCTATCAATAAAATGGACAGTGACTTGGAATTGAGGATCTATTGCTTCATATGACCTGCTTCCAGTGATTTGCATTTGAGTTCTATGTAGAGCATGCTTGAAGGAAGAAGCTAAGGGAATATTTTTATGAGACTCCATGAAACACAGGTATCTAGGGTTACTTTAGTATCAATGTGAGCATTAGAAAGGAAAACATTCTCCTCACTACTGGATAACAAATACGATGGCTTTAAATCACAGAAGACCCGGAGTGTTCCTAATACTCTCAGGGAGTACCAATACATAGCACTTTTGGTTTGGGTGCCAACCTTGTTATGGAAGGTACCATGAATCGTAGCCATAGTGAGGGGGTTTGGAGGTGACATATACATGAAAGTGGCTCTAGTCAGACAGGAAGACCATGGTGGATGCACTGTAGACTATACCTGGCTAACTTGTACCTAGATACATATAAAACATTTTTCAAGATGTTAGAGATCAGGGAGTGAGATTTTGCAAGAGCATAAGGTAATGGATGAACAAGCAGAGTCAGAGAAGCTGGTGAGATTAGCTCCACTGCTGTTACTATGATCCCTTATCTAATGTAATGGTAATGTCTGGGGAACTCTAATTACATATAATTACTGGCTCGTTTGGGTTAACAAGATGTTACTATTGGGAGAATTAAAAGGATATTATCAGTCATTTCAACTATAATACATGTAGTTTAATCAGACTGTTTTTCTGAAGTTAAGCTATGGTCACCTTCTCTGTAGGAATGTGAGTTTTGAAGGACAGAAGAAAAGTAGAAAGAGGATTTTTGTTTTTCTTTTTTTTTTGAAATCATAGGGCACTTCTCTACTATATAGCAATAGATTATAAAGATTTGTACAGCCTTCATGTGGTAAAATGATGTGGTACATCTGGGAGAGGAGAAAGTATACTAATAGACTAACTTTAAAAATACCAAAAGGGAGCTGGGAGGGTCCAGACAAACTTTGAAATTTAGGGGAGGAAGAATCTCATACTCAATATTCCTCATCTCAGCTAAGCACAATGTTCCTTATATCTTTCTCAAATTGCCGGTTCTTGCCATCCAGCCATATTATCCCACTGAGCCTGGAGTATTGAGAATATGGCTGGTGGCGGGGTGGAGGGAGACTCAAGTCCCGGACTATGAGTCTCTGCCCGTCATTCTTCATCTATGGATTAGTGACAACTGGTGTAACCAGCCTGTCCTAGCCTTGAATGTCTTCCATAGTATTTCACTATAATTTAACCTATAATATGTATATGCTTTACAAGAGAAAGAAAATGCCAACTTCATATAAACATGTGTTTTCAAATATGCTTCTTTCCATTATTAACTAACATTTGCCGTGTACAGGCAAGATACATGCAAAGCACTATATCACTGGCTTTAAAAGGCAATTTGGTTCCTACTATGTTAATCCAAATGTTCCAATTAGTTTGGTGCTTTCATAATTATGTATAATTCGGTTGGCATGTATGCATGAAATGTTTATTTCCATAATTGTAACAAGCACTTAAATTAATTATACCATAACCTCTTGATTCTATGGGCCAACTGTTGAGTCTTTTTTTTTAATATTGTAGAATCAGCCCTTTTTATTTTTTGAATTTTCCCCCCGCCTTTGATGTGTTGTTTCTTATCCTTGTTTGGAATTCTCTATGGAATATTCTCAGAATAATCTTGCAGTTTTCTTTTATGATTGAAACTTTGCATTTTAACAGTTGTCTGGAGATAGTTTCTTCCTTGTGAAATATCAGTTTTAATAACAGAAAAAGAAAAGTGCCATAAATCTGCACTAACCACATAAAGCTGAAGTCTCTGAGAGACTGATTAACACGGAGACTCTACACAGGTTTTTCAATAATTAGAGGATGTGTTTGCATGGAGCCACAACCGCTCAGGCCTTGAAGCCATTTCCCAGGGCAGCCAGCAATTATTACAGCCTGGAGTACATTCCTTATATTCTATGCCTCTAGCTATTGAAGCTGTTTTCAAATAAAGGTCTCTTAATTTCACAAAAAGTTAACATCACCGTGGATGAACAACATTTTTCTGCTAATACCTTCACTACTTAGTTGGGAGAGGGCCCTCGGAGAGCAGGCAATTAGAAATTCCTAATTTGTTGTTCACTCACCCATAAAAGGTTAAGAACATTCTGGTCTCTGATTACATGAACCGAGCAAAGGCCAGATCCAGCCTCCCACAGTGCCTTAGCTAACTGCCTGCCCTATCAGCAAATGCTGCTGAACATTCTCTTCAGAGCACAGGAGTGTGTGGGCAGTTTCACTGTGGGCTTGAGTATTTATTTATTTATTTTTGTCTCCGTAAATTACAGATAGCAAATATAGTATGGAAAAGATTGTCATTTTTCTTTTTGGTACAAAACTTGGTATGTCATTACCACGAATTAAAGGCTAAATGTTAGTATGATACTTTTAGAGGAGAAAACCCATGTGATAGTTCATCACCAATAGCCTTGGAGTTCTACTTTCTGATGCATCATTGCTTGTATGGTGTGGATGTAATAATGCAGCATTACTAACAATGTAGATGTCCATGTAGCTTACTATCTTCTTATTTTATATCAAAAAGTGCTGATGAAATTTTGACTATATGATACAGCTTACAAAAACATAAAGCTTCTGCCTAGTGGACTTGCTATCTATTTTATTTTATTATTTTATTTTATTTTGAGATGGAGTCTCGCTCTGTCGCCCAGGCTGGAGTACAGTGGTGCGATCTTGGCTCACTGCAACCTCCACCTCCAGGGTTCAAGTTATTCTCCTACCTCAGCCTCCCAAGTAGCTGGGATTACAGGCACATGCCACCATGCCCAGCTAATTTTTTGTATTTTTAGTAGAGACAGGGTTTCACCGTGTTAGCCAGGATGGTCTCGATCTCCTGACCTCGTGATCCACCCACCTCAGCCTCCCAAAGTGCTGAGATTACAGGCGTGAGCCACTGTGCCCAGCCTGGACTTGCTATCTACATAAGCAATGCATAATGTAAATGCCAAGCGAAAATTTCATCAGTCATAGGTAGTTGACTGGACATTTAATTATCCTTCGCCTATGCTTTCTGTTATGCCAAGTTAACCATTTAATTAGGCCAAATAGACAGATTTAGTCCACAACAAAAGTCTCTTTCAGCTGGAGTGGGCCAGGGGATGAGTCTTAATGAAGAAAAGGAAAGGCAAAGAAAGGAGATGAAGATCAAAGGAGAAGAGAGCTGAGAATGTTAAGCAAACTCCAATGTTGCCAACTCTCTGGCATACAGTTGAACAATCCTGATGGGAAAGAATCATGACTTAGTCCAAAGTTGGACAAGTTGAATAATTTGGTAAAATATGATCAGTTCAGCTTGCCCAATCACTTGAATGTGGGAGGGATTCGGCAGCATCATTTTTGTCTCTTTGGGGAATGAAAATAATCTGTTGCAAACTGTGTTTAGCACATTCAAAATCCGATGTAATTTTGCCATGCTTCTTTTTGAAAAATAGTTGTGGTAATATATGCTTCAGTTTGTATGTCACATGCAACATGTGACTTCCGAGCTTGGTTACTAACTTCGATCCATATTTCTGTAAATGTAGAATATACAAAACTCCATGTGTGTGACATTGATGATTATAAAGCTTCTATACGAATATTGGGGCTTTCATATGAACACTATGTAGCCTTCGGGGGGTTTCTTAACCTTTCTGTGCTTCAGTTTCTATATTTGTAAAACGGAGCTAATAGTCTTTGTTCTATTTTATTCTCATAATTTCTAAGAGATTACATGAAATAACTTGTGTGATGTGTGTGCTTCGAAAACAATAAAGGATTCTACAAATGTGATGCCATTGTTATATCGCTGTCAGAAACACTTTGCCTACACAACAAGCAAAAGTCATTAAGTCAAGACAATTAAAAGGATATAGAAGGAAAGAGGAGAGAAAATGATAACATAGCTGACAATTTACAGAGTTGTTCTGTATTTTTCACTCATTTTTTCTTAAATCATTTTAGTTGATATACTAATCTTGAAGCAGAAGAAACCAAGTTTTGAGGTGTTTTTGAAGTCAAAGTCTCCAAACTATGATTCTTGCTCACAAGTTGACCAACACAATGAAAATTGTTGCAAAAATGTAATCTTTAGTGAAAAAAACTGTCTGGGAGCCATCTTGGCCATAGCATCCTGAATAAACGTAAAACTTGAAATGTTGTTCAAGGTGGATTACTTAATTACCATTTACCACTTGTTTAAAAAAACAAATTTGGGAATATGGCTGGTCCAGTTCATTTCTCAGTGACAATACACCAAAGCTTTTAAAAATACAATCGCTTTTTGCTTTCTCCTTTCAACACACTGAAAACCAAAGTGTTATTTTTAAAAAGGTAAACATTAAACCATTGCAAACTTGTATTTGTTGCTAGTAAATGAAAAAATTAGCAAATGTATTAATAGTTACCAAATAGAAGAATCCTAAGAGATGAGATAATTCTTACCATTTTCTTCATTCAAAAGTCGTTCAGTGCTGATAATTATTAGAGATCAGGTCTCACAAATATTTCCTATGTGATAACATTTTCATGGGCATTCAGGAGAAACAGTTTCGTGAGGGAGAAAGATGGAGTTGTGATGACTGGAATAAGACAAGAATAGATTGTAGATGGAAGACACAATCCATATTAATTTTCTACAGTCATAATCAGGGACACTAGTAATTGGAAGGGGACAAGGCAAAGCACTCCTTCACTATTCTCTCAGTTCTTGGCTTTGTATCTGAAGTGACCTCATAAAATATTAGGCACATAATATTGAACACCACTGGCTGAACAAGTAATTGATCATATCATTCCCCTCCTTTCAATCCTTCAAAGTCTTCACGTCATACCAAGAAAACTATCAAGTTCTTAATCCTGCTTCTGAAAGAAGCAGACACTAAGACAGGATTAACAGGCAAGAATTCTATTAGGAGAAATACTCTGTTTGAGAAAATAGGTCGAAGCTAGGTTAGACTGGGAGCACCATCAGACTGCAGTGCAAGTCTGACCAGAGAGGAGAGAGGGAAGGAAGTCTGAGTGCTGTACAGTCTAAGCAAGGCCATGGGGAGTCCTCAAAATCAAATTTGCTGTCAGAGGATGCCAGTGTCTTCCAGGAATTGTCCTGCCTTAGCAGAACCAATGCGCTCATCATTGACCGGAAGCAGCATGTTGAGAGCATAGGTTCATCAGAGAGAAATGTGGCAATGGATTTAAAAGGCAGCAGCTGGGGCCTTTGGTCAAGTATACTCCCACACAGTTGCAGATCTACAAGGTGTGTTTCTCATGGCTGCCACAGGCCACTCTTAGGCCACACAGATTTACTTTTATGCAGATTTGTAGAGTAGCTCCTCTGTGGTTTCTGTGGTCTTTCCTTCCTGTGGGAAAACTCAGAATAGGGAGGTGACTGGGATGAGCTACTGCTCCCATTGCTCCTGTTGATGTTGGGGCCATAACTGAGACTTACCCTGACTCTCCTCCACTATGCATTCCAACTCCCTTTACACTCAGCTATTCCCTAGGCAAGTCTTGGTAGCATTTCTGAAGTATCCAAACCCCTGAAAATCACATTTGTCTAAGCCTGAGGTTGCTACAAATGTCCATTCACAGATACAGCAAGTAAAGGGAGAACCAGGTGGTGACCAAATAGAGCACCTGTGTTTCATATGCATTCCTCCATGCCCCTATTGGGTAAAAACAGCATTGCCTCCTCTTGCTGATCAGGGAAAATTACTCTTGCCAGTAAGGTGACTCCTCTCCTTACCAGGGGTCTGGGAATAATGAGTTCAATGTGCTCTGGAGGCAGCCATAACTTATAGTTCAATGCTATGTTCCCTAGCAGAGCACGTGCCTACTGGGGACCCAGACTTCCAGCCCTGAAGAGTCCAGAGTTGTAGGGACAGGAAGCATGAAACTACCAGTATGTCACTGGGAGTTATGACAAGTGAGGCTATTCTTGCTTCTACCCCTTGATGCTCTAACCCATGCCTTTTTCCTATAGAGAATACAGCATATTGGATCTCTAGTTAATTAAATGCACTGCATCCTAGAGAATGACATCTACCTTTCAGTGTTTCCTCTGAGCTGGTGCTTCCATTGGCACCTTTAGAAGACTCTTCCAGACTTGTATGAGACCAGTTGCATCTGGTTGGTAGCGTATGTGATACAACCACTGAATCCCATGATCTCAGATCCACTTCTGTGCTCATTTCACTATGAAGTTGGTCTTATGGTTAGAGGCTATGCTTTGTGAGATTTCTTGCCTGTGGATCACTCATTCCATAAACCACCAAATAATAGAGTGGGACACACACAGTGTTGCCCTGGGACAGAAAAGGCAAACCCATATTTAGTTTAGGTATCCATCCCTGTGAACCTCTGGACCTTCCAGGAGTATTCCATGAGGAACGTGTCATGTTGGAAATTTATCACTGGTCTCTGTTGCTGGAAGGTTGGGTATTCAGAGGTAGCCATAGCTATATCAGCCTTGGTAAGTGGGAGTCCATGCTTTGGGGCAATGTCACCTCCATAATATCCTATAATGCCATCACATGCCTGGGGTAGTTGACAATGAAGGCTGGCTAAATCAATTCACCAACTCATATTATCTATTTCTTTTTTTAGTATCTCTTCAGGGATAGATGCTTTTTGGTGGGCATTAATAGGTGGTACAAAAACCTTTTTGCTTTGTGTTCACTCTCATATGTCTATCCAAATGCCTCTATTCAGAACTACTTTTCTCAGATCATCCAGTCTTTTTCCCCTCGAAGTCCCTGAGCAATTTGTTAGGACGATGGCCACTGCTCAGAAATATTTATATGTTCTTCCACACAAAGTGCATGAGAAAGTGCACTGCTCATAGCTCAGCCAATTTTTCATTCTCCACATGTTTCAGGGATATCTCTGACTATAGTTGTCAAACAAATGCCATCCATTTTTAGCTTGTACCCACATAATGAGATGACTGAGGTTGCAGCTGGGCCTTTTTACGTGTTTTGCTGGATAGTAAGCTATACTTGTGCAATGAGAGACTGTGAAAGACCTGTTTTGGCAGGGAACAATGATAGTGTGAGGTGCGCTGTGAACTGAACAGGGATTCTAGAGATCACACAGGACTGGGAGAGGTTGGAATTCCAGCCAATGACATGGAGAAATCTTCCGGAAAACTCAGGCATTCCTGAAGAATCCAGAAAGGCCACATTTTGGCATTGAGCTTCTCTAGCCCTAGAGCCAGGGATACTCTAACTGCCCTAACAAAATCTGAAACCAAGCTTTGATAGGATCAGGCTGGTCCACCAGTAATTTAACTGCTTGTCAGAAAAAAAAAGAAAAAAAACCTCAGCACTCTTTAAAGGAAGACAATAAAATACAGATTTTTAACAACGTAGCATTAACAATGTTTGGCATACAACAAAACATAATTAGATAGGCAAAGAATTAGAAAACTGTGACATAAAACTATGACAGGGAAAAAACAAATCCAGAGTTGACAAATATGTTGCAATTAGCAGAAAAGACCTTTAAAGCAGCTATTGCAAATATGTTCAAGAATTTAAAAATGGACATAATGGGTGGCCAGGTATAGTATGACAATGGAAAAATAAAACTATCAAAAGATGAATGGAAATGCTAGAATTGAAAAATACAATATAAGAAAAGACAAATTTAATGCATAGTTTTAACAGCAGTGCGTAAGAAAGGTCACTGAACTTAAAAACCAATTAAAAGAAACAATCAAACTAAAAACAGAGGGAAGAAAAAAACTGAAAACAAACAAACAAACAAACTACAGGACCAGAGATAACATGTGGGAACAGCAAGAGGTTTAATATATGTGTATTTGGAATCCAAAAGGAGAAGAGAGAGAGAGTGTAGATAGAGCAGAAAAAATATTCAAAGAAATTGGCCAGGTGCAGCGGCTTACCCTGTAATCCCAGCACTTTGGGAGGCCAAGTGGGACAGATCACAAGGTCAGAGGTTTGAGACCAGCCTGGCCAATGTAGTGAAACCCCATCTCTACTAAAAATACAAAAAAAAAAAATTAGCTAGGCATGGTGGCGGGCACCTGTAATCCCAGCTACTCGGGAGGCTGAGGCAGGAGAATCCCTTGAACCCGGGAGGCGGAGGTTGCAGTGAGCCAAGATTGTGCCACTGCACTCCAGCCTGGGCAACAGTGTGAGACTCCATCTTAAAAAAAAAAAAGAAAGAAAAAAAGAAAAAGAAATAATGCCAGCCAGAATATCAAGTGATGTTACTATTGAAGCACTGAAAGAAAAGACCTGTCAAATTAGAATTCTAAATGCAAAGAAAATACTCTTTAAAAATGAAAGCAAAATAAGGACATTTTCAAATAAGCAAATGCTAAGAACTTTCATCAACAGCTGACTTGAATTACAATAAATGATAAAGTTTTTTGGGTGGAAAACCATGATACCCAACGGGAGCATGGATCTACAGGAAGGAGTGAAAAACACCAGAAATGAGGAATATGTGGGTAAAACAGAAAAGTTTTCTGCTTGTATCTTAATTTCTTTAAAACAAAATTGACTGTGTCTTTATGGTAGAATGATTTATACCCATGTAACAAACCTGCACATATACCCTCTAAACCTAAAATAAAAATTGGAAAAAAATTTGTCTTTCTGATTGTATTTATTTGAATCTATGTTTTTTCTTTATTAGTCTACCCAGCAATCTATCTATTTATTCTTTCAAATAACCAACCCCTGGACTTGTGGATCTTTTTTATGGTTTTTCATATTTCAATTTTCTTCAAGTCACCTCTCATTTTGTTTTTTTCTTATCTTCTGCTGGCTTTGGGGTTCATTTGCTCTTTGTTCTCTAATTCCTCTAGGTGTGATGATGGCTTGCTAATCTGAGATCTTTTTGACTTTTTGATGTGGGCATTTAGCACTATAAACTTCCCTCTTAACACTGCTTTAGCTGTGTCCCAGATATTCTGATATGTTGTATTTTCCCCTTATTAGTTTCAAAGAATTTCTTGATTTCTGCCTCAATTTCATTGTTAGCCCAAAAGTCATTCAGGAGCAGGTTGTTTAATTTCCATGTAATGATACGGTTTTTGAGCAATTTTCTTAGTATTGATTTCTGTTTTTTTATATGTGCTGTAGTCTGAAAGTGTGGTTGGTATAATTTGCGGCATTTTTACTTTGCTGAGGATTGTTTTATGGCTGTTTGTGTGGTCAATTTTAGAGTGTGTGCTACGTAAAGATGAGAAGAATATATATTCTGATATTTTCAGTTGGAGGGTTTTGTAGATATCTATTAGGTCCTTTTGTTGAAGTGTTGAGTCCAGGTCCCAAATATCTTTGTTAGTTTTCTGCCTTGATAATCTGCCTAATCCTATCAGTGGGGTGTTGAAGTCTCCCACTATTATTTTGTGGTTATCTAGGTATCTTTGTAGGTCTTTAGTAACTTGCTTTGTGACCGATGCTCCTGTACTAAGTTTAAATATATTTAGGATAGTTAGGTTTTCTTGCTGAATTATGTAGTGCCATTGTCTGTTTTCATCATTGCTGGTTTAAAGACTGTTTTGTCTGAAATTAGGATAGCAATCCCTGTCATTTTCTGTTTTCCATTTGTTTGGTCAATTTTCTTCACCCTTTACTTTGAACCTATGGGTGTCACTGCATGTAAGATGGGTCTCTTGAAGACTATATATCATTGAGTTTTGTCTCTTTATCCAATTTGCCATTCTGTGCCTTTTAATTGGGACATTTAACCCATTTACATTCAAGGTTAATATTGATATGTGCCAATTTGATACTGTCATCATGTCAGCTGGTTATTATGCTGACTTGGTTCATGTGGTTGCCTTATAGTGTCAATGATCTATGTACTTAAGTGTGTTTTTGTAGTGTCCAGTAATAGTCTTTCCTTTCCATATTTAGTATTCCCTTTTAGGCCTCTTGTAAGGCAGGTCTGATCATAATGAATTCCCTTAGCATTTGCTTGTCTGAAAAGGATATTATTTCTCCTTTGCTTATGAAAATTAGTTTCACTGGATATGAAACTCTTGGTTGCAAATTCTTTTCTTTAAAAATGTGACTATAGTCTTCCAGTCTCTTCTGGCTTACAGGATTTCTGCCAAAATTTCCACCCTTAGCCTGATGGGGTTCCCTTTGTAGGTAACCCGCCCCTTCCCTCTAGCTGCCTTTAACATTTTTTCTTTCATTTCAACCTTGGACAATCTGATGACTATGTATTTTGAGGATTGTCATCTTGTATAGTATCTTGCACAAATTATCTGCACTTCCTGAATTTGAATGTTGGCCTCTCTAACAAAGTTAGGGAAATTTTCATGGATGATATCTTGAAGTATGTTTTCCAAGTTGCTTGCTTTCTCTCCTCTCTTTCCAAGACATCAGTGAGACACATTTGTTCTCTTTACATAATCCCATATTTCATGGTAGATTTATTTATTCTTATTTAATCTTTTTTCTTTATTTTTGTCTGAGTTATTTCAGAGAACTTGTCTTTGAGTTCTGAGATTCTTTCCTCTGCTTGGTTGATTCTGCTCTTAATACTTGCGATTGTATTCTGAAATTCTTGAAGTGAGTTTTTCAGTTCTATCAGGTCAGTTTGTTTCTTTCTTAAAAATGGTCATTTCATCTTTTATCTCCTGTATCATTTTATTGTATTCCTTAGAATCCTTTGAGTTTTGAATTTCTCCTGAATCTCAATGATCTTCATTCCTATCCATATTCTGAATTCTATTTCTATCATTTCAGCCATTTCAGCCTAATTAATAACCAATGCTAAGGAACTCTAGCTTTTTGAGTTTCCAGAGTTCTTGTGCTGGTTCTTTCTCGCCTGTGTGGGCTGATGTTCCTTCAATCTTTGACATTGCTGTCCTTTGAATGCAGGATGTTTGTTTGTTTGTTTTGTTTTGTTTTTTGCTTTTATCCTCTTTGAGGCTCTCAGTGTTTGATTGTAGTATAAGGTGGGTTCAGTCAGCTAGCTTCATTTCTGAAAGATTTTAGGAAGCCAAGTCTCAGCTCAGCACTCTTGGCCTCTGTGCTCTAACTCTGGAGAAATGGTACCAGCCCACAGCTTTGTTCTTTGTTTGCTAGAGGCTCAGAACCTACTGAACTGGAGGGGCTGAGGTATTCCCAGACTGCTGGCCACAGCACTTTGATGGATGATGGCAGCCAAAGTGCTTCACTGAGGTGGTGGCAGCAGGATTCATGCTCATTCGTGCATGCCAGCAGCAGTGGCAATGTGGTGGGGTGCATGCATGTTTGCTGTTGTGGGGTACTAGTGGGAGTGGGGTTGTGGTATTCCTGTGCATGCTCACACCAGTGGCTGCAGCAACAAGGGTGGGTTGCTGGAGAGTGCGGAGCTGCCAGCCTCTGTGCGTATGTTTTCAGCAGTGGTGATGGCAGTATGGTGTGGGGGCGGGGTTGCTGGTCTCTCGGCATGTGTTTTCACTGGTGGTGATGTCTACATATGGAGGGCCTGGGATTGATGGAATCTTAGCATGCATTTGTGTCAGCAATGACAGTACAGCTGGGGGGTGTGGGGTGTGCTCACACCAGCAACAGTGGCATGGCAGGGTGCACACACACATACAAATTGGCGAGGGAGGGGAGGCGATGTCCATCCCCATGTGTGTGCACTGGCAAAGTGATAAGGGGTGGCTGTGGGCGAGTGCATGCCAGCAAAGCAGCCTGGAGGAGGCTTCAGTGGGTAAGGCAGTGTGAGTGTGTGTGCTGATGGAAATTGACAGGGCCACTCTGCTGTAGCTGATAGTCAGGCCCAGTCCGCTGGTGGGGAACTACAATGAAGGCCCCCAGGAAGCACCCCTGTTGGGCATCTGAGGCTGTACTGCAAGCAGATGCAACCAAACTGGGGCTCTAGGACAGGCCAGCAGACAGGCGGTTGCTCAGATTGGGCTGGCCCCATCTCACAGGCAAGATCACCCTGCTCTGTCCCAGGCTGTCAGTCACCCTAAGGCTAAAGTCTCCTAGAGGCACAAGCCAAGCCTTGGGGGATGGGCATCCCTGGCCATGCTCCACTGCACACGTTCCCACACCAAACCCTCTGGATTCCACACTGGCTGGAGTCCTGCCCCTACCACCTCTGTAAGCAGCTCTCCCTGCCAGCTCAAGTGTCCATGGAGGTCCTGAGGTCTCCTGCTGACAGGATTCCAGAGGTCCCCAGTGAGAGCAGGATGCTGATTGCCTGCTGAGCTCACCCCTTCTCCAGGAGTCGCTGTGGGCCAGGAATGAGTCCCAGTGTGCAGTAGCGCCATGTCGGGTTCCCAGCTTCTTTTCTCTTCAGCCCAGCACCTGTGTCCTCCCTCCATCCACTCTCAATACCTTCCCTCTGAAGATGGCTCAGAGTTCACCAGTCTTCCAGATGTCCCAGTCTCTCAGTGGCAGACATTCTTCCTGGCTATGTCTAGTTACCCATCTTGAATATTGAAATTCACTTTATATTAGTTAGAAGTGAAGAGAATAGGTAGCTTTGTGACAAGTACACACTAATAATAAGAAAGCTGAAGAGATTATACTAATATCAGTCATAGAAGGCTATAAGGGAAGGGGTATTACAAGAGATATGGGTGAATATAGTCATGTGACATTTAACTGCAGGGATATTTTCTGAAAGATGCTTGGTTAGGATTTCATCATTGTGTGAGCATCACAGAGTATACTTCCACCAGCCTAGACAGTATAACCTACTACACACTTAGGCCATATGGTTAGTCACCACACTATATGGATACTATTTAATAGTTGTTATACTGTGTTTTTAAATGTGCTGTTTTTATTGTTGTATTGTTATTTTTTACTCTTCTTCCTGAATATTTTCTATCCAACATTGTTTGAATTGTGGATGTGGAACCCTTGCATACTGAGGGCTGACTGTATGTAACTTCACCTCAATTAAATGAGTGATTCATCTGGTAAAATAGTAAAGCTATTTTTCACAAGCTTGAACAAGCAAGAATTTGGATTTGATGGATCTTTGTATAAATTGGGCTTTATATTTTGGCTATTTTTCCTAGTATTAACAGCAAGTTTCTCACTTAATTTATTTAGACTGTCATTAAACTCTATTTGGCCCTCTAAGTGCAATATATAAAAATGCACTGGTTCTTTCTTGTGTTTTCATGATCATCAATGTATGATTTCATATACATGTGCCTCTCTCTTGACACAGCTCTCTCCACTCCAACTCAGTTGGGCTCTGATAGCTGATTTACACTGATGAAACACATGACGAGATTTCCTAGGCTTCAAAGTATCTTTTGTTTTAATTGTTTTCACTTCAAACTAATTGTTATCCATCCATTATATGAATAAGATATTTTATATTTTAAGTTACATCTTTTTTTTTTTTTTTTTTTTTTTTGAGATGGAGTCTCCTTCTGTCACCAGGCTGGAGTGTAGTGGCATGATCTCGGCTCACTGCAACCTCTGCCTTCTGGGTTCAAGCGATTCTCCTGCCTCAGCCTCCTGAGTAGCTGGGACTACAGGTGCGCACCACCACTCCCAGCTAATTTTTGTATTTTTAGTAGAGACGGGGTTTCACCATGTTGGCCAGGATGGTCTTGATCTCTTGACCTAGTGATCCGCCCACCTCGGCCTCCCAAAGTGCTGGGATTACAGGTGTGAGCCACTGTGCCCAGCCTAAAGTTAAATCTTTATTTGCTCACATGATCCAGTTTGTTTGAACACATATACAATATCAGTTTTAATTCAAAGATCTTAAGAGAAAATATATATACTTTTTAATACTGGTTTTTCCTAATGCCTAGAGATAAATATATATTTGCCTTATCAAAGGAAGTAATCTGAAACAATAACAGTGTTATTAGTCTTTATGCAAGTTTTAAAAATGCTTTGGTCATTTACTTTGAAATGCTTTAATAGAGTGTGTATAAGGCAACAGGACAGTCATCTAATCAGTGAAATTTCATTATTTTATAAATTAATAATTTACACTAATAGATACATTTTCAATAAACATGGCATTGTACAATTCAAACTTGCTTCGTAGCCCAGGGACATAACCCCAGAAATTACAATGCAATAGGGGACAGGACAAATAGGGAGTTTTGTTCAGAAGAGCAAGATAGAGTTTACAGACACTTGGAACCAGTCTCTATCTTAGACACAGTAGAGAAGTTGAAAGTAGCTTCTAGTGTTTGTTTCAAAATATTGAATACAACACATCTGAGTTAAGATAAGCTATATTTAAGTTCTCCAAATGCTTGAGCATATGCTCTTCTCATCTAGGAAATCATTTGAACAATGTTAAAATGAGCTCATGAATTTAACTTTTTAGTTCCTTTTCTCTGTTTCAAAGTATCTCGATGAAATGAGTTCTAAGTGGGAGAAAACAATTTCTGATGCCAATTGTATTTCATCTTGTATACCACGCTCTTCAGTATAGTATAACGGCATAGATGTCTAACAAGTATTCCAATGACTGACTTTTCAATTTGGCTGCAGGCTGAACACCCCTGGGTAGTTTAGAATAATCTAGATGTCTCAGTTCCACCTTCAGAAATTCTGATTTAATTGGTAAGAGGTGCAGCATGGACATCAGGGTCTTTAAAAACTTCCTGGGTGATTTTAATGTGCAGCAAAATTTGAGAACCATTGCTTCAAAAAGTAAGAGGTAAATGTTTACAGGAGGGGTAATTTCTTCTGTGTTGCAATTCTGGAATTATCAGAATAGTCTTAATGGAAAATGTGACAAACTGTATTGTTAAGGGAGAGGGTTCAGGGGCAGAGAACAGAAGTTATTCTACCAAGTTTAAGTAGAAATGAATGTATTTTGGAATATTAAATGGCTTATATATCATTGGGAAGGCTGAGGAAATCAATGGTAAGATGAGCTTTTAGAAACGACTTTGGGAGCCATGATTCTGAATTGAGCCATTAAGGGAGCTGCTACTAAGTTGTGAAGTTACTGCTACAGTTGCCAACTCCCAAAACATACCACCATTCCCAGGACCAGGGAATGGCACCCTCAGGAAGTGGCCAAACCACGACAGAACACGTAGGCACTTCAACGATGAGATTGAAAAATGCAGAAAAGTTTTCTCTCATCTACTCCCCCTGCCCTATCACACAGGGTGGTTTGTTGAGAATCAGAAAGTGAAAAGAAACTAAAGTTCACATGCTTTTGTGGGAGTCCAGGTGGGAGACAGAAGATGAAAACCTGAACTAAAGCAGTAGCCAAGACGACAGAGCGGAAGATACAGAATCTTGAGATCATTAAAAATAAAATTGATAGGACATGGTATCCAGTTGGCTTTACAGAGAGAAAGGTATCAGAAATGATTTTGAAACATACAAGCAGCCAACAAACACATGAAAAAAAGTTCCACATCGCTAATCATCACAGAAATGCAAATCAAAACCACAATGAGATACCATCTCACACCAGTCGGAATGGCAATTATTAAAAAGTAAAAGCAAAAAACAAAACATGAACCAAAAAAGAGATGCTGGCAAGGCTGCAGGGAAACAAGAACGTTTATATGATATAGGTAGGAATGTAAATTAGTTTAGACACTGTGGAAAGCAGTTTGGAGATTTCTCAAAGAATTTAAACCAGAACTATTTGACCCAGCAGTCTCATTACTGGGTATATATCCAAAAGAAAATAAATCATTCTACCAAAAAGACACATGTACTTTCACGTTCATTGCAGCACTATTCACAATAGCAGACATGGAATCAACCCAAGTACCCATCAATAGTAGGTTGGATAAAGAAAATGTGGTACATATACACCATGGAATACTACACAGCCATAAAAAAGAACAAAATTGTGTCTTTTGCAGTAACATGATGTAGCTGGAGGCCATTATCCCAAGTAACTTAATGCAGGAAGAGAAAATTAAATACTGCATGTTCTCACACATAAGTGGAAGCTAAATATTGGGTACTCATGGACACAGAGATGAGAAAAATAGACACTGGGGACTACTAGAGCGGGGAGATAGGGTGAGGAGTGAGGCTTGAAAAACTATTGAGTACTATCTTCACTACCTGGGTGATGAGATCAGTTTTACCCCAAACATCAGCAATAGGCAATATACCTGATATGGTTTGGCTGTGTCTCCACCCAAATCTCATCTTGAATTGTAGCTCACATAATTCCCTTGTGTTGTGGGAGGGACCCAGTGGGAGATAATTGAATCATGGGGGTAGTTTCCCCTATACTGTTCTCGTGGTAGTGAAAAAATCTCACAAGATCTGATGGTTTTATAAGGGGAAACCCCTTTCGCTTGTCTCTCATTCTTCTCTTGTCTGCCACCATGTGAGATGTGCCTTTTACCTTCCGTTATGATTGTGAGGCCTCCCCAGTCACGTGGAACTGTGAGTCCATTAAACCTTTTTCTTTTGTAAATTGCCCAGTCTCGTGTGTGTCTTTATCAGCAGCATGAAAACAGATTAATACAATACCCAAGTAATAAACCTGTATATGTACTCCCTGAATCTAAAATAAAAGTTAAAATTACAAAAAATATTTTAAAATTTTAAAAATGATTTTGAAGATAATTGGATAAATGCTTGTGCTATATACTGCCATCTATTGACATGTATAGATGGGAAATACAAATCGAGGAACAGGCTAAGACAAGGGTGGGTGGAGAAGAAAGAACAAATGAAGTGCACATGTGTTCACCCTGGAGTCATATCCAAGTGCTGAATATCAGTTGAATAAGCAGTTAATATTATGGTTCTGGGGCTCGAGACATTCAGGTTTAGAGAAACTGATTGGCAAGTCAGTGAATCGTTGGGTGTAGATGTTTTGTCCATGAGAGATGATTTAAGGAATGTGCCAAAAAATGGTGGTCAGAACGAAGGAGAATTGGACTGGAATAAGATGGTAGATGGACCCATATGGCTCAGCAGATGTAGGGCTATAAATCAGAATACCTGGTTTCAATTCTCAATTCCATCATTTTCATGGACCAGTCATTTAAACTCACTGAACTCCACCCAGTTTCTTTCTGTAAGGAGTAGATAGTATTTGTGCTGTTTATCTTAAGTATTTTGGTAGGGCTCAAACACGAAGACTTATGAGAAAGCAATTGAAAACTTGCTAAAGAAAGCTGATAGAATGAACTTGATTTTGCATTTTAAACTTTATTTCAAGCTGGTGAGGTTAGATGGTCAGGGAAACTGAGGAAGAGAACAAAGATGGGAGAACTGCATTCACCCATCATTTTGGTCATTGAGAAGAGACAGACAGGAAGGAAAGGAGGCCCTAATCTTATTGCCTGAGAGCTCAACTACACACCTTTCATCCTCCTGGCAGGTGGATCGCACATCTTCCATTGAGCATAGTCTCATTTACACGCAGTTTTGCACATATGGATGCTGCTGCTACTCCCCTGCGAAAACGTTTCCAAAGCCACTAATAAAAAGGTAACTCGCTATGTGCTATGAGAGATGACAAGCGCACCTTGGGATGAATGATGGGTAAAGAATTGTCATTTCTCTTCTCAAAATCAGGCTATCATCTGCTCATGTGGCTTGGCACCTGTGGCTTGTTAGCAATTACGTTGCGGAAGCCAACCCATTCAAAGTTTCCCCTGCAGAGGAGTTTTAGGCTGTTGCCTTCCTTCCATCTGTCTCTACATGGTTTCAGAGCACTCCAATACGTTATTTGAGAAGCTTTAAAATCCATTTTCTTTTTCTAACCTTTTCTCTCATTTTATTTTTAAGTGTGATTTTATTATCCTTTAATTCAGGGTTTAAAAAGGAATGGGAATATTAATCCCTTTGGGTGTGATTATTTTGGTTAAAGTGGGACTTAGTTTTGGAATAAATGATTTGATATTGATTCATATTAGACATGGTACTTGTACTTCAAAAATGATTCAAAGTTACTAACACCACAACAAGGCCTTGCATGTCTCAAGGTTGTAGAACAGGTTGGTTTTTTATGTGATATTAACAATAATAACAAAAACTTATTTTTTCCTTAAAATACGCTAGGCAGTGTTTCAAACACTTTACATGAGTTACCCACTTTAATTCTCATTATACTGCTATGTTTATCCCCATTTTACATTTTAGAAAACTGAGGCGCAGGAAGTTAAATAATTTACTTATTTGTTACATATAATATAAATATTAACACTTTACAAAAATTCAAACATTCCTACAAATTGTCAACTTACTCTCTCTAAATCGCAATATTGATTTTGCCATTCTCTACCCAAGAAATCTTTAATAAATATCCTGTGTCTATCAAATTAAGTGCAAATATCCTATCCTAACATGCAAGAGCTCTCAAATTGTGATCCTAATTTCCTTCTCCAGCTCTGTTTTACAGGAATTCCCTAACAATGGTCCTCAATCAGGGATGATTTTGCCACCTGGGGGATATATGGCGCTGTCTAGAGACATTTCGGGCTGTCATGACTTGGGAGTTTAATGGCATGAAGTAGGAAGAAGTCAGGGATGCTGCTAAACACCCTAAACTGCAAATGACAGTCCTCCCTCACAACAAAGAATTATCCAGTTCAAATCATCAAGAATACTGAGGTTGAGAAACCCTGCCCTAACCTGTTCAATCAAACCGGACAACTTGTGGTTCTTTAAATAGCCTTTGTATGTTTCATCTTTGTAGCTTCCTCTTTTTTTTTTTTTTTTTTTTTTTTTTCAGAGACAAGGTATTGTATTGCCCAGGCTGGAGCGCAGTGGCACAGTCATAGCTCATTGCAACCTTGAACTCATGGGCTCAAGCAATCCTCATGCCTCAGCCTCCTGAGTAGTTGGGACTACAGGCATGCACCACCACCATGCTTGGCTAGTTTTTTTGTTTGTTTGTGGAGACGGGGCCTCGCTCTGTTGCCCAGGCTTCTCTTAAACTCCTGGCCTAGCAGTCCTCCCACCTCAGCCTCCCCAAATCCTAGGTTTACAGAAGGGAGCCACCATGTCTGACCAGCTTTCCTTCATTTTATTCCTTCACTAAACATTCACAGAGTACCTACTACATGCCAGCCCCTATTATGTATAAGACATGATCCTTCATCTCCCACTGACCTGGCTTCCTATCCTTGTTCCCCTCCTATATCAAAACCCTGCCTGGTAGTTTGTGACATAAACCTACACACGAAAGTGCGTATCACTTATATATACATACTTCTATTAAAATCAATAGTAAAATTAAACCAAACAAAATCCTGCATGTACTTCAAGGCTCCTCTCAAATGCCGTTTCCTTCATGAGCTATATCTTTGCTCTTTCATAGTAGCTTTTTAAAATAAAATATGAGAGTCTTGATATTAAATGGAAATTGATAAAACTTGTTCCTATATGATGGATTTAATATGAATATTTAAGTACCATTTTTCCACTGCAGAAGTGTTAAAAAATCTTCTCAAGCTTGTATGTCTCAATGTTGTAGAAGCAGCTTAATTTTTATTCCCAGTAAGTCTTTTTTTAAATCAAAGTTTTGGAAGTGAAAGTAGTAAGTCATTGAAGTTCTAGTCAGCACTTTGTAGCATTTGAAGAGGAGGGTGTAAAAGGCTGTGCGAAAAGGCTAGCATCCATTGGTTTGCACCATGTTTCATTTTGGCAATAAAATTTAAAAAAATAAATTTAATAAGAATTTATTGAGTGCCACTATGAGTTAGACACTGTGTTAGATACTGGAATTTAGAAGAAAACACCTCATGTTTTTGCTCCAGTGAGGTCAAGTAAATATTTTTTTTTTTTTTTTTTTTTTTTGAGACGGAGTCTCGCTCTGTCGCCCAGGCTGGAGTGCAGTGGCGGGATCTCGGCTCACTGCAAGCTCCGCCTCCCGGGTTCACGCCATTCTCCCGCCTCAGCCTCCCAAGTAGCTGGGACTACAGGCGCCCGCCACTACGCCCGGCTAATTTTTTGTATTTTTAGTAGAGACGGGGTTTCACCATTTTAGCCGGGATGGTCTCGATCTCCTGACCTCGTGATCCGCCCGCCTCGGCCTCCCAAAGTGCTGGGATTACAGGCGTGAGCCACCGCGCCCGGCCAGTAAATATTTTTAATACTTCAAAATGTTTTATCATAGAAATAGAGAAATTCTTTACACAGATAAACATTCTGATGACCAGGTAAATGTAGAGGTGATAAGAAGTGTAAGTAATGAGGCATTGCTTCATCCTAGCTCTATAGAAGAACCTTAAGGAGAGGAAACTAGGAATGCATGAATTATTAAGGACCTTAGCAATGACAGCGTATAGTAGTAAATAGACAAGAGTAAATGGAAATGACTTGCACAGTTAAGTGTTCTATATTTAAAGGGATGATTCCATATTTGAACAATATAGTCTGCCACTCTGAAAATATTTCTTAATGTGCCGAAACCTCTCTATTTTAGCATGTTACCAAGATTAGAGTTGTGAATGCATATGACACATATCCAGGAAGTTTTGGCCCCCTACTCTGGTTCAGGCACCAGATTTATGGTAAGTAACTTCTGCTATCTTGGTCAGACTTAAGTCATTGAAATTTGCCTTTTGGATGCACAGTCTTACAGTTTCAATGTAAAAAATTACAAAAAAATGGCGTTCTTTATAGGCAGATTATGTAAATGATACATGAGTCAAATTGTGTTCATCAAGTACCACAAGACAGGTGTTGGTGCCCTTTAAACTGTGTCTGTCTTGGGATAATTTTCTCCATACATAGCTGTCCCTGTGGTTGTTTGCCTGTCATAAACAGCCAAGGTGAGGCTGCTTCAGTGGGGCTGGAGGCTTGAGTATAGCAAAGTTTGAGAATCACTGTGCTATAGATGTTGATTTCATAGATAGCCTGTGCCATCCCAGCCGTGCCCAAGTCCTTCTCCAATGCCCTTTCACTGCCTTGGACCTAAAGCCATGAGTACTCATGGTAAATGATTTCAGTTCTAGTAGTTCACTGCAGATTATATACATTTCATCAAGTTAAGTAGTGAGGAATCCTTGCAGTCTAAAAGGGGTGCTGCATGAGCTTACTGTGGAAAATCATCAGGGCCTGGTAAATCATTCAATCCTTTTGGACCACGGAATCCAAGGCTTTCCTTCTCCCTTAACATCAGGAATCCCATCATATCTCATGCTATGTGGAAATTTGCAGACTACTTCAGACCCAAAGAAAGAGGGAAATCTCCCCTGGCTGGTCTTTAAGAGGGCCTTGACATAGATGTACTTAAAGCACATGAACAAAAGCAGAGACACCTAAGATGAATTTTGTAGAGCAAATCCAAAAGAGAGACAACTCTACATTTACTGCTGATGATGGAACCTCTGAATAGCCTTGTTATGTGCCCTTGAATACATTGTGCTGCATATTACAGTCCTCACTGTTGCGACTTCCACTTCACTGGGCAACATGGGTTGTATATGATGGTGGACTAGGGTGTGTGGCTAACACATGCAGTTACTGAGCTGGTATTTTCAAAGTCCAAAACTGTTTTATAACATTGCCTATTTTGCCATTGGCTTGCTCATCAGCTTCAGAAGTAAGCATTTCAAGTAAATGTTGAAAGAGTTTATTATTTGTGTGAAATCTAACAAGGACTGCCAGTGACTGCCTGGTGTTGTTAACCAAAAAAGCCCAATATTCTCAGACAATGCCACCTGTAGTGGCATTTTGTATTTGTCCATTCTCACACTGCTATAATGATACTACTTGAGACTGGGTAATTTATAAACAAGAGAGGTTTTGATTGACTCACAGTTCTGCACGTCTGGGGAGGCCTCAGGAAACTTACAATCATTGCAGAAGGTGAAGGGAAAGCAAGGCACATCTTACATGATGACAGGAGAGAGAGGGCGCAGGGAAAACTGCTGCTTTTAAAACCATCAGATCTCGTGAGAACTTCTTCACTGCCACAAGACGGCATGGGGGAAACCACCCCGATGATCCATGCACCTCCCACTAGGTCCCTCCCACGTCATCCCACGTGGGGATTACAATTGGAGATGAGATTTGGGTGGGGACACAGAGCCAAACCATATCACATCTTTTTTTGATTTCATAGATCCCCTGAAAACCATCATAAAGTGGCTCCTAAAATTCAAGGCCTTAGGCATTTGTCAAAAGAACTTCATGTATGTGATGAGGACAGTTTCTGCTGAATTTTTAAACACAGTTCATGGGACTTCCTATAGTCAGAATGAGTGTCATGCTGAGATCTTTTTTTTTTCTTGAATAAGTTTAGAGCTGGCATGGTAGTTAATGAGAACACTTAAGCATGCACAACAACGCGGGAGTTAATGTCTCTGGCTGACATTATTTCCTACCGCGCTGAATATGGCAGGAATGAAAAATCATGTTTGCTACTTCTACAGAAGGTTTATCAGGGAAGGAAAGTATTATAGGGGAAAAAATCAGATTCCCACTGTGAATTTCTTAAATTAATTTTATAATATATATTGCTCTAATTTGGAATATTTGGAAAGGACTTAAGATGTTGTCTGTGATTCATTGCATGAAGTCCAATGAAGCCATTTTCTGATCATTGTATCCTACCTGCTTGTTAAATCTCAGCTGAAGGACACCTGACACTCTGTAGTCAATTCTCTTTGAGCATGAAGACTTGAAAGAAGAACTTGTCACAAAACACAAGGTCTCTTTCTGTACTGCCTGGTCTCAGTGAGATGCTGTAAATAAAACATAGGTGAACTAAAACACAGGTAGACAGGTCTTTGGAGATGATCTGGAAGAAATATGGATAAACAAAGAATTGCTTCTGGGGAGCCTGGCAGGACACATCACCCCACCTTGTCCTAAGTATAACCCATAAGGAAGTTACTTGTAGTTACACACTAGGTGCAGGGAAGCAATCTCATAGAAGAGATCATGTTTTGGGAACTTACCACATTGCTCTTCCTGCAACCCCTGAGATAAAATGTTTATACAAAACAAAGCAAAAACATGTGTAAACAACTTATAGGATGCATGGTGTGCAGTCAAGGCAAATGTTAACCAGGACTTTATTTTGCTTTAGGTAGTAGAAAAAAGGTATGATTGCAAGGTTCCTGGTCCTTGGAAACTCTAGGTTCTGACTAATGTGTGCTCATATCCATGACAAAAAGTCTCATTTAAGTCTAGAATGCTGCTCTCTAACTCCTCATAGTTCCCAATGTTCTTTTCTAAGCATTCTCTAGTCTGAAAATGTTAAATCTTACAAGATTTATCTCTCCAGTTTTGCTCAAGTTCTTTTTTGAAAACAATCCATTAATTGGTATTTGATTATTCATGAGAGTGCTGCAATCTTAAAGCCATGTGACCCTGTCCACCTCCTTGTCTGTTACAATGGGTATACTTGCTTCTCAGAGTTGTGAGAATTAAATAAGTTAATGTATGCAAAGCTCTTAGATAATATCTGGAACAGAGTGAGTAATCAATAAGTGTTAGGGCAAACCAGGACAAGATAAAGACTATTCAACAATTATATCAAAGGTCCCCAATACATCTAGATTCTCAGTGAAACCCATTAGAATTTGTCTTGCTGTTTTCTAAATTGAAAGGCAGGCATGGTAAAGTATATTTCTCTAAGATCTCTTGCTTAATTTCCTTTAGATCTATCTTGATAGCCACCATAGTTTATTGGTCAAAGCTTCTTTTCATGGCAAGTCACATTGTACTTAACAAAAGTGAGGGGTACAAACTGTTTTTTTGCATCTATGAGTTGTTGGCTTTTTGTGTTCATTATTTGTCAACGAGCAAGGTGAAATAAAGGACACAATACCTAGAGTCATCTCTTGACCTGAAAAAACTACATTGACCTTGACCTTTTACCCCAGTGAAAGACAACTGTGGAATGAACATAAGTGTGGCAAGCCCCCTCCAGGAAGTGGTCTTCCCTGGGTCTTCATGACACCAGAATTGATCATATCAACATAGACAAACCTCCTCCCACCTTCAGGTTCCCTCTAAGCCAGGGAGTGAGAGATTTCTCTCATATTATTTTCCATTGATTGTTTCAGAAGTGATTTGGAGGCCAGGCACGGTGGCTTACGCCTGTAATCCCAGCACTTTGGGAGGCCCACGGGAGTGGATCACTTGAGGTCAGGAGTTCGAGACCAGCCTGGCCAACACAGCAAAACCCTGTTTCTACTAAAAATACAAAAAATTAGCGGGGCATGGTGGCTCGCGCCTGTAATCCCAGCTACTCGGGAGGCTGAGGCAGGAGAATCACTTGAACCCTGGAGGTGGAGGTTGCAGCGAGCCGAGATTGTCCCACTGCACTCCAGCTTGGGCGACAGAGCAAGACGACATCTCAAAACAAAAACAAAAGCAAAAAACAGTGGTTTGGTGAACACTTACCTAGAATTGCAAATTGGGAGTCGATGTAGAGCACTGTGAATTCCTTGGGGCTGAGGTTCACCGAGTAGGCTTGTTTTGAATTTGAATAACGTGGAAATGTCACTCCTGTAAATTCAGGTGGCTTGCTGACTGGCTGGACTTGCCCCTACGTGAGAGAGGAGTCAGCAATACCTGTTAAGGATCTCATTTTCATGGAGGATTTTTGTTTGTTTGTTTAGTGGAGTTCTGTAATTCATTTCCAAAAGCACCCAAATAGTTTAAATTTTTATAAGTTTTGCATGCACCGATCACATCCCTTGAATTGCTAAGTAAGGAAGGCAGGGAGGACTGAAGGGAAATTTTCTTGTGAATACAGTGTCTGTGGCTGGATTAACATTTTTCTGCTCAAATTGCATGTCCTTTTAGCTCCCAGAAGGTCCCAATTAGGCCTGACACAAGCCATCACAATGCCCATGCTCTCTGTAACAACCACATTAAGCTCAGTGGGTGCTGGGTGAGTTTTAAAGTAGGTTTTTCAACTGGTATGGGTGGACAGGTTCCCATCTCACCACCTCCATTCCTTCCCCCAGCCCACTGCATTATATTTCCTCTTACAACATCCTACTTAGGAATATGCTAGCTCCAGACACAGCTGTTGCTTATTTGTCGGCGACTGAATAAGCCTGATCACAGAAGACCATCCTGATGGGATGAGAAGAATCACAGTGAACATCACAGACTTTGTGAAACAAGTCAGAAGTTATGAGAAAATGGCCACTGGAAATTTCACATTTTAAGTGCATCCAAGTATAATTCAAATAGCTCAAATCTGATGAGAGCTCCAAATAGAAGGCTGTAAAGAAAATATCTTTTATTTTTTATTATTTATTTATTTATTTATTTATTTTGAAATGGAGTTTCACTCTTTCACCCAAGCTGGAGTGAGGTGGCACGATCTCGGTTCACTGCAACCTCCTCCTCCTGGGTTCAAGCGATTCTCCTGCCTCAGCCTCCTGAGCAGCTGGGATTACAGGCACCCACCGCTACGACCAGCTAATTTTTGTACTTGTAGTAGAGACAGGGTTTCATTATGTTGGCCAGGCTGGTCTCAAACTCATGACCTCAGGTGATCCACCCGCCTGGGCCTCCCAAAGTGCTGGGATTACAGGCATGAGCCACCGCGCCTGGCCAAAAAGAAAATAATACTATTCATGAAGACATTGGGTTGCCTACATGGTACCAGAAATATTCTTGCTCCACTGATATCCCCCTTCTGGATATTTGTTATTTTGCCATTTGGGATGTGCACAGAAATGCATATAAACACACAGAACAATCCAATTGCTAAGATTCTCCACCATGGATTCTTCACAAATCAAGATAAACTTCTCATTTCTTCATTTATTTTTACAATCCTTTACTGAACTCTTATTAAATGGCAGACTGTTCTGGTTCCTGGGGATACAGCTCTCTCTCATTCTCTCTCTCTCTGTACTTACTTACTTAATTTATTTATGTATTTATTTTACTAAATTAAGAGGGTATATAACTGAACAAGCTCTCATGATGCCTCCCTTTTAATGTAGGAGGGACAAATAATTTAAAAAGTAAACAAGAAAATAGCAGGTGGTGATAAATGCAGAACAATGACAATAATCAGTGTGATGTCTTAGAGAGCCCCTAGGGGCCATTTTTGGCAGGGTGGTCAAAAAAGGCTTCTCCAAAAAGGGGATTTCAGCTGAAGCTTTCGTGATAAGAAGGAGCATGCTTTCTGAGCACGTGGGCTTACCAGGTAAAAAGGGCAGCTAGTGCGAAAGCCCTGTGGTAGGAATAAGCTTTGGCAAATACAAGGAATTAGAAGAAGGTCAATGTACCAGAAGCACAGTCGTTAAGGTGGACA
Organism: Homo sapiens; assembly: GCF_000001405.40. Taxonomy (NCBI): domain Eukaryota; kingdom Metazoa; phylum Chordata; class Mammalia; order Primates; family Hominidae; genus Homo; species Homo sapiens. Next base: position 147,005,913 of record NC_000004.12, read on the forward strand.
GTAAGGAATGGAATATGAGACAGTCAGACAAATCCTAAGAAGGCAGGGCCTTCATAGGCCAGGCGAAGAGTTCAGATTGTACTTTAAGTGTTACAGAAAGCCATTGGAGGGTTTCAAGCAGGGGAGTGACATGACCTGACTCACATTTTAAAATAATTACTTTGGCCTCTCTTTGGAGAACAGAAGGTAAGGGGTAAATGTGGAAGCAGGAAGGCCAAGTAGGAGGCGAGTACAGTATTTTACACGAGACTCGATAAAATCTGGACTGTGGTTGTAGCAGTGGAGATAGAAAAATGTAAAAGAAAAAAGAATTAAGACACATTTTTGAGGCAATACTAATATTCTACCTTACAATCTACCGCCTCCTTACTCTGCCAAATCTCACACATACAGCATGCATTCATTTATGCTGTCCATTAACGATAGTTTATTGTACACTTACTATGTGCCAGATGTAGAGCCAGGTCATGGTATCACACCAAAAGATAGAAGTCAGCTCAGTCTCCAACAAATAATTTTGCTTAGTCATCAATACCAGACCTCATCCTAAGTAACCAGTTCTGAATAAGATATTATTTTATATTAAAGTTTCACCAAGAAGGCATTTAAAAAATGCAATATTAAAACTGAAAGCCAGAAGAATTCTACCTGTTAGTTTAATTTTTCTGCTTATAATAAGCAATAATTCCACATAATTCTATTAGCTAGTTTCATGTCATTAATATCCTCTCACCCATCTTCACAGTCAATTGGAAGATCAACTAGAAGAGCTTCTTCAAATGCCTGCTAGAAGAATTGTTTCTATTTTCAGTTTTCGTGACCTGCTATGCTGGGGAGATTGAATGAGATACTCAAGTACCTTGCTTTTTAGACTGGAATCTTTAATACATGGTACTATCACCCATAGTGATGCCTCATTTTTTTAGGTGACTCTCTGCCCCCTTTTTTTAGGTGACTCTTTTCAGCACCTAATCTTGGTTCTGGTAAGTAGGTTGAGAAGCTAATCCTTCAGTCCTAAATTGAATTTGCAAATTGTCAATGAGAAGCACAGTGTTCTTCAAACAAAAACAGACAATACTAGGCTTAGGGTTTTTTAAAAAAACTTCAAGTCAGGTATAACATAACAACCTTTCCAGATATTAGAAAGGCTGTCTCAAATTTCTTTATAAGCTCTTTGAAGAATTAGCAATGACCATTTCCTTTCCATTTTATAAGCTAAACCTTTTCACTTTCTATTACTTTCTTTTTTTAATGTGTTTTACAAGAGTCCTTTCTATTATTTTCCACTTTCATCATCTATAATATGATGCTTTCTTGACTCAAAATTATCCAACTTCCTGTGGTTAATATGGACAAAATTCTGTAAATTGTGCACGTTATTGACTTGTAGCACTCAGTGAAGAGAGCAAACCAACTGTACCACCTGGCCAATATGCAACTCCCCTGTCCTCTGCCCTGACACTTTAGTGCAGCCCTAGCCAGGACAGGCCCCAGCCCAAGAGTCCTCAGTAGTTACCCAAGGCTCTTCTGGGAATCCACTGGATAAATGTGTATCATTGGTTTTTCTCTGGCTTCCCTATATAATTGATAAACATAGTAGTGTTATTTCTAATTCACCATTTACAGAAAAATAATTGCAATATTTTAGGCTGTGTGATATAAAAACATATTATTGACAATTGATTAAATGGTGTATTTGTGTCTTGTTCTATTAAAAAATTAAGAGTAGGTTCTTAGTTAGAAAAGTAGTCCCCTATGACTTTGAGTCTCAAATGTATTATTTAACTGGTAGAGCAACTGAAAATCATAACATAAGATATGATGAAATATTCAGATATCAAATTTAAATTAATTTAGTACTGATTGAGATCCTATTTTCTCATTCTCTACATAATGAGAATAGAGAAGGTTTAAGAAAAAATGAGGGTTAAGTTTTAGTGGAGAGAATTTCAGTAATTAATTTAATTTTCTTCCTAAAAATTTGGAAAAGGCTATTGTCATTAAGTGTTAATACTGAAGTAGTGACGCTCTATGGTCTCAAATGGGAACAGAGCTCCAAATTCACGATCCTGTTACAACATTGTTTATATGCAGAAATCAATTAAATTTATATCGTTTACATTCAGGGGCTGTTAAGCTGCCACAATGCTGAGAATTGCCTGTAGTAAAATGTCTGTAGCATGAGAGAGCCACATTTAAGGAAAGAAATCAGTTTTACTACATACATCATGCTCTGTCCTAATGAATTTCAAACACATTGAGGAATTGGACTAGATGCCCTCAGTAGTCCCTTTTAGCCCTGAAATTTTGTGATTTCATATTAAATGTCTTTGGTCACCGGATAACCTTGCATATTGAAAAATGTTGCACATTTTGATAAGCCCAGGGTGCAAGAGTTCTTTCTGTAAGCAGCCTTAGAGAATTGTTGTTGAATTCTTCGGAAAAGTAAGTCTCTAGAAAAATCTAACGTCTGAAAATAAAAGCAGATTAGAGAGAGGTGAGCAGCAGAAATTTACACACCAGAATGCTAAGAAAACATTGCAGAAAAGTTCTTTTTAATCTTCTGATAATTGCAAAGCAAGTAGGTCACTAGTTGAGATAGAAACATCTTTTTCAAAGCTTCCTTTTCCAGCCAGGAAAATGTAGAAATGTGTCAGGGATCAAATATATTTGCAGAATATTTACTATGGAAACTTGTAGACTTTGATATTTTAAAATGCAACTGCAATAACAGGTACTTTATAATCATTCAAATGAATTATGAACATGTTTCTAAGCAGAGGCCCTGCCAGGCCTGATTTTTATGGGTACTGGGACCCTCAATTATTGCTGCAGAAAAAACTTGGCATTGGTGTCTGAAAGACTTGGTTTTGGATTTGGGCATTTTGCTACTTAACTAGCTATGCAAGTTACTAGCTTAGGCACGTTAACTTAAGTTTTCTGTGACTTTACCGACTGTAATAATATAATAGCTACCGCATAGTTGAGGATGAAAGAAATAATATGTGAGAAAATACTTAAATACAAGTTTCCTTTCTCTTTCCTCTCATCTGCCATCACTGCTTCTCACCAATGGCCACACTCAGGAGAAAACACAGGCACTAGTGCCCTTCGAAAGAATTTGTACTCTTACCATCCTTTTATATTTTTTTGTTGACTCCTCTAATGTACAGCAAGTGAGTACCATATCAAATAAAAGAAAATTAAGTTAGTAAAATTCTGAATTAACATTATGCTCCATGTGCTTTTCCCAAATTTGTCAAGCTCTTTCAAGATGCGGTCATACTGGAACACTCGCTTATCTTCCTTCCAAGGAATTCAGCACTCTTTCACATTGATTTAAAGGGTCAGGTGTGGTGGCTCACATCTGTAATCCCAGCACTTTGGGAGGCTGAGGCGGGCGATCACCTGAGCTCAGTAGTTTGACCAGCCTGGCCAACATGGCAAAAGCCCCTCTCTACTAAAAAATACAAAAATTAGCTGGGTGTGGTGACACACGCCTCTAATCCGAGCTATTTGGAAGGCTGAGGTGGGAGAACCACTTGAGCCCAGGAGGCCAAGGCTGCAGTGAATCAAGATTGTGCCACTGCACTCCAGCATGGGCAATACAGTGAGCCCCTGTCTCAAATAAAATAAAATAAAATAAAATAAAAAATAACGTTTGCATAACAGTCCTAAGAGATGCACTGATGGGCAAAAGGGCTAGTTGTATGAAGCAACATTGGAGGAGCTGCAGCGTTGGTTTCCTGTACCCACAGCCTGTCTTTACCATGTCCGTGCCCACACTTTGCATGGCACCCTTTCCCTCCTTCACAGCTCTGCCTTTCAAACAAAACTTTATAATAGTACCGCCTTTTTCCTGAGGTGCATGGCAGAATAAAAGCTTTGTCTCTATTACAGTATTTTTAGATATCCCAAAGCTGGCCATGTTGAGGTGAGGGAGAAAGAGCAGAACTGAGGGGAGCAGGGTCAGCATGTGCCTCTTGCTGCAGCTGCCAGCTTCTCTCCATCCTGCCTTTTTCTGCTGTGAAATGGTGCCTTGGCATGTGGCTGTGTCTTCATACCCATCTGAGCTCTTCAGAGGCCCATCATTCTCAACCATCCTCTCCGGCTGACAAGTCCTGCCATCCATAATTTTTCAACTATCCTTTAAAAGAAGACTGGGCAACATAGCAAGACCCTGCCTCTACCAGCTGCCTGTAGTCCTAGCTACTCAGGAGGCTGAAACGGGAAGATCTCTTGAGTCCAGGAGTTCGAGGCTGCAGGGAGCCATGATCACACTACTGCACTCCTGCCTTAGCAACACAGCAAGACCTTGTCTCTAAAAAAATAAAGCAAAAGGGATCACGTGCTAGACAGCTTGCAATTTGGTTATTAGGAAAATAAAAACTTGTGATTTCAAATGCATACTTGATTTTCTTCAAAATGTAATTTTGATTTGATAAACTTACTATGTAATGCTTCACTTACATTGCTTTGTTTTCACACAGAAAATGGGATATATTGTATGTAACATAATATATATTCACACACAGAGAGTGAAAGAGAGTGCACATACCTTTGTCCCCTCAGTGCACACATAAAAGTGAGTATTTATAATCTGAGCTAGCACGAGATTTAATGAATATGAGCAGACCACTACTTGACGCATGCCATTTTCTTTGTAATGTCAATCATTTTTGCCTTTATTTAAAAAGTTAGGTTAATGTTTGAGATTAATGAGCACTTGAAATGTTTCACTTAAAACCAATAGACTGTGGAAGTAGATGAATTAAATAATACTATGTAACCTATTCAGGTTGCTGAATGATTTATGATTGATATATAAATAGTGTCAGAACATTTGCATTTAAATCTAGAAGTGTTATTCCTATGATTAACACATTGAAACAAATGTTTTGGTGGCCATAGTTCATTTTAATATTTTAATTACATATATAAAATATGAATCAGGAAAGGAAATTATTTTAAGTGTGGTCAGGAAAAACAATGCATGAAAAAAGACGGCATACACAAAATTATTTTGAAGTTCCTCAAAGGCAGATGTTATTATTATACTGACATTATCATTATTATTATAATGACATAGCAATGACCATTTCAATGATGTTATCAGATTATCGCCTGAAATATAGTTATGTCAGCTATTCTCACATTTATTGGTAAAACATCTCTGAGCTCATGTACATCAGGCAGTTTATTCCAATATGAATTATTATAACATTCTCATTTTTTCTCATGTGGAATTTTAAAACTCCTTGTAATCGCTTCAAAGTCTGAAGTCTATAGGCCTGAGTTAATTTGCATGCTAGGTGCAATTTATTTCTAACAGAAACTATCCTATAATAATCAGACATCTTATGACATCTGATAAAAAATTTACGTTTTCAAACAAAGTGGGGTTGGTGGTTTATAAGCCCTAAAATAAAAGTGAATCCCTTAAATCTTGAATTTTCAATCTAAATTTGAATGGGTTCAGACTCTTGCTAGAAGCAATTACTGAAAACTCATTTCCTTGGTCACCTCCTCACTCCCACCCCCAACCTCCTTTGCAATATAGAGTTAAAATTTAACCCTCTGGACAAATGTGAGAATTAACTAGTTCGCTCTGTCAAAGCCCACCTGGTTACTATTGACGAAGGAAGCGGCTGGCTGGCAGTTCCTGCCTCATGATCCCAAACACCAGGTAGTTTTCAATCTCTTTCACCAATAGAATTACCTTTGATCCTCACAATAACCCCCCAGTGAAGGCGGCAGGGATTATCATCTCCACACAGAAATGAATGAAGGGAGGGTCAAGTTACAGTTTATCAATGGCACAGAGCATTAAATCAAGAACAAAGACGCTCCCCGTGATTATATCGGCACATATATTTGAATATGTTTCAGACTGTCGCTTAGTTATTAATTAAGAGACTGTTTAAATTATCCCACCTCCACACTTAGATCCGTTGCTTGTTTGCCCTTCCTAAGACTGTGGAGATGGAGATTTAATCAAAAGACCTTAGGATGAGCGCCTTGTCAGAGCACAAACATTTTGAAATCCCGATGAAAATGCAGTTTAATGCATCCAGTTAAATTGCCTGAGAGGAAATAGTGAATACAGCTTTCTTAAAGCCTTTTCCCTCAGGCCATTAACTAAGAAACTGGTCACTAACTGCTGGTAACAACCCGTTTTGGAGGGATTATTGCTATTATTGGCATCTGTGGTTTATGGCAACATTTTGTTAAAGACATTAGAAACGATAGTGCAGCTGGACTTGATATTTCAGAGAAATCAGTCCTTTCCCTTGTGGTTAATGGCCATTTTTTTCTTCCAATCTAAGTGTACCGAGGCTGAGCTGCACTGCTGAGTTTATTATCTGCTGCATTTCTTGTTGCTCTAAGAAAGATGCTTTACACTGGAGTCAGCATTCAAATCAATGGAGCAAAAATATAACATTTATTGTTAGTAAAATTGAATCATGCTGAAAAAGGCTGAACGAATGCTTGACTTAAACTGGATGTTAGAAATCATTTCACTTGCCATGAGCACTTTGCAGCTGACACACAGCCACATGCTATTTTCTTCCAGTGATTAATTGTTAGCAGGAGCAGGCATATATACATTGCCAAATGGAGAGTAATAACCAAAGTTATATTATTGATTTCCCATAACTCTGTGTGAACTTATATACCTAGAGAGGGGCCTGCTCTCTGTGGCTTATAGCTGCATGCTGATAATTCACTCTGGTAATTCCATTCCCTGAAAACAGAATTAGAAAGGAGGTGGCCTCGGTGAAGGGCAGGCAAACATCACACAAGGAAAGAAAAGTTCCAGAGAGTTTCAAAAAATATTTCTTTTGTTCACTTCTAATGGCAGAAACAAGTCAGAACCATGACAGGTAAAAACTATAAGGTATAAAATTGAGATTGAAGGCAGATTACAACTATCTTATTTGCATGGAGACTTTTTTTTTTTTTTGCTTTATTGGGGTCCATTTTTCCTCCTATATTTTAATCCAAAAACAAAAGATCAGAACATGTCATTAGCTCTACTTCTTAGTGAACCTGACTTTTCTCAAGAAATTTACATCTTTCTCTCATTTTCTGTTAAGGTTTCTTACCCTGTTTTCTCACCTAAGGAATTATAATGAGGTAGAGTGAATGAGCTCTATGGGGAGAGCAGTGGACCCAGAGACTAAAGGTAAAAGGATGATTGATGGTATGAAATTACCATATAAGTACAATCAGGATCAGATTTTAAAATGAATTTTTAAGCAGCCTAAGAGATACTCTTTGATTTGCAGTCTGGTGGAATGGATAATGTCTCATTCAGTGGATAAAGTTTCTCACTGTGTTACTTGAGCTTTTTCTGATCTTTCTGACTGGGAGTAAAATGGAACCAAAGCCTAAAGTGGTTTTTAATGCAGAAAATATCAAACACAATATTCTTAATGTCAAAACCTGGGCATAGCAGGTGAGAAAAGAAAAATAAATAGTAGAATATTACTGTTAGTATTATTGTTTCAGTCTCTCCTCTCACAGGCAAATGGGGTTAAAGCATACATTTCTTAAAGGGTAAACTTGTTTACATATTGAAAAAATAATAATGCTTAGGTTAGTGTCAGGTTTTAATTTTTCTTAGGTGTATAAAATGCTCCAACTAAAATATTCAAGCAAAATGCATTTGGGGGCTATACGTTTTCCCACTTTTTTTTTTTAAGTTTATAGATACTTTTTATTTTGAAAAAATTTTAGATTTACAGAAAAGTGGCAAGGATATTAAAGAGAGTTCCTGTACACACTTCATCCAGCTTCCCCTGTTGTTAACATCTTACATTACTATCAGGGTTGCCAGATTTAGCTGATAAAATACAGGACACCAGTTTAATTTGAATTTAAGATCAACGATCTTTTAATGTACCAATGTCCCATGGCAGTCCTAACGTAACCCTAGTATGTTACATTTGCCACAACTGAGAATAAATATTAGAGAACGGAATTCTACACTTTTATTTGAATTTCACTAGTTTTCTTATGTATCTCTTTTCTGTTCCAGGATCTCATTCAGGATAGCACATTACATGTAGTCATCATGTCTCGGTAGGCTCCCCTGGTCTGCAACAGTTTTTCTGACTTCCTGTTTGCTTTTAAACACAGTGCAAAATGAGCTAAAACATTAATTGATAATCTAATAGTGTTAATACTTGATCATGTATTCAAAATCCACTTTTTAAAAATTAACACATTTTTAAAATGTTTAATATAAATTATTTTAATAGTCTATATCTAATACTGTATATATAAGATTACAAAAACAGTAATAAATCGTAATTATAAATCAGGATTTTTCATTTTAACATTAGGAAAAATATAACTTGTAGCAACTTGTAAACACGTATGAGCTCATCATTAGATTGGAACTATTGTTTTCAGTTGAACATTGTACTTATGGTCTTCGAATATAAAGATAAATACTGGAAACTTTCAAATTATGTGCTTTTATTTTACTAAGCTTGAATTTTCATTTCATTAGTTTTTCCACAGCATATACATACTTCTAAGAACAGACCCTTGAAAGATGTTAATGAATTTATGTTGTAAACTTTGTTCATAGCCATAAGTACAAACGTTTTGTTTTGTTTTTGCTTTTGTTTTCTTCAGAATTTTTCTAAGAAAGACTTAAAAAAAAAACACAGGAGGGATATGGCAATAATCAATCTAGCAGAAAATATTTGAAGCTTGCAGCTTTATAATTCAAGTTGATCTTCATTAAGTTAAAATTCCCTGCTTTAAAACATTATGGAAATCTTTAACATTTCAGACAGTTGCTTTTTGTGACAGTTTCTATTTCTTCCCCTCTGCTGACAGTTCCTATAATGACTTTAATCATAGAGTCTGGAAACGGAATCGGCTATTGAGTAGCAACAAACTCAATGGTCAATGTCTATGTCACTTTTCTGGGAGCAGGACTTTCTGAGCATCAAGAAGCTAATACTCAGAGCCTCCTGGAAAAGTGCTAAGTGCATTAACTCTCTGTCAATCACATCTGTAACACACAGGCCAAATTATTACTATTTGGCTCAAGACATTCCATTGAAACTTATTGGTGTGGTATTCTTATCTGTGTACTGTATATAACTAATGATGATTGTTTATGGAAAGGTGCCTGTCCAATTATTTTTGAAGAAACACAAGAATGCAGAATGACTGGAAGCATCAGGTTTTTGCCAGAGAATGCCTCAGGTAAGAGGAGAATGGCTAGAGGCTATAAGGAATCACAAGAGACAAGTCAGAGTCGTAAATTGGGAAACTGACATATCTCATCTAATATACTTGCTAACTAGGCCTTTAAAAACCTTGACATTTAACTAAGTTTGTGGGAAAGTTATGGGTTTTGTCCTTTTCTATGGGCTCTAACTCATTAATCCAGTGAATTAAGGTGATTATCATTGTTACCAACATTAGGAGATAACGGAGGGAAATGTTTAGAGAGGCGGTGAGCTTCTCGCAGCGCAGCTGAGCAGCTGTTTACGCAGGCTGTGCCTGTTTCAAAGCCAAGTCAGTCAAAAATGATACTTCAAGTTATTTACCCTTTTGGTACTTCGGGGCTTGAAATGGCGTGAAAAGAGCCTTTCATTCGGCAGAGGCATTTAAATAAAGCTTTCCAAAGGCTGATGTGTTTGGAAGAGGGTGGGCTCTTTGCTGAAATAAACAAGTTTCTGGGGATTTTAAGAAAATAGGAAAGAAATGAAAACTTTCCAGTGAATGTCATCTACTTCAACGTCTGATTTTAATCAAGTTCATATTATTTAAGGGCACAGCAATGGCCCATGAGATCATCTTTGGCTTTTTATGTGAATGTTCCTAAAGTAGATTTAACTTTGCCATAAGATATTTTTTTAACTCCAGAAACATTAAGAAACAAGACCAAAGATAAATCATGTGTAATCAGAAAGCAACATAGTTTCTTGAAAAGGCAGAAAAAAAAGGTGCTGTTCACAAAGCATATAGTAAACTAATTGAGCTTTTAATTCAGGATTTTATTAAACATATGTTAAAAGGAACGCCATTAAACCTAAGTGCTTCAAAATTAGGTGATGGAATTTGCCTTTTTTAAACAATAGTCTTTGAAATCAAACCAAAAATCTCTTTTTTTAAATTGCAAAGCTCACATTGTTAATTTACTTATATAAAGTAAATGACAAAGATATCCGGAGACACTTGAGAAAATGTTAAGATAAGACTATCTAACAATTAACATGTGGAAATTATTACTCAGAAACGCTAAGAAACGGTTTAACCTTTTTTCCGAGTTATTAAAAACCACATGTGTCTGTTTCCTTTTTTACCACTTATTTTAAAAATTTTTAAATTTTTTAAAAGATAAAAAGGCTTTGCTACTTGCTTTAGAATTATCATTGACAATTTCTAACATTTTAAAGTTTACTGGCAATATGAAAAATAATTTAAAACATGTATTTTAAGGAACATTATTGACTTATTTATACCAGTTCCTTCCTTTTTGGTTAATTCCTATAAAGGATTTATCAAGCCAATATTTATTTAGCATCTTATAGACAACTAGCATAACATTACATTCTTTAGAGATAACAAAAATACATTTAAGGCATGGTCCTTCAGGATAACTTCGAGTTCTAATTTTATGCAGAAGACAAATACAGCACTTACTGAAATAAAAAGCATGGGAGAACAGTGTAAGACTCTCTGTAGTGATTAATGAGGACTTTCTGTAATAAATAATAAAATGCTATGCTATGTGTATTAAGAAAAAAAAATAAGTTTTTACAGCAGTGCAGAGAAGGAAGATCTCCAGATGGAGGGGTCAGGGAAGTGGAGGTCCTAAGGTTGTGGTATGAGAGCTGTCTCGTCCATGTGCATAGATCAGTGGTGATACGAGTAGCCTGCTCCAAAGCCAGAAAGCCAACTAGACAGAGCGGTAGTTAGTGAAGCGGCTAAGGGTTTCCTAGAGATAATAAATATCTTTGATGGAGAGGGCAGCACTGGATGAAAGCAAGTGGAATACACAAGGTGCCCTCTATGTATAAATGTCTACTGCCTTGAGCAAGTTACTTAACCTTTCTAAACCTGGGTTTTCTTACCTGTGACATGGACCTAATAATAGTTCCAATCTCATTGACTTTGTGCATAGTGAGTGGCAAAAGGCAGTTATATCTGTTCGCCTGGACCATGGTGAGAACTCAATGGGATAACACATACAAAAGACGATGGAGATTGGGAGCAGAGGCTGAAAGGTGTCAGGGAGGGTGTGGCAGCTGGTCTTAGCCCCATGTCTGTAAGGGACTGATCTGGGAATGCCAAGGCTCAATCTGGACAGCTCTATTTAGGCCTCGTATGTGCAGTGAGTCAGCAGGGAATCACTCAGAAATTGAGAAATGTCCCCATATGTTGGTTTATGGTGTTTTTACGTATTGGGGGCCTTACGGTAAGGTCCTGTGGCTAGAGATGAGATTGCTCCCCATCCAGAGGTAGAAAATGAAAGCTCAAGGGTAAGATTTTAGATAATATGGGATAAATGTCCCTCTGTTTAGGACTGGAGAAAAAAGAAGTTTAGACTCAAAATACAAGAGATATTTGCAAGGATATCCAAGTGCCAGCATTTTAAATTGACCCCTGCAATATGTTGGAAGGAGGGAGCTAAAAGCTCTATGCACTGCACGCTGGGGCTTTAGAAGGGGCTTGAGCCTGAGGACTCCCACAGTAACCATATCTAATAACCAGTATTAAGTCCTCTGAGCATTAATTCATTCTGTTCCCCAAAGCCATCATAAATGTCTCACACATTACAGCTCAATCTTCCCTATCACTATAGGAAAACATGGGAAGCATCTGAGCCTACACTTCAGACAAAGCTGTGCCAGGAGAATAGCCCCTGATGCCTGAAAAGAGTCTCTGGACAGGAAGAGGAGACCTTCAGAAGAGCCCAGTAGCAGCGCAAACCCAAACCAACATGCCATAGATAGACAGGTTTAGGGACAGGAAGAATTTCCCAGGGGTTCCAAGAGATTCATGAAAGGGAAACTGGGGAAGCCACTGGACCTCTGACAGTAATAAGGAAAGGAGACCTAGATTATTGTGGTTTGGATATTCATGGGAGGTGTGATCTTACAACCTGCTGATGTATGGGATATCTGGGTCACATAGGATTGTTGCAAGGTTGAAATGAGATAATGAATAAAAAGTTTTTAGCAAAACATCTGTTTTGTTTTTGAGACAAGGTCTCATTCTATTGCCCAGGCTGGAGGGCAGTGGTGCAATCTCAGCTCACTGAAACCTCTGCCTCCTGGGTTCAACTGATTCCCGTGTCAAGCCTCCTGAGTAGCTGGGATTACAGGCGCCTGCCACCACATCCGGCCAATTTTTGTATTCTTAGTAGAGACAGGGTTTTGCCATGTTGTCCAGGTTGGTCTCAAACTATTGGCCTCAAGTCATCCTCCCACCTTGGCCTCCCAAAGTGCTGAGATTATAGGCATGAACCACCGTGCCTAGCCAACATATGACTTTTTAATAGGATCTCAGGAAATGTCTATTGTAATTGATGTTATTGTTATTGACTATGGGATGGTATGTTAGGGGATTATGTAAGTGTGATGGACCAGAAGGTCATATAAGATATATTCACTAAGCAAATCCTGTAGGTACCCAGGCTTCTGCATATACCAAACAGCACCATTGTATGCACAGACAGACCAAAGCCAGACCCTTCCTTCAGAAAGGACTAGAAAGCCAACTTTCTACTTGTCACTTTCCCAGATATGGACAAGGTTGTAAACACGTGGAAGTATAATTTTTTTAGTGGCAAATTACAAATGCATTCAACAGAGCTGTTTCAGAAAGTCATGAGTCTGTGGGAGCAGGTACCAGCCTTAAATGGTGAATGCATTGAAGCAGTGGTAGCTCTGGGGGAGATGGTCCATTTTTCTTTCATTAGACTCCACCGTAACTTGGTATCTTTGTTTTTCTCCATGGGTTCTTAGGCTCAAAGCCAAAGATAGCCATTTGGCAGAAGCACAGGCCCTAGTGAAACATGTATTGAAAGCAGTCTTCTGTGTTTAAAGACATCTCCCTATACGACAATTGTCCTGGATGTCAGGCACTGTGTTGGAAGGCAAGCTGACACTTGACAGGTGACATAGGCAGTACTAATGGTAGAAATCTGATGAAGCAGAAAACAGAGTGGATTTAAGGAGCTGAGTGAACATCTAGCCAGAAGAAGCCAAGATACAGGGACACCAAGGGCAGAAGATCAGACTCCACATCAGCTTCTCAACATGCTACTCACACTCAATGGTTTACCAACAAGAAGCAGCAGGTGGCAGTGTCCCCCAACATTAGCGAGGCCACAGGTCAGGTGTGGAAGTGGACCAGCTGGGCCAGAAAGTATGAAGCATTCTGATAATACTAATACCTAATATTAATCAAGAAATATTTATCTAGCAGGCTCAACTTTAATGAACTAACTCACTTAACGTCACAACAACTGTATTTAATAGATCATGTCATGATCTCAGGCATGCTTATAGCTTCAGGGTGTTTGCACTTGAAGTTTCCTCTAATCAAAACACCATTTCCCAGGTATATGCATGGCTTACTCCTCATGGCATTCTGACCTTTGGTCAAATGTCATCTCCCCAGTGAACACTGTTCTGATCATGAAAATACTCTACCCCACTGCTTATTCCCTTGCCATCCTTTATTTTTCTGCACAGCTCTTATCTCCCGGAAGAAATGTATGTATTTGTGCATTGCTTATAACCCTTCTAGAACTTAACATTGCACAGTGGAAGGGAACGTTATCTGGTTTGTTGATGGCTATATCCTAGCCCCCAAAATGATACCCTTCCCAAATAATTAGCACAATAAACAGTTGTTGCATGATGAAATATCAATTTATAAAGAAAAAACTGAGTTACAATGAGTTTAAACAAATTACCTGAAGTCTCAAGTCATGCATGCAAAATCAGGCTTGGAATCCAGGCAGTGCGGCCCCGGGACCCCAGTTCTTGCCTGCTATCCATACTGCCTTGTGACTACTTCCTTACGTCATCATCTCAGTCCTGAGACAGAAACAGATCACCTGTGAGCAGGGGAGAAGCACATGGAGCACTGCTCTCTATGAAGGACTGGAAAAGGCCCATATCTGGCTTCCTAGGTCCTCTCTTCCCGCATGAGCCTCTATACATGCTGCTGCTGCTGGGAGGCTGTAGGCTTCTGGCTGGAGGGCAGACCCTGTCTATCTCTCTTTCTCTTGCTGAGCATGAGAGCAGGTAGGTGGGCTAAACCCCTCTGAAAACCTAGATACCAGCAATAGCCATACTGAGAAGAAAGGATGGCAGGACCTCTGTTTGCTACTGCATTTCTAGGCACCAGCCTGGAGTCTGGGGATGCTCTGGTTAAAATGCTTAGCCCCTGGTCCTATTGGCCATACTCAGATCAACCCCTGTGGAGTGTACTCCTGAGCCTCAGGACACAGCGGGCCTTTAGAACTCTCCTGAAGCCTAGGTTTCTCCTTTATTTCTAGTGAACTACCTAGAAAAGTTCGAGTCTATAGGCCTGTGATTTCAAGCTCTGGGTGTGCGCTTGTCTGAGGTATGGAGAAGCTTCCTGAAGAAACACATCAGTCAGTTACACTGGCCATTAAGGAATCTTCGGCACACCCAGCCACTGTAGCCTGAGAGGTAGGAAAGAGACTGAGAGACCGGTGCTGGGTAAGGCACAAAGGTGAGACAGAAAAACTCCACAGATTATGGTTTGTGTGATAAAGAAAGGGGCCAAAGCTCATACTTACATTTAAAACCAGGAACACAGTAGCAGCTGGGTAAAGAATATAATTAAGAATCAAGCAGTGGAAGAGAGGACAGGTATTCTTGACCAGAGCAAGGGCATTCAGGACATAGATGAGAACTAGAGCCCAGAGAGACTTACTGAGCGTGGGGTGTCACCACCATCCCTGTTAAAGCACACACTGTTAGCCTGGCCATGGTGGGAGAGTCATTGAAGAGGCAGAGTCAGCTGAAGGAACACTGAAGTTAAGGAGAGGGGCTCTAATAAACTTAGGAAAAAAAGAAAAAGTAAAGTGAGCATTTCTGGTCTTATTTTCATTTATTTATTTATTTGAAAGAGGGTCTGGCTCTGTTGCCGAGGCTGGAGTGCACACTCCGCCTCCCGGGCTCAAACCATCCTTCCAGCTCAGCCTCCTGAGTAGCTGGGACTACAGGCATGTACCACAGCACCTGGGTAATTTTTGTATTTTTTTTTTTTTTGATAGAGATTTTTTACCATATTGCTCAGGCTGGCCTCAAACTGCTGGGATGAAGAGATACTCACGCCTCCGCCTCCTAAAGTGCTGAGATTACAGGTATGAGCCACTGTGACCAGTCTATTTCTGTTTTTATATCTCCAAAACTCAAAAGACTTTTTACAGATTCTACTCTTCATGGATCACTACATTTCTTCGTTTATTCAACAACTGTATATTCAGAGCCTATTGTGCCAGTTGTTAAAGTAATTTATGGCTGAGGTGAACCCAACAAGCCACAGTGCTCCTTTTGTTTCTTACGTAAATCTTGCAAAAACATTTTTTCCTTGTCAAATACATCCATATTATCCATGCTATGAATATATATTCTTCAAATATTTACAACTTTTTTGAATTTACATATATACTTTTTTTTTTAGCTTTTATTTTCGGTTCAGAGGTACATGTGCAGGTTTGTTACGTAGGTAAACTCATGTCATGGAAGCTTGTTGTACAGATTATTTCATCACCCAGGTACTAAGCCTAGCTCCCAATAGCTGTTTTTTTTGGCTCCTCATCCTCCTCCCACCCTTGACCCTCAAGTAGGCCACAATGTCTATTACTCCCCTCTTTGTGTCCATGTGTTCTCATCACTTGGCTGCCATTTATAAGCAAGAACATGTAGTATTTGGTTTTCTGTTCCTGCATTAGTTTGCTAAGGATAATGGCCTCCAGCTCCATCCATGTTCCAGCAAAGAACATGATCTCATTCTTTTTTAATGGCTGCATAGTATTCTATGGTACATACGTACCACATTTTCTTTATCCAGTCTTCTATTGTTGGGCATTTAGGTTGATTCCATGTCTTTGCTATTGTGAATAGTGCTGCAGTGAACATAGCCGTGCATGTGTCTCTGTGAACAATTTCTATTCCTTTAGTTATATACCCAGTAATGGGATTGCTTCGTAGAATGGTAGCTTTGTTTTTAGCCCTTTGAGGAATCACCACACTGCTTTCCACAATGGTTGAAATAATTTATGATTTTTTAAAAATATAATAGCCATTCTGACTGGTGCAAGATGGTATGTTATTTTGCTTTTGATTTGCGTTTCTCTATCAGTGATATTGAGTTCTTTTTCATGTGCTTGTTTGGCCATATGTATGTCTTCTTTTGAAAAGTGTTCATGTCCTTTGCCCACTTTTTAATGGGGTTGTAAATTTGTTTAAGTTCCTTGTAGACTCTGGATATTAGACCTTTGTCAGATGGGTAGAATGCAAAAAATTTCTCACATTCTGTAGGTTGTCTATTTACTCTGTTGATAGTTTCTTTTGCTGTGCAGAAGCTTTTTAGTTTAATTAGATCCCATTTGTCAATTTTGGCTTTTGTTGCAATTGCTTTTGGCATCTTCATAAGTTGCTTTGCCAGTTCTTATGTCCAGAATAGTATTGCCTAAGTTGCCTTCCAGGGTTTTAATAGTTTTGGGTTTTACATTGAAGTGTTTAATCCACCTTGAGTTGATTTTGTATGTGGTGTAAGGAAAAGGTCCAGTTTCAATCCTCTGCACATGGCTAGCCATTTATCCCAGCACCATTTATTGACTAAAGAATCCTTTCCCCATTGCTTGTTTTTGTCAGTTTTGCTGAAGATCAAATGGTTGTAGGTGTGCGGCCTTGTTTCTGGGCTCTCTACCCTGTTCCATTGGTCTATGTGCCTGTTTTTTACAGTACAAAACAGTACCATGCTGTTTTGGTTACTGTAGCCCTGTAGTGTAGTCTGAAGTCAGGTAATGTGATGCTACCTGCTTGGTTCTTTTTGCTTAAGATTGCCTTGGCTATCTGGGCTCTTTTTTGGTTCTGTATGCATTTTAAAATAGTTTTTTCAATTCTGTGAAGAATGTCATTGGTAGTTTGATAGGAAGAGAATGAAATTTGTAAATAGCTTTGAGCAGTATGGCCATTTTAATAATATTGATTCTTTCTATCCATAACATGCAATGTTTTTCCATTTGCTTGTATCATCTCTGATTCCTTCAGCCATGTTTTGTGATTATCATTATATAGATCTTTCACCTCCTTGATTAGCTGCATTCCTAAGTATTTTATTATTTTTGTGGTAATTGTGAATGGGATTACATTCCTGATTTGGTGGTCAACTTGGCTGCTGTTCATGTATAGGAAGGCTAGTGATATTTGCATATTGATTTTGTATCCTGAGACCTTATTGAAGTTGTTTATCAGCTTAAGGAGCTTTGGGGCTGAGACTATGGGATTTTCTAGACATAGAATCATGCAATATCGCTTTTGAGTTGCTAGAAACACAGCAGAAAAAAATTTGAAAAAAATTAGTCAATGTGAAACTGACTTTTTTATACGAAAGAGGCAATAATTTTTGTTCAAAAGTTGCCTACAAGTCCATCTATCCATTCTATCCAGAGCTATGAATATGTGCATTTCCACAAAGACCACTCTCCCAATTTTACCTAAAGCATTCTTCAGGTTTACAGGCTGGCCTCCCTGAAGCCTTCTTTCTTAACCTTCTTCTTTTTTTGTTGTTTGCCTTTTTGAATCTCTAATTGTCACTGCTCTGAGGGGCCCATGGTTCAGAACACTGTAGCAAACATAGATACTCCATTTATTACATGTCAGCATGACTTACGCTTAAAGGACAGTATCCTTCAAATAAAAGACAGTGCTGATTGCTCACATTGGAGCTGCCCATGAATACACTTACACATATTTATTGAGAACCTGCTTAGGTGTATAGGTGACACCAAACTTTAAGTTTCAGTGGTAAAAGTCACTCCAGGTTGTTTGTCTCAGGAAATTTATATTAGAAAGGTTAGGAATTTGAATCAAGTCTAGTGAAAATCTGAAGGCCAGTAAAACAATTGGGATC
The DNA here is from genome assembly GCF_000001405.40 of Homo sapiens. Lineage (NCBI taxonomy): Eukaryota > Metazoa > Chordata > Mammalia > Primates > Hominidae > Homo > Homo sapiens. The sequence goes on from NC_000004.12 coordinate 147,024,072, forward strand.
TCCAGTTTTGTGTCTTTTAGAAAGGCTCAAAAATGGCCAGTGGGTATCTGGTAGACCAAGAAGAACAGAGCAAGGTGGATTCCACTAATGTGTATCACCAGCAATCATTTTTAAGGTATTCAACTAAAGGTCACACATACTTAGGCATTCTATTGAAATGTGTTAATATTGACAATGATAAATATGTGGAGATTATTTTCCCTTGCACTTTCTCCTAGGACACTTCTCAAACGTACTATATCATATTAAAAGTAGTCTGAAAGAGTATTTTAAAACAAGTTTCATTAAGGATACTACATTTCAACCTTTATACTTTATTATATAATACAAAGCTTACATTGTACTCTCCCTGCTTCCTGCCCCTATAAAGTATTACATTAATTTATTTTCCCTTGATTGACTATCCCTATGCAGTAGAGATAAATCCTTTTGAAGCTACACCACTGTCTAACACACCAATATTATGGACCCTTATTATTCTCATTCACCATTGAAAAAGGGATGTCTAAAGAGGCTAGCCAGATTTCCAAAAATGTCAGAAGACAATACTGGCAAAATCCAGCATAAAATCTATTCTTCATTTTCAAACCATGAGCATTTACCACAATGCCAATATACATTTTAACGCTGGCAGTAAACTTTTGTTCTACATTAACCTTGGTCAGAAGTCAAGGTTCCTAAAGTCTTTTTGATTGACCAAGAAAATTACTCTGGAATCATGAGGCTTATGTTTTTCTAATATACCAACCAACCAACCAAAAATAATATGTGTCTCAGAGCTATCCTTTGAATGAACTTGGCCGTATCTCAGAATATTAATAATGAATCGTAAATGTTTGATAAGCAAAGAACATGATTATAGGAAGGAGAAAAAAAACTGAGGAACACGTTAGTGACAAATAACTTTTTTTTTTCATTTTACTATAATGAGAAATACCATCTAGATTCCTGCTGAACAGAGTAAGTCTGGAAAAGGGAGCATTAGGAGGTTGTATAAGTTTTCTAATGAAATCAGACGTCATTGCTTCAGGCCATGTTCTCTTCTTTTAGATCTGTACAAGGAGCCACCTATACACTGCCAGATGAAATGTCTTTCAGTAACAAGGCTTCAGGCTGGCCCAGCTCTTTTACTTTCAGCTCTAAGTTCTATGACCAACAGGGGCTGTGTGATGCATTCCAACTTCAGGGCTTCCCCTGTGGTTATGGGTTATGTAAAGTCCTGCTAACCCCTAGGGTTCAGCTTCTCTCCAACTACTCCATTGTTCTTTCCTAGTGCGTCAGAGTTCCTCAGGGAGCATCTGCCTTTGCATATATGCTGAAAATGATCACTTCTTGAAAGAGTCCATTTGCCTTGGAGAGAGATCTGAGTCTCTTATATTCTTTCTTAGTCTTCTGAGTTACTAAATCTTGTCCCAGAAACATGCAGCAACAGGCAATTTGTCTTCTCATTTTTTTTTTTTTTTTTTTGCTGTTGCTGAGCTTCAAGCCCTGTTGTTTAATTTTGACACACACACGTATATAAATATATAAAATATATATAATACATATATGTAAAATATACATATGATGTTCTTCAGGACTGTGCTCAATCTTTACAATTGTTACATAATTTAATCTTATTTTATGCTTTCAGAAACTCCTTAACTAGGTTTTTCATCCCCATTTTACAGATGAGAAATCTGAGGCCCAAAATAAATGATGTAATTTATTTAACATCAGACAGCTTGGATGTAGCACACTGATCCAAGATTTCAGATTCCAAATATTCTGTTGTTACTCTAAATTATATTACTTCCATTGGCCAGATCTGTAGACAGCATCTCTTGACCTTTATTTTTCTTCATGATATTTATCACTGACACTATATAACTCTGCCACTTAGGGCCATGTGACCTTAAGGAAGGCACTTCACCTGTTTGTGTCTCATCTGTAAAATGGGAATTATGATGATACCTACCTTAAAAAGGGTTGTATCAAGGGAGTTAATGCATGTAAAACAATGAGAAGAATCTTTAGCCAATTGTAAGCATAAGTGTCAATCATTATTATTAGTAGTAGTAGTACATTTATTTGTTTGGGGTTTATTATCTGTCTCCTACACAAGAAGATAACCTTCTTAACGACAAAGACTTTGTTTTGTTGACTACTATATTCTCATTGCAAGAAGAGTGCCTAGCACATAGTAAGGGCTTAATAATTATTTATTCAATGAATGAATGAATGCATAAATGACTTCAAGTCTTCATCATCCTTTTTCCGTGACTTATGGGATTTGGCTGCTAAAGTTCATGAGTGGGTGAACATAGTGTTTGATGTCACAGCTGCACACACTTGGTCCAGCACCCCCATATGCCTAGATACAAAGTGGGCATCACTTGTGTTCTTTGTTGTGCCTCATTCTGATGACCTTTTCGCCTGACATTTTCTTCCCACAGGCCTCATGAATGGCCAGGCTATGCTCCACTTCCTTCAAGTTGTTCATTTCTCTTCATCTCATGAACGTGAACCTGTCCTCAATTTCATTGCCATAAGATCTCCTCTTAGTAGGTGATGCCTAATTACTCTTTCCAATTAACATGCTATTCAAATTTGTCTAATGTTTCTTCCAGTTCTAAAATTTGATGACCACTGATCTGATGTGACCGTGTGATTGTTTCACAATTTGATGTGTGTGATGATATTAGTATGTACAATACATGCTGTTTACCTCTATCTAGTAACAAATGTTTACATTTGTTACTAGAGTAAGCTTTAGGGGTAGAACTTGAGTCTCAAAGCTCACGTCTTGGGAAAAAAAAAAGATCTGGTATTGATAGAACCTTGATAAATCCCTTGTTATAGCACATGTTTTTGTTTCCCAGAAGTAGGGCAAGAGCTCTCTGGCTTATCCAATCAGCTTCTTCTCCTGACTTTAGTAGAGACACGGGCTTCATTACTGAGCTGGGAATTTAACTTCCCTCTGTCCTATGAAAAGTAGAAGATTTTCCTAAGAGAAACCTTCAGTGAGAGCAGAACAGAAAAAAGAGCAAAGAACTAACTGAAGGAGAGGGCAAGAAATCAGTGTAGTGTGGGGCAGCAGAAGGGAAGTGACAGGTCAAAGAAAATAGGAGAGAAAAGGAGAGAGAGCTACCCAAGTAAACAGGAAAAGGGGAGGAAATACAGGGCAAAAGCAGAGAGCAGGGGAATTGGCATGACAAGAAAGTGGTGAAACACAGAGGATTCCACCAGACAACAGAGAGCCCGGTAGAGAAGAGTGGGCTAGGATAAAGAGACAGGAAACAAATGGATTAAGACATAGAGTAGCCATTGTCAGTTACCTGGGTAAGAAAAGATTGGTGGTCTAAATAAAATGCAGATTGTTCATTTACAATTCTGACTGTTTAAATTATTTATGGTACACCTTGGTGCTTCACTTAATCATGTTAAGTTACAGTTGTAATCTTATTAATTACTTGCAACCAGCTTTCTCAATGTACCATGTATAGAGGACAGCTTGTCAAGGGGTAGAAGTACTATAGCTTCACTTTTAATCCAGTATCATCCAGTACACAAATTAGCCTTACACTGTTAGAATCTTCCTGATGATGACTGGCTGAACTAAGCATTAGTCTTGACAATACAAGTACTGCTGTGCCCATTTACAGAAAGGGAAGCAATTCTTTCCCAGAAAGTAAGATATGATTTAAATGCTTTGGCCTAATTAGCTGTGAAAAAGGACATGGCCCAGGTAAGGCTTCAGGAAAAGCCAATTAACACATGTGCATATGTCTCTCTCCATTCACATCACCCAGCCTAGTCCAAGTCACCACCATCTCTTCACTTGCATTGTTACAGTAGTCTCTTAGCCGCTTTTCCCACCTCCACCTTTGATATCTCTAGTTATTCATGAGGTCCAAAATGAACTTTTAAAAATAACACCACACTATCTCTATTTAGACTTTTCAACAGTTTCCCACTGCACAAGGGATACATTACCACAAGGAATTACACCAACTTGCCCTTGCAAATCTCATCTTTATGTTCAACTGTGCTGATCTTCATTTTCCTCCTCAGATGCGCAAATGCTTTCCCATCCCAGGGACTTCATGTTTGTTCTGCCCCAAAACTAAAACACTCTTCCCTGTTCTTCATCTGGCTAACCAATATTTGTGCTTTCTGTGTCAGCATAAACACTGTTTTCCTCAGACAAGATTTCCTGACTCCCAGCCTAGGCCAGGCCACTTCAAGGTGTGTGCTCTCCATAAAGTTTACTTCTTCTATATACATCAATTCACATAATTATACTTTAATACTTACTTGTATAATTGTTCGTGTGCTATGACCCCCAGTTGGCTGTAAGTCCTATAAAGACAGAGGCCACATCCATCTTGCACATCCCTCTGTTCCTAGCACCTGCCATGGGTCCTATCAGCTGACAAGCACTCAATATATTGTATGAATAAGTAAATAAGATTCTAATTTCCAACATCCTAGACTTGTTTACAGTCCCACGGAGCCTGCTCAGGTAGAGCACATGCAATGCTTCCTATGCATGTGTTTGCAGAGAGAAGAGAGAGAAGCCCTTCTGCTTCTCCCACGTGTTACCATTTTGACCAGACTCAGTGCTGAAGCACTGATGAAAGGGATGGAGACAGTGAGCCTGTGAATGCCGTGTGCAGAACAGCACTTGCCTTTGTCCCCCATGAAAGTAATGTGATGCTCGGTATCCACAATCTTTTAATCTGGCTGCTGTAGGGTGAGAATTTGTGGTCCTTTTCTGTTAAGATGGAATCTTGCTGAAGGTCAGAATGTGGTTAGAGTCAAAGAGTGGCATCACTAGCACTGTGTATAAAAGAAAGAATACAACTCGGATCTTTGGTTCTCTACCAACTTGACTCACTTTCTCCACAGCAAGGCTCATATTATCCTTTCCTAATGGAGTTTAGGATGCAATTGCAGTCCTCTTCAGACAAGTCTCCTGTCCCTTTTGCTTTATTCTGAAACAATGGAGTCCAAAATCTGTACTTCTTACATAGTACAGTGACTAGCTTCTAACATTCCAGCATGGCTATCTCAAGGACTTTTGACTAAATGCTGCCAGTTCATTTGGAGTGATCTCTGGCAGGGCCAAATTCAGCATAATGTAGCTTCCTGTTGTCTTCCTATATTCCTGTATGTTATTGTAAATATATTGACGTAAGCTGACCTATTATACATGCTTGTTCCCTTCTATGGTGATAGGGACTAGGAAAGACAATGCACTGTTCACTCTAATGTAAGGGATCACATATAATTCTTATGATTTGATGATTCTCTTCTGGCACTCAAACCTGCTTGTAGCTTTTAGGATTCATGGCCACTGGTGGCATTAAACACTTAGGGCCTGTCATCACAAAAGGACACTTTGTACACAATTATCTTTCCAAAGGCTAGATCAGCCCATGTCAATGTCATGTTTAATATTTAAACAAAACACACTTTACTGTCATTTGTATCTATTTACTCAGTCACCATCTGCAAAACCACTGTGAATAAAAATGGAACTTGTGGTGCAAGAAAAATATATTGAGAATCATTGAGTTGGACAGACCTAGTGAGAAGGTTGTGTCTATTCAAACACCTGTCTTCCACCCTCCCACCATCTGTGCAATCACTTCACCCTTCAGCCTCACTAGTCCCCCTAACAATTACCCTGTCAAGAGGAGAGTGCAGCTCAGGTGGATTTAATGTGGGTTTAATATGGCCTGTTGAGTTTAATGTTTAATGTTGATTTTCTTTAAGTAACCATTTCTGTTCTTGCTATAAATCTATGTCTATATGTCTATGCTTAATTTGGATGATGAAGGCAACTTGGATTTAAGGCAAGAGCCAGTTTATATGTTTTATGAAGAGATTATAGATCAAATAAGCAGACGATAGACCTTCCAAAGCTATAAGTGAAAACAGAAAAATGACGCGTAATTCACAGGTTACAGTGAAGTTAAAAGAGAGGGTTAATATTTTAATGTGTTGTTAAGAATTCTTTCACTCAAATTCTCAATCTGAATCTAATAGTCATCTATATACTGCTATAAAGGAAAGGGAAGAAGTTAATACGAAATTCAGACCTATTATCTGTTATTGGGTGTGATGCTAGAGAGTTTATATTCATTTTCTCATCTAATAAAACAACTCTTCAAAGTGGGTGTTTTAAAGACAAAGAACCTGAGGTCAGAGGGTTTAAATATATTGGGATACCAGCCAAAGTCTGATTCAAAAGTATGCATTTTCCTCCCTAAATGGTCATATTATTTACCTGGTGATAGTATATCCATTAGTCGGAATGATTCAACCCTCTAAGGGTCTCACCTCACCATGTGTAATATAGTATGTTATATCACCTAAAGGACAAAAATGATTAGAAAAAAATGAAAATTGTAAGAAATTGTCCATCCAATTACCTAGACAGCATTCAAGCTCAAAGCATTTGGATAACCACAATTGTTCTATTTCTATTTATCCGAGGCATATTCCTTCATTGCCAACTATGTGTCAGGTGTTGGGATTGACATTTTGGATAGAATTATAAGCAAGATGGAAATGCTCTCTTCTCTCACAGAGCCAAGTACCTACAGAGGACAGTGCAATGCAGATTGGCCTCTGTGGATTCTGAAGCAATATAGGGCTCAACGTTGCCTGCCTTAGAATGTGAGAAAATAAGTACAAATAGATGCTGCTTCTTTGAAGTAATGTATAAAATTTAAAGAAGATAGCAGGATCAGTAGTGTTTTATATTTCGTCAGGCTTTAAATATTTATGTTTCAGATACACTTTGACCATGATACTTCATAAATATGAGGCAAGTTGTTAAAAGAGAAGTTGGTGGTTGATTTCCTGAATTTGCCAACATGTTGACACCACCAAGTACCTTTATATTTTGCAGGTATACTGAGGAAGAGCATAGTTGGCCTTCAATGCCAATACGCAGCACCTCAGTGCTAAACTAAGGTATTCCTATCTAAATAGTAAGGTACTTAGTATCATTCAGCAGGATGCATAGGTCATAAGTCCTTCCCAAAGGAAAAATTGCTGTCTTTCAGAAAAGAGCCAAGAGTAGAAAGAGGTGCTCACTCACTCCTTATCCTTTGAATTAGTAAGGACAATCAACAAATTCATAAGAGATACTTGAGCATGTCACATCAATTTCTTTGATTTTTAGATGAAATGTGTTTTGTGTTGCTCTAAAGTTAGGCACTCATTATGCATAATTAACCCCTTACATAGAACAGCTGCTGGCTTTTACAATGATTTCAACCCAGAGCTGAGTGTACCCATTGTTGGTGTTTACTGTGGTGAACTTAATCAAATTTGTGATATATGCATCATTTGATGTAATTATCAAATATATGGAAAAAAAAACTAGAGAAAAGCATGGCGTGTTCATCTTCACTTAGAAAAGTTAACTCTGAAGTAATTATGGGCTATTATGCTGGAAATTATTTTAATTTTTTTAAAAATGAAAATTATTGGAATTTAATACTAAATACAATTCTGTGATTGTTTATGAAAAAGAGGTACCAGTATGTTTCCCATGAGTGAAGAGGACTGAAGAGGCAATCAAATCACCAGGATAGGCCTCCATGGATAATCCAGGAATCGGGAAAGCTTGGCCTTAACTCTGACTTTCAAACTTTGCTAACATATTTAATCTCTACTTTTCCCATTTATAAACTTGGAAGATAATCATCAAGAAGCATGCACATGTAGCATTCTAAACACTTTAAGTTGGAAATTGTTACCAAAGATAGAAAAATGTAATTCTCGGCATATAGTCCTACATTGAAACACCAAAATGGTTTGTCTATGCCACCAAATTAGAGATCTTGTAGTGGATTCTGTTGTGATGCTTTATGCATTTTGAGAAGTTAGGAAAACTTGGAGGAAATGTAATGTAATCATTAAGCAGTATTCTGCCCCCTTTTACTTTTGAAGTGTACATATCTCTCATTCACTCTGTTGGAGATACACTGGAATTGGCAATCATTGTTTCACAAATAAGATAGCTGAGGAAAGGGGAACTTGCAAAGTCACAGCAGGTTAGATAAAGAGATATTGCCACAGTTCTTTAGTTTATACCTTTTTATTCTTAATCCTGCCCAGATAGACAGAGATGTAGAAATTTAATATAACATATTTTAGACTACAAAGGCCTAAAATAAAAGCTGTGTCATGAGCACAGTGATCCTTTTTCAAATTATGAAAGTAAAATTTGGCTAAGGGAATATATTCAAATTTTAACTGCCAATGTACAATATTTCTGTTAAATCAGCTTTCCTGGACTATTCTAAATATCATTTATGGCATTGAAGCAATGTGTTTTGGAGTGATGGACTTTGAAGGCTGTTCTGGAAGTTAGAGATTCTAATTATTCTTTTTGGGATAAAAATAATAATTTGGTCACCATTTATTTTGGGAGAAAATTATCACCAATTATTTTCTTTCTAAATAACCTTTAATTGAATTCAACTAGTTCTCAATATAACTGCTTGACTGCATTCAACCTGTTTTGCCAAGTTAATTTGATTGAGTAGATTCACTTTATATTCAAGATCCTTTTTAAAATTCTCTTTCATAAAGCAGAACCCTATAAAATTGAATAAGAAAATAATCACAAAGGATCATTTTGCATATTGTCTGCTTCTGGAAGAGACAATGCCATTTATCACAAAAGGAAGCAAAATCATTTTTGAAGTATGATTACCTAAGGTTATTCTGTAACCAGATGTCTAAGTTGTCTTATAAGCATCATTTTCACAGATAACTTCCTTGTGACTTATTCCATTTGCAGACATGTAGAAGCCCTCAGTATAAAAATATATAAAGAAAATTCCCCATCAACTATTTCTTACTCCAATCTAAAGGACATAGAAAATTTTAGTTTACAACAATTATGTAAATGCCCATTACTGATAGAAAATTTTAGCTTACAACAATTCTGTAAATGCACTTTAATGATGGGAAAACACAGTCTCCACTGAAGTACATGGGCTTTAAAAATAAATCACTTTAAGTATATCTTTTCAAAAACAAACAAAAATCATATTAACAAAATGTATTTAAAAGACCTCAAATATTATCTTTCCATACTTTTGAATTACATGTTGAGAAGAAAGAAAGAGAGAGAGCGAAGGAAGCAAAAAAGAAAAAAGAAATGAAAAAAGGAAAGAAAAAAGGAATTATCTGTGTTTCTACAACAAAATAATGGAAAGAGTTTGCACTGGCTACTTAGGACAAAGGCTGATGCAGAGTGACACTTCATGCCAACAAAAGGTTATTGAATATTCTGCCTTTTCTTAGAGATGCTTTGGTATTTAACATATTGATATCTTCTGACAATTTTCCTAAAGGATATCATAGGATAGGTGCAGAGATTTCACTACTCAGGACCATTTATCTTTTTTTAAAAAACTAAAATACATATTGTTCTTTAGATACATTTTTGTCCTCTAAAGAGAAAATTAAAGCAAAGTCAACATTGAGATGAAGTAATAGCAGAATGCAGAGACTTGGAAAATGCCGAATTTTCATAGTTTTGTGTTGATAGCAATGTATGTGGTGTTACTACAGAGAGATCTGTTAAAAAGACTAAGAAGCATATATTCTGATTCATAGAATTCCCATTGAAGACATTCAGAAAAAAAGAGAAATCTTTCCAAAATTATGCAAATGAAGCATATATAATCTGTGTCTCGATGACAGTGTGTTTTCAACTCTCTCTCTTCCATTTTGTTATGACATACTTCAAGATTTTACCACAGAAAACTACAAAAGGAAAATCACTTCAGTATACAAACATATGCACATGTTAAGGGAGGAAGGATTTAAAGCATTTACATTAATAAATCAAATTTGGGAGGGGTTTTCATGAGTAAGTTATAGATGGGCCAATCAAGTAAGTATAACCACCAGTAAAAGTTAAAAAAGGAAGCATACTATTTGGGTCATCTTCATGAGTTCTAATTAAAATTCATATGGAGAGTTATTTGTAAAAATCAGCTGGGCCACTGTCTGATTTTCAACCAAGAACTGAAAACCACTGGTTCATCTACTTCTTGAGAAAAATATTATTGAACACCAGCTGTATGCCAACCACCATTCTATCTGTATGCACAAGCCATTGTAGGTGCTAGAGGGGAAACCAATAACCAACTTTTGTTTTGTTTTCTCAAACTGATGTCTCATGAAGACAAATGAAAGAGAGAACACAGAAGACGGCAACAGAGGAAGCTTTCAAGAGAGAAAGGGAGAAGGGGGATTTTCAGATACACTATCTACGGATGATCATCAAAGCATTTATATTTGGACAGTTTATTTTTAAAGCAGTAATTGTCAAAGCAGTAATTGACTTATACCAAAGCAGGCAAAAAATGGTTTGGCTCCTTTGCTTCTTAACAGTGAGCAGTCTGTGCAGAGAGGCAGGCCTGAGCTCTACTTCCAGCTCCACCACTGAGCTCCAAGTTTCTCAACCTTTCTGGGCCTCAGGAACCTCATCTGTACAACAAGGGACTAAAAACCCTTCCAGTTCTCCCTGTTATTCATCTGAATCCTGGCCAGGCACCACAAATATGTGTTACTGTGTGACAGTAAAATGTTTGGTGTAGCCTGCAAATGGCTCATCAAAAATCGTTTTCCATTCCTAGAGAAAATAACTAACAACTTGTTCTACTATAGGTGAGTTAGAAGCATCATCTTTAAATATGAAACAGAAAATCCTGACTTTTCCTGTTAATATGAATTAAGGAGAACCCAAAAGCAAATATTTGCTGAATGTACTTTATACTAACCCCTTACTTGCTTAAAACAAACAAAAACAAACAAACCCAAGCTTGTTTTAGATTATATACTGAGCTCTAAATATGAACAGATAGATATATTTAAAGAAAACAAAGTCTTCTGATATACATTTATTTTTCCTAAGTGGATGTTGAATCTCAAATCCACATCAAAAAAAAGAAAATTATTCCTTTATCCCAAGTGTAGTCTGGGACAGATTTTCCATGATTAAAATCTTCAAATACTTTCTTGACCCAGACTTTACTCCATTATCTGTCATTTTTGTTCCGATTCAGACAGACGTATGAGATCGGACTCATTCTGAGTCAAGCCAAGTTTTTTAACTTGCCAGAAGTGTTCTTTGTGGAAACAGGATTGTGGTGCAGGGAGGACTGGATGACATTCTTAAAATGAATAGTAAATATATAGTTTTCTTTCCACTCCCCGTCAGTTGTGAGGTATATGACTGCAGGCACTGGAGTCTGAGGAAGAAAACTGAGTTGCATTTTCCTTGAATTTAAGCACGTTTATTTGCCCTTCTTTAAAAAAAAAAAATCCCTTGAGTTTCTACTTCTAAAGCTTTCACCTGGTCTTCCTACTTGTTTCCGTCTGAGGTAATATCCCTGGAGTCTGAAATCACTGATCATATTTTCAAGTGCTAAAATGTCAGTACGAATCTAGATTTTAGCATCAGGGGGAGGAATAAATATAGAACCAGAAGAACTTGTCTGAAACTAAGACCCTATTTAGGGATAATAAAAACCACCTAATGTATGTTACTATCATTTGGGTTTCAAAGTAGAATGCTTTTTAAGCACTTGCTTTCAAGTTCCACCATACTAATAGTTGTAGCACTTTGTCAGGGCTTGGCTTCGTTCTTAAACATTAATTGTTCATGTGTCCAGAAATATATAATGGAATGTCATAAACACAGAAATTTTAAGATCACGGAGTTCACAGAAGTATATTTCCTTACCTCTCATGACCTTTATACCCTTAGAATTTCAGAACAGGGATCATTAGTGCCTAAACCTAATATAAATCTTCCAGAACTTCCTCTCTCTTCATAGTGAATTAAAGAGTTTTTTTCAACATCATTTTTTTCTCTCTTCTAGTAACTTTAAAATGGGGGTCTCTACTCCACACAAATAATTTGCTCCTTGCAAATTATTTCTCTAATGAAGAACTACTGTTGCCCTTGCTGTTATTCTTTTCCTTGACTTCCACCTTCCCTTTTTCCTTGCATGTCTCAAGTTTCTTACAAATGCCACTCCTTTTCTTTCCAACCATTGTTTGTTGGCGGTCAGTTCTGGCTGGCATGGGCTCTTTCCAAGCAGGGCTTTCCCTCCGCTTTTCTCCAGGGGCTCCTCAGCCTGAGCCTCCAGCAGCCGCCTCGCTCCTTGTCCTCCTCCATATTCTTCCCACCACTCCAGAAAGACATCCACTGTCAAGTTAACCACCGGCCTGGAACTTTTCAAGGAATTTTTCAAAGCTCCTGGGCCTACCCTCTCCCTCTCCTCCAAGAGCCGTGATCGGAGCCAGCGCACACCTTTTGGAGTTGGGGCGGGCAGCAGAAGCCTTTGGTTTTGCCTGCTGGAAGATTACTGCTTCCTTGTGGTGGAGATACTGTGCTCTTCAGAGAGCCGGTAGTGAGGCTGTCACTCTCCGCTGGGTTCAGAGGGGTTTTTTTGTTGTTGTTTTTTTTTTTTATTGTCCCTGTCAGTTAGCAGCCCAAGGTTACTGCCAGCTCTCTGTCAGGGCTTTGATTTTTGTCAGCTATGGCCAGGTCCTTTTAGTTATCTGCTATCTTTTCAGCTTTGTTCAGGCTCAGCTCTACTTGTCTACTAATTAGCTCTTTGGAGATTTCCCTTTTAAAACTCACTATCACAGAGGACAGGAACCGTTCAAAAGTTTTGTGCTTCATAGAAATTCCATATTCATCCATATCCCATACAGCCATATTTTTAAAATTAAAAGTGGCAGGTCAGGCCAATTTAAGGTATAGAAGTAACATTGTCTATAAAGAGAGACCTTCAGGTTCTTGATCAGGTATGGAGATGAGTGACAGGGAAGGAAAAGGTTTACATCAAAAAACACTGAGGGGTACAAATTAAAAAGAAACGATCACTCTGTATAACATATTCACATTTTCTTTATCTTCTAGTGTGCAAATATTGTGCTAGCTGAATATAAAAGTAGCACAACTTTAGGGTACAAAAAAAAAAACACACTGTAATAACATCAAGAGTGGTCTTACATCAAGGAGGGCCCTGAGGATGTCTTTGTTGTCAACTTCAGAAGAAAAGAGAGGAACAGAAGAGGAAACTGGCAGAAGGAATAGATGCCAAAGAGAACTCAAAGGATTAGGTCCGGGTGAGGTGATCGGTATTCGAAAACAGTCTGCCTTCTGGCTCTGATCTAAGGGAATAGGCTGGCAGCCAAGCCAGAGGGCATAGCAGCACAAACACACCTTCAGCACACTGCTAGAGGGTTGCCTCAGTGCCTTAGAAATTGCGCTAGCAATTAGAAATAAAGCTATGTAAGAGCAATAGGCAAAATACTCTATTTATGGGTAAAACTCTGCTTTTTACATAAGTCCCATCCTGGTTGTCCCCTCCACATAAACATACCTTTTTCTTTTTTCTTATTGTAAGACCCCCTTCTTTTTATGCTAAGTGCATTTTTCTTCTGCTAACTTAGTGCAGTTGTAAGTTGCGCTTACATTGCATTTACACACTGTTAATGTCTGCAAGATGAAAGTAAAAACCTTTGAATATATTAATGTTATAACACAGATGTCTTACTTTTTACTCTTTTTTTTAAAGCAAGTTGATGTGGCTAATAATGATGCAGATTGTGCTGGATGGATGTGCAGATGAAACAGGGGAATACAGATTAAATAAAAATTTCTTCAAAGCTTACGTTTGCTTCATAATTTAACTTCTGGGCTTGTCTCAGTGGTAGTAGGTGCGACCAGCCATCATAACATTGTTCTAAAACATCTTGGCATCAGAGAGAAACAATCACCCAAATAACATTGCTGTACTTCTTCGAAACCCAAGAAAAATAATCACGGGGAAAATAAAGACTTCCAGTGGCTCTGTACAGAGAAGCTTGACCCAACTGCTAATAATGGGTAAGCAGTGAGAAATCAGGGACAAAGGTTTTGTGCTTAAGAAGCTAACTGCTTGTGTACTACCTTTGCTCTTTGTGGCTACATTCAAAGCGTCAGCAGCCTCTTCTCCCAAATACTGAATGTGGTGTGTGCCAGAGGTGGTCATATACTCACTCTACCATCCGTGGAATGACTCTATCTATCAACAAGCTCTTTTCAACAATAAACAGAGGGGCATTGATGACATAAGGACTTGGAACAGGCACAATCAATTTCTCTTTCGTGTATCTGTTCATTCAAGAAGCATTTTGCACATGATATTCCATGCTAGGGATTTTGCCATGTCCCTAAAATAGGAGGGTGGGTAAGACCCAACTCCCTTCCTCAAGGAATTCATCCTTTAATGGAGAGGACACTTGTAAGCAGAAAACCTATAATTTCATCTCTTTTGAAGGCATGTAAAAGTGCTGGGGATCTCCAAGGAGGGAATACACTGTTTTCTAGGCCACATGTGTTGAGACTATAACTGGGGTCTGCATCTTTCATGTGTGGAGAGAAGCTTACCCAGTGGACAAGGATGATGGAGAGACTTGAAGTCATAGATAATCAGCAGCATTGGGGATGGTGAGAATGTCAGTGTGGCCAGAGCTTAGGCTGTGCATTTGAGGAGAGGAGAGGGAATAGAGAGAGGCAATAAGACTAGGGAATTGGGCTTTGAGCAGAGTACATGGACTCATATGCTAAGCTAAGACATTTAGAATTCACCCTACAGACAACAGGGAGCCAACTGGAACCTTCCACAAAGAGGAAGGATGACAATCAGATGTCCTTTCTACACTAACTCTGATGGTTCTATGGAAAGGATATTGACCCCTCTAGAACAGACTGGCACAAGGAGACCACTTAAGACACGTGTAGTTCTCCAGACTGAGATGATGGTAGTGTCAGCTGAAGAAAAGAGGCTGGATTTAAGAGACACTGTTGGGGGACTTAGATTAGCAGAATAGAGCTTCAACTAAAAATTTCTGCCAATGACCACCTCATTATCCTACCTCTTCAATACTCTCTATCCTGAGGTGGGCAGTTCCAATGTAACATGCTGGGAATCCCACGCCTCCTTCTGAGGAAAAGGAACTCAGTTCATAGGCATTTAATAAGACACATAAAAAAAAGATCATTCCTCTTCCCTCTTACCTGTGAGCTTTGTGAAGACAAACACCATGCCCCTATCCAACTGTTTCTCCCAGTACCTGAAAGAATATTGAAGATGACACACTCTTCTTAATGTTTGAATGAATGAATGAATGAATCTGAATGAGTGACAAAACTGGGATGCAAAAACTCTCCACAGATTGGAAAAAAGCATTGCATTTGTTTAAAATGTTCTTAGAGTGTAAAGACTACTTTATTTTATTGTGAGGTGGGGGAAGTGACCAGTTAATTATAAATAACAACAAAGCTACCCACTTGTGCTATTCGGAAACAAGGGTCCATCCCTCCATAGAAATAAGACTAAGTATGTGTTATTAAGGTAGTGGTCTGCAATGCTGATATCTTGGCTTTCCAAGTGATACTCACAGCATGAATATATGGATACATGGCAGATTTGCTTCAGGGAGTGGCTGTCCAGGCCGTGTGCTTTTGGAGGTGGTGAGCTCTTGATGCTGCAAGAGAAGAGAGCCATCAGCTGATGTTACTTAAGGAAAAGTAGGGAAACGGGGCTGACAGAGACAGCTCAGCAGGCTGTGCCCTGCAAAAGAGCTCTGCTGAGGAACCAGTAGTGACGGAAACCTAGGCGCTGTATCCAACTCGAGGGGGATGTTTCTTTAATCACAGGTAAGTCCTGGGTAGGAGAATGGCGCCCTGGATTTAACAAAACTAGAATGAATGGAAAAGAATACTTCTGAGACTAGTTTCCTGGACAATACCCCAAACCTACTCATCCCCTTGTCTTCATAGTGTCCATTTTTACTATCTGCTGCTTATGTCTGTGGCATTCAGGCTTCACATCAGTCTTACTGTTTGGCCCTTCTCTCCTGCACTCAACTTGGCTGGTATAGCCTTAAAGGGGTCTAAGAGGGAACAAGCACACGGTGCCTTTAAACATGACTGACACAGCCATCTGTTGGGGCTGACAGCATCCGGGCAAGATCACTCTCCATGCTCATCTGGCCAACTGGTCGGCTGCAGGACCCTAATAATCACATTAGCAGAGCAGGAGCATCGCCCACTGGATGAAACTTCAGACATTACTTATGGATGAAATGAGGTCGGAAGAGGTCAGAGAAAACAAGAGATGAGCTGGCCATGACAGCTGTCCAAGCTGCCCTTGAGATGCAACATCACAGCATCCGGGCCGGGGCTGTATCTTCCCACAGAGCAGGGGTTCTGTCCACGAGAACCACTGTAGCCTCACTGTGTTTCAACCTGGGGGCAAGTCTCCCAGGCAAAGCAGCTGTCCTGGAGGAGGAGAAGGCAAAAACAAGCTAACACTGCTTTGGAAATAATGAAAGCATTAAGCTCAAATTTGTGCTCTTCTTGTGAGATTTACTGCCAGGCTGGGAGCTCTATGAAAGCAGCTATCAGCATTGTGGTCAGCCCTTAAGCATCTATCTGGATGAAAGCATGTATGCAGCATGAACTGATGGTTTGATGAGGGCAAAATACCCAATATACAGCCGTGTACAGAGACCTGGGGGGAGAATATCTTAAGAGCAGCTTTCATGGAAGAAAAAGAATTTTAAGTATATTTCTTTGGTTGTATCATTAAATAAAAAGATTGAATCCTGTGAATGATAGTGCACTGTTGTCTGCCTAATTTTCTAGAGTAGAAATGTGAAGTTAGAGGTTCACTTGGAGAATTATAACAAGATTTACTCCATTTTAACAAGCATGAAACCACAAATAAAACTTTAAAACAAACTTCCTTCAGCTTTTTATAAATTGTCCTTTACCTATGGTCAGAAACATTAATGAAGGGAATAGATTTAGATACTTCTTCTTTAGATAGTTCTCATTAGTAAAATTCCTATTTTTCTGCACAAGAAAATAGCATAATATATTGAGAATTGGTCATCCCATTACGTGTTGCGCAAGCCTGCTTTTAATCTCACCTTAAATGTTGTCCCAAATAAAGCTATCACTTAGAATAAAATACAAATATAATGCACACATTTTGTGAAAAATAATAATTACTATTAACCTCAAGGAGCAAAAGGTTAAAAAGAGCAGAGTTCCTATTTTCAAATGTAATAAATCAGTCTAATTTGGAGTCAAGGTAGTAAAAAGATGTCTCGAGCTTTTTACTCCAAACATGATGAGATCAAGAAATTTTCCTTTTGGAGAGAAAAAAAATGCATTTCTAAAATGCAAGCACTTTGAACATCTTGCTCAATTCCAAATGCAGCCTCCTTCTGTTGCACTTTATTTTAATGCTTTTCTTTTCACAGATGAAAGTTTGACTTAAAAAAAAAAGGTACAAGAATATGCCGATAGTATGAGAGTGATGGCTAGGAGGGATAGCAATAGTTTATGTGGTCTGGGAATTCTCTACCATGTCACCATCCTCCCCCTTCTGTAAGTGTAGCAAAATAATTGGCCAACATAATTAAATATGAATCCGCATAACTTCAGACTCTGAACGCCTGATCAGTCCTTTGATAGGCTAAAAGGAGTGCTTCACCAGCCATGTATTCTGAAAGCAACATGGAAAAAGCTGTACTTTCTTTGATTTGTGAAAAAAATTGCTTCTTCTGTAAATACAGAGCACAAACGACATTTCCTTAGGAAGTCATCTGAAACCTTAGCATGTATTTATCACAAGTGCAGTGGGGGCATATAATAAATTACAGTCCTTCTATCCCAGTTTCCCCCACCAGTATTCACATGTTCTTGAGAGGAAGTTTTCAGCTTATTTCAGAGAGTACAGTGCCATAGAACTAAAATAAAACAAACAAGTAAGAAACCATAATGTAAGAGTGATTGATAGTTGGAAAACATGTCAATGGTATTTACAGAAAACCCATGGTGGGCAGAGCCCTTTGCCAGCTACCATGAAAAGGTAAAAATAAAATGGAAAATAGATTTTCTTCCTTCAAAGTGCCTATAGTCAAATAGAAGAAATACATATAAACAAATGTATGTGAATGTACAAAGAGCACATACATTTCAAAAAGTCAGAGCATGCAAAACCAATTACAATCAAACACAGGAGTTTATGCAGAGGCATCCGACTGACAGGGTGACTTCATTTGAAATGGTCCCAAAACTTCCATTGCCAGGCACACAAGCACAGCTGAATGACAATATTGTCCACAACAGAAACTTGTTCATTTTCTGTCAAAGCATTTATTTGTTGTGAGATAGGACAGGAGTTAACATAGTTTGATCACATGATAAAAGGTTTCATCAAATTAATCCCATAATTGATTAGCTCACCATTCTGTTGATTGTTTTACAAAGGCTATGGGTTTTATTTCAACTTAAAAAAAAAGATAGTTTATAGACTTTTAACTCTTAATATTTTAAAAAAGAACCTGAAAGATTTTTTTAAGTTTAATTGGGAAGAAATATGACACATCACTGTGTTAACTTACGGTTTTTAGAATTAAAAGGCAAGAAATGAGATAGTATTTTAACAGATTTTTTTCTCCATCTCTAAGAATCATTAACAAAGACTATACTTTTAATTTTACTATCGTTTTCATATTTAGTATTTTAGCATGATAGAGAAAGGAGAAAGTGTCTTGTTCTAAGGAATAATCTCGCATAGAAAATTCTATTACAAACAGAATTCGTGAATATTCAAAAAAGTACAGAAATACTAGATGCTATTTGATAAACATTTATTCCATAACACAGTGATGATATCGTCATAAACAACTTTGATTACAGGCAGGAACATGGGTATAGTAAGAAGTTACTGATCATTAAATTTGATTTAAGAAAGTAAGGAGATGAGGCAATTTTTAACAGGATTCACTCTGCCTAAAGAGCTATACTTACAACTCTACAAGTGAATGTTCAGACTAGTTAATCACAGTTTTTACATGTATGGGTTATCACTTATTTTGAGAAGCAGTGTGGTGTGATTTAAGTGATAAGAGCACGATTTGAAATCCATCTCTGCCATAAATGACCTAGATCTCTAGTCTTCTTTAACATTTTCATATGCAATCTATGATTATAAGAAATAATATGCATCTGGAAGTATTAGAAACCCAAAGAATAAAAGGATCTGTGGAGCTGAGGTAAAATTGGCATACATAAATTTCTCTATTTAAATTCTATTAATTTAATTTCAGGAAGCCCTATTAATTATAACCTTTCCATAATTACTTAATAATAATAATTGTTATTTAAAATTATAAACCCGGAAACCTTGAAGTACCTTCTGAATCATTAGTATTGGAGGCTGTCTACATATGTTTTATTTGTTTACATATATTAATTCACATCAAACTGCTATTCAAAAAAATAAGGTGGGGGACTTCAGATGACATAGCATAAAACAAATCAAAACAAAAAGAACCACATGCACACAAGAAAAATCTTTAAAATAAAGATAAGTTACATAGTGCAATAGAGATAATGATTCAATTGTAAAAAAATTTATTTTCTGGAAGCATGGGAATGATTAAAAAAAACACACACACAACAAATGCTGTTGGAATAGGGTGGAGCAGAAAGATCCCCAGCCATGGAGGCAGGGACCCAGTTTAAGGTCAGGCAAAGACGTTTTGTGAGTCAAAGTTTCACCGTCTGTTCAAGGCGGAAGCTCTCTACAGCTCCAAGTGCTAACTTTATAATTACTTGGGTCAGACAAAAATCTTTCCCTGGCACATATTCACATGTCTTTCAGGTAGAGCAGAGACTGAAGATCTTAAAACCAAGATGAACATACATGACAAAGTCACGGGGGCATTACTCAGTGAGGGGTCTTCAGGAAGTTGAAAAGAATTTCTGAGATTGGAGTACTAAGAGTCAATTCTGGCATCTTGTTCCCTTCCTCATTTTATGTGCTCAAAATAACGAGCAGATGTAATGTAAAATAATGTAAAATAATTTTTATGTTGTAAAACTAATGCATAAAAATTGCATTGTTTTAACTTCGAACATGTTAATATGTTAATTTCTACAAGTCAGAATTTATTTGCACACATGCTTACAAATCCTGACACATGACTAATTTTTCATGTTCGACTAGACATTTGTTATGTAATCTGTTTTTTATATATAAATCTATTACATAACATTTCTGTTATATAACTTGTTCTAAAACATGTCACTTTCTTTTTAGAAGCTACTTTAATTATCTTCCAAAGATGTTACAAGAGGGTGGGTTAAGGGAAAGAGGGAACTTCAGTTATTTTTATAAAACTGGTGAACAGAGCAGTGGATTCCCTCCCGTTTGACAGGTGTTTGTGTCAGGGACAATACAAATTACTCCAAGCCGAGTAAACAATGAAGATCTGTGGTGCACTGGCTTGCAATGCTGGGGAAAGTTGGGTTCCAGCTGAGAATGTCGCACCTTTAATTTCATATGGTTGAATAGGAACCAGTGAAAACTATAATTAGAAATTACTGCAGATACAAAAAAAAAAAAAAAGCAACTTCTGTGTCATAAAAGCAACGTGGGTTCTACCTGGTCCCTTTTGGGCTAAGTAAGTTGTTTGATCAGCTTCTCTCAGTCTCTGTGGATGTCCTTATATGAGTCTAATTGAAGGACTCCTGTTCTCTTTTTATTTTTGCTCTATGAAAAATGTATCAGAGATGTCTTATAATGAACTTTGATATGGTGAAATGATAATAATGTCCTAATTACATATAAAAATGTAATTACACTTGCTTCTATTATAGAAAAACTCCCTTTATAATGAAGTGTTATGTTGGAAAAAGATTTTCATTATAGGCGGACTCCTTTACTTGTTAATTTGAGCTCTGATTCATCGCTTTAATATTAAAAAAGTTCTTTGTAAGTTACTTTTGATGTGTCTCATTTATGGTTCATTTCACTTCCTGGGAACCACAAGGAGCCCAAATCCAAACTTCTTTGAAAGACACTTAAAAATACATCTTTCAAAAGGAGTTCTTCTTTCTATGCGGTGAAACAGCAATATCACTGACCTTCTCATTTACCTGAGCTGTGAAAACTTTTGTTTTGAAATTTGAAAAGCATATATATATATATGCACGGCTTCTCAAATGTTTAAAAATATCTGTGCATTCAGTGGTAATAGGCAAACATCTAAAAATAGCCTTTAGCTAATAATCAATTATACATGTGCCCTCATGACATTAAAACAATATGATGTATTTTCTATTCTTTTTGAGATTGCTCAGATCATCATTTCACCAAATCAAGTGCAAAACTAAGAAGTACAACAAATCTGTCTTATTTGCTATTTATTATAAATCTGGTCAAAGTCTTAGTAGGAAATATCATTATATCCATTGGTTAAAATTAGTTTAGAAGTTTTCAGTCTACCACCATCACAGGGAATAAATATTTCATCATTAACAACAGAAAAAATAGCTTAAACTATAAACTATCAGAATCAACAAAATAATTTAATAGAAATAAAGAAGGCATTCAAAAGTGCTGCAAGTGAACTCCAAAGATGCAGTCTACAATTAATTCTTTTGCCTTCTTTTAGATGGTCAACTTTCAGATTTTAAGTAAGGTTAATTCATTTAAAATATTGTTTTTAAAAGTAATTTTTTTTTTTTTTTTTTTGAGACGGAATCTTACTCTGTCACCCAGGCTGGGGTGCAGTGGTGCCATTTCAGCTCACTTTAGCCTCTGCTCCCGGGTTCAAGCCATTCTCCTGCCTCAGCCTCCCAAGTAACTGGGATTACAGGTGCCCACCACCACACCCAGCTAATTTTAGTATTTTTAGCAGAGGCAGGGTTTCACTACATTGGCCAGGCTGGTCTCAAACTCCTGACCTCAGGTAATCCACCTGCCTCTGCCTCCCAAAGTGCTGGAATTATAGGCATGAGCCACCATGCCCAGTAATGGGTCTTTAGAAGTGAGACAATGATTATTTTAGGTCTGATTTTGATAGCCATCAGAATCACTACTATCACTTTTTTCTAGTATTTATAAATATAATTTGTAAATTTTTGTAGTTTATACATTTATGATTTGTAAATTTTCTCTAATTTATAAATATCTTTAAAATTTTAGAGAATTCCAACTTCTTTTTTAACTTATTCCTGAATATCATGACTCTAGGAACTTTGCTTCCTCTCCAATCTCTTGTCCATATATCAGTTAATGATCTGGTAAATCATAAACCAAACCACACCACTTTCCTATGTAAATATTTCCATGGTTTCTTGTGCCTTCAGATTAAAATCCAAGCTCTTTCCATGGTGCAAAAGGCTCAAGATGATCTGATTC